>NC_000006.12:55871153-56516836 GCF_000001405.40 Homo sapiens | reverse complement strand
GGCCTCTTAATAAAAACCAAAATATGTGGCTCTCTCTAATGCTGAAATCCATTTTGTATAAAGTTACAGTAAGCTATATAGGGAAAATATGATCTGAGTAATTAAGGAAGCATTCAGCTTGTGTAGTTTTAATTATCCTTTAATTTGGCAGAAAACCAGCCACAAATAAAAATGTTCAATTCATATTCAGACATCTAAGCAGCCTGAAGAAATTGATGCATATTCATGCTTCTGGTAGGAAAGATATCCCATGCATGGCAAAAAAAATAGGAATCTCTATGCCTAAAATCATATTTTAAAGAGTATGCATTGCTTTTAAGGTAGACCACAGATAAAATAATAGGATGCACAATGTAATGATATGCACTCTTTTATTTATTTATACTCTACAATGGCAATTTGCTTGTTTATAATTGAATATTATTTTTATAAAGACTCTGATGTGAAAAATACAGATTGTTATGAAATAATTTCTTTGTTATTCTGTGGTTTATTGAGTTATGATTGTGCTTTATCTTCTTCTGCTATTAGTTTTTGCTATGAGTTTATACCATAATCTAGATCACTGTGACTACCCCATTAAATCCGTGTATAGCACAATGGCAAATGTTCTGCTTTGATTCCTCTTTCTCTTTCTCCTTCTCTTTCTCTTTCTCTTTCTTTCTCTTTCTCTTTCTCTCTTTCTCTTTCTCTCTCTCTCTCTCCCTCTCTCTCTTTCTATATATATATACACACACACATATATATACACATATACACATATATATGTGTGTGTGTATATATATAATTAAATTTTGTTAACTAAAAATTTTGACAATTTCATTTGCAAAAAGTGGTCTTTATTTTTTTTCTGCAAAATATATGTTGCCAGAATCATATGGGACTTGTTTTCTAATCTTGAAGCCATTGTAAGAATGACTGGAGAATTGTGTGTATTGTTTTTGGAGATCTCAGTGTCTTATTCATAAAAACTTGAGGCACTTTAATTTAAAGTGAACTTTTGTACGTATAAACCATTAAAATCTGAATAGCTTTTACTGATGTATTCATTTAACATATATTTGTCAAACGCCCACTCTGTCCAGGTGTACTGTGCTGGACAGAGCACTCTGGAGTGTGTGTGCTCGTTGGCCTGACCAGTTAAACATTTCATCCTTTTATTTTCTAGAAAAAACTGGACAAGGTACTGAAGAACTATGATACCATCTGCCAGATTAATTCAGAAAGGTATCTGCAGCTGGAACGGGCACAGTCCCTGGTTAACCAATTCTGGGAAACATATGAAGAACTTTGGCCATGGCTGACAGAAACACAATCAATCATCTCTCAGCTTCCCGCCCCAGCCCTTGAATATGAAACTCTAAGGCAGCAGCAGGAAGAACATCGGGTAAGCCTGGTGTGAAAGAGAATATTGTATTCCCCATTAAAAGAGAATCATGATTTTTATGGTGGTTTTTAGTACAGTTAAACACTTACATGATTAAGGCATTTTAGAATACCGTGTTCTGGTCTGTGTAATTTGCTTACCTCATAATTGCTTCTTATACAGGGTTATAGTGAGAAGACTCATGTGGATATACTTGTTGTATATGTCATTAATTACATCACAACTTTTATAAAATATGCAGTATAAATCATCTAGATAGAAAAAATTCCCATTTAAAAATGTTATAGGATTAAGCTTTTGAAGTGCTTTCAATTTACACACATTGAATTGTTTTAAATTTATACATTTAGAATGTAAATGCAGAGTGGAAATATATGGGAGAACCATTATACAGACAAGGCCATTGAGTTTGGAGAAAATGTGTAATATAATGAATGTGTCAAAATAGCAATATTATGAAAGCTATGAAAAGGAAAAATGATGAAGTATAAAGACAGATTATTTTGTTCACCTTAGGTACATGGAACTCCTTTGAAGTTCTTGTTCCTGTAAGTGTAAATGGGTAAAGTAGGAGGAGCACATTTACAACTACAGTTACATCACATTTTAAACATGTATGAAATGGCACATAAAGCCCTCTTTTCAGCAGTCACTTAATTGTTAATATGGCTTAAAATTTTGTAAGGGTTTATGTGAGAGAGCATTCCAGACTGTCAGAAAAAAACTAGATTTCTTGCTATTTATGGACTTGTGAACCTAGTTGCTCTTCCAGATCTGTACAGAATGTACTCTGAGACTAATCATGGTGTGCATGTGTGTGTGTATGCGCATGAGGGGGTGTGTGTGTGTGTGTGTGTGTGTGTGTGTGTGTATACGCCTGTGCCCAAGAGAGAAGGAGGGAGAGAGGGAGAGAGAGAAAGGGAGGGAAAAGTTCAATTCAGGGTTTATTACATCATTGTTTGGAATATGTGACATCTTGTTAATCTTGTTTGTTTACCTTTTTAATGAATTGGCATTGAAGACTATACTGAAGTATTTATTTAAAAGAGAGTTTTAGAGACCACACTTTAACTTTATTTAATATAGAACAGGAATCTTATGGAGTTCTATCTAAATGATTCAGCAGGAGAAAGACAAGTATGTAGAATTCAATTTTTGTATAAAGATTTATTTGTGGCAGAAATCTGATATCTACTTACTGAATTATTTTAAATGAAAAATGTTTCATGGATTTCTATGCTGAGGTGATTTGAATAGCCACATTTTTAGCATAGCATCAAATAGTATGGAAAGGCTCATTATTGAGCTGAAATTTTAAAAATTGAGTTTTTTTGCCTTTTTGCATAATCTTTAAGCTCTCAAAACAAATTTGTGATTGTCTGTATAAAGGGAGGTACAAAACTTTGTAGCCACATCTTCAAATTGTTTAAACTAAAAGCTTTGCTGTTGCAGAATATTTGTAGCCTCCTAGGATGGCATTTCTTTTCCAGCTCTACAGCATCTTCTCCATGTATTTTGGGGGAAAATCTAGTTCATTCTAGCCAGGAATGAAAAATGGCTCCAAGGGCCATGTTACCACATGATAGATATCAAGTCACACCAGATAGCTCCAGCATGACTGGACTCCTATGACAGCATGTGCCAAGAATCATTTTGTCACATATAAGGCAAAAGGCATCTCCTTTTGGGCCCTTTTCTGATACACACACATACCTGAGTAGATGGCTGGTAGGTGTTCTCTTGCCTGTCATGGAATGGTTTAAGAAGGGTTTAAAAAAGGCTCCTCGGCCAGGCACAGTGGCTCATGCCTGTAATCCCAGCACTTTGGGAGGCCGAGGCAGGTGGATCACCTGAGGTCGGGAGTTTGAGACCAGCCTGACCAACATGGAGAAACCCTGCCTCTACTAAAAATACAAAATTAGTCAGATGTGGTGACTCACGCCTGTAATCCCAGCAGTTTGGGAGGCCGAGGCAGGTGGACCACCTGAGGTCAGGAATTCGAGACCAGCCTGACCAACATGGAGAAACCCCATCTCTACTAAAAATACAAAATCAGTTGGGCATGGTGGTGCATACCTATAATCCCAGCTACTTGGCATGCTGAGGCAGGAGAATCACTTGAACCTGGGAGGCGGAGGTTGTGGTGAGCCAAGATCGTGCCACGGCACTCCAGCCTGGGCAACAAGAGCAAAACTCTGTCTTAAAAAAAAAAAAAAAGGCTCCTCTCACTACTTGCCAAGCCAAGTTGCCTTATAGTGATGCTATACAGGTGAGATCTACCTAGACCCAAAGGAACTCCAGAAATATCAGCAGAGATGTAGCATTTTATTTGAGAGTCTCTTGATAACTCTTGAGTGAAAGCTTGTTTTCCAAGCATTCCTGAAAGAACATTGACAGGAGAACGTATGTAACATCTTCAGTTTTCCTTTTCCATGAGATTATCTATAGCTGATATACCATCACCACCTCCATTCGGTAAAGCAGCATGAAGATACCTAATTATGCCAAATAAAAATAAAAACTTGGCCTGGGACGCCCAGGAGCTAGATTGCAAACATGGCCCTCCCACATTCTTATGTGCAGCATGCTATATTAGACTCTTCCTTCTTTTAAAATTGAATTCATCTTTATTTAGCCCTTTCTAAAACTATTTTGAGGCAGTCTTTTGAAAACCTTCAAAAACATTTTATTACATTGGTGATAGTTAATGATGTAATTCCTCAACAGGTTCTCAAAATAATGCTCATAATTGATTTTAGTAGACACTTTCAATAAAAATCTAGGTATGTGGCCATCCTGGTGACTGATAGAAATTAGAGTTTGCAGGAAAAGATTGGTAGCTTATCTCTAGACCATCTTTCCTGAAAGTAAGATTCCCCAGAGAAGCTTTTGTGAGGGGCTGGAGTTTGGAGATACACATTCTGGTGAGGACAAAGAGCTGCTGATGAGGGAACCTAATCAATAATGTGGTGCAAATGAAAGACCCCTCAATGCTGCACAGAGGCCAGCCTCAGAAAAACCTGCAAGCAAAGGCAGATCTTCCCCCTGGGGGTGGCTTTGGTTTTGACCCATGAAAAACTGCTCATTGAAATCCATGGGATCCATGAGGTGTATGTATTCTAGCTTTATTCAGGCTTCCAACACATCTTCTCTATTAAAGGGAATGGGGATCCACTTGAATTCTACACCCACGCACTAGTATAAATATCATTGTATTTCTTGATTAGCTAGCAAAATTATGCACATTCATATGACATGTGTTTTTCCTTAAATATACCTTACAAACAATGCTCAGTATATAGCTGTGTATTGATAGATTGCCCTTGCAGCCTTTAATATTTTAAAATAATGAATATAGATTCATTCATATGTGTGTCTATATATCATATATATATAGAATAGATTCATACATAAATATAAAATGTAATACATGTTCATTCATTTTATATCAGTCCGCATATATAAATGCAATGCCTTGTGGGCTTACATCACCCTAACATTCCTTATCTTGAGGTTTTGTCTCAGCATTGCATCTAACTTATATTGAGCTTCTTTCTATTCTTTTTTCTTCCTTCCCTTCTCCCTCCTTCCCCCCGTCTTGTCTCTCTCTCTCTCTCTTTTTCTTTCTTCTATTTTTGTATATATCATGAGTGTGCAGAAAGGAACACCATCAGATATGACTTGGTGTCTGTAGGTTGGGGACATAGCGAGTTCAGAATACTTTTATATAATATGACCCTAGGCTAATGCTCTTGTCAAAATGTGCTACTCTTGGTATGAGATGCATAATAAACTGGGATTCATTATTTCACTGAACCAGCATCTTTGTACCCTAAAGGGTCTTTGGTGTGACCAGACTGTTGTTTAATCTTTGTGTCAGGACCTTCTCTTCCTGGCAAAGAGCTGTATGAGCCATCATGTGTTAAATGCCTTGTGATGGGGAGGGGTTTGTTTGGAGTTTCTTGCCAGCTGGATGCATTGCAGGTGTAGACAGCTGTAATATGGAGGTGTGACCCTGAGATACTGAAAAGCTGTTTGGTTTGTTATAGCAACTGCGTGAGTTGATAGCTGAACACAAGCCTCATATAGATAAGATGAACAAAACTGGGCCACAGTTACTGGAATTGAGCCCTGGGGAAGGCTTTTCTATCCAAGAGAAGTATGTGGCAGCCGACACCCTTTACAGTCAAATTAAAGAAGATGTCAAAAAGCGTGCTGTGGCACTGGATGAAGCCATTTCTCAATCAACTCAGGTAATTGTTTACACTAGATATAGAATTGGGTTCTTGCAGACAACAGAGCACAGAAAGACATTTTCCTGGATTTCCTGATTAAATTTTAACTAAAATTATTTCACCACATTCACTCTTGAGTATTGATGTCTGTGTCCCTCAGAGGTGATGTTTGCTTGCATCCAGCCTTTATCTCCTTATCTTTCTCTGCCTGCTTATAGATATAATACAAATAATTTTCAATGACTTAAGAAACGTGCAGTTGTCATCATTGTCTGAATATTTAATTCAGTGTCCATCCTGAGTAGAATGTAATATTTGCCATTGGGGGAGATAAAGGAAAGTGTTATAATTATTAATAAAGTACTCTCAAGAAGGCAATGAGAAGAAAGAATGATAGGCTAAATGAAAAGAAAAAGAATATAAAGTTGGATATTGATGGTTTTTTCTTTTCTGAAAATATCTTTTTTCAAGAAGTTGAATTTTGAAATACCCAAAGATTTTCCATTTTCAAGATTTGGTTTTCATTATTAGATATGGCACATTAGAGTGGGCCAGTGTCACAATCCTGTGTGATTATTCCTTTAACTTTGAGATAGTATAGAACAAAGTTCATTCATAGATGTGAATGAACAAGTTTTTATAGCTTTGCTTAATTGTCTATGGAACCTTTACAAATAAAAATTTTACATTCTCTCATGTGTCTGATTATGTGTTTAACCATGAAGTAAATAAAAACTTCTGACACTTGTAACTTCTGTTATATCAGAAGTTACAACATTGGGGAGGTTTTTTGTTAAAATTTTTTTTAACATTTTTCAATTCAGGAAATGCATAACTTAAGGATTCCCTGGAATCTAATCAAAACTTCCCATGAATTTCACATTAAATAATATAACTTTTCAGGATGCCATAATAGTTCATTAAAAATGAAGTAAACAATCCATTGTAATAGACAAATACTCAGCTTATTGAACTTGATTTTTAAAATTAATTTGAATTATGATAACAGGATGAAGCAGCAGGTAAAGAGACATTGCTGCCATGTCGTCCTGGTCCAATTACATATTAATATATACCATTTCTTAATGGATACACTCAAATATTCATAAGAAACTAAGTCTATTGTACATAGGTAGTGTGACAGAGGTGCATATACTTCATGATTTTAGGCATGTCTTCACACACCAGGTGGATGTAACTTTTGAATGGGTCTGTTGATAAAGAGGCTAAGATTTATTCTTAATTCTGACATTAAATTGTAAAAAATGTTTTTTCATTTAAATTTCACACTTGGTATTACAGATCTTTTTTCCATAAAAGATCTCTTTGTTTTGCCCCTAGTTCCATGACAAGATAGATCAGATCCTTGAGAGCCTGGAACGCATCGTGGAACGTCTGAGGCAGCCACCCTCTATCTCTGCAGAGGTTGAGAAGATCAAGGAACAGATCAGTGAAAATAAGAATGTGTCAGTAGACATGGAAAAGCTACAGCCGTTGTATGAAACTCTTAAACAGAGGGGAGAGGAAATGATTGCTAGATCTGGGGGGACTGATAAAGACATATCTGCCAAAGGTAATACTTTTGGAATAGGGAAACAAATTTTAAAGCATTCTAAATGTTTATGCGGTTTACTCACCGTCCAATTGGATAACAAAATGCCGCATCTTAAAAAAGATACTACAAATGTGATGTGTTTAGGGTTGAAGGGCTGTGTATGCAAATCCCTTGTTAATGTCTTCCTGTGTTTGTGAAATTATTTGGTTGAATACAAAGCGTGCCATTATACATAGACCATGTATAAAGACCATATGTTCAAAGACCATGTGTATTCAGGCCTTTTAAATCAGTAGGTTGAAGCATATTGCTAATAAGGCCATATCTGGGGTTTTTTCCTCATTACTGACTCTGCTACCTTACATAGCATGGATCCTGCATCACATAGCCACAAAAATGGGAACCACTACCACAGCCAGCCATCTTTGAGATACGAGCTGAGGGTCAAAAGGGAGAGCATGTGCGTAGTGGAAATTCACAATGAGAGTACTCTAGAAGCAAGCCCAAAGTACATACCATACATTGTTACATTCCTGGGACTGAACGGACAATTTTACTCTTGATTTGGGGAGCATAAAAGTGTACCTAGGTGATTATTTCACTCCCTTTGGGATTAAGGATAGCCTTAATGAACTTGAAACTTGATAAACTTGGTTCTACTCTGAGCTCACTTTTGTCAGGAAGAACCTTGGTTTGGCAAGAATAGCAGACCCAGAGATATTATGTTATTTGGCATAGACTCTTGGACCCACTGATATCCACTGGACTGGGGTCATTCAAAACTTGGTCCAGTTTTAGATACTTAGCAAATTGGATCACTACTTTCTGTGTGAACTATAACATTCTGCTTTGTTGGTTACGTGGGGCTAACCAGTCGCCTTGTGGATATTGTTTTGCTTCATAGCTGTTCAGGATAAGCTTGACCAAATGGTTTTCATTTGGGAGAACATACACACACTGGTGGAAGAGAGGGAAGCCAAACTACTGGATGTGATGGAGCTAGCAGAAAAGTTCTGGTGTGATCACATGTCATTGATAGTTACCATTAAAGATACTCAAGATTTCATCCGGGACCTGGAAGATCCTGGAATTGATCCTTCAGTAGTAAAACAACAGCAAGAAGCAGCAGAGGTAAGCAGAAAATCTCATTTAAAGTTAGAAAAATAAGTTGTGGCATAATGAAATCCAGATTCCTTGGGTAAATGTTAGGAGTTACTCTGTTAACATTTATATTTGGTTCTGAAAATGGAATGTGCAGTGATACAGTAGGAGATAGAGTATACCCACAAATTTCACTTTGAGATTGTATGTTTAAAACAATTTCTCAGGCCTGCGTGGTGGCTCATGCCTGTATTCCCAGAACTTTGGGAGGCCGAGGTGGGCGGATCACTTGAGGCCAGGAGTTTGAGACCAGCTTGGCCAACATGACGAAACCCTGTCTCTACTAAAAGTACAAAAATTAGTTAAGCGTGGTGGTACACACCTGTAGTACCAGCTAGTTCGAGGG
Source organism: Homo sapiens (assembly GCF_000001405.40). Classification (NCBI taxonomy): domain Eukaryota; kingdom Metazoa; phylum Chordata; class Mammalia; order Primates; family Hominidae; genus Homo; species Homo sapiens. The sequence continues at coordinate 56,508,152 of NC_000006.12, read as the reverse complement.
TGAAGCATGAGAATCACTTGAACCTGGGAGGTGGAGGTTACAGTCAGCCAAGATCGTGCCACTATACTCTAACCTGGGCGACAGAGTGAGCCCCTGTCTCAGAAGACAAACAAAAACACAAAACAACAACAACAAAAAATTTCTCTTTATCCTCACTGTTTTTGCCTTATTTCAGGGCCTTATTATCTCTCTCTTTCTTTTTGGCTTCCAAAGTAATCCAAAGTGCAGACTGTCTTTTCCTTGCTAGGCCTCTGACCTTGCTGCCAGTCTTCTCTCTAGATCTGCTCTTACTGTGTTGCTGCCTAAACCCCGTCAGAGGCATCCCCTGCCATCTGGATCAAGCCCAAACTCCCTAGAGCAGGGCATGCAGCTTTTTGCATGCCAGCCTAGCTCATGCCTATGTTTCCAAAGTTATGTTTTTCTCTTGCTCCTTTACCAAACTCCCTCCCTGCTACTGATTAGAAAGGGCGTTTCCCAAAACAAACTGTTTTGCTCTTTCTAGCGTCAGTGCCTTTGCGCATCTTATTTCCTCACTCTAGAATGTCCTTCCTGCCACTCTACTGGCAAAGTCCACTCAGGGTTCAGTTGGATCATTACCCCCATGTAAAACCTTTTCTTGTATACTTAGCAGAGTTAGTGCATCTGTGTTCCCGTAATACTTTATTCATGCAAAGGACTCTGCACATAGTATGGTTTACTGTTGCTTATGCCTCTGTCTTTCCTGCTGTAGTGTGGGCCCCTTGAGGGGAATAGCCATATCTATTTTTCTTTGTATCCCCAGTGCCTGGTTTAGGGCTTGGTTTATGGTTATTCAGTGTTTGTTGAATGAATGAATGTATTTAACCAAGAAGATGAAAGCAAAAGTAGGATACTGCCTTTCTGTTGTGGTATCTTTGTACCTTACAGGTCCTACCTGGTCCTGCCTAGGGTAATGACATAAAATGTAAATCCAAAGCTAGATTATTCTAAATCTACTAACAAATATATTAATTTGTATTGTTTTTGGATTTATATTTTACTTGTCTATGTTAAATGTATATTGGTTTGGAAACCAAAATGTCTTTCTAAGCCTTACAGTATTGTTGATATTTTTAAAAATTTGTTTTGGTATTTGTTAAGGTATTTCTTATTTATCATTTCTTAAATATCTTTATAATAAACATTTGACATTTGTTACTAAAAGGGTGCTGTTTTTCTTTTAAAATATTTCTTGTTGAAAAAATTTATTGCAGAAACTTAGAAAACAGAAAAATGATTAGAATGCCACCTTCTAGAAATAACTACCATTGATATTGTTGTGTACTTTTTAAAGTTTTGATGTGGTTTTGCTTAAAATTCTAAGGCTGTCATTTTCTTATTCTAGACCATAAGGGAAGAAATAGATGGACTACAGGAGGAGCTGGATATAGTTATTAACCTAGGTTCTGAACTCATTGCGGCATGTGGGGAGCCTGATAAACCCATTGTCAAGAAGAGTATAGATGAGGTACAACTGGCTTACTTATCAGAATGGCTTTTAAAAAGTTTTTAGTTAACTAAAATATTTTGTTAACAGTAGTTGAAAGTTTAAAATATGGCACTAAAAGAATTCTAACATACATCTTGTAGTTAAATTCAGCATGGGATTCTCTAAATAAAGCTTGGAAAGACCGGATTGACAAACTTGAGGAGGCAATGCAGGCTGCCGTTCAGTACCAGGATGGACTGCAGGTAAGGGGATTACAGTGTATGTGCTGGTCTTAGCTGGAAGGAGGAATCGTACTAATTGATGTCTACATATTGGCACCACCTCAAGATCTGCCAGTGCATATGCAATTGTGGGCAAATTATTCCTGCAGTTGCCTGTGTATCTCATTTCATGTTTTGTCTTTTAGAAGATATTTCTGACCTTTCAGATATGTGTAGATTTATATACACATCTAAACACATTTCTGTATACACATTCAGTGAAATTTACTTTGAAAAGAAATATTTTGATTTTTTTTAAGTGAAAGTAAATGTTCTCACACAGTGTTTTTTATAAATGGCTCAGCACCAGACAGTGAAATGGAACTAAATGTGAATTCTGTTCTGAGTGGAATAAGATGAAAGGAGTAAACACTATCTAAAAATATCACCAAGTTTAACTAAAGTCAGAAGTAAAGAAATTTGATTTGAAGCCAGTGTTCTCCATGTACAAAAATAGATTTCTATTAGGTCATAATCTGGTGTGTAAAAAGTGTTTTCTTCTTTTCCATGTATATAATTTCTTTTAATAGTTGTTTTTCACTTAAGGGTTTTCATTCAGTTCATTAACCATTTATAAGGTTTTTTTTTAATATTAAAAATTATCTTGTCAGTTGAGGCCAACTCGGGTATATTTCTCTCCCTACCTCCCTTAACCTTGCTCCGTTTCCTAACAGACTGGCAGGAGTTTAATCTTTCATCCTTCTTACCATATGGAAAAAGCTTAAGTATTTCCATAACACTAAGTGAATATTATTTTTAAAGCCCAGATGAGAACATCTTTTCCTTTTTTATTATGCCATTCCATTTCTATATTTGTAAAAATAAATGTCACAGCTAGGCTTTATGCCAGCTGAGAAGTTTTTTGAACTTTGGAAATATATGAAAGATTTTACTACAAATAACACTTTATTATATTCTCCCTCCCTCTTCTTTTTTTTTTTTTCTTTTGTAACCTAAGTGATAATTTACTCTATTAGGTATCAATGACAAGTAACTAATTCGGGCTCCAGTCTGTGAGGCTAGGTCATTGTTAAATCATTGAGTTGTAATCTCTTCCATGGCTAGAGGTGGCAATGCCACCACATGCAGCCATTTAGGAGGTCACACGCAAGCCACCATGGCTTGTATAGTCTCTTTATCACTACCAGAAAAGTAAGGCCTGTCATAAGTCCTGTTGATCATGTATTAGTAGCATCACCTGTGCTAGCAAAGGGCAGATTGATTTATTAAGTAGCTACAGTACAGCTAGCTGTAGCTAGATGTCAAAGCTCTGGATGCTAATTTTCAAGATTTGATTGTAAAGTAAAATACGTTTTATTTCCCAGGTTGCTGCTTAAGTACTTAGTCAGGGTTGGCTAATGATAACTTAAAAATCCAAGATTTATCGCCCTACTATATGGTTTGTAAACTTCATTAAAGTGCAAAATATCCCAGTGCTTTGGGAGGCTGAGGTGGGAGGATCACTTGAGGCCAGGAGTTCAAGATCAGCCTGGGAAACATAGCAAGATCCTGTCAAAACAAGAGCTGAAGTACCCCATCTACAATTTTTTTTTCTTTTTTTATTAGCCAGCCATGGTGGCATGTGCCTATAGTCTGAGCTACTTGGAAGGCTGAGGTAGGAGGATTGCTTGAGCCCAGGAGTTTGAGGTTACAGTGAGCTATTTGATTGTGCCACTGCACTCCAGCTTGGGTGACAGAGTAATGGCAAAATGATTTTATTTTGTATTCAGTACCTAAAAAAAATGTGACTTGAGCCTTTTTAGACTATTTTTATTACCTAAATAAATAAGAAATGCAGGAGAGTCTGAAACCTGTTATAATTCAGAATAATGGTCTTAATGCTAATAATTTATATGTGCAGGATCTTAATGCTAATCTAAATAATATGTAAGGGTTTGAGTCAAATATTTTGCCTAAGTTCTAAACAGTAATTTCTTGCTTATTTGAATGAACAAATAGATTTGAATCTTTTCCTTTCAGTATATTTATACAAGCTGCCTTTTAAGCACATGTAATGAAGAATTCCATGTGATTGGATTCTATAAATGTTTTCAAATGATTTTTTTAGAAGTTCATAATATATCAAGAATCTATTGAATAAACAATTTCTTTTGCAAACTTGTATGTATCTATTTCATATTTGGGACAACCATTTTGGTATATTACTGCTTTTACTAATTTAGGTGAACCATGTTAATTTTTTATAAAATAGTCTAATTCTATAATATCTTTTAGATTTATGATTGTATTTTTCTGTAGTACTTGAAATACTGTAGCAATTTCAAATGTACTGTTGTAACAACACGTGGGCGAATGTGTCTTTCAGGCGGTATTTGACTGGGTAGATATTGCAGGTGGTAAATTAGCTTCAATGTCTCCAATTGGAACAGATCTCGAAACTGTCAAGCAGCAGATTGAAGAGCTAAAGGTATGTGTGGGGGCTAATTTATCGAAGACTCCCTTGCAGTTTTAAGTCCTTGATTCACATAATTTTGTACATAAATTTATTTTACCTAATGTAAGTATGACAGCTTAATTATAAAGCTAGTTTAATGTACATAGTGCTTTCACATGCTAAGCAATATATAAGTGTTCTTTAAATAAAGGAAAGAAATACTATTAATAGTTTTCTTTTTATAGTCAATTAATAACTGTTCGTATAGAAAAATCAGAAAATGCAAATAAAAAGGAGAAAAACAAATTATTTCAAGTCACCCAAAATGTTATATACCTAGAGATCACCTTTCTTAGATTTGATTTATAGCCTTTCTGATATCTTCATGTTAGGGACATGGGGTGTGTGTGTGTGTGTGTGTGTGTGTGTGTGTGTATGTATAGGTAGAGAGAGAGATGTATTTAGATAATAGTGTAAGGATTTTTATAACTTGTTTAACTTGTTTATTCAGTAGTATATTGTTGTCACTACACTAGTATGTTGTCAATACACTACAGCATCATTTTTCTTTTCCTGATATTTTTAATTTTAATTTTTAATTTTCGTGGGTACATTGTAGGGGTATATATCTATGGGTTACATGACATATTTTGATACAGGCATGAAATATATAATAACTACATCAGGGAAAATGGAGGTACCCATCACCTCAAGCATTTATCCTTTGTGTTGCAAATAATCCAATTATACTCTTTTAGTTATTTTTAATTGTACAAAAATTATTTTTGACTATAGTGACCTTGGTGTGCTAGCAAATACAGGGTCTTATTCATTCTTTCTATTTTTTTATACCCATTAACCCAACATTTTTATTTTCTTTAGAATGTTCTGAGTAATTAATTTAGTCTCAACAGGTTAAAAACACATCCATGATATAAGAATGTTTCCCAAAAGGTTTGTTTTGTAAATGTTTGTTGTTTTCCATTGCTGTTCTCTGTAGTTTTTGCTTTTGTAATTCTTGATCTGCAGATGTGAAAGTGGCTGAACTGTTTCCTCTTTGAATTCCTCTATACCAATAATCATTTATCAAAATGGGATCAGCTATTTCCTTCCCAATTTTAACTCTCCATATGCAGAGACATCACACTGTTTGCAATGAACTTTGCTAGATTTTATGTGAAAATATTATCTGGCTTTAAAATTGTAGCATTTTCATATCTAAGTGTGACATAGAATATTTCATTTAGAAACAAATTTTCTTTTTGAGAATTTTATCCTTACCACTAAATTGAAATTTTGTTTAACTTTAATTTGTTCATGTGGCAAACATATGATATACTTTATGTACAATTATGGGTGTGGATAATTTATTTTGGTTATTTTCGTATAGGTCAGTGATTTTTATATAGCAGCCTGGTTAGAAGTGCTCACTCTGAAATCAGGTTATCTGAGTTTAGGTCCAGGTTCACCCACTTAGGGCATATGGCCTCAGTGGTCTTACTGGTCTTACTAACTGGTTTTACTCCTATGTCTTTAGCTTACATTAAGGATAAAATTATTTCCCCAATAAGTGGGTTGAAAGTAACTTGAACATACCAAGTGCTTACTATACCTTTGTTATTATTTTCAAATTATTATTCATGTATTTTTGAACAAAGTTAAGGGACTTCTAGCCATGAATTTTGTACTGTTACATATTAAAATAAATATTTTATGAAAGGACAGTTACCTATTACAAGCAACTGTTTGCTAACCTGTTGGTTGGCAAAGCCAAGATGATTAACTATGTCAGTGACTTAGAAAGTAGAAGGAGAGAGAATAGCATTCTGTGTCAGCAGTGGGTGAGGCATAGGAATATTAATGAACACAGCACAGCTACAGAAAACATAAAATTATCAGGGGATACAAGATGTGTGTGTGTTTCAGAGCAGGAAATACTAATTTGAGTTTCTTAAGACTTTTTTGGCTTTCATATGTGTCAACATATGTTTCATTTTCTTTTGTATAATTTTAAAACTCATTTTTCAAATGCATATATTGGAATAAGTTCAGCCTTGAAATTTATTTTTTTATTGTAGAGAACAAAATGAAATGAAATGTCAAAATTATAAATAGAAACATCTATCCATCCAAAAATATTGAATAAAGAGAAAATATTTTCCTTATTTTTTTTGCCTATAATTCTTCCATTGGTAAGCCTCATGTGAGATTTTTACTTTGCGTCACCTCCCCTCAGTAAGTAGTGTGAATTAGAATAATGATATAACCAATAGATTTCTTTGTTTGGAGTTAGTGATTTTTAACAATATTTTCTTTGTATATCTCTTTTAAAATAGCAATTTAAGTCTGAGGCCTATCAACAGCAGATAGAAATGGAAAGACTGAATCATCAAGCAGAGCTTTTGCTAAAGAAAGTAACAGAAGAGAGTGACAAACACACTGTTCAAGACCCATTAATGGAACTGAAATTGATATGGGATAGCCTGGAGGAGAGAATCATCAACAGACAGGTAAATACCAAGACTTTTCTTAAGAAATTATAAATTTTCAATTTCAGATATTAATGTAAAATAATTATTAAAGATAAAATTAGAATTATTTCTGCTTCTCATATATTCTATTTTAACCATGAGGAGCGTCAAACTTAAAACATAGAAGGATATGATGATTAGGCTTCACTGGATACGTTTATGGACTTATACAACATGAAACAATTATTTTTGTCCTTGTTTTATAGACATGTCATTCATAATATCAAATTTATAAATGGATTTTCTTTCCACTTTTTCTGTAGCATAAACTGGAGGGTGCTCTATTAGCCTTGGGTCAGTTCCAACATGCCCTGGATGAGCTCCTGGCATGGCTGACACACACCGAGGGCTTGCTAAGTGAGCAGAAACCTGTTGGAGGAGACCCTAAAGCCATTGAAATTGAACTTGCCAAGCATCATGTACGTAGCTGTTAATGCATGTTATGTTTCTTCTCTGTCCATTTCTAGTGTCATCAGATTTCTTGGATATATTTCTTCTTTATGCGTGTTTCAAGTTTATGATTTTGACACAAGTTCATATTTGACATTTATAACTAAAGGTTAACTACTTAAAACATTATAGTCAAAATGTTTTTCTTAAAAGATTATGGTCAAAATATTTTTCTCATTCAAGGCAATTTTTATCAAACAAAACAAGGATGAGCAATTTGTACTAAAGTTTATTAGAGCTGCATGGCAAACACTAAAGATTTAAATCCTTAATTATACCTGTCATTGTGATAATGTCACCTATTTTTTAAAGTTGTTAGGGATAGCCTAAAAAATCATAGGCTGAAAATGTCCTACTGCAGGTTTTATGTATATTTTCACTCTGGTCATCCATATTTCCATGTCTCTTTCATTTGCAGCTTGTTTGTCATTTCTGACATATTTTTATCTGTCTGTACATCTCTTCTTATGTTGGGGCTTATCCCTTTGTCTCCATGTCACTCTTGTCTTTGACTGGATTTTTGTGTCTTACTCCTTTCTGGATTTTTTAAAGTATTTATTACGTTTTAAAAAGTTGTTATATGTCCTGCACTTGATTTAAAGCTAGTAAGTTGAAAAAATTTTGTCTTAAGAGATATATGCAAAGCAATCTTATATTGTTGTCACCTTTGTGACACTTCTTAATAGATCATTCCCTATCCCTTCAGTCACTAGACTTAATGGATAAAAGATTATGCACAGTAGAGTTTATCCTGGCATTCAACAATCTTTCATAGACTTTGACATTCACATTAATAGTGATATCTTCAGAGTCCTAAATCCTAAACTAAAATAAATTTTCCTTAACTATCAAATAGGAAATGTTTGATTATTTTACATATTGATTCACATTTTTTAAAAAGGTAGGTTTTTAGCACTGTATGCTGTACAGTTTTTGACTATTCTTGCTTTTGTTCTTCTTCTTTCATAGTTCCCCACAGTAATTGTTTCCTAGTTTAAAATTTTATTTTTCTATTACCTTGTCTATCTACATTGATAGTCATTGCCCAGCCACATTTGATTAAACAATTTGGATTTATTTTGCACACTTAATGTTGACATAGAAGCTTGTTTCATTATTTAATGTCTACATTATACATTTGCTTAAAGCCCTAATGACTGGTGAGACCAACTGCCTAGCAACAAAATATGTTTATTCTCATGGTGTGAGTTTATAGCTGCATTTACATTTTTATAAACCTATCAACTGTCTTAAAGGTAACATACATCAGGATAGGAACTTTGTATAATATGGTAGAGGTGGAAAAATGAGGCACCCTGATCCAGTTATTTTGGTGGGGGATAGGTAAAGACCTCTTACTTCTGTTTGTCTAATTTTAAGTACTTTGAAATGGCCCCTTTTCTCTTCTCTCTTTTCTTTCCATTCCTCAAAGATCAAAATTAGAGGACATAAAATTCCCAGCAGAATTGCTGGAGGAAGGGGCGAATGTTTCCGTTCCTTTCCTGCTTTCTTCTCCTACTCCTAAGCTCTGACTTTGTAGCAGGACTCAGACCATTCAGAAGAATGAATTTTATAGAACTCTCTTTTATATTTTGGCCATGAAAACATTTAACTTTTTGATTCTGAGAGTGATCCTACTCTTAACATACCAAAGTGAGTGCTTTCTATAAAGATAACTTCTTACTCAGTTGGTTTTGTTGGCTTTTAAAAACACTCCCTAACCAGATGCCTCAGAATATGAGTGAAAACAGTCAGAGAAACAGTGATGTCAGAGGGTTACTGATCTTCACTGAAAATCCACCCTGGTCTGAATTTCTTTCCAGATGTGTGATGTGTTACATAGGATGGGAGATAATGTTCTTTTTCTTTACTATTGCCAACACTGAGTCAATGAGTAAAGAGTAGGATCAACTTTTACCAACATTAGAGGGAGGTTTCTTCTGCTTTCCAAAAATGTAAGCATAGCCTCCTTGAAAGGAAACTATTAATATTACTAAGGCTATACTCATTCAGTAAAAGAAATTGATATTTTTAAACCTTAGGGTTGCTTTCTGCACTTACCCCATTTTAGTGCATTTAAGCGTTATTAACCTATTCATATATTTCCACTGTATAAAAGGAAGGCATTATTTGCTGGGTTCTGTAGTAAGCTTTTTATTATATATGTTTTCTACTTGAAGAACAACTGAATTTTGGAATACTGGGTTTAAGTATCTCTGACATAGAGTGTTAGTTTTAGGGCCTTCCAATATTTCAACTTAGCAGTCAATTCCAGGACCCCTCGTATGAGAGAAGATAAAGGAATATTCTGGAATTTTTTTTCTCTTTCAGAATGCTGATTGTAAAATATGGTACTGTATGCCTTAGACATGATAATTTTATATTTGAAAATGAATATATAGGAGTAAAATATATATTTTGGTTACTTGACATGAGAATTAAACTAAAATTGGCTTGAACCAAGTGAGAAATTTTAGAACCTTTTAATTATAATCTCTAGATATTTAGTGTCATCAATTGCAAGGTCATTCCAGTGGGAATAACTAGCAAACTGTTCTCACACAGTCATTTCAGGGGACATTGATAGAGTAAAGGTACATCCAGGAAGGTTGCAAATTTAGGGGAAAAGAAGTTCATCATTTAAAAACTTAATATTAGCCAGCCTGGGCAACATAGTGAGACTACATCTGTATAAAAAATAAAACAAAATTAGCCAACCATGGCAGTGTGTGCCTGTAGTCCCAGCTATTTGAGAGGCTGAAATGGGACGATTGCTTGAGCCCAGGTGTTGAGGTTGCAGTGAGCTCTAATAGAACCACTACACTGCAGCCTGGGCCACAGAGTAAGACCCCATCTCTTTAAAAAAAATTAAAATTCTACACATATAACGTTTTTGTTTGAGGATGTTTCATAACCAGAAAGGAAAACAATTGCATTAAAGATGATATTAACATGTTACAAACTAGCAAACATGGTGTTATCTTTATATTTTCAGGTGCTCCAAAATGATGTATTAGCCCATCAGTCCACAGTGGAAGCCGTTAATAAAGCAGGAAATGATCTAATTGAATCAAGTGCAGGAGAAGAAGCAAGCAACCTTCAGAACAAGCTAGAGGTTTTAAATCAACGCTGGCAAAATGTTTTGGAAAAAACAGAACAAAGGAAGCAGCAGCTGGATGGTGCCTTGCGCCAGGTGAGTAAGAGAATAAATTCTGAAAGTTTTTATAGCATTCAAGACCAAAATAGCATGGAATTCTTTTATTAGTTCACAGACTCCTGTTTAATTTTTATACCTTAAGGAGAGGAGTAAAAATAAGTGAAATAAAGAACAGAACAGCAGAAGAGAACACAGCTTTCTAGTTCTTAGCATAATACTCTTATCTACTAGAGCTCTCCTGATGAAGAAAGGCAAATCTAATGGTACCTGGCTGTTCTTAAGAATGCATAGAGAGGCTTAGCAGGCTGGGATTGTTTGAAGCTTATTTCCTGCTTGAAACTGACAGTGTTTATGGCCCCAACTTAAAACTGCCTATTACTTCAGGCCAAAGGGTTCCATGGCGAAATTGAGGATTTGCAGCAGTGGCTGACTGACACGGAGCGTCATCTGTTGGCATCTAAACCGCTGGGAGGTTTACCGGAAACAGCCAAGGAGCAGCTTAATGTCCATATGGTAAGCAAAGTATTTCCTACAGCTTTAGCCTCAGAATAACAAACTGACCATGTTATATGGGCCCTGGCGATACATAAATCGTGGGAGAAGGCTTTAAAGATATAGTTTATGGCAGAAATCACTGTGTATACATGTTAGAAACACACCATTTATTGATTAAAATTTTAAAGTCAGAACCCATTCTTTATTTCTTTCTTTTTTTAATTTTATTATTATTATACTTTAAGTTTTAGGGTACATGTGCACAATGTGCAGGTTAGTTACATATGTATACATGTGCCATGCTGGTGTCCTGCACCCATTAACTCGTCATTTAGCATTAGGTGTATCTCCTAATGCTATCTGTCCCCCCTCCCCTGACCCCACAACAGTCCCCAGAGTGTGATGTTCCCCTTCCTGTGTCCATGTGTTCTCATTGTTCAGTTCCCACCTATGAGTGAGAATATGCAGTGTTTGGGTTTTTGTTCTTGCGATAGTTTACTGAGAATGATGATTTCCAATTTCATCCATGTCCCTACAAAGGACATGAACTCATCATTTTTTATGGCTGCATAGTATTCCATGGTGTATATGTGCCACATTTTCTTAATCCAGTCTATCATTGTTGGACATTTGGGTTGGTTCCAAGTCTTTGCTATTGTGAACAGTGCCACAAAGGTTAGTGTGTCAGTATGTTTTAGAATTCTAGACACTTTTTAGACACAAACCTTCCCCCACAAAATAAGCCTGTATGGGTGGTGGTAATATAACACAGTGTAAATTATTAAATTATTGTGCCTTGAAGTGTAAAGAAAAACCTCCAAAATAATCAGAATGACTTAAAATTATTGTTATAAGCATGATTGTCTCATTTGGTTTCATGGAAGGTTAGAAAATATACTCTTGTTCCGTTAAAAAAAAAAAACTTCCTTGTTTGTTTTAATGGTGATAGAGCTTTATCTTCAACTTCATACTTACACCAAATACAGACACAAAGAGGAGGCTTCTGTTTAACTGTCCAGTCTGGAGTGTTGTACCTGTGCGCTGTTCCTACCTAGATCATGTGACACAGTTGGCTCCTAAGAAAGATGAGGAAAAAATGATGAGACTTGAAATGTGGGCTTTCTTTCATAGAAATGGGGACTGTGAAATTAAATTTAGGCTACTTTGGATTTATTGACATTTTAAATTCATATTCCATTGTAATTCAGCACTAGAAGTTCTGAGAGGAAACAGTGTTTCAGATTTTGAAAGAGTCCCCTAATTTTTTACTTTTGTGAATTTACATCAGAAATTTTTTAAAATATTCAAATACTGATGATTATTATCTTGGGAGATAAAAGTAGAAGTACTTAGAAATTTGGCAAAAGAAATAGATCAGTGTACATCAATATCTACACTCTTTAATAGAGATATAATGTTGTTGTAAGATCTTAATAAAACTGCTCTTATTTGGAAATAATTTTGAATTTAGTGATTTGAGGAGGGCGTAACCATCATGTAGATGTTGTAAAGAAATAAAACAGATTATGACAGTAGGTAGCATCATATTTATTTCACAATCACCATCAGTAGTTTAAGTAAGTCCTACTAATTCGGTGTAGAATTTTCTAGAAATCTTTATGGTATACTTATTGTTTTAGAAAGTTATGTATGTGGTTTTTGTTGTTGTCGTTATTGGTTTTTAGTGCCACAGGAGACCTATTTGTTTCACTGGAAAAGTAATAGACTAAACTTGTAAGTGCTTATCTTCCTTTTTGAAAAAAAACCTGAGAAACTTCCAGATAGCTCCTTACTTTCCTGGAAAGTACTTGCACAGCTTTGACAGTGTCCATTAATTATAAGTTTAATGAACTCATGAACAGATAGATGCTTGGGATTATTTTCTAATAATATAAATATTTTTAAAATGTTAACTTAGAAGAATATAAGAACTTGAAAGCAAAGAACCTACCTTTAAGAATACTTTACTTTTAGAAAATATTCCATTTCAGCGAACTGAGTTTGGGCGGGGTATTTAAAATGAATCTTTTGTAACCCTATATAATAAATCATAGAAATCTGTTTAAATAAGTTTAAATTTGTGATTTAAAGCATTCTAAAGAGTTGTTGATATTTGTAATATCATTTCAATAAAGTTCTTTTGATTTTGTTGTGCTAGAAATGAAGAAAAGTACAAAACTTACAATATTAGTTTCCTGAGTTTTTAGCTATATCTGAAAGTTTTGCTTTAGGATTTAAAGCTTTTAGTAGATGATATTGTAAATATATTTATATAGGGCTTTTTTTAAAGCTTAAGAAATAAATTTTTGAGGTGATGAAAATGTTCTGGAGTTAGTGGTGATTACAAAACCTTGTGAATATAATTTTAAAAACACTGAATTGTATACTTATAATAGTGTATTTTATATTATATGAGTTATATTGCAAGTTTTAAAACGTATAAAGTTGAAAATGTGAGACATAAAATATATAATCTTTCAGTGAGAACTATGATTTAACCCACATTATAGTTGAATAAATAAAATAGAACTAGTCTTAATTTTTTAAATGAGAAGTAACTGTTGTTTTGTTGGTCTTAAACTTTGAATTTGTTTAAGCAATATTTTATGTCCTGTATAGAAGATACATACAACATTCTAGTTAGAAGCTTTAGAAATGTTCTAAATGAGAATAATATTCATAGTACCACAAGTTTGATTCTTATAATTCTGAATAATCAACTTAAATATATTACTGTGCTGGTTATTTACTTTCTATCCATTGCATGTTTTCTGAGTGCAGAATTAAATCGTACCAATGAAATACTACATTCATTGTATCATAGTACAAGGAGGGATCTACGAGAGCCTCTCATTTTACAGAGGAAGGAATTGAGGCTCAGAGAGATGAAATTACTTGCCCAAACTCACAGAACTAATTAGTTACTGTACAGTGAAAGCTTTCTTGACAGCATTTAAACTGTTGCTTCAAATCTTAGCATGCCAGAATGGGCTGATAATGATAACACCATTTTTTAGATTTCCCAGTAGACAGGGTATGACTGTAGGTTTAATTGTTGTTTCAATGTAGTGAAAAGTATAAATGCGTCAAGGTTGCCCTGAGAGAGCAAACAGAGATGAATATATGATGAGGAGCTTGGGACTGATGACCTAGAAAAATAGAACTCTTAAATTTTACTTTCTTAAAGTGATATAACTTGAGGGTATCTCAATTTAGGAAGTCTGTGCTGCCTTTGAAGCTAAAGAAGAAACATATAAGAGTCTGATGCAGAAAGGCCAGCAGATGCTTGCAAGATGCCCAAAATCTGCAGAGACAAATATTGACCAAGACATAAATAACTTGAAAGAAAAATGGGAATCGGTGGAAACCAAACTCAATGAAAGGAAAGTATGTGCTTTGATTAATATAATAGAATCAGTGTTTTAGTTGTTTCATGTCTTGGACTTGGCCTTATTTCTGAGTAGAGCTATCAGGAGTAGAACTTTCAATGATTTATGTTTAAACATTTTTTGTATATATTTGGAGATTTCATGGGGTAGTTGAAAATAATATTCTGTTTTAACATGAGAACATATTTAAAGGGGTGGGATATATTCAAAAATAGATAAATATATAGATCAAATGTTACTTAGTTATATTTTTAAATGTTAAGAACTACTCAAATTCTGGGTCATTAAATAATTAATTCTATTTTAATCTAATTAAACAAAAGACTATATATATGGGTGAGGGAGAGAGGGAAAGCAAGAGAGTGAGATGATTGTGTATATTCTTTTAAGTACTTACATTTAAAAATTCATGAGAATGGATTAAAATGTATATTAAATTATGAATATGTCTTTGTTACTTTTTTAAAACCGCAAAACTGACAATCTAAGAAATCTCAATATTGCATGAAAAAAACAATAGGCAAGAAATACAAGATTATATGCCATCACTGATGGAGCATAAAGTATGTATTTCATAATATTTTGAGTCCCCAAATTAATTGTATGAATGTCAACTTTTCTTTTTACAGATTATATTTAGTAATTGTGTTCTTTGGTTAATTTCCAAAAAACATGCTTTAGCGTATATTAATTTTTTTTTAGTTACAGTGAGATGCTGCTTACTAGGCTTAAAGGGTTTTGGTTTGCCAGTATTTTAGTGAGGCCCATTACATTTATAAGATATTTAGTTAATATATTAATAGATATGCATAAATAAAGTGGGGATAGGAAAGGAATCTGCCAGAGAATATTTAAACTGAAACAAACAAAATAACCAAGGCCCTTAAACATCACATACTAAACAATCTGTCCTTGCAGACTAAACTGGAAGAGGCTCTCAACTTGGCAATGGAGTTCCACAATTCTCTCCAAGACTTCATCAACTGGCTTACTCAGGCTGAACAGACCCTAAATGTAGCTTCTCGGCCAAGTCTCATCTTGGACACAGTCTTATTTCAAATTGACGAACACAAGGTATGTAGTGAGTCAAATAGATAGGATTCTCTTTTCAGACACCAGGCTTTTTTTTTTTTTTTTGAGACTGAGTCTCACTCCTCTGTCGTCCAGGACTGTGGTGGTGTGATCTTGGCTTACTTCAACCTCTGCCTCCCGGTTCAAGCGATTCTTGTGCCTCAGCCTCCCCACAGGTAGCTAGGATTATAGGTGCCCACCAGCATGCCTGGCTAATTTTTGTATTTTTAGTAGAGATGGGGTTTCAGCATGTTTGCCAGGCTAGTCTTGAACTCCTGACCTCAAGTGATCCACCCACCTCAGCCTCCAAAAGTGCTGATCACAGGCGTGAGCCACTGCACCCGGCTGACAGCAGGCCTTTTTAAAGTCAAAAGCATGCATTTGGTATTTCGAAAGCTTTCGTTTGTCCTTTAAAATAATTTCAGGTTTATGACACCAGAAGCATTTTTAAGATTGATCTGATTTTCATTTGTTTCTACTTATTTCCTTTTTTTCTGGGAAAGGTTTTTGCCAATGAAGTAAATTCTCATCGTGAGCAGATAATAGAGCTGGACAAAACTGGAACCCACCTAAAATATTTTAGTCAGAAACAAGATGTTGTTCTAATCAAGAATCTACTTATCAGTGTACAAAGTCGATGGGAAAAAGTGGTTCAACGGTTGGTAGAGAGAGGAAGATCTTTGGATGATGCAAGGAAGAGAGCCAAGCAGGTAATAACCCTTTAGAAAAATTCTCTGAACTTGTCAATAAACCACTTCTTGCTGTTGAAATATATGTTATGGATGTACTTTTATCACAGGCTGTATTAGGCATAACAATCATGGCATGGTGCCATGGTGGTTCTTTCCTAAAAGGGCTGTGGCCTCAGTTTGGATGCTGACATCACTTTTTGACCTGGCAGCAATTTCAGCCCCTGGGGACTAATCTTAAGAAGACTGATTATAGCTTGACTTCATAGACAGGCTATTATCATTGAGGCCCAGAAAGAAGCTCAGAATTTTTTTTTATTGGGTTTGTTTTCTTTTTCTTTGTCCTTTTGACCTCTGTTCTCATAATCAGAGTGAGACATCATACTTCATTGTATTGCTACCTTTTGTTTAGTTCCTAAGCCAGACTTTCTTCACAAGCTATCAGTGCTGAGAGCCAGACATGTAGCCCTCCCGACAGCTTTCTGAAGGGGCATATTCTCTGTCTGAGTTGGTCGGCACTCCCCACCTCTTTGAACACTTGTTGACAGACCTTCATTTCTTCTCTAATATTTTGAGCAGATAATAGAGCTCCATCTCACTTTGAAATTAATTTTTTTGAATCTTTTGGGGCCACTTTAAAATTTTAATCTAGAGATTTTCACAAATTTCACAGAGAACTCTCCTCTCCTTACTCCCTTTACCTGTTGTTAACATTCCATTCTAGACTAAACACAAAGAGGTAAAGTTATGCATCTCTGTGTGTCTTTGTACTCCATGGAAGAGAGAGGTGTACCTACCTCGCTTGACAAATATATATATTTTTAAACATTTGATTTTTACTAGAAATTTAGTGTAATATTGTAGGAGGATTTTACAATTACTTTTTGCCTCAGTCAGCTGCAATTTTCTAGCCTTAGTGTTGTACCCCATTGTTTTGAGGAGTTAAGCTCAGTTGGGTGATGCAAAAAGATGTCACGGGAGTCAGGTGTTTCAATGTTTAATGCTAACAGTACAAATGTTTGAAGGCTTGAGAAATGACAAATTGCATTGTTATAGCATTACACACCATAGACCCCATTTTGAATGGGAGGTGTGAAATGTTCAGTGTTACAAATGAGTCACTGGGATATACTCCATCTCTAATGTTTCTTTAAGACAGTATTAATTCTCAGCCTGACAGTTTTCTCTCCACATTATGTGGTGCAATAACATGTGTAGTGCCGGCATTTCTTGAGTTATGAACATCAGTTTATAAATGTTTCTTGGATATCAGTAGCCAGTTGCTCATCTTTTTCCTCCTTTCTCGATTTAATCAATTTTATTTTCTCATTTTGTCTAATTAACTTTATAAATATTTGCTACTGTTTTTAGTGCAAATGTATAGCATTTCCTCTATTTATATGGCTTAAAAATAGTTTTGAAAGCAGAACCAGCCTCAGAACTTGTGCGTTTGTATCATTGACCTTACCATCCAACTGTTATAGCCTGTATTATTTGGAGTCAAACTACCTAACACCTTGACTAGCTGTTTCTACTATTTATTTCTTCTTCTTCTAATATCTCAGTTTTTGGCTCAGATATTGATCATACTTCTCTGACTTTCACAATTCATGTGTCTATTCTAGTTTCCATTTTTCCATGTTTTAATTGATTAAAGTTGTGAGAGGGATATGAAGGTTTGTAATGAGATGATCTCCAGAGAGCCCTTACAGTTTTGTGAGTCTGTGTCCTTACTCTGCTCTTATTGTTAAATATCTTGTTGTTATTTCATTATTCATGTGCTTTGGTATACAATAGATTTAATTTTGATTACTAAATTTTTTGTTAGGTATCTGTTCACTTAAGCTTATTGTGACAAATAATTTATAACCAATTTCACAATTGTATCAGAAAATAGTACCTGCTGGTTCTTGATGACAAACCGAAAAGAAACTGTGCTCAAAATCAAATATATATAGTACCAGAATGTTTGCAAGGTTATAGATGCCAAAGAGAATAACATTGTGTTAGAACCCAAATATTGTGGCTGCTCAGTCATATAAAACCAATATGTGAGGCACAGGCATTGATTTGAGGATATTGATAGCAGCAATAAAGATGTTGAACTATCTTTGCATTAAATAGGAATGCAATGGCCTCTTTTTTGTTTTTGCTACTTTAAAAAATCAATTTACAAGCTTTATACTTACCCCTCCCCATTTTTGTTCCTCTTTCTTAACATAGGGATTAAATTCCCTAGAAGTAAACCCAGATCTGTCAACAGACAGCAGTAAACAACAGCAACAACAAAAATACAAAACATTTTCTGAGAGTTTATGTTAATTATTGAACAAGAAGAAAGTATAAGGAAGAAGTTCTTTCTGTAGCTTCCTAACTTTTTTCTAGGCTCTTTTAGAGCTGATATGTTGAATGAATTAAAACAAAGTGACAGTGGGGCACAGCCACAAATGCTAAGCATTATCAAGACTTTTTTTGTAATTTGCTGATGAAAGCATTACTTTTTTCTTCTTCAGTGGAAATTTTGAAATAATAATTTTCAGGATTTTCATCACTATTAATCTCTGTCTTAAAACTGTGCTAGATCTCAAGTATAATATGCTTGAAAAATTTTCAGACAAAGGTGTGAATTTCTTTCTAGTTCCATGAAGCTTGGAGTAAACTTATGGAGTGGCTAGAAGAGTCAGAAAAGTCTTTGGATTCTGAACTGGAAATCGCAAATGATCCAGACAAAATAAAAACACAACTTGCACAACATAAGGTGGGTCCATAATTAAGAAGAGCATATTGTCTCATTATATAGTTCAAGATCACTTTAAAATCCTTACTTCATCACGTGTTTATTCATCACTAAAGAAAAAATGTAGGTCCAGTGTGAACCTGTATTAAATTTAAAAGCTATTGCTCTTCATGTTGCTTATGTTGCAATATCTTCACTCTTCAGTGACCATTTCACTAATGATTCCCAGGTTAATTGTTAAAAAGAAAAACATACAAAATAAAAATGGAAATCCTCTACAATCTAAAACATATAAAGGATTTGTAGTGGTTTTAAACATTGGCATTTCAGTTTTTCATGATAGCTGTCTTTTCCTGTACTTTCTTTGACAGACAAAATAGCACCTTGAAGGTAATTCTGTAGTAAAAAGTAATAGATATTTTGCGGTATGGATTCTTTTAAACAATAGAGTGAGAAAAATTGGATGCTTGTACCTAAATTGTAAATTAATATTTTATTGTGTTTGTGCACGTATAAAATTCCACCCAACCTCAAAGGTACCCAAAGACATGTTTATATAGACTAGAAAAGCATGTAGAAACATTGTTTTTTAAATATTTTCTACCTTTTCTATGCCTATCATATTTTATATCTTCCACATGACATTCAAAGAGCATTCCCTCCCACCCTCCCCAGCTCTTTTGAATTTGGATTTTTATGTAATTCTATTTATAAAGTTGACCCCACCAGCCATCAGGATGAGGATGTGGGTAAAAGGAGAGTGATTCTTGCAAAGGGTTTTACAATTTTAGGCACGTACATATAAATTATCGCTTGAAACATAATTTTTAAAGGCTGGAAAAATTGGGGTGATATAAAATTTGTCATCATCAGGAGGAAATCCTGGCCATCATCTTCACATAGGTTGGCTGCTTCCATCAGTGGGTCTAACCTTAGGAGGTCATGATTAGAGGGATGGGAGGAAACATATTGAGCATCTGTTCCCTGGCCAGATGAGGGCTAATGAATGGCTTGCTCTGCTGGCACCCTTTGCCTGTGAGCTGCCACATTCAATATTGGGAGCACAGTGACAGTGAACAGCACCTTCCTTCCTTCCCCTCTGATGGCGAAATGAGAGCTTCCTTCTCAAAACAGAATGCTTTATTTGAACTTGAATGTGGATGTTGTATCGTGTAGTCTTATGAAAGTATATTACATATTAAAGTTAGAGAGTCCTATAAATAAGAATATCTACCTTTTTAAAGTCTCTATTTGGCAACAGTGACCTGTATTCAACCATAACATTTTTTGTATATCTGCTTTGTGAAGAAAATCTCTGTCAATACCATGATTCTATAACACTGGCATTCTGTTTAGCATAATATGAAAAAAAATTTATGGATAACTGTAGAAATAATGTGATTGTAATTGTGTTGTCTATTACTTAGAAATTTCCAGATGTAGTTGCCTATTACCCATGACAAATTAAATAATTTAGTCATATTAAAACACTTTAAAGTATGTAGCTTTTAAAGGCCGTAAAAACTTCTTAGGTAATTATAACCTTGAGATTATTTTAGAAAAGTGTACATTTGCATAGCATTTTACTATCTAGGGTAATTTTAATTTGCTACAAGGATTGAGAATCACTGTATTAATGTTTCCATTATATTTTGTGAGTTTGTAAGCTTCCCATTAAGTTGACCTTTCTTTGTTCTCATTCCTGCTATTGTATATTCAGTAACAGTTATCTCATTCTTTCTACTCTTCCTATTGAATATTTATAAACATCTACTAGGTGTAAGATGATAATGAGAGGCCTACAAAGACAATGTCCCTGCTCTATAAAAGCTTATGATTGAGTTGTGTAGAAAGACTATACAGATGCTCCTCAACTTACGATGGGTTTTTATCCCCATAAACCCTCTGTAAGTTGAAAATACGGTAAATAAAAAATGCATTTAATACACCTAACATTAGCTTACAATAGGACAAGATCATCTAACCCAAAACCTGTTTCTATAATAAAGTGTTGAATATCTTAGGTACTTTATTGAATAGGTGACTGAAGTATGGTTTCTACTGAATCCCTATGGCTTTCGTACCATGGTAAAGTCAAAAAATCCTAAGTCAAGTCATTATAAGTCAGAAAGCATCTATAATTCATCTCCATTTATTAGGGATGCCTCTGTTAATGCCTCTTACCTGTTTATTAGTCCCAAGAAGAAATTCGCATTTTTTTCTTGTTAAATATTTAGGAGTTTCAGAAATCACTCGGAGCCAAGCATTCTGTCTACGACACCACCAACAGGACTGGACGTTCTCTGAAGGAGAAAACCTCCCTGGCTGATGACAACCTGAAACTGGATGACATGCTGAGTGAACTCAGAGACAAATGGGATACCATATGTGGAAAATCTGTGGAAAGGTAAAATGTTCTTTAAGACAGTTTGGTTACTCTGTAGACCTCTTTCAAATACACAGTAATGGTGCTTTGCGGGGACATTTCGGGAACCTTAAATATTTCCTTTGCCTGAGGAACTTCTGCTTGTCCTAAGTATCCCACACACATAGCACTTGCATTGAGAAGTCTTTGCTGTTCATTAATTTTTAACTACTCATTACAATAAAAAGTGATATCATTGTCCAAGCTTCTGCCATCTCAGACTTGACTACACCCACTGCTTCTGACTCGTCTTCCCATGTCCACTTTTATCACTTCTTTGACTTAATTTCTACATAACTACTGGATAGTCTTTTAAAAATGTAAATGGAATCTTGTCATTCCCCTCCTTCACACCCTTTGGTGACTTACTACTGGGCATGCATTGAAACACAGGCTTCTTAATGTGACGTGCAAGGTACCACTGATCTGGCCCCAGCATTTCTTTCCAACTCCATCTACCCCTTTCTGATCTCCCTCTTTCTCATTACATTTCCATGAAAACCCAAGACATATTTCAAAAATTTTAAGTATTTAATTGAGTACAATAGTAGTAGAGTTCAAATATATTGTACATGTTTCCAAATTTTCCCGCTGATCCTTAATCTTAATGATTTTTGTCAGTATCAAGATTAAATAGATTATATTCAGTTCTGGGGAACTCACAGTAAGTTTTTGTCATGTTAGTTTTGAAAAAATCCTTTTTTTTTTTTTTTTTTTTTTTTTGAGACGGAGTCTCGCTCTGTCACCCAGGCTGGAGTGCAGTGGCGGGATCTCGGCTCACTGCGAGCTCTGCCTCCCGGGTTCACGCCATTCTCCTGCCTCAGCCTCCCAAGCAGCTGGGACCACAGGCGTCCGCCACTACGCCCGGCTAATTTTTTGTATTTTTAGTAGAGACGGGGTTTCACCGTTTTAGCCGGGATGGTCTCGATCTCCTGACCTCGTGATCCGCCCGCCTCGGCCTCCCAAAGTGCTGGGATTACAGGCGTGAGCCACTGCGCCTGGCCCTTGAAAAAATCTTAAATTCCTCAGCCACAGCATGTTACATACCTTTTCCAGTGTTGTATGCATGGTTTTATTTACAAGATTTTTGAAAAGACAAAAAAATAAAGTCCTGACAAACGGATCAATGAATGCTAGGGGTTTGAAGGCGGGGGCAGGGCGTGTCTATAAAGAGACAGCACGAGGAAGATTTTTGGGATGGTTGAACTGTTCTGGATCTTGATTGTGGTGATGATTACGTGAATCTATACATGTGTTAAAATGTATAGAAGTGTATACCAAAAAATGTCAAGTTTACTGCCTGATAATCTAAAACAAAATTTTAAAAATATTTAAACAGTTTAAAAGGCTTATTTTTATGAAGAAACATGAAGGGTCCATGGTTTCCAAAGGTGGGAATTTTCCTGGAACAGATGCCATGTATTTAAGGAATAAGAAAGAAAGTTTAGAAAAGTTTTGTCTTTTTCCTAAGAAGAGCAAAGAAACAACAATGAATACCAACATACTGCTCTTCCCCTTGAGTACCACTCAACCTTCATCAATTAATTTTAGATGTTCAGATATATGAGTGACGTTTTTTGTTGCAAGGATCAATTTTTCTACCTTTTTCCCTAGACAAAACAAATTGGAGGAAGCCCTGTTATTTTCTGGACAATTCACAGATGCCCTACAGGCTCTCATTGATTGGTTATATAGAGTTGAACCCCAGCTGGCAGAAGACCAGCCTGTTCATGGAGACATTGATTTGGTGATGAATCTGATCGATAATCACAAGGTATTGTTATCTGGGACATTTTATTTTATCTTGTTTGATTATTCTGAGTGTACAGGAAATGTAAACCATTTAAATTAGCCTTTTAAAATCAGAAGACTATAGATCATACTACATAACAGTCTTTATTGTTGAAATATGTGTCCGTTTGAGCAGAACCTGGAAGCAAACTTTAAAAGTGATGGGGAAGTATTATTTAGTGTCAGTGAAATACTTTTGCTTTTAATTACCAGATCTAAAACCTTTTTAGAACTTGGAAAGTGATTTCATTCTCTGGTGCTTTAAAACAGATTTCAAGAATGTTTTACTATCTTTAGTTATGCACTTAAACAATTATGTAATAAAATTTAAAATCATTCATTCAGTGACCTGACACTAAGTCATTGCATAAGTATGTAGATTTGTGACATGACCCATGGTGGTCATGACCAACTGCTTTTAAAAATACCGAACCAAAACTGTTTTAACCTTGCCCCTTGAATTATAGCAGTTTATGAGTCAGCAGCTTATGCTATAAGGGATTTGATTATTATTTACTTCGAGAAAACTGGCTTCCTTGAAATCTCCTGATATGCATGTAAAACTGTCATGTCATGTAAATCAAAGGTAATATTCAAGGTGTCCAACTAAGTGTAAGGTCCAAAATAATGACCAAATGATATAAAGCAACTTAGCCTTGGAAACAATATGAAGCATAGTACTAATGTAGAATAGTTGTATTGGAGTTGACTTTATATAAAAATGTCTTACATCACTCTACTTAAATTCATCTTGTATTTCTTCTCTCTAGTATCTGAGTTCAGAAAACTTATTCCATTTATAATGTTCTCTTTATATTGGTTATGCTATTTTGATCTTACCATTCTTTTTAAAAGTCTTATTACATATTTATTTTTCCTTTTTTCTTTCTATTCTATCATTATACCCATAAGAGAGTTTGTTACACCTGAAAAGTGAAACAAACTAAATTAAAATAAAATAAAAGAATAAATAAAGAACATTGGTCAAGTCTACAAAAGTTAAAAATTTAAAAATCACATGGCTTTGCTTATATTGAAATAAATGTTTTGTGTATGGTTAATACAAACTTCTCTATTTCCTGGCATTTATTCAATGAGTAATGAATAGCGTAATGTTACTTTTTACATAAATGCCATTTCTGTAAACTCACTGTCTAAATATTTACTACTCTAGGTAATTGCCAGATCTTTTATATATTAAAGGTCATCAAGAATGAATTAATCATTTAGCATTAGTAATACAACTGGAAGGCTCAAGAAGTTCAAGTATGTAAAAATGCTTTGGAAAGTCTTCTGAAAACTATTGGACTAGTCCTATCATAAATGGGATATTTAGATACTGTACCATTTGCATGTGTGCTTGTGTGTGTGTGAATGTGTGTATTGGTGTATACGTGTGTGTTTGTGTCTTTCTGCAGGCACATCTCATTTTAACTGTTAGAGTTGAATCAGTCAAATAATCACTTTTGTGATAGGCTCACTTTTGTGAATGATCTGAGTATCAGAATAGAAACCTATAGATATGGCCAAATGGTAATATTCATTTATGATGATTTTTTTAAAAACACATTAATTTTATTGTGACAGAATGTTGGTTATTAATGTTTGAAAGATCTAGTTGCATACACAGACTCTTGGATCAAAAATAAAGAGCTCTGGGCTCACTTCTTAGATCAGTCTGTGGCCAAAATAAATGAATTTAATTCCTGGCACATCAGTTTGTCAAAATTAGGCAGGAAAAAAAAAAAAAAAAAAAAAAAAAAAAAAGCAAACCCAGAAGCTTTTCCTCTAAGGTGAAAGACAAGGATTTAAGCCTCTAAAATTTGACATTATGAGTTAGTACCTAAGATATTATGAAAGACCAAGGAGTGTTATAGGAATAAAAGACCATCTGCCAACTTCCTATGGAATTCCCTGCCATTATCTCTAAGACATCCGTGGTACACACATCAAGATTGCTTAGTCCTCTGTTAGGTTCTTAGATACATCTCTTAGAGTAGTGCCAAAGCCAGCATCCACTTGACATTCACACTAGTGATTTGAGAGAAATTGGGACACCATATTAAAGAATCATTAAGAAAAGGAATTTGTTGCATTGTTTTATGAAATTGAAATAATGAAGGCTGGCTGCCATTATTTAAATCCAATATGTCATTTTAAAATAAGATAATCTTATCTTGTTTTCTCATGAGAATGTGACAGGACTGAACAAATTTATACAAGACTCTTCTTGATGGTGCTCAAATAGGAGCAGTGTGTCATTTATCTTCTGAAGATGCTGCCAGAAATATGGTTATTAAACTGTAGGTCTTAGATATCTTTACATGATGTTATGTGCACATATATATCTCAAACAGTATGTGTTGCTGTTTTGGTTTTGTAATTAAAATTAATTTTTCAAAATATGGTCTTCTTAGGCCTTCCAAAAAGAGTTGGGGAAGAGGACCAGCAGTGTGCAGGCCCTGAAGCGCTCAGCCCGAGAACTCATAGAAGGCAGTCGGGATGACTCCTCCTGGGTCAAGGTCCAGATGCAGGAATTAAGCACACGCTGGGAGACCGTGTGTGCACTTTCTATATCAAAGCAAACACGGTTAGAAGCAGCCCTGCGTCAGGTAAAAACCATGTAAATGAGAGCTGGGTGTAATGGGAAAAGTATTGAAACCTCAACAAGAACTATTCTAGTAAAAAATTGTGAGGCCCTCGTGTCTCAATCAGGACAGTCTGAAGAAGGAAATTCTAATAGCAACATTGCCTTGATCCTTCTCCCACCCTCCCTCATGAATTTAAATTACTGCTAGAGGGAGGCATTCTAATCTTCACATACAAGTGCTGCGTGAGTAATGTCTCAGCTTGGAAGTATGATGGACTGCCATTCATCTAAAATCAAGTTGTTAAAGTGGTAAATTTTTCTTCATATAGGCTTTTTTTTTAATATATTAAGTGTTTTCTTGTAAAATATGTGTATCTCTATCTTCTTAATGGGAGTAATGAAGCAATTAAATTTAAAACTTTTTTTTTTTCATTGAAGGGATGAATCCACTATACAGTTTTGTAAATTGTGCTAACAGGCATATTTGGGAATTTTGTTTGGGGTGTGTGTGTGTGTGAACTCTTAGGCAGAGGAATTCCACTCGGTGGTACATGCCCTCTTGGAGTGGCTGGCTGAGGCGGAGCAAACCCTGCGTTTCCATGGTGTCCTCCCAGATGATGAGGATGCTCTCCGGACTCTCATTGATCAGCATAAAGTGAGTAATATATAAATGCTATGTAAAGCTAAATTAGAAAATCAAAGCAGGGAAAATAGACTCGGGATTACAAATATCAACTGCATGAATATTTTCCTTCCTGAGAAATACTTAAACACCTGATACATTTGAGAGTGTACTTCTGTCCACATTGCTTACATATGTATGTCCCCATGCACCCACACACATGTATGTGTACCTGTCTTTTGATGTTTCCTTTTCAGGGAAGGTAGTTACTCTGTTTCCTATCTCAAGGAAGCATATTGATTTATCTAGGCTTTTTGGCTTTTGACCAAAATTGGTCAAGATTGTTGCAGTTATCATGTGGATTTCAAAAATAAAACCTCTTTAACGAGCAGTTTGGCATTTATAAAATTATACCCGTAGGATTGTAAATTAGTAATTTTGCCCTTTGTAAACAAGACACACAGGTAATTTAATAACTCATCTTTGAATCTATTTTTAAGCCTCTGCTGCTTCTGTTTTTAATCAAGAGCCTTTTAAATCCTTTTTAGAAGAAACCTATAGTATACATTAAAAACTTTAAAAATGAATTTCATAAGCCAATATTCTATTGAATAACTAACCAAGTCTAAATCTGGCTATTGAGTTTTCAAATCAAGATCTTTCCTGCGGCAATGCATGAAACTTGCCAAAACCCTTCAGAGAGTAATCCAAATATCTCTTAACAAATGTTTTTTAACCTTTGACTCAAAAAGTCAAGAATTTGAAATGGTAACGCTCAATGTAGTGTTGATGTCAGCATTTCCTATTAACTTTAAAGGATCTTTTAAACACCAGTAAATAATTTTGTCTTTTGAAGTCAGGCTGGAAATACATCATTAATTCTAGTGTAGCATGGATTACATCATGTGTGGAGACTTGTTATGTTAATTAACACCCTCTATCAAAGATGGGTTGCTGAATCTATAGCGATGAAATATTGCCATGTCATTTAAAAAGTGGTACAAGCTTGCATAGCATTTTCTGGAAGAATGAAATGCTATATATTATATACACCGTTTAAATTTGAAGCTAGAATATAAGAAGAAGACAGTTACATCAAATGTATTATAAATTTTTGAGTCAGTTCAATATTTTGAAAATGTAGTTTATATTATATTACTGTGGGCTTACCATCAGCCAGCATTGAGTTCCATTAACATACTTAGGTTTGGGTCTCAGAGTAGCAATAAATATTTGCTGGACACCACTTAAAGCCCATTGTGCATATCTAACACCCTACAGAAAGGAGCCTATTTGTGGTATCACCACTCTCACACCAGGACCAGGAAACCTCCAGAAGGCACGTATCCAGAGCAGGGGTAGTGGTTTTTACAACAAATTATTTTTAAATAGCATAAAATTACCTGTAATTTTATAAAACATTTCTTAATAATATTTTGCAGTAACACTATTCATTCTTTTCCATCTCCTCTGCTTCCCTTCATACATTCACCATTCACCATTCAAAGAAAAACAGAATATTTAATTTCTTAACACCAGAACTGGAGACTTCTTAGCATATCCAGTTTCTAAAAATGGCAAGCTTTCCCACATGAGAACAAACCAGTAAGGTAAGGTTCAGACTAGGTTGGAAGGGCATAGAATTCAGTGGAATGTTGACAGTCCAGTCCACCAAATTCTAGGTATAACCTTGGCTCCTCTAGGTGTAGAAGTGATTGAAAGTACATTATTTGTATCAGCTGTTCTCCAGGGGAAACACAGATGTTAGATTAACCTATTTTTTTCTCTTCCTTATAATGTTGGAGTTTTAAATTTTTTTCATTTAGGAGGATCCTGTATTGGGAAAATGATAATTTAAGTTATGATATTTAAAAAGTAGGTGTTATCAGAGTGTGCTGTCAATTGAACGTTGACTCCATTATAGTAAACTTGTAAATAAAAGGTCTAAAAAGCATTTATTCAGTAAATCACAACTCTTTTGAACCAACTACCGGGAACACAAAAATGAATAAAACACAGTCTTTTAATCTTGTGGACCGAACAGTCTAACATAGCAAAATGCCAGAGTAGGAGGTATGTCACAGAGCTGCTTCACAGAGGTTAAAGACAAAAGGCCACTTAAATTAGAATAAAACATATAAACATATCATATAAATTTAAATTCAGAGAGTACATGTACACGTTTGCTATATGAGTATATTGAGTAATAGTAGGGACTGGACTTGTTTTATACCAGTCATCCAAATGTTAAACACGGTACCCAATAGGTAATGTTTCAACTCTCAGGCCCCTGTGATCCTCCGTGCTTTTTGGAGTCTTCAGTGTCTATTATTTCCATCTTTATGTCCATGTGCGCCCATTGTTTGGCTCCCATTTATACATGAGAACGTGTGATATTTGATTTTCTGTTTGAGTTACTTCACTTAGGGTAATGCCTTCCAGCTCTATGCATGTTGCTGCAAAGTACATGATTTCATTCTTTTTTATGGCTGCATAGTATTCCATGGTATATATGTACCACATTTTTTTTTAATCCAATCAACTGTTGATGGACACTTATATTGGTTCTATGACTTTGGTATTGTGAATAGTGCTGGAATGAACATATGAGTGCTGTTGTCTTTTTGATATAATGATTTCTTTTCCTTTGGGTAGATACCGAGTAGTGGAATTGCTGGGTCAAATGGTAGTTCTAATTTTAGTTTTTTGAAATATTTTCATACTGTTTTTCATAGGCATCGAACTAATTTATATTCCCACCAACAGTGTATAAGCACGCCCTTTTCTCAGCATCCACATCATTTGTTGTTTTTTCACTTTTTAGTAATAGTCATCCTGACTTGTGTAATATGATATCTCAGGGTGGCTTTAATTTGTGTATCTCTGATAATTAGTGATGTTGAGCATTTTTCATGTGTTTGTTGGCTGCTTGTATGCTTGTATTTCTTCTTTTGAGAAATGTCTGTTCATGTGTTTTTCCCAGTTTTCAATGGAGTTGTTTGTTGTTTTCTTGTTGAGTTGTTTGAGTTCCTTGCAGATTCTGGATATTAGTCTTTTTTCAGAGGCATGATTTGCAAATATTTTCTCCCATTCTGTAGGTTAACTGTTTACTCTGTTGATTCTATCTTTTGTTGTGCAGAAGCTTTTTTATTTAATTAAGTCCCATTTGTCTATATTTGTTTTTGTCACATTTGCTTTTGGGATCTTTGTCATAAATTCTTTGCCTAGGCCGATGTCCAGAAGAGTTTTTTTAGGTTTTCTTGTATAGTAAAACACCTATATTTCAAAGTGAACACCCCTGTTCACATAGTGTGAGTAGCATGGGCATCATCGATCTCTGCGGCCTCTGGCACTCATTGTGTAATCAAGTAATCGCTCTTGGTGCAGGGGTCCAGAGAGACTGGGGTGTTTGCAGATCTCTAACATTCTATATGAGATTTTGGAAGCGTGTCACATTTTTAAGGGCAAAGATTCTCATTTTGTAATCACATTTTCAGAGTTCTATGATCTGTCTTATCTATGGATATAGTTCTGATGGTAGAAAGTACAATTAAGTATGTGAGACATTTGTAAAACATTTATTTGAAAGATCATCCTTGAGGATGTCAAGGCTTTGTTCATTCCGCTTGCTGGCAGAGACTGGCTAGAACTGCCAGAACAGAGGAGAGTGGCTCTTACTGGCATTTTAAAGGGACAGTTCTCACATGGGCTGACCTGCTGTCAGGCTCACTCTTCCAACCTCCCCTTCACTTTTTACTGCATAGACACTTTGGGCCCTCTCTCCCATACCCCCAAACATTTATCTTTCCTTACCCAGGCTTCTCTCTACTTTGTACTTTTTTATTCATGCTGCCATATTTCCTGGCATAGTTAATGCTATTTTAAATATTAACCTCCTTACCTTATTTGTTAGAACTTATTTTTGGTCAATCAGTATTGTTTCTATCTCTAGCAATACTGTCTCTCCCAATGCTATTCTCCATTAATAACATAATTATATCTAAATTTGGGAGAGTTATTTTTTTGTATAATACAGTTTTTGAAGCATGAAATATCCTATAAAGTTGGCCCTCTGTATCCAGATATTCAAAAATAAAATGGTTAAAAATATTCAAAAATAAAATGGATGGTTGCATCTGTACTGAAGATATACATACTTTTTTCCTTGTCATTATTACCTAAACAATACAGTATAACAACTATTTACAACAATTTACATTGTATTAGGTATTATTAGTAATCTAGAGATGATATGAAGCATATGGGGAGGATGTACTTAGGTCATATGCAAATACTACATCATTTTATATCAGGGACTTGAGCATCATTGGATTTTATTATGCACGGTATCCTGGAACCAACTCCCCTTGGATTCCAAGGGATGACTGTACTTGTATTTTGAAGTACATGTTAGAAAGTACTTTGTTTTCTATTTTGTCCCCTTTTCCTCCCCAATTAGTAGATGATTTTCACTGTGAATAAACCAATTGAAGTTTTTGTTTATTTGTTTAATTCTGGCAGTCAAACAAATGCCACCAGAGTTTTGTTTTCAGCCAATGCCAACAGTTAATTGAAGTCTTTGTTTCTGCTGTAGGAATTCATGAAGAAACTGGAAGAAAAGAGAGCTGAACTAAATAAAGCCACCACTATGGGCGACACCGTTTTGGCTATCTGCCACCCCGACTCCATCACTACCATTAAGCACTGGATAACAATCATCCGGGCGAGGTTTGAGGAGGTCAGTGTGTCTCAGATAATCTTCAGAGTAGCAATAGCTTTGAGAGTTGAGGGGTGTGGGAAATTTCAGGAATTAAGATGCACTTATGGCCATGGGAAAATGAGACCTCTACATAGAAAACGTTCTTTTAAATACGCTTCTTGTATGCATTACAATCTCTGCAATTCACTTTTCTTTAAAAGCTCAAAGAAATTTTGCAGCTATGTCCCTGGAAAATTAGAAGGCAAATATTTAGTACACTGTATAACATTTTGGCCTCCTTCCACATTGTTTCTGTTGAATAATCCAGCAGTTGGATGGTGTTTCGGAGCAGTATATACTGGTGGAGTGAATTGGTATACATAAAGTGAATTAATTCTGTATTTAATATCTTAGCTTTTTTTTTTCTTTCTTTTGACGGAGTCTCGATTTATTGCCCAGGCTGGAGTGCAGTAGCTGGATCTCGGCTCACTGCAACCTCTGCCTCCTAGGTTCAAGCAGTTCCTCTGCCTCAGCCTCCCGAGTAGCTGGGATTACAGGCGCGTGCCACCATGCCCAGCTAATTTTTTTGTATTTTTAGTAGAGATGGTTTCACCAGGTTGGTCAGGCTGATCTTGAACTGACCTCGTGATCCGCCCACCTCGGCCTCCCAAAGTGCTGGGATTACAGGCGTGAGCCACCACGCCCTGCCAGTATCTTAGCTTTTTACATTTCTACTCTGTGCCACATGGAGTAAGCTTACCTGATCCTTCAGAGAATGCATATTTGAACTCAAATTAGAAAGCAAAAGGAAGCCTGAGTGATTGACATGCATCTTTAAATTCTGAAGATGATGAACATCATCGTGGGCTCTCATGTCCTCCTCAAGCCAGATCTTGATGCCACTAATGGAATCTAAAAAGACCAGAAGCATTATGGGTCTAGCTCAGGATGATCCTAATTTTCATTTAAAATTTATTTATTTTACATCACTGCAATTATTTTACTAAGTTGGAGGAAATTCAGAGAAATTTCTGTTTCTCTGACAGGTGCTGGCCTGGGCAAAGCAACATCAGCAGAGATTAGCAAGTGCTCTGGCTGGGCTTATTGCCAAACAGGAATTGTTGGAAGCTTTGCTGGCTTGGTTGCAATGGGCTGAAACTACACTTACTGATAAGGATAAAGAAGTCATCCCCCAGGAGATCGAAGAGGTGAAAGCACTCATTGCAGAACACCAGGTAAAATAAATATAATCCTAACTCCTGTTAACCATTATCTCAGATATTTTCTTTCTTTCACTGCTGTACTTCTCAAAACATTGCTTTGTTCTCGTTATTTTCACTTCTTCAGACTCCTCAGCTCCTTACAACTGTGTTTCCAACTCTGCAACTGCCCTAAAACCTCTCTTTACAGGAACCCTCTGTGACCTTTGCAAAACTTTCCTTCTTTGTCCTCTGTGGGGTTACACTCGTGGTATTGTCTCACGTTCACTCCTGCCCTCCCTTTTGCCTTCTAAATGTCAGCTCTCCTTACTCCTTAGGTGTTATCCTCAGCTCTCTATTTCTCTCACTCTGTTCCCTCTTTTGGTGATCTCACCCACCTCCACCTCCCTGGCTTCAGTGGGTACAAGGTACCCACATTAAGGTATCCACATTAAATGTGGATGCATTATGTTCACATTGCATTAATCAAACAAGGTTTGATTGCTCTGCATTTTTATGTCTGTGAAGATGACTGTCATCACTTGAAATACATCATATGAAAAAGGGAACGTGTTGTCTTTCTTAGGAAAAGCAGCCTTCCTATATATCCTTCTTGTTTTAAACTCAAATGATGGGTGTCACACTCACTTTGATTTACTTGATTGCTCACAGTTTGTTTAATATGCATTTACAAAGAGAAATATTAAGTGTTAGCTCAGTTGGTTAAGCAATTAATGTTGCCATTATTTTGTGTGTGTGTGTGTGTGTGTGTGTGTGTGTGTGTGTGTGTTTTAAAAGCCTAATAAGACATCAATGTCTATAATGGCTCTAAGTGTACCAGGTCATGTTTCCTGTGATCAGAGGTATTAGAGTTCTTCAGTGTGACAAATATTCCAGAAAGGTGTTACTTCACTTTTCCCTTTTGTCTGGGTCTCCTTTTCCCCATCACTTTTCACAGTCTCTGCCTTTCCACAGCCTTTGCTGCATATTCCAAATAGAGGGATACCTAGTAAATAATAATAATAAGCCCAAGGAGATGAGATAAGCAGTGGCAAGATAGTTAAACCTTTTAAATACAATGGTAGTATACTTTAACCCAAATAGTTTTTACCACCCTTGGAATAGCCTATTTATGAATATTTTGATATGTCCACATTAAATGTGGATGTATTATGTCATAATATATCAAAGAGCCATCTTTTTTTTTTTTTTTTTTTTTTTTTTGAGAGGCAGGGTCTCACTCTGTTGCCCAGGCTGGAATGCAATGGCACAGTCGTGGCTCACTGCAGCCTCAAGCTCCTAGGCTCAAGTGATCCTCCCACCTCAGCCTCCTGTGTAGCTGGGACTACAGGCACATGCCACCTGGCCTAATTTTTGAATTTTTTGTAGAGACAGGGTTTCACTATGTTGCCTAATCAAAGCCATCTTAAATATTTCAAATATGTAGGTGAAATGTGCCACAGAAAAGTTCTTGGAAACATCCCAGCTACCTAGTTTGTTTGTAGACAGATGCTTACTAAAGATTCTTCTGAGGAGCTTGGAAACTTGAGTTTGGTTGATGCACAGACAGGTTATTTTATTCACATGACTTCTCCCATGTGTCCATGCAGGTTATTCCACTAAAACAAATTATTTTTATTTTCAATTTACTCTCTTTACAAGCATTAACATTTTATTTATTTATTTATTTATTTTTGAGACGGAGCAGAGTCTCACTCTGTTGCCTAGGCTGGAGTGCAGTGGCACAATCTCGGCTCACTGCAACCTCTGCCTCCCAGGTTCAAGCGATTCTCCTGCCTCAGCCTCCCAAGTAGCTGGGACTACAGGCGTGCACCACCATGCCTGGTTAATTTTTGTAATTTTAGTAGAAATGGGGTTTCACCATATTGGTCAGGCTGGTCTCAAACTCCTGACCTCAGGTGATCCACCTGCCTTGGCCTCCCAAAGTGCTGGGATTACAGGCATGAGCCACTGCACCTGGCCACATTTTATATTCTTTAGAAATTAGTAAATGCCTGCAGTATGATGGTTTAGATTTTTTTTACCCTAAAGATAAAGCATATGATTTATTCTTCTTCAGAAATAATAACATGGTTCTTTTATCCTTCTGCTTTTAGTTCATTTCTAAAGACGGTTTTCTGTAGTAACTCTTATTTGATTGACATCATTTCTTTCATTTCAGACCTTCATGGAGGAAATGACCAGAAAACAGCCTGATGTTGATAAAGTAACGAAGACCTATAAGAGGAGAGCTGCTGATCCTTCCTCATTACAATCCCATATTCCAGTCTTGGATAAGGGACGAGCAGGAAGTAAGCAGTGATCAATTTCTTTAAAATGTCAATAAATAAGGGAGCTAATTTTCTTTTATTTTGAATTATTTGAAATTTGGGGGCAATTGGTGATTTTACATGAGCACTTGATATCATGAAATACTTTCTAGAAGGAATACGTGTGCTCAAGTATTGTAGAAACTTATTTAAAAATAAAGAAAAAATATACCCAGGTTTCTATACGTAACTTTATTGTCTTGAAGTGTATCTTTCATATTAGCTAGAAGAAAATTGAAAAAATTTACAGTAAGAATGGAAATCATCACACCCTTTGCATTGTCTCATTTGTCTTCCATTATATATATAACATTAAAGCTGAACATAACAAAAATGACCATGACGTGGATAATCTTCATGACTTAGTTGTTCATTGGTGACCAGCAATCTCATAGCTTTTGCCCATGTTCATGTGACTTCAGGCTCTATATACTTCTTGAGCTACTTTAACAACATGACATGACATTGAAAACAATCATAGTTAGCTTGGAGAAGATTTAAAAAGAAACACAATTTGTGTTATATGTTTTATGCGTTTCTGAATAGAAATGCATTTTGCGTATTACTTAATTTTTTAATTAAAAAGAAATGATGTCGGAGCTATTGTAATTACTTACTACACAAGGAGACAAGGTAAACTATTAAGAGCCCTATAGCCAGACTCCTTGGCTGTCTCCAACACTTACCAAACTGAGAAACATAACCCTGGACAAGTTACTTAAACTCATTCTGAACCTCAGTTTCCTCATCTGTAGAAGGGTATAATTATAACTTCATTGGACTGCAGTGAGAATTAAATGAGCTAGTACATACAAAATGCTTAACCTACTTCCAGGCATATAGTTAAATGCTCAAGTATTTGTTGTACTATAAATCCTAGCTGGGACACTTAACATTCTATATGACCCTAGGCTAGTAATGTTTCTAGGCCGTATTTAGCCATTTAGTAAGATGAGAAAAATTTGTTAAGGTCATTGTTTTGTGAAGTTGTTGAGACTTGTGGAAAACAGCCAGAAAGCAGGAGGAAAGTTTAGTAAGGCAGTAAACTTGGGTTTGAGACTATGCACAGGAAACATGCAATCTCAGTGGAAAATGGATGTGGGCGAAGGCTGGGGTCCCATACACATGCTGCCATATTTTATTGGCATTTGTGAAGTGTCTTGCTTTGACTCTTGTGACTGCCCAGTGCCTGCTGCCCTCATCTGCTCTCCCTTTCTGCCTTATTCTCTAGGAAGGACAGCTGGGTTTGATGTAAGTCATTGTAAGGTAGTCTCACTGGCCTGGGAGATTTCCTTTAACAAAGTGGAGGATCACAGCATGCTTCGTTGTCATTGAAATGGCATGAATTTTAAGCTGGAAGATGTTTTAAGCATAATTCATTGAGAGAGGTTTCCAGTATTTAAATGCCCCTGTCCAGAGATATTTCTTTAAATTGCATGAACAGTGTGTGATCCTTAATAAGGAAAACAGATTTGGGCCTTGACATTATACATCATCTAAATTAGGATACTTTTACTTGCGTAAACACGTAATTAAGTTGATGCAGTCTTAGCTAGAAGCAAAAAAGGTCAAGCCTTAACACATTTCAGCACCCTGGAAACTGCCATCCTAACCGAAGTTATACCTTCACAGGAAAACGCTTTCCAGCATCAAGCTTGTATCCCTCTGGGTCACAGACACAAATTGAAACCAAAAATCCTAGGGTAAACTTACTGGTGAGCAAATGGCAGCAAGTCTGGCTCCTGGCGTTGGAAAGAAGGAGGAAACTCAATGATGCCTTGGACAGACTAGAGGAGGTTTGGAAATTCATACCCTCAACACCACATTGTCATTTGCCCTCATTCCTCATAACACATTGCCATTGCCAAAATCTTGGTATTTTTTAACTTTTCTGATAATAAGCAAACTCTTGCTATTTGAGTACATTTTTAAATTTCCAAAATAAATACCACAAGTATGTGTGATTTTGTGAAATATTGATATATGGGATTTGGATTTAGGGAATCAATGAAGTAAAAAAAATGATTATGTTTTAACAATCAGAAGCTGATTCCTTAAGAATAAAATCTAACTTGACATAATGTTTGCTGGTGATGCTGCCTGGAAAATATAATCTTTTATATTTCAGATCTTTTGATTGTGTGTATTTGATTACCTAAGATTTCAAGTTTTAGATTCTGCAATTGGGAAATTTTTAGAAGCCCTGGGGAGTTAAGAGAGTGGCTAATAGTGCAGAGGGAGAGAGATTGAAGGGTTAGGTAAGTGCTGTTGATCTGGACCTGCTATCCCAGTGAGCATGACTAGTGGTGGTACTTAGAGCCGGACCACCTTTATGACTTTGGCATTAATCAGAAATTTACAGCTTAAGTTTTTAGGAATTTTATTTGTAAAGAAAAATCAGTGACAGCAATGGAATACATTTTAAAGGCAAAATGTTTCTAAGTCCCCTTTGCAAGATCATACCTCTTTTTGAAATGGGAAGGATATGTGTACTACCTAGAGAATCATTTCAAAAGTTATTCATATAGTATAGTCTACAATTTTAGTACAGCATTAACTCAATCAAAATACTTTTTGTCCTTTTAGCTGAGGGAATTTGCTAACTTTGATTTTGATATCTGGCGCAAAAAATACATGCGATGGATGAATCACAAGAAATCTCGAGTGATGGACTTCTTCAGGAGAATTGATAAAGACCAGGATGGGAAAATAACGCGGCAGGAATTTATTGATGGAATTCTTTCCTCAAGTAAGTTCCAAGACAGATGACTATGACTGATACAATTTTTAAAGGAAATAAGCACATTTTAAAAGTGTGGGTCTGGTAAACTTGTGTTACAATAAAGCATTGTCTTATAAGTTGCCTAGGAAGTCACGACCCTTAAAAAAATGTTTTTTTGGTAAAATTTGTGGCTCTGGAGTCAGGAACACTCACTAACTGTGTAATCACAGATATGTTGTTCCCTCCACTGAGGCTGAGAACTTGTTAGAATAATAAAGTTAATAATATATGATTCTTAAGGTGTTTTCTGTGTGTGTGTGTGTGTGTGTGTGTGTGTGTGTGTGTGTGTGTTGCCTGGCATATGTGTAATAGGAAGTCAATAAATTCAAGTCCCTTTTTCATTCTAATTCACATTCTGATCTAACTTTGTCATTAGTAGGAAATTAGAACTCTATAAAACTTCTTAAGATACTTATCACCTTTTTGTTTGATGGCCCAATCATTTGTATGTGATTTCCCTGACAGATGTTACTAGATGTCATTCTTAAGGTAAATTTCATATAATTTATTCTTTGACTAGCAATTGACCCATATAAAATTGCCAGTGTTAAACATTTTCAACCTAAAAAAACAGCATTTTATATGATTCACCTAAATAGTAATTAAAGATAAATTAAGATTATATATAACTCTTCATTTGCTGTGATGTAAATCAGTTTTTTAAAAAAGGATTTTAATATATTTGATCACTGATGATTTAACCAGCTACACTGAGATTGAAATGTGCAATTGAGAATGTCTTGAGAAAGAACTAACAAGTCACTACTTACCATTGTTTTCAAAATTTTAGAGTTTCCAACCAGTCGCTTGGAGATGAGCGCAGTTGCAGACATCTTTGACAGAGATGGCGATGGATATATTGACTACTATGAATTTGT
Source organism: Homo sapiens (assembly GCF_000001405.40). Lineage (NCBI taxonomy): Eukaryota > Metazoa > Chordata > Mammalia > Primates > Hominidae > Homo > Homo sapiens. The sequence goes on along the minus strand of NC_000006.12, from coordinate 56,470,194 downwards.
AGCAGCCCTTCACCCAAATAAAGATGCATATAAACCTATCACAGATGCCGACAAAATCGAAGATGAGGTACTCATTATCTTCCCATTGCGTACAACACTGATAGTATGTTCTGCCACGATATCATGCACAATTCATACAACCATTTTATTTTCACTCTAATTGTTGTGTCAAAGTTTTAAGGATTGTACTATGTAATATTGACATTAAAGTAAATATTTCATCATTGTTTTTGGCAGGTGACAAGGCAGGTAGCTAAGTGTAAATGTGCAAAGCGATTTCAAGTTGAGCAGATTGGTGATAATAAATACAGGGTAAGTTTTCAAAGTAATGTTGTAGTTCCTTTAAAGGACATAAATTGAAATCTGTATACAATTTGATCTCCATTGTTTTCCAGGAGTCTTATTTATTTACTTTTTTACCTCATGTCAAAATTTAATGGTATATGAAACTCTTACATTTAACATTTTAATTTGTATAACGGCAGCCTGCATTTTGCATATTAGGAAATATCTTTGACATCTACATCATGCACATTACCTTTAAAGAAAAATTCACAAGAAAATACTCAAATCTCATATATTTAGGTTGCTTCATATTATTTTATATTTTGTTATGATTAGAGGTAAGTTTTCAGATTTCAAACAAGAAAGCTACTCTAATCCAGAACCACAAAGTTAAAAATATGGACTCATTTTAATAAATATGAAAAGAGAGGATAATGTCTTCTCCACTTGTGCAGTAATTTTTGCTTTTATTCAAAATCTCAATTAACTCGGTTCACTCTCTTCAAAACAGAAGAACAGTGTGACTTCATTACTCTTTCTCTATTTTTTTTTTTCTCTTTTGGAACATCTCTTATATGTAGTAGCTAGATAAGAAATGTGCTGAGTTTCCCCAATACAGTGTGCTACTTCTAAATGAAATATTATTTTTATTTTTATACTTAAAAAAATAATCATCAATGTATTCAAAATTTTAACTTAAATTTGAAATCCTAAGATTTTCAAAAATATGTGTACAGAAAATAGTCTGATTATTTGGTTTGAAATTGGGACAACTGGGTGCCTGCACATCTCTAAACTAGATACTACATCCAGAAGCACAGAGTGTGAGTATGTGTGTATGTTCTAGAGTCATACAGAAAGTTTCCTGTTGAACTAATTGTGTCTTTCTTCCATTTTTCATTTTTATCAGTTCTTCCTGGGAAATCAGGTATAAACCAGTGGAATGTATTCTCAAGTTCCTGATGATTTTTTTTTAACTTTAATTCATAGTCATTAAAGCTTGCCATGGCCAATCTTTCCCATGCTGTCTCCCTAGCTACTACATTGTTGGTTGGCGTGGTGTTTCTGTAAACGCTATAAGGGTCCTTGATCCAGGATTCCTTTTTGCCTTGTGTCTCTCAGATGAGGAGATTACTTTTAAGCAAACCAGATAATGAATTGTAGCTTGGCTTGCTACAATGTTACGAATGCAATTTTTAATTCCCATTTTTTATAATATGAGCATATATTTTATGCTAGTACTCATTGGAACACAAATTTGATTCTCCACACATCTCTGTGTTAGGCTCATTGGTGTTTAACTGTTTAGGACATACGGTCTACAGTAGCTGAGAAGGATCAGCCTCAGGCAGTGACACAGGAAGACAGAGAGCCAAGAGGTCTCCTTGGCACTCAGCCACAAGTAACAAGTTCTCTCCAAAGAAGCTATTTGCCATTTGTTCAAAATCACCAATTTTGGGGCTTGGCATCTCTGAGTAGAAATGTTAACTCAGTAGGCTTTAAGTAATATTCCTTTTGAGGAAAGTTATCGCTATAATATATGCAGAATCTTAAAGTCACATTTTATGCCATCTTGATCGAATATTTATATTATTGGCACTTAAGTCAATATAAAATGTTTATGTTGACATTTAAGTCAGTATAACCTGTGTAGTGGCACTACATCATGATCAGAATTTTGAAACTAAGGAGATACTCTGTTTTGATTTAAACATGTTCATGAAGCTTTTATTTTATTTTATTTTATTTTACTTTGGAAAGAACCATGCTATCTATAGTATCTGACCATATTACATTAGATATGACTCTGCCACTCCATTTTAAAGCCATATTACATCTCAAGCTTCAAATTATCTATTACCTTTATTTATTGCAAGCAAATAATTTATTTAAAATAGAAATAGTTACTTGGAATAGATTTTTAAAACTTCCATTAGTTATACTATAATACTGAAATGTTACTTTTCCATTCTTGCTATTTTCGGAGTCAGCAAATGGGAGAGCATCTTTTATTTGCAGAGAGAATGAGAGAAATACCTCAAAAGGTTTTACTCACTGAAAGCACAGTCAGCAACATTAGTCTATTTTCTCTTGTCTTGTGATTTGGTTACTGGGAATATTTAGAGAAATTCTGAAGATGATGTTAGTTGTCTGGAGAATGCCTAATTAAAACAGAAAATTATTTGTATTCATTACACTTGAAATATCATCTCTATAAGGAACTTTTAGTTATTTCCTTATAACTTTTGTTTTGAGTATAATCTTGAACCAAAATCATCTAGTCCCATTATCTGGTTCCTTAAGGGTAATTTTCTTTAAATCCCCTCCTTTCCCTTTGCTTATTAGCGGCACCAATTTTTTTCTAACAAAATAAATTTACACTTTTATTTTTAAATTTTAATTAACATTTCAGGAAGAATTATAGGAAAGTTTAAGTCTCAATGTTTAAGGAAAAAAGATTTAGAAATAGTGGTTTTTAAAAGTTTGATGGAAAAACACATGAGTTCCTGCTGGTGCATTTTACATGCTTTCTAGGTCCTTCTGAGTTTTAGGATCCTGAGGGATTTGGTTGGTATTGTTTTTGGGTTTTCTTCTTGAAACTCAGTATTAAAACACTGAAAAGTAGCAGATTTTTTTCTACCTAGAGTTTTCTGTTTATCCATCATGAGCCCAAATAAAGTCACAATTGTATGTTACCTGCTTTACAAAGAAGCCATTTATGTTTAATTGACTGTTCATTTTGCTTTCTTGTCTGCTGGGATGACAACCGTGAAATTCAGTCTGGTAGTTTTTATGAGTTGGACATGAACCTATTAGAAATGATTTAAAGTATAAAATCATTTCTCACAGGCTTTCAAAACATAAACCTGTGATCAGAAACCTGGAATCTAGAAATTTATTCAGGACTTGCAGAATTTGTAGCATATCTACATTATTGGAGATCTATTGAAAGGGCAAGAAAAAGATGATTGCCTGTTAGTATCAACAGTTATGGTACAGACAACTATGAGAGAAACCTTTTAGATTTGGCAGCTGTATCATTAATAATGTGTCATTGGCTATTCTAATATTACAGTAATCTAAAATGGCATATTAATCCAGCCTTTAACAAATTGGTTTACCAGATCATTAGGGATGCAGAAATTTTAGTTGACTGTGAAATTTATATGAGTCATACTCATTTACTTTATTCTTTTTAAGTGAAAACTGCCCTTACAGAAAAGAAAATGAGTTTATAAAGATTTCTCACAGAGTTCAGTGGAAAACGGTTTTACTGTAAGAGAGAGTTTAATGAAGAAGAATCAAAGCTTATTAAATTTTTCTTAGAATCATTTTATTTTGGATAAGCCCTGGGCAAGTGGGCCAGTGCTTACTTTCATGGCTATGTTTAATTCCTAGAAACATTTTAAAATTACTGCCTTACTAATATTGTTTCTGTCATAAGAAAGAAAAATAATTTTTAGACCAAAGCTTTGGTAGTATACTTGATAACCTTTGTAATCTTTTTTTTTTCAAACTGTTTCCTTTGGGCTAAATCAGCATGCAGCCGTCTAACACAAATCATTACAAACCCCCTTTTCTGAGATTTTACTAATCGCTATGAACTAAGCAAGAAATTAAAGTCGGTTGCTTTAGCTACTGCAAATTGCACATCATCCTGTAGTTTAGAATTATTATTGACAACTAGAGGTTCTTTCTTTCTTCACTGAACAGTTTGGAGACTCCCAGCAACTGCGACTGGTCCGGATCCTGCGGAGTACTGTGATGGTTCGTGTTGGAGGTGGATGGATGGCACTTGATGAGTTCTTAGTGAAAAATGATCCTTGCAGGGGTAAGGAGATGCTTATCATGATAACATCATGAAAGTATTTCAATTTTATATTATATCCAGCACCAAAACATACTGGGCATAATTTTGGTCATTTATTCCAATAGTGAATGTTTCACATTGGTCTGTCAGCCTAAAGTTCCCAAAGAACCTGTGGCAGTCATGTAAACCATATTCTTCTCATTTTTTTCTTTCTTTTTTTTTTTTTTTTTTACTTTTTCTGGATAAATATGGTGGGCGGGAAATACTAGAATCCATTTTCTTTAGGAGACTTTTACATCTACGATTTTCCAAACAATTATACCAACCAAGGAAAGGATTTTGTCTGTTATGACATAGCAAAGTAAGAGAAAAGAAAATTGAGGTGATGAAGACCGAAAATACTGGATAATAAAAGTTTAAAGGTCAAAGTTTTTATGAAATGAAGAGCAGGTGAGGAAAGCCATAATTAAAAAATTTTTAAATAATAATCCAATGCTAACTTGACTCTTTGAAGTTGCAGATTAGAACATTAAAAATATAAACATATAATACTATAGCTCTCTACATATCTTCCAGCCCAAGTCCTAAGTTAGCTTTTAATTTTTCTGTTTTGAGATCCTTCTGTCAATTTTTAAGTTCTCAACCAATTTACGTTACACGTGGTCATTTGATTGCAATTTCTAATTAGGTACCAATTACTCAGTAGGCCCATTTTTCTTCCCCCCCAAGAAAAAAACAATAAAATTGTTATAATTTTCTTTTACCTGTGAGCTCACTGTAATCCTTTTTAGCAAACAACAAATGTTCACGTCAGTGCTGTCTCCTTCAGCTACCAAGTGGGATCCCAGGTTTCCTCCTGTAGGGCCTCTTGGTTTTGGTGATGGTGTCACCATCTGGTACACATAGACATATCAGTCATCAGGCTTCTCCACCAAGGCCACCATGGATTGTTATACATGTTATACAGTAGCCCTGCTCTCTCCTGGCCAAAGACACACCTGCGAGAGAAGTAAAACAAGAACAAAAGCTCCTGTTTGTTTTATATTTTGAAAATAATGTAGCCTAAGGTAAAATGCAACTCCATTTATGAAGAAATCAGAATACATAGTGTTCTGTTGGGTTGCTTAGGAAGGTTAGCATGGCTGTGGCACAGTCTTCCAAATACATTTTTCTTATTGAGCCAATCCCTTGAGTGCTTCTTTTCCTGATGCAACTTTTCTTCTAAAATGTGTGCTAAAGGCCAGATGTGAGCACCCTTTGCATATTCAACTACTGTACTTTGTTTCTTCTTCTGCTAACAGTATTCTTTAATGTGATTGGTATCCTGTGTCATTTTTTCTAGTTCATCATCATGGGAGTAAAATGTTACGTTCGGAATCAAACTCTTCAATTACTACTACTCAGCCTACTATAGGTTGGCAACCTCTCTCTTTGCCTCTCCCCTCTTTCCTTTTCTCTTTCCTACTTTTCCATTCTTGCTTCAGTCATTTGTTTTAAAATAACATGCTTCATCCATCGCGTATGGCTTAACTCATATCCAGCTGAGCTGGTGCTTCCAAATTTAAATTCTGAAAATTTGATGACTTTGGTTGTGTTACACATGCAGGTGTTATAAGTGATCAAACACATGCTAACACGTTGCTCACCGGGTTCTTGTGGAGTGTTCTCCGTGTGCGTATGTGTTTGTATGAGTGCTGCATCACTGACTACCTCACAGATCCTTGGGTCTGGTGTTTGTTATTGCATGTTGGTAAAACAGTTTTTCAAGGCATAAAATAAAAATACTAGCTGCCTCATTTAAGTGAAAAATCCAGAAGTTTATATGTTGTCATCATGACTAACAAGCCATCAATCATTGTGTGTAATTATATTCTTTAATTTATCCCCATGTTGAAATACTGGCATTCTCTTTACCTCAATAGTACATGCAAAAGACACAGTCCCTGCCTTACTGGTCTGTCTTCTCAGTGTGATGAGAGGGTAATGAAACCATGTGGGCATCTGTAGCTGGTGGATTAATGATATTTTAGCATGAGCTTTCCATTTTCATGCTGACACTTTCTTTAATAGTGGTTATTCTTGCTGGTGTCTAGTGTTAGAATAAGCACACTTTATTTTTTCCTCCCCGAACTCACCTGTATCCAAAAGGAATGCATTGTAAAGGAATGCATTTAACTTTTTGTTATGCTGAGTTGGAGTTGGCATGGCAAAAAGATGTTCTTGAAATTCTCAACGTGATCTCTGGTGCCAGGTGGCCGTTCTTCCCATTAACGATTGAGCGCCTCTTCTTTTCCGTCTTTTCTTTGTGTGCATTGTTGTGTGTGTATAACCCAGCCAAAGGAAGGACAAACATGGAACTGCGTGAGAAGTTCATTTTAGCAGATGGTGCCAGCCAGGGTATGGCTGCTTTCCGACCCCGAGGCCGAAGATCCCGGCCATCATCACGAGGCGCTTCACCCAACAGATCCACTTCTGTGTCCAGTCAGGCTGCGCAGGCGGCCTCCCCACAGGTCCCTGCCACCACCACACCCAAGGTAAGACTCAGGATGAAGACTTTTCCTCCACCTTTGCAATCAATGTCCCAAGTAGACTTTTGAATGTTCTATTTAGGGCCCTAGAATTTGTAGGACCAGCTATCTCCATTTGTGCACCTTCTCATACTGTGGGAAATACAGGAATTTTTTTTTGAATGTATGCTTTTGCCTAGTGGCCCACATAGAGATGATCTATTTAGGAAGCCTTTGTGATCTTCCAGATTGATTTTTCTTTTTAAAGCTTCATTCATTTTTTTGGTGTGTATGATTTGCCATTGGATCTTTTCACTTATTTTAAATTATTATTCTTACTGTGAAATGTGACTCTTTGCTATGAATATCTCTTTCTGTGGCTTTGTTTTTTTTATCTGCTATCCTTTTCATTTGATTTGCCATTGTTCCATACAGATTCTCCATCCTTTAACACGCAATTATGGTAAACCATGGTTGACAAACAGCAAAATGTCAACTCCTTGTAAAGCAGCAGAGTGCTCAGACTTTCCCGTGCCATCTGCAGAGGTATTGTAAGGCCCCAGAGTCCAGTCTTAACATTCTCCTTTAACTGAAGCTATCACTCACTAACATCGTTGCACCACTCCCTAAATATATGTACTTTGCTAACCCTATGTCTTTTTATACACTTCTATAAGATAAGTATCAACCGAGCAGTTCTTGGAAGATGTGAGAGTAAGGGGTTAACAGAAAAGATAGTCTGCAGCTCTTTAAACAGTGTCAATTTGACCCAGTCACTCCTGCAGACTACCTCCTTTTTGTTCTCATTCGTACTTAGTTCCACTGTTATCTCTTGGGAGAGTAACATAGAGTAGGTTATAGCCAGACTTAAGTAAAATTTCTTTTAAAGCTACTAAATATACTAGATATAATATGGGCAAGAAGTGCAACACATTCCCTTCAAATGGGAGTAAAAGGCAGTATGATTTGCAAGAGCATCACTGAAAAGAATGTTTACTGAATGTTCACTGTGGGCATGGTCCTTCTGGATGTCTGTTACATTTATACCTGCCCCAAAACTTTGGGCAGGTGTGACATAAGCTCTCAGTATCAGTGCAGGGGGGTCAGAGGGGTAGGCTTAGGTATGCAGAAAGTTATTTGTCATTTTCAACAGGTAATAAATGTATGGGTTTTTTTTAAAGATTTTAATAACTAATTTAAGCATGCTCTAACTTTTTAATACGGCATGATATATGGGGAGAAGATATTTAGGTGATATAAAATTTGCCAAGATGAACTCATGTATCAGGTCATTTACATTCAATTGAAAATCAGCTGTATATCTTTTTAAGAAATTTCACTGTGAAACAACAGACATAGGTACAAAATAATCAGATATTTTATTAGAATCCCAATAATTAGTGGGGAAAAATCCCTAAATACCTTTTCTTGAAATTGAAGAAGGTATTTCACCTTAATGATAAAGGACGTAACTTAAAGGCCAGGATCCTCAAATAAAAGTAATATAATAACTTTTAAAAGCCCTCTTATGCTTTTCAAAACACTTTCTTGTCTGTTACTTAATCCTCACATTAATAATAAGTGACAGGCAGAGAAAAAATGTGTTACCTTCATGACTCCATGGCAATCTCATTGCTGAGAAGTGGGAGAATTGGAACAAAAACAACCCATTCTTTAGCGTTTCCTCATTTCTTCCTCCTCATTTTCCCAAGCCCCTCATTTCCACCCCTTCCCACCAACTGGGTGATGTTAGTATTATATATTACCTCTAGAGATGTCTGTCAATTATTATGGATCTATTATAGCAAAAACAGAGAAAGGTTCAAACAACCTCAAGGGACATATTAACATTTGCTTTAAATATTGAAGGCTATGATGCTGTGTTCAAAATTTTTTTTAAGTGGAAACTCTCTCAAAGTCTAAGTAGTTATTTTGACTAGTGCAAAACTGTGTTTCATTTCAAATAACGTGATGAAACAAAAAACCAAAAAACAACATGTTTCTATGGGAGGGACTGTGAAATAAAATCAAAACAATCAAGGCATTCTGAGAAGAATGATTTTGGTCTTTCACGGTTATGAATTCTGCCACCTTGAGTGGTATGTTTCATAATTTGTGGCTTCTCACTCCCTCGTGTTGTTGAGATTCTGTTTAAGTTAGGAATTTAGCTAGATCAGCATTGTCAGATCTTGGGCAAATCATGTGCCTCCTCAGGCTCTTGATTTTTCACATTTTCAAGGTTATGATTAGGTGAGTGTGAGGATTAATTGTGGTTATGTGTGTAAAAGTATTTTGAAAACTTGAACATTCTATGTATACAAATCACATATAGATACTACACTTAAGTGTATGTATAGTATACACATATGTAGATAAATGACTATTAATATTAATAAGAGTAACTCATGTATCAGATGATTATAACATTTTAAGCTAATAAAGGGAAAATCAGTTGTTTAAAAATATACATGTAATTTGTTTCAATGCATTTCCTCCAAATAGTTCTCTGGCTGTGTTTTCATTGAGGAATATTATATTACATTCCCTATGTTCCTCAAGATACTTGTTTATTTTTTTTAACTTTGGGAGAATTTTTTAAATGTTGTGATCTGGAAAAAGTGCAATGATTGTATAATAAAATCTCATACTTATGATTGTTTTAGACATTCTCTACAAACTCATATAAAGATTGTAAAAAAAAAACTTCTCCAAATGTTGCCTATGTATTTTGTCTGTAAAGACTGTAGAAGTGATAGAGCCAGGAAGTGAAGTGATGTGGTAGCAAGTTATTTAAAAATCACTTTTTTTCTTTTTGCAGTTAAGTTTATTTAAATGATGTCTGTATCCATTATTTATTTACTTATCATTCTGTGTCTGTCTCTGCCTGGCTCCATAAAAGCAATGGAGGCAGCAGAATATCCAGACACAGTTTTTCTCTGCTCCATGCCCCCTCTATGCATGCAGTCACCATCTTTTTAGCAATACACCATTAACTCTGGAATATTCACTGACAGTCTGAAAGATACTAACATACTCACCATTTATTTCTCCTTGCCATCACTTTTATGCTCAGTTTTGGGGGTCTCCATTTTGTTTTCTCTTCAACCATGAATTCATATTGTTTAGAAAGTTTCTTTGAATTCTGAGAGAGAATGAGAAATTAGAAGAGAAAATCAAGTGAGAACCCCATGCCTTATTTAATTGAAGAGTTTCTCCCCCTTCACCTCCTAAAGAGGAATAGTAGAGAGTTTCCACCCATATGTAAAGAAGTGGTGTCAGTGGAATATCATGGTACAGGAGCAATATTTTGAAATGTCTTGTTGCTGGTTAAATACAGGGAACGCCAATACAAGGAAGCAAGCTTCGACTTCCAGGATATTTATCAGGGAAAGGCTTCCACTCTGGGGAGGACAGTGGCTTGATAACAACTGCAGCTGCCAGAGTCCGAACACAGTTTGCTGGTGAGTGTGGTGCCTTTCTTTTTTCAATGGCTTTTGCAGCATGGTCATCTGAGGATTAAAGTCCCTTTTCCTCCTCATTGGGGAAGAAATTACAAATTGACCCTGAGGTAGTCTTAAAATGATATGTAGCCCCAGTCCTCCAAAAGTTGGGGATAAAGTGAGTCATGGGTGCAAGTGTCTAAAAGTGTCCAAGAAAGATGAAAGAATTACTGTACAACAGAGGAAAATATACAGTGGTATTCTACCCCTTCAAGCTGAAAGATTTTGGCTCTTCTGCCAGCTCAGCGATTGCACAGGGCCCTGTTTTGGGGTGGTTGGAAGAACCCAGCCACACTGAGCCTCACACCAGTGTAGCTCACATTGCTTCGCAAAATAATGAACCTACTAATCTCTGGGTTCTGAGCTCAGCAAGCAAGAAGCCTCTTTAAAGTTTCCAATCTCATCTGTTGAATTCCTACATTCTTGGAGTTACCTATTCTTGGGCAAGACTTAAACCTGTCTTGTTTGTTCTATGTTTGCATCACACGCATCCCTGGAGGCATAATTTAAACTTTAGAAAGCACAATCTTAAAGGATAGGTATATTCCTTATGTCTGTTTGCAATAAATGGAATCCTGTTTTAAGTAGGGGAAGCCGAAACTTACCTTGTAGTTGGAAATCTAGCCTTTTCTATATTATGTCTACTTAGAGTAAGCCTGCATACCCTTGTGTAATAGAGAAAGGCTGTGAATCCACAACTGTTTTCTGAGTGCCTACTACACACCAGGAAAAAAAGTTAAGATTAAAGGTGGCATCGGGTTTCAAAAATTAGTTGCAGATGGACCCAATAATAAGGGTGAGCTGTCTCTACCTTCTTTCCTCAGATTCCAAGAAGACTCCCAGCCGACCAGGAAGTCGAGCTGGAAGCAAAGCTGGCAGCAGGGCCAGCAGCCGCCGAGGCAGTGATGCATCAGACTTTGACATTTCAGAAATCCAGTCCGTGTGCTCAGATGTGGAAACTGTCCCCCAGACACACAGACCTACACCCCGAGCAGGTTCTCGGCCATCCACAGCGAAGCCTTCAAAAATCCCCACGCCCCAGAGGAAATCACCTGCCAGCAAATTGGACAAGTCCTCAAAGAGATAGTGCAATTGGTTCTACCAAGGCCCTTCCTTGAGCATTTATTATTTAAGTTTGAACGATGTAAAATATGGTGTAGAAATTCTTGTGAAATATTGCAAGAGGCGAGTTTAAAATTCTGCAGATGGCCTTATTTGTGTATTTGTCTTTTTATTTTATCTGTATAATTTTTTTTGTCAGATATTCTGGGGTTAAAGTCACATCATATGTGAGGAGGAAAAGTTTAACATGAACTAACATTTCTGCACTGTAACGTGCCGGGCACACACTAAACTCAGTTACTGTACCTACAGGTAAGTCTACATCCTCTCTGACAGCCACAGCACTACATCAATCCCTGACGTTAGGGATACCTCATGACATTTTCCTGTTTTTATGGAAACTCTGAGAAGCTGAATGATACATGCAGGGGATATTTTTTGAGATGATTTAAATGTAAACCAAAAGATGGAAGACAAAAAGACAAACACACCCACACGCAGTCTTTGCAGTATCTGACAGAGAACTCACAGGAAGTTACTTCAAGCACTTGCCAGTACTATGATATTCAAGTACCTTGCAGCATTTCTCTGCCATTGCTTTCAATGAGGCCAGAGGCATCCTGGATATTAGACCTATTATACTGTAAGAATATAAGTATAAAGTGCGTTCATATACATGTGAGGTTTTCTTTTGCTTGAGTGGACAGTAGCACCTGTATCATTGAACTCATTTTGTATCAGAGCAATTTTGCTTGCAGAAAGCTATGAAATAAAACACGTCCCTTAACTGCATTGCTATGGAATTAATTTTTTTTCCCCAGGGAAAACTAGTGTATTTTTTTATGAGCAATATCAATTTGGAGTGACCAAAAGATACTTAAAAATGGGTTTATTTTGATTTCTCATCTGAAATAATCATGTTCTGGTATTATATCTATCTATATTTAATAAATATATACATTTTAATTTATTATGTGTACTCACATACTATAGAAAGATATTAGTATGCATTTAATAAAACATATTCACTTGAATATATGGAATACCTGATTATTTAAAGTGAACTTCTTCTATTATTTGTTTTAAATAAAGGTTATATGTATGATATATGTTTACTAAGAAACAAATAGGGTAAATTTGGGGGACATCAAAAACAGGGAGTTATAATAATGTTAACCACTCTTTCAACAAATATTTCTAATAAGTATTAGCCATGCACCAGCCATTGTAAGTGACATGAAACTATAAGGTTCCTGCCCTCCCCTCTTCAAGAGGGAATCAGTTAATAAGTCACTAAAAAGCAAGGGATGTGTGGCAGGATTACAGATTTAATTAAGGTAATATAGTAGTATTCTTCTGGCCTCTGTACATTTAAAAGTCAAATTGTAAAATTTTCCTGAATATGAAAATAGTATCAGATATCCTCAGAAGGATGGCAGGTTGTAACTTTAGGTATGAGGGTCCCAACATTCTGCATAACTTTGTGGATTTGCTGTAGCAAATGTCACTGATGGTGTTCAGATTCAAGGGAACATTATTACATTTTTCTTTCTTGGCCTTTTCAGTGGAGGCCAACACTGAAGAGCCTGGAGTTTCTATTGGCATAAATTAGGTGCTATTTTTAAGCAATAGTAATCCCTTCTTTGTCCAGGCATGGGTCTCAGGTGGGAGCCCTTGATGAGAAGGGGAATTCTAACCTATGAGATCACATGCTATTTAGTTCATGCATTTGATTATTAACATGTCATCTTAGAAGGCAATTGAAATTGTTTTTATTCCTTTAGTGCTTTGCATATGATCACATTTCCACTTCAAAGACAAATTTAAGGCAATGATTTTTATCTCAGTCTGTTTCTATGCTACCCCTCCGAAAGAGCTAGGGGTTTTTCTTTTTAAGTAGTAAAATAAGCTTTTTGGAAAAGATAAGTGGTTTAAAATAAGAGAAGTCTTAAGGAACTGCTCCCAGTTGTCAGTATTTGCCCCAGGTGAGCTTTTCAAACTTTGACATGATGCCTACTCATTTCTTTCCTCTTGTGCTAATAGTCCTAGAGCCTCAGGCTGACTTCTCTAGTGTCCTGTAAGTTTCAGTTAATGTAACAGAAACCTCTTCCCCACCCTACACACATTCCTTCTCTTTTCTTTTTCTCTTTCTTTTTTTCGTTTTTTTTTTTTTTTTTTTCTTTAAAAAAAAGAACACTACAGTGAATCTCAACTCTAAAAATCTTAATTGGAAAAATTGAATCTTAAGCATTAGGGAAGTTGAATCGTGGACTTTTTTTGTTTTAAAAATCAAAGCTCCTAATTCGCATGTACTGCTACCTTCTTTGGAAATAGTGGACTGTCCTCTTTGACATCCGTGCAGAAGTAGATGGGCCTGGCCAAGTCTCGGATATAGGTGGGAGAGTTTGGGAAGTGCCCCCATGGCTGTCCGGGATTGACCTGTAAAATGAAAAGGAGGCGGAGGAGAAGAAAGGATCTTGTTTCCTTTTTTGGATCATTTTAAAAGTTGCTTTCCGTATTTGTAGTAAGGGAAATTGTAATGAGATACAGTTATCTATTCCTTTTTGACAAGGTGCTTTGAAATGTGTGTTTTTATTGTTAAATGGTGATCTGATACCACCAAACAGTACATTTGCCATGCCTGCTTGTCTGTGTATGTCTGATGCCACTGCCACTGGGGTCCCACAAAGAAGGCAAAGACACTTGAGCTTTGTCTTTTAGTATAATACTTTAGTAACTAAGGTCCTTTCAGGCATGTTGAGGATGGACTTGTCAGTTACCAAAATCTGCTTGGAAGTCAGTAGAGTAAAGGACAAGGTGTTTGGGCAGGAAATAGTTTGTATGACTATTTGAAATATCTGACTTAACCTACCAAACTCTGCAACTTTGGTTGATTTTATGTAACTCTTAACGTCTATGTAGATGTTGAGTGTCTAGCTAGGGTGAAGTATAACAAAAATAGGTTTCTTTTTTTTCTTGCTACTACTTCTCATGTGCTAAGTTAAGAATATATGTAAAGCAAAGTGTGTTAAGGGAATAATATTAGTTTACCCACATTTTTATCATACTTCATTATTGCAAATTAAAAGACTTTAACAGAGAAGAAAATAAAATAGAGGTTAAGAAGTTTTCAACAATTTCCCCCAAATAAAAATAAAACATTCTTTTAGAATGTTACTAATCTTAAAGTACAGTTATTTTTGCCCCAGCGCAAAGACTAGGAAATGTAGTTCCCACAGCCTTAGACTCCAACTTCTATGCCAATGGCCTCTAGACTTCTTGGTTGGCATCTTCTTATCAGTAAAAGTTTTTCTGTGCAAACACCCCCATATATATATATATTAATTTATCCCAAGATATTATTTGCACATATTTTATCATTAGCTAATTTCTCAGGGCTCACTCTAATCTTAAAATTTATCCTAACAACATTGGTGTACATCCTTAGTTCAAATAGTCTTCATAATTATTTTGGCCAAGTTTTTGCCAAATCAGATGAGACTCTTTCTGGTTTAACTCCTGGTGTGGCTGAGTTTTGCCAAATCAGATGAGATTCTCTCTGGTTTAACGCCTGATATTTAACTCCTTTGTTCTAGGAGAAGCGTTGTCTCTGCCATTTTTCTTATTGCTTGTTTGTTTCTTGCATTATAAACATCTTAAATCCACGGTTCTGTTGCAGGGATCTGTTTAAGCCTTTTTTTTTTTTGTAAAGATTATTTAATTCAGAAGAGTTAATAAAAATCTGTACATTCACCCAACTTGACATAAATAAACTTCGGTTTGCTGCATGCTAAAAGCAACCCAAAGAGTGTGGGAACTGTTGGGACTTCCACTCTGCCCTTGGGTCACCTAAGCTACAGATCGTGAGAAGATGCAAACGATGTCGATGTCACTGGAGAGATGGTAGCAGTGTCAGTCTGTAGTAAATGTTAGTAAAGGTAATTTCCTCCTCTTTTAAGATGAAATGTAAATATAAATAGACATTTTCTTCCAACATTCTATGAAGTTACTTTACATAATCTAATTTTAGGGATCATTGTTCTATACTATTTTCTTCTTTCTGCCTCTTCTCAACCATCTTTTTCCAGAGAATGGAAGTATGCTGTAAAGTTTCTTCCTTTCTCCTCTGATACTAGTTTTGCAAGGGCATGCACACCTGTGCTAGTGGTTATATCACTGATTGCCGGTTCTCTGAAAATTCCAGTTGAGGGAGGCTGAGGGGACATACTAACATTCTTGAAGCCTCAGTTCTAGTTCCAGCCCTTGTTACCTCTCACTTGTATTACTACAACGACCATCTGTTGATTTCCTCATTTTCAATGTCTTCTCCTCTAGACATCAGCTTGGAGGAACTGGTCTTATGGGGAAGGACGTGCCTTTTGATATGAAGGACTGGAGGAAAGGGAGATTGAAATGGGAGAAGAGACATTGAGGGAGTTACCCTGCACTCTTTATTTATCTCAGTAAATTGGAAGACAGATTTTTGACTTGACCAGAGAAGGTTAGAAGTAGCCAAGGCCCTGGACTGATAGTTATCCTGGCCTCCAGTGTATGGCCTGGTTTAGGAAGAGAGGTGACAGAAAGTTCATTGATCTACAGTTGGTTTCTTCAGTCAGGCTCAACAGAGCAATGGAAGGAAGCGGGGGCTCTAGGATGGGCTTTTACCTCAGAAGCAGGTTTTAGGGTACCCAGAGGAAAGGATTTGGGAGGAAGGCACACCGTGGGTGAGTATTTGGGTCAGAGTGGTAGAAAGCTAGAACACTATGCTTGCACACACAGGAGTGTGTATATGATCAAGAGTGACTTATATTTGGGGCATTATCTAAAATTTGCAAGAATGTGAACTTCGGGAGCCTCAGCGTTTTTTTAAATATTAGTCTTAGCTGTTCCAAGTCTTCATTGATTTTTATTGTGCTTATAGCAGAATCTGCATGGAGAAAGCAATAATAGTCCCTAGAGTGAGGGAGAGAGTACAAGAGCCTGCCTTTCAGCTGCAGTTGGTTGTGCTTCAAAGCCCCAAGTAGGCTTAGCGGTATGTGTGTGTGTAGCTCTGGCTTTTCAAGGAGGCAGAAATATAGTGTTTTGGTATATACTTTCAGAAATGTCTCTGGGCATGAGTTAAAAATGAATTAACATAAAGACCATTTCTGAAAGGAGGGCCAACCAGGAAGACAAATGTACATAGCTGTGTTTTTAATTATCCAGTGTAGGAAAATTTGTTTCAAAAATAACCAGCCAATGGACATATGTCCCGGTCAGTAGTCTCGTCACAGCATACTTGCTTGAGAATGGACCAGTGAATTCAGAGGAATATAATAGGCTTGGAGCAATGTTTTCTTAGACTTTACAGTGCCATATCTGATCATGGATTAATTTTGAGTTGTTTCTCTTGGGCAACCTTTTGTGTCTTAGCCACTTCATTATGCTCATAGTGATTTTTTGAAGCCCTACATTTATGTGTCAATTTTGGTTTATAAAGCTCTAATTCTCATACAAGGTTTTCAACCAGCCAATGAAATAGTAAATAAATATCACTTGAATTGTATAAATAATTTTAATGAAGCTAGAGAGGTTTTTATTTGTCCAGGATCACACAGCTAGAAAATGACTGAGTAGATAGATCTTTTCAGGCTGAGACCAATGATCATTCCACTGCCCCTCACCCTTATACCAGGGCTTATGCATTCTTTTCTAAAAAGATGGTAACTTCATAAGGAAGACATGTTCATGGCCTCTTTCAGGAAGCTATACCACATCTGGATTTTCCAGAGTAGCAAAATTCATATTAAGATAGTTGTAAGCTCTTCTTTGGAGCATTGGATATGTCTTATGTTCCATAACTAGACAGATTTTCGATTGTTTCATGTCTCAACCTGATCTCATTCCAAACAAGTCAGTAAAACCGATTTGCTAACTCAGATCTGATTTGAGGTAGCTAAATATCTAATATCCTTTTCTACTTCAACAATAACAAAATGCATGTTGAGTTCCCCTGCAAAGTTGTTTCATCATTTAGCGACCAGAGTCCCGATTCCTCCCTTTGCCAAATAGGCATCCCAAATGACTTACTTGAGTCAGATTTTGAATATTCTACCTTCTGCTTAAGTTCATTGACAATGTATATAAATAAGTGTTGGAACTCTTCATTGACTATATTTTGACTATATTTTGGTGTGTCTTTTTTTTTTCTTTTTTTTTTTTGGAGACAGAGTCTCGCTCTGTCACCCAGGCTGGAGTGCAGTGGTGCGATCTCGGCTCACTGCAACCTCCGCCTCCCTGGTTCCAATGATTCTCCAGCCTCAGCCTCCTGAGTAGCTGGGACTACAGGCGCCCACCACCACACCTGGCTAATTTTTGTATTTTTAGTGGAGACAGGGTTTCACCATATTGGCCAGGCTGGTCCCGAACTCCTGACCTTGTGATCCACCCACCTTGGCCTCCCAAATTGCTGGGATTACAGGCGTGAGCCGCTGTGCCCAGCTTGGTGTGTCATTTTTAAATCAAGTTATTCCCCAAAAATATATTTGAAGTGTGGAGACATATACAATGTAACCTAACAAAAAAAGGTTCTAATTAAAAGATATAAAGAGTGATATACACTCAGATTTTCTTACTTCATTTTTAGTCAGCTTGAGTACAGTGCTTTAAGATAAGGTGGTCCTGGCCGTTTATCCTGATTCTGTCACTCAAATATATTTCAGATTATGTTAGTACTTTCAAGCATGTGTTCTTTTTCTCACTCTTACTCTAGAAATGTATCTTTTAAGTATCAGTTTAATGTATCAGTATTAGAAGGATCATTTGCTTTTGTGAAACGATGTTTGAAAGGTAGTTAATTCTGTGAAGAATTTGTATTTAGTGCATTTATTTGATTTTTATTGACTGCATTTTGAGAGTGGGATATTTTATACGTTCAGTGATACATTTATTGTCAGTTTTTGATTCTAAAACTATGCCTGTTAATTGTAGACAATTTAGAAAATACATAAAAGTACTAAGAAGAAAATAAAAACATGGATCACCCCAATACTCAGGATGAGTCACAGATAAATTTGTGGGGTGATTGTTATTTTAAGTTTTTGATGTCATAATGTACTTTCATTTTGGTATTCCCAATTATGTTTTTAAACTAAAATAGACCAAAGACACTATAAGGTATTGGTAATTACTATTTAAAGTTGGAAATAAGGTGATACTTGTGATCTATTGCTGGACAACAAATTGTCATAAAACTGACTTCGAACCAGTTATCTCACAGTTTTCTGTGGTGTGGAATCTGAGCAGGCTTATCTCAGGCTTTTCTGGAGCCAGATCCATTTTTGAGCTCGTTGGTTGGTTGGTGCCAAGATTTTGTTTCTCATAGGCTGTTGGAGTAAGGGCTCAGTTCTTGCTGGCTGTTGGCTGGAGGCCATCCTCAGTTCTTTGCCAATATGGGGCCCTTCAACAGGGAAGCTTGTTTCATCAAAGTGTGCAAACCAAGAAGGCAGGATGAAGTTTTTCATAACCTAAGTATAGAAGTGACCTCCTATCACTTTTGCCATGTTCTATTAGAAGCAAATCACTAGGTCTGTCCACATTCAAGGGTAGGGGATTACAGAAGGGCCTGATTACCAGGAGGCAGGGATCACTGAGGGCTGTCTTTGAAAACTGTCTGCCACAGTGCTAAATCAGAAAAGCTGGACTCTAATCCCTTGAATTCTTTATGTAATGAAGAGACTGGTTTAAAAATCGCTTTTGAAAAATTTCTATAGTTCTTTCCATCATTATATGGTTTAAAGCATGACACATCAAAATTCAATTTCTGGTTTAACACAATCTAGATTAGAAGAGCAGTCTTTCTTAAATACTTCACTTTACCACAGAAGTTTACTTAAAATGTTTGGAAATGAGTAGCACAAACATCCAAGCAAAGATTGTCTATCCCAAGCCACAGGAGTTTGTCTGTCATTCAGAACAACAAACAAGGTTAGAGTCCAAATGGGCATCAGTGACTCCCTAACAGGGTCAGTGGGGAGAGAGGCACTGGGAAGTTACTGAACATTCTTCAAATATGGTTGTGAGGATTGATGGGATAAATACTGTTTAGGTTGGAACTCACTGGATGCTACCTCATCCTTGGTGAAATGTTGTTTTACCTCATTCCCCTTCTCTTAACACCCTTGTTTTGTTACCCTGGAGGCTCTAGGTTGCTGTCACTTGGAGATAGTAGATTCTCTCCACAGGGAATACGTAATTCCCACAGTCGGGAATATATGCTTGCTGTCATTGGCACCTAAGTACTTCTCTGCTGGCCTAGGAGCTCCCAGGAATTAACTAGCTGGTCAGCGTTAATATCTAATTCAAATTTTCCTCCAAGGAATCCCACATTTGCAGCACATGCATCTTAAAAGATCCATACTCCTTCGTGAAGCAAAGGAAATAAGCATGGCAGCAGATAAAACATGCCCCTGTGGCCTCTCCTTCCTGTCTGCATGTTTCAGTCATGGTTGGACATTTGGTTTGTGCCAGTGAGATTCCTTTTATATTCAAAGGGACTGCTTCACAATGTTCTCTTAAAAAAACTGTACTGCACAAAACACCTCATGAGCAGGGCCCTCAAAATGAAGTTTATCCACGAGATTTTATGTATAATGAAGCCACACTGCTTAGAGATTTTGCAGGAGTCATCAGCCAACTTGCCTATGAATTATTGTTAATCTATGAACAATGGAGATAGTGCTTTTCATACCATGTACATACACCAGCTTTTAGGGGACAGAGCTAATTTCCAGTTTTTATTGCTTCTGGAGAAAAGCCAAAAGAATCCAGAAGTCGTTTTGGACAGATTGACTCCTTCCTCTCTACCTTCCCTGCTTCCCCTCACCTACACATACTATTGGTAGGTACTGAAAGGAATTAGGATTTTGCAGGTCTTTCTGTGGTAGGACCTATGTTTTCTTAATTCTCAATCGACATTTTGAGTTAAGAGTTACCCCAGATTGCTGGTAAGTAAAAAGGCTTTGAGAATTACATGCCGAAGGCTACACAAGAAGTAGAGGACTCCATGTTTCTGGCTGAACTGAAAGCCCTCAGTCTTTCTACTGTACCATGCTACTTTCTGAGTGGCTATTTTTTAGATTTATTTTCTGTCCTGGCCCGTATCTTATTGATTAGTTTCTTGCCTGTTTGTTCCTAATGTGAGTGCTTTAGCAATTTAACAGACACTAAAAATATATTCTTCCTTATCCTGCTTCCCCACCACCACCAACAACAACAAAAAAAGGAAAGCAACAAAGCACATATTTTTTATTTTTTATTTTTTTTGAGACAGAGTCTCGCTCTGCCACCCAGGCTGGAGTGCAGTGGCTCAATCTTGGCTCACTGCAAGCTCCGCCGCCCAGGTTCACGCCATTCTCCTGCCTCAGCCTCCCCGAGTAGCTGGGACTACAGGCGCCCGCCACCGTGCCCGGCTAATTTTTTGTATTTTTAGTAGAGACGGGGTTTCACCGTGTTAGCCAGGATGGTCTCGATCTCCTGACCTTGCGATCCGCCCACCTCGGCCTCCCAAAGTGCTGGGATTACAGGCGTGAGCCACCGCGCCCGGCCAAGCACATATTTTTTAAACATGGAATTCACCTAGTTTATGCAAAGAGTACCTCCCTGACAGCTAAATGTGGGGAAAGATTAGAAAGAGAAAAGCAGAAAAAATTCTTTTGCAAAGAAAAAGAGAAAGGTAGAAGGATTTAAAATAGCTACTGGGAAGCAACAAGAAATGTGGGTCTTTGACCTGATGTAAATTCAAAATGCACAATTGATTTATGCTCAGCTTTGCAGGAAAATTTTTGGCTTTAGAGGATAATATGAAAACACTGTTTAGGATTAGGCTGAATTATGTTTTCAACAGGATGGAGGAGTCCATCCTCTGTGCCAAGAGTTGGTGATGTTGGCTGATAGTTGCCTCTTATCTCTTTGATATGTGGTACTTGAGTCTCTTAAGACCAAGGATGGCCTTTGGAGGAAAGTGCCTTTTTCTTCCCGGCTGCCAGTTAGAAAGCTGTTCCAAAACCATATTTATGACTACAAGTGCCAGAGCTATAACAGTATATGATGTGCACTTACCAACAGGCTGGTGAAAAAATAGTAGGGAAGAATGATCATCTGATTGTAGTTCACATTCTTGAACATATGTTTGACAATGTAAAATAAATCTTATCTATTTTTCTGCTGGGCTCATAATACTGCAGAAACCTCCTATCATCTTTGTCAATTGCCTTCCCTCTATGGCCTCCCTGGGAAGCAGATGCACTACAGCGATTGACTCACTGGTCACTCCTGTTGTTTATTGATGGACCCGAATGATGGTTACCAAACAATTGCTGGTAAGAAAAACCACCTTATCCCAATGCAACTCTACACAGTGCTCTCTTTTAGTTTTTAAACCTAAGATTCCTCAGTCATCCTGTCTCAAAGCTTGAGTTTCTATATTAAGAAGTGTTTTTAAAATAATCAGATGACAGATGAAGATTTAGAAACATGCAAAAATGATCTGGACATGCTAGATTGTTAACCTACAAATAAAAAGTAAAATTTACTAAGTCGTATATATTTGGGAATAGGAAAATGAAATGCAGGATATAAGATAAATTTATCCACAGCATAGGTAAGAAAAGAAAAGGAGTTATAGTTGACAGCTCAAGTGAAGTGAGTTGGTGATGTGGCTATCAAATGATTTTGAGCTGCATTAATGGAAATATAGTGCTCAGCAGGGGGTGTGGGGAAGGAAGTTCTGTTCCACTGTGGTACCTCATTATAAGATATGGGCAACTGGCCAGCTTCTACAGGCAAGGGACCAGGAAGCAACTCAAAACCATATTGGAAATGGACATAATGTGGAAAAATAATATTTTATGTAATTTTTAGTATAAACAACTGCAATTTAATTATTGCAAGGAAATCTGTTTTGCAAAGGAATCTACAAAGTTTATATACTGCGCATGTTAATTATAACAGATCAGGGAAATCCGGTTAACATGTTAATTATCACAACTTTGGTGAATAAATTTATTTAACCTTTAAGTGAGTTAACAAGAATTACTTTACAACTAATATTCATTTTTTATAACAAATAAACATAGTCTCAAAATTATTGTTAGTACACTTGGAAAATATTAAAACCTCCATGTATTGTAGGAACACTCTTTGTACTTTTTAGGCAACAGATTTAGGAACCTGACAATAACCAGATAGAGAATATGTACACAGTTAACTTAAATTCCGTGGTAATCAGAGGGTAGCCATTCTCTATTTCTCTCATATTTCTCCCCATCCCCCAAGAAAGGGATAATGGTCGGCTCAGCGGTTCACCCTTAAGAGAACAGTCTTTTCTAGATTTCGATTAACATTCACAATTGTGACTGATTACAATTATTTTACCTGGGCTGAATAAGATCATTTGAGCTTATAATAATCATGGTTTTCCTGTAATGCAGGTATTATAGCCCATTTTAGAGACCAGAAAAAAGAGAGGTTAAATAAACTGCCCAAGGTCACATAGTAACAGAACCAAACCCAAGTCTCTCTGACTTTAATGACTCTGTAGCTTTCTGAATATTTGAAGGACCACCAATGGGTAGAAGACAAGGTTTTATTTCATCATAAGGAAGAATTTTTTATTCATTACATCTGTTCTTAAGATGGCTGCCTTGAAAGTATCTGCCTTGCCAGATAATGTACAGGACACCCAGGTAAATTTGAATTTCAGATAAACACTAAAAAAACTTTTAAAGTATATGTCCCACATACTGCATAGGGAATTCCTATGCTAAATATTATTTATTGCTTATATGAAATTTAAGATTAGGCATTCTACTTTTTTTTTTTTTTTTTTTTTTTGGAGACAGTGTCTTGCCCTTACACCCAGACTGGAGTGCAGTGGCCGATCTCGGCTCGGCTCACTGCAACCTCCACCTCCCGGATTCAAACGATTCTCCTGCCTCAGCTTCTCGAGTAGCTGGGATTACAGGCACATGCTCTCACGTCCAGCTAATTTTTGTATTTTTAGTAGAGACTAAAATACCATGTTGGCCAGAATGGCATCAAACCCTTGACCTCAAATGATCCACCTGCCTCGGCCTCCCAAAGTGCTGGGATTACAGGCGTGAACCACCATACCCAGTCAATTTGTATTTTTATTTGCTAAATCTGTCAATCAATCCTCCTTGAGAACGATTGTATTTCCAGGTGCTGGTAATCGAAAATATCAGTGCTCCCATGGAGATGTGGTATTGAGGATCTGAGAGGGGTTGTGATTTCATCATCTTCATGGCTGTCTCCTTTGAGTCCAGAGCTGGGCTAGGTGTAGGGGGAAAATGAATGACTCTACAGTTCTTGGCTTTAAGGAACAGCAGCTCTTTAAAGTTTTCTTTCCATTCCTTGTTTTTTATTCCTTTGGCAGGATCACCTCACTGCTCACCAGCTTCTGGTAGGTACATGGGACAGTGGAGGGTACAAAAGAGAACAACAAATTACTCCTTATGAAGGTTTCTTGAACTATGTTGGTGGGGATCCTTGGAAACACATCTCTATAAAGGATTGTGTTTCTGTCAAGAATTCTAGAATTTTTAACCCCCAAGATGCAGCATGTTAAATATATTTTGTGTTTTGTCCCAAAAGAATAAGGCAATGGGAGTGTTTTTCTTAGAGATGGGATTTATGACAGCTTCTGCAATATCCTCCAACTCACACAAGACAAGTTAAAAGTTGGCCCTATTTTGAAGTTGATAAAACCATCGCTCTGGAAATATTTCTTAAAGTTTCTGAATAAAACACTTTAGGAAAATTCTTCTTTAGTGGATATCTTATAGCACATGGTATTAACGACCTGTCCCATGAAATTCATTAAGAAGTGGCTTCATGCTGAAAATTGACAAATAATGAAAGTTCAGCTGAGGCCCCTTTCAAATGTGGTTCTCCCACACAGTGTGATCTGTTTACTGGAGACTGTTGTGAAGACTGTAAATACAATTCCCGTCTGGGTGCCGGAACGGAACACAGGCTGCCCAGGGCCTGAAGAATCAGTCCCGCATGTGTTTCATGTAATTATGTGTCTGTAGACATATTTCTAGGTTACAATTGTGAGAAATGCTTGAAAACGTTCCAGTAGAAGCGGAGACCAAAACTATGATATTTTTGCAAAACCAATATGTAAGTAAAATACCCGATTTTATGAAATGCTTTCGTTATTTTAACTGGTGGAAACCTGCCTTCCCTCAAAATAAGACTGTAAGAGTCTGACAATACAAGAGAGAATTTTTAAAAATACAGTCTTACAGTGGAGAAAGCTTTTCTTTTTTTTTTTTTTTAGACAGGGTCTTACCCTGTCACCCAGGCTGGAGTGCAGTGGCACAATGTCAGCTCACTGCAACCTCTGCCTCCCAGGCTCAAGTGATTCTCCTGCCTCAGCCTCCCAAGTAGCTGGAACTACAGGCATGCACCACCATGCTCAGCTAATTTTTTGTATTTTTAGTAGAGACATGGTTTTGCCATGTTGCCCAAGCTGGTTTGAACTCCTGAGCTCAGGCAATCCACCTGCCTCAGCCTCCCAAAGTGTTGGGATTACAGGCCTGAGCCACCATATCTGGCCAGCAGGGAAAGCTTTTCTAAGCAAGATGCAAAATCCAGGAACCATGAAGGAAAGATGGATAAATGTCTGCCCACCAAAAATGCCACAAAGTCAAAAGACAAACTGGGGGAAATAGTTGCATTATAATAGCAAAGGGAAAAATTTTCCTAATTGACACAAAAATACAATTTATATTAAGTAGTATAAATGGCTCTTGCTACTGAAATTTAAGAGTTATAAGACCACATTTCTCCCCTAGTAGTTTGGCAAATGTAGAAAAGTTTGGCTGTACACATCACATTGGTGAGAACAAGTGGGTGCAGGCCTCCTATGCTGTTGCCAGAAGTGCAAGTTGAAGTGGCCTTTTTAGGAGACAATTTGACAATGTTTATCAGAGCTTTAAGTGCACATACCTTTTGACCTGGCAATACTGCTTCTGGAAATGTACCCAACAAGAATGTGCGCTAACCTAGAACAATTTTCCTGGAAAAATATATTCTCCTCATCAGACCCACGTTGCTTTGCCAACCAAAGCCCCAAGTGGTAAAATAACATTGCCTTGGGGAAGAAATAGAAGGAAATGCAGAGCACAAGGACGATGTCCTTGGTTTCAAGCCGGCCAGGTTGCTGGTCAACCTGAGCTGGAGTCTAGAGCAAGTATGCAGTTTGTGAACTTAATTCCATACAGAGAGCTGGTCTAGAAGTTACTTGGGACACTGTATTTCCTTTTTCCTTTTCCTTTTTTTTTTTTTTTTTTTTTTTTGAGATGGAGTCTCGCTCTGTTGCCCAGACTGGAGTGCAGTGGCGTAATCTCGGCTCACTGCAAGCTCCGCCTCCTGGGTTCACGCCATTCTCCTGCCTCAGCCTCCCGGGTAGCTGGGACTACAGGTGCCCGCCACCATGCCCGGCTAATTTTTTGTATTTTTAGTAGAGACAGGGTTTCACCATGTTAGCCAGGATGGTCTCGATCTCCTGACCTCGTGATCCGCCCGCTTCGGCCTCCCAAAGTGCTGGGATTACAGGGGACACTGTATTTCCATATAGAGGGAGGGGATCCCTATCACACTGAATCCTCTTGGAAAGAGTGGCATTTGTGACACTCTAGGATTCTTCCTTTATGTTTTGCTCTTTCCCCTTTGAGCCCCATGTTCCCTGCTCCTCCAGGATGATGTGGCCTTCACTCCCTCTTGGGACCATGGCTTCCTTCATATATGGCAGGCAGTTCTCCAAGCACACTCCCACCCCTCCAGTCCTCTGTACTCTTCCATCCTCAGCAAGATGCTGGGCCCTGTTAGTCCTATACCAAGGTAGCTGCTCCACCCCCTCCCGCTCGGGAATTCTTAGGCCCTTGCACCGTCTTGCCCAGGAGTGTTTTTCTTTTTAGTTCACATTCGTCTCAGCCAGATACAAATGGGAGCTGCAAACACCTGGAATGAAGCCACTGCTCATATGTCCATTAAATCCTAAGGCCCCCAAGAGGCCCAGGGAGGCTCTTGCTTCACCAGCTTCTCCTCGAACGTTGCCTCTTCTCAACTTTTTAAAAATGTCTTAATATTATTGTTAATAAGCAATTCATTTACATGATTCAAAAGTCAATACTGTAAGTAATGTGTACCTGAGAAGTCTTAGTTCCGCCTCTCTCATTTTATTCATTTTCTGTTCTTCTAATGGTTCTTGATATGAATGTGTGTGTAGTGTGTGTATACATACAAATAAAGTAAGTCATAACACAGATTATGCTAAATTTTATCCCCCTTTCTTACCCCCAAAGTGTTTGACTATGATATAAACTATACTCCACCTTGGTTTTTTGCACTTAAAAATATCTGGTCATATATATTTTTAAAATTTTAATTGTGGTAAATACACAGAACATAAAATGTACCAAATTAATCATTTTTAAAGGTACAGCTCAGTGGTATTAAATCCATCCACGTGGTTGTGCAACCATCATCACCATTTATCTTCGTAACTCTTCCATCTTGCAAAACTGAAACTCTGTACCCATTAAACAATAACTCCACATGTTCTCCTCCTCACAAGCCCTGGCAACCACCATTTACTTTCTATCTCTATCAGTTTGACTCCTGTAAGTACATATATAAGTAGGATCATACAGTATCTGTCTTTTTGCTATTGGCTTAGCATAAAGTACTTGAGACTCATCCATGTTACAGCACCTGTCAGAATTTTCTTTCTTTTTAAGGTTGAATATTCTGTTGTATGTATAAGGCCACACTTTCTTTATCTATTCATCTATCAATAGATATTTGGGTTGCTTCCACCTCTTGGCTATTATGAATAATGCTGATATAAACATGGGTACACAGATATTTCTGAAACCTTTCTTTGAGTTCTTTTGGATATCTACTCAGAAGTAGAATTGTTAGCTTATATGATAAATCTTTTTTAAATGTTTTAAAGAACCTCCACACTGTTTTCCATAGTGGTGGCTGTATCATTTTATATTCCCGCCAATGGTGCACAAGTTTCCAAAAATAGCACTAGTTATTTTCTGGATTTTTTGTTTGATTTGTTTCATTTTTGATAGTAGCCATCCTAACGGGTGTGAGGTTTCATTGTGGGTTTGATTTGCCTTTCTCTAGAAATGGCTGATATTAAGAATCTTTTCATGTGCTTGTTGACCATTTTGTCCTTAGCCTTTGCCTATTACAGACCTTGAATACCTTGCCAGCTTCGGCAGTAACAGAAACATTTGGCCCCCCTTCTTTAGGCCACATGTCTATTTGTAATAGGGGAATATATCAGTAATATTTCATTTCCCTACTTCTTTCTGCTGAATGTGTAAAATCGTCATCTGCTTCTGAGGTTAGTTCTTGCCATTTCTACAAGCTGTAAAGACACTGCTGAATCATGGTGTCTTTACTACCTTAACTCTCTTTACTTTCTGTCTGACACAGTCCTCCAGATTCTGCCTTATGTGGGTACCCTAGAGAGGGAGAGACAAGTCAGAAAGTTCTGGGTCTCCTAAAGACATCCATTGTTTAAACAAACCCTGTCAATGAAAGGTTCGCTAATCAGGCCTAGATCTTTTGTTATCCTTCTGCTTCTCCTCTGCCAGGCTTCACCTGCATCTTCCACTGGAGGATGTTTATTGGATATTCCCTTGTAGATGATCAATACTTCCACTTTTGCCAACTCTTGAATTCTGAAACTACCTAATCAGGCTCCAGTTAATTTGTGCTCACCTTTTCTATCTTCCTTTCCCAATATCCCTAAATCAGTGGTTCTCAACTTTGGCTGTAGATTGGCATTGGCTGGGTAGATTTTTTAAAAGACTGATGTCTAGGCCTCACCCCCAGAGGCTTTTACTTAATTGATTTAACTGTAGCCAGAGCATGGGGATTCTAATGTGCAGCCAGTGTTGAGAACTACTGACCTAAATTTTTGGAAAAATTAATCTTATTAATGAATGTTATTAATACATCTTATTCACTCTCTATTATAACTTAAAAGGCTTGTCTCAATAGTATCCTAGATTGGGCTATCTCTGGGGTAATCACCACAGTTAGTTCTCTAAGGTTTTATCCTCTGTTAATTATTATTTGCACTTCAGGCTCTCTGATCCAATCACAAATCCCCTTTCCTTCTTACAGCTGTGAAAGCAATGTGTCTCTCTTTTTACCCTTCATATTTCTCTAGCCTGTCAGGAACAGGGTAGAAGAAAATATCTTTCCTACTTCACCCTCAAACGCCTTCTACAAGCAGGAACACATATTGGCAAATATTTGGTTCAAGGCTTGTTGGAAAACCTTTGGAGGCTGATTTCTGTAGTTCTAGAATTCTACTAAAAATTATCTGAAGATATGCCAGCTGGTGAATGCTATGTTAAAGATACATATGCAGCTGGAGAGGCAAGATAATTATGAGACTAGCAGCAAAATGAGTAGAAACAATAGTGGGGAAGATTAGCAATTTAAAATGCGTAGAAACTAAGTCAATTTATCTCTCTTTGGAAACTTCAGAACCCTTTGCTCTTAGGTCAACTTATGGAATCACTCTCACTATGTACCACTTCTAGAATCTGTGACTGTTGGAATTCTCATTCCTTAAACTCATCCAATTATTGAAAGTCATCCAATTATTCTACTATGAAGAGGTAAACATAGTAAACATTTTCCCTTGATACCAGTTAGGGTTTGTGTAGATCTGCTTAGGAGAAAGACCTTTTCTCCAATGACTTCAATCTGTAGTCCTATGAGCTGCTTGGTGAAAATTGTCTTAAGTTCCAACAGTGGGACTGCTTCATGTTGTTTGGGTCATACAAAGACAGGAGGTGTGGTAACAGACAAGCCTCTAAGCAAGAAGTCATAGGGCTAGACCTTACCAAGGAGTCAGAAGTCAACATGATTTGGTATAAACTAAAATTATTCAAGTGCAATTAACCTGCTATAACTGGAGCCCTTCAACTTCCTGGAAGGAGCAAAGGATTATCATAACCTGCCTAGTTCACAGACCCTGCCATGCCTTTGTGAGGCTTTTCTTAGTGCCCTAACCTCTTAGTTACCTAACCTTATCAGTTTACTGTTTAACTCTTGATAGTAGAATAATTGGATGACTTTCAACAACATATTGAGTCGTTTTCCAAGAATCCCGTTGATAAGCTTATCCACTGATGTCCACCTGCCAGCCTTCCTGTCTACTCATGAATTGATCATCACTATGCCTAATGGACAACCCCAACTCTGCAGGTTAGATACGCTCAACAGCCTACCTGTGTGGCCCCAGACATCGAGTTCCTGCCTCCAACTGGGCTTCTTGCCAGGACATATCACTGTGTGTTGTTCCTCAGTACCTACCTCATTTTAATGAGTCAGCCTGGTCTCAGGCCCCAGCCTTGCCTGGCCTCATCCTACCATAGGTCTGCAAGCTCATGCCTGACTTCAGTGGTGGTAAAGATCATCAATGTGGAGCAAGACTTTAGAGTTCAGGTTCAAATTATGCTCTGCTACCTGCTAACAGTGAGGCTTTTCCAAGCCTCATTTTTCTCAGGCACAAAAATTGAGAATGAACAGAAATTACCTCATGGAATTGCTATGAGGTTTAAACAAAACAGTCCATGGAAAGCACTTACCACAATGCCTAACATATTTTAAGTGCTCAATAAATACAATACATGTTATCTGCATTATTTCAGTTGCAAAAAAGATAAACATACTCAGTTTAGTTCAAGAAACAGTGGGGCTTGTTGAAAGGCTACAGATGATAAATTTCACAGAAGCCAGTTTCTATGTAGTAAGGACAGATGGATGTCCAGGAAATGGGAAGTCACAGACAACCACTCCCTGACTCTCTGATTCTGACTCTGTCTCTCTGTCATTTCTGCTTCTTGCTGCCTGTTGACTTCTCTCTACTGATTCTCTGAGTACCTTTTTTCTCAGCTTATTCACATCCTGTGGTAGACTGCTAGTTGTTCTTCAATATCCATTCTTTTTTTCTTCCTTTAACAATAGAGCCCTTTTGTTTAGTTGGACACATGGCCTCCTTGGTAAACGTTATATTTTCTGGACTCCCTTGCAGCTAGGTGTGGCCACTCAATCAAGTTCTGGATTCATGTACACGTGGCATATGTAACTTTGTCGTCATAGGAGAGGACAGCCTCCTTTCTGCATCCTTTTGACTGCGACATAAGTATAGTAGTAAGCTATTTTGGACTGAGCCACCCTAACAATGAGTAGGCCAGAAGTCTAGGTCCCCAGCAATGGGAAATTGCTATCTCAAGTCTGGGTTCGAGAAAAACAATATCTCCTACCTTTTTTGAGGCATTTTATTTTGTCTTTAATACAGTGGTTGAATCTGTGTGCTAACAGATGAATCATTTACTCTCAGGGGCTTGGGTAGCTTTGCCCTCTCTTGTCCCCAAATCAATATCACAAACACTCATCATTGTCCAACTGACCCAAACATTTAGTCTTCATTTCCAAATTCTGATGAGAAGGAATCTGATTGCTCAAGCTCAGGTCAAGTATCTAGCCTGGTCTAATCATCTATAACTGAAAATAACTGGGGTTTTGGGGTTGAGTAGGGAGGAGGCAAGTCATGTGGTACAGAGAGCTGCACCAGCCAAAGACTATCAGTGTCGTAGGTTCACTGATAGTGGGATATAGAAGAGATAATAATTACTGGCTTGCCTAAACCCATGAGGTGTTATATTATACAAATACATAGAAAATAAGCTTTTGTTAATTTTTTTTTAAAAAGCTTCTAACATATGTTGTGGATCAGTACATATTCTAGGCAAACTCCCAGAACCCTCTACTTCTGTAGGACTACCTAATAGTCACTGAATAAAATGAACATCCTGCACAGATAAAGATCCTGAATCATCAAAATATGCTTCAAATATGTTTATTTACTGAGTTGACAAAGCCTAAAAAGTATACTTATAGAATTTTACAGACATGTCTAGCCCAATATTTTATCTAAGTTAATCAGAAAACTCAACTTATTCAGTTACTTTATACTCTGCAAACTTAAGTTACCCAAGATGTTATCTGTGAAGTTGTTTAGCTATGACATTGTCAAAACCTTTTTATGATATGTAACTAAACTGGTTGCAATTTGTACATTTTACTTCCATAATTTCATACTTAGGTTTAAGTGTCATACTTAAACTATAGATCAATATCAAGGAATAATGTGAGATTACTGGAGATATAGTCTCTGAGATGTTCCTTCTCAGCGAAGCCATTTGATTTCTACCAAGCCTATACAGCAGCTTTTCCAAAGGTGTGTTCTGCAAACCACTGGTACTCATAGATATCACAGGACAAAAGGAATTCCATTGTAAAATAAATTTGGAAAAGATGCTACAAGTTATATTTCCCTGCATGTTATGCAAGTATATGCTGCAAGTTATATTTCCCTGTTAGAGTCTCATAATGCTATGTGTAATGAAGGCTCTGAGACGTCCGGCTGAACCAACACATGTGACATTTGTTGAACATTGTTTAATCCCATTTTTCCTCAAAATTTTACACCTTGGAAAAATGCTGTGTACATGTGTGTACTGCAACAGGCAGGGCAAATGCAACA
Source organism: Homo sapiens (assembly GCF_000001405.40). NCBI lineage: Eukaryota > Metazoa > Chordata > Mammalia > Primates > Hominidae > Homo > Homo sapiens. The sequence continues at coordinate 56,438,373 of NC_000006.12, read as the reverse complement.
ATGAGGCCATGGGCAGAATTTTAAGAAACAGAGGCCAAAGTAGCTTAAGCAGGGATGAAGTTGCTCAAGAAAGACACATTTTTAAGCCATAAAGGACTATATACATGTCTAAATAGAGCTAAAAAGTGTGAAGAGACATATATTTTAATTCACCACCAGGGTTATGGCCCTGCCTAAAAACACAGACATTTTTCTAATACTTTATCATTTACAGGGCAACTACAGATGTATATAAAGTACACTTAATCCTCATATTAACCCCATGATATGAAGTGTTATTCTATTTTTTAAAGGAGAGAGGTAAATGTTAGAGTGGTTAGGGACTGGGCCTAGGACATGAGGACCTACAGCAAGGGAAAGATAAAGGTGAGATTACCCTGCAAAAGAAAGGCTGTCTTTAAATAAGTTTGGAGAGGCTCAATACACCATAGATCGTTGACCATTCTAAACTATTGTCAGTAGAAAAACTCCTTGGCCTTAGATTTCACCAAACCTATTTGCTTGCAACACATTTGTTTAAGGTTATTTTTTTTTTCCACATTAATTTTCTGTCAACTTTCTAGGGAACATACTTTGAAAATAGTTGCTCTGGATCATTGATTTCTTACTGGCCAAAGACAAGAATTATCATGGCCAAGAACTTCCCATAAATCATGGCCTATTAGTCAGACATTCCTGGAACTGGATTAAGGTTTACCTTTGTGGTTTATATAAAGAACACCCTTGCCAAGTAATTAATATGCCCTGATCTCCTTCCCCACTGCAATTTGCCCAAATTACTTGGGTGTAACTTAGCTTATAGAGGTTTTCCTCTCGTGCGTGGTTTCCAAGAATGGAGCCAGGTTGGTGCCTGTGCCACAGGTTGCTTAAAACATTTGGAATCTTATTTACCTTCTGGAAAGTAAATGGGAAGTATGGGTCAAACTTTAAAAATGAATACTCCAGATGAAAAGAAACTGATAATCATACCCAGATGTTAATTTAGTGAATGCATCTCATGTGATGCCATGGTAATGGCAAATTCCAGTGTTTGGTGGACCAGTGTGGGGAATGTTTAAAGTCTTCCTGACTCCAGTGAAAAGCCAAGAGTCGTTTGTTGGGAAGGTCTTGCTTCTTTCGGTTGCCATTTTTAAGTAGACCAATCTCCAGCCAGTCTATAGAAGTCATTATAAACACATCGAAGGATTACTCCAGGAAGGGTACCTAAGAGCATATTGTAAAAATGCAAAAACACAAAGACATACAAGCTACGATCTTCACCTTAAAAGCATTTTTGGAGAGAAAAGTTGATGTCATTTAACTGATTTTGATTTAAACTTTCCTCTAATGCATTTTCATTCTGGGTGACTAACTGAAGAAAAGAGGGGCAACTTTGAGGGAATATTTACACCCTCAATCTTTTAAATGTTTTAAAATTAAAATCCACAGTTCCATTATTTCTTCTGTTCTTTTTATGTTTTCTCTCCCATTCATGGTTGACACAGATAGTATGGCATATTATTAAGTCTTCAGCTCCTGTGAGCTCCTGTGAGCCTCAGTTTTCTCACACCTAAAATGAGAGGATGGGGCCAGAAATTGTTTAACGTTTCCTTGGATCTATGATTTTAGTGTAGTTCCTGGCCATGGTAGATACTGGATAAATAATTGTTGAATAATTCTGTATACTTAGTCACATATTTTGACCTCTACCAAATACAATAGTTCTGCTATCTGGCAGAACCAGGTTAATACCTTGGCTCCACAATTTATTAGTTCTGTGAACTTGAGCAAATTACCCTGCCTAAGGCTTTTTGGCCATATCTATTATATGGAAAGAAAGTGCTCACCTCATTAGGTTAGTAGAGGATGAGATGAGTTGGTCTCCACAACCCTCAGGGTAATGTCTTTGATACAGCAATCATGCAACAAATAGTTGCTGGTATTACCATATTAATAGACACTTATAAGAAATAAGTATCAGTAACAACAGGTCCATGGGAATTTCCACAGACAGGAATTTCCACAGAGCTAGAACTGTTCTCTTTATGGGTTCTTGTCTGCCTCAGATGGCATCCATTACAGTGGGGAATGTGTTCATAGTTAAAAAGTTTTGCTATCTCCATGCTCCTAGTTCCTATAAAATCACTTGCCTCATTGTGAATGTTCCTCATCTCCACCCCACCTTCTCCATCCCTACCCCACAGTCTCTGCCCTACCATCATCTGGCTGACTCCTGTACATTCCATTCTTGCCAGCTTTGTAACCTGCCCTTTCCTGTTCAGGGCACTTTCCTGATCATGGCACACTGCCTACGCTCTGTCCCTCTTCTCAGGCTTTCCCACTGAATGTGAGTTGCTTGACCATTTTGATTTTGACTATTTTATTCACCACTCCATCCCAAGAACCTAAGCGCATAATAGGTGACCAACAAATATTTGCTGAATAAACAAATAAGGTATTCATTTCTGTTCCTGCTTTTAAGACAACTTGGTTTCAGACGAATGCTTCAAAATACTAAGATAGCCAAGTGTCAGGTCTTTTCAGTGTTAGATAAGTTCCAGGATGTGGATTATCCAAAGACTACGTGGTGAACTCTATAGCACCCTTCATGCTTATGTTTGAAAATGGTTGCTGTTTTAGGAATTCAAAAGATGAAGCTACATTTTAAATTATGACTCAGAAAGAAATGGTCAGGTTTTTCATTTCTCCATAATTTTCTACACCCTTTATCAGATATGGCACATCAGTAGTCCTCTCCAACTAATGCATAGCATATCTCTTTTTCATCATGTCATCAAAGAACTAGAGGTTGAATAAACATTTGAACTTCAATGGCTCGCTTCTTGCATTGTAAAGTAACCACTTAGGTGCAACTTAAGGTTATTCTGTAACATTTATAAACCAACAAGATGATGAAATGTCCTGAGGCTGCAAAAAGTAGCTGAGAGTAAACTGCAAGACAGATCTGTTTTAAAATACAGGGTCTTCCTTCCCTTTGACAAGGAGAAGAAATGTCAGCTATCTGTAAGTCTGGCTCTTATGGTTGTTAAAACTGATGCGGGGATGACCACCAAATTTATTTCATTAAAATCACCTGAAACTTCTTTTAATATCTGTGTCTAAAAGAGTTTCATTCTTTGGAGATTACATTATGAAGTACATTTGTTTGAAAGCTAATTCCAAAAGAACACATTTTGGCTTGGCTCATCTTCAATGTAATAAATAACCTAAAAAGAATCACTAACGTCATATTTTCAGATGTTATCAAGATATTTAATATACAAGTAAGTAGAATTTTTCAAAACTACTATAAGTGGTCAAGAAAATGTTTATGCAGTGGTCAAATTTAATTTAAGCTACAGGTCTATGCGACAGTCTGAATGGTATTGTGAACTTAGAAATAACAGTAGAGATCTTGTCCAGGAACAATGACTTAATTTATTCACTCTTTGGTGAGTGGCTACTTTGTGCTCATTGCCTTGTGCTCATGATGTACAATTCATTCATTTATTTATAAATGCTTTAAAAAATATGCCTTGAATATAGATGTGCCAGGCACAATTCCAGATGCTGCTGATGAACAAGTCGCACATGATCCCTGCCACTAAGTAGCTTACATAACATGATGGAGGAAGTTGTAAAATATAGACATATAAGAAACATGTGCTTCAGACTAATCTTCTTCAAAGAGCAACCCTAAGATAAATAGCAAACTTTTCAACAAGAATTATGAAAGCAGAAGTTAATGGAATGATATTTTTAAGTGCTAACGAAAACAAACCTGCTAGTCTAGAATTCTGTATTCTAAAAGAATTTTCAAAAATTATAGCAAACCAGACATTTTCAGTCAATTAGAAGTTGAACAAAGCTGTCATTAGCAGACCTGCAATACAAGAATTACTGAAGTAAGTTCTCTGGGTTGAAAGAATAATTTTTAATTATCCCAAATAATTCCTGTTTGTAGGATACACATTAAATATAAGGACGCAGATAGGGTGAAAGTCAAAGGATGGTAAATGTATACCATGCAAACACTAACCAAAGGAAAGCTGGCACAGCTATGTTACAAACAAAGTATACTTTAAGACAAAGAATAATACTAGATATATAGAGTGACATTTCATGATAAAAAGGGTCAATTCAGCAGGAAAACACAATTCTAAATGTATATGCATCTAATAATGTATCTTTAAAATATATAAAACAAAAATTGTTTAAACTAGAAAAATTCACAATCATACATGTAGATTTAAAAATACCTCTCTGTAGCTGATAAAATAAGAAGACAAAAAGGCAGTATCCCAAAACTGCAGCATATATTCTTTTTCAATCAGACCTGGCAAAACCCCAAAATTATATCAGCCTTAGATGATGAGAGGGCACTTTGACTAAAGTATTGATATGAAACCAAAATATAGTCACCTGAAAATTGAATTATGATAATATATTCTGGGAGTAACATAGGCACTACGTTAAGCCTAGGGAAATCCATAAAAATGAGGTACAGCATTTTCCTTCAATGAACTCATACTTTAATAATAATAATAACCAAGGTTTACACAGCACTTTTTGTGTGCGAGGAACTATTTCAAATGCTTTATTTGTATTAATTCCCCCAAGAACCCCGTGAGGTGAGTTATTATCTCCCATTTTACAGACGACAAAACCGAGGCACTGAGAAGCCTATCACTTTATCAAAGGTCATCCCAGCTAGTAAGTGCTACAGCTGGGATTTGAACCCAGGGTTCTGGCGCTATCCCATGTTTTTATTTCCTTTAGCCCTCTTTGAGAGCGTGCACTTCTTTTCTTACTAGGATTTAGGGTTGGATAGAAGTACTTTGGGAAGTGTACCTGGTGAGTGGGCTGGATCCCTCTCTGGGCCGGGGAAAAAAAAAAGCCCTCCGATCCGTCTTTTAATTGCTTCTCTTCGTTTTTTTCTCTCCTATTTCTCATCACTCCAACTAGCCCAGGAAGAAGGCGGCGGCGGAGGCGGCCTGGGAGGAGCCGAGCTCGGACAACGGCACTGCCCGCGCCGGGCCCAGGAAGCTCGGAGGTCCGGCGGGCAGGAAGGGCGAGCGGCCCGAACGCTGCAGCAGCAGCCGCGGCTGCGGCTGCAGTGGTGACTAGGACCGCGTGGAGCTCGACTGGGACCCGTGCGGGGACAAGCGCGCGGGGCGCCAAGGAGCGCGTCAAACTTAAAGGGTCAAAGTGCAATGGGCAGCTTTTGATTTTGGGGGCAACTAACTGGGACATGATTGGTCGAAAAGAAGTGCCTAAACAGCAAACTGCTTACCGCGATCTCGGTCAGAATTTGTGGGGTCCCCACAGGTATGGCTGTCTGGCGGGGGTCCGGATACGGACAGTGATCTCAGGTTCCTGTGCTGCACACAGCCTCCTCATCACCATGGAAGGGAAGCTGTGGAGTTGGGGTCGAAATGAGAAGGGGCAGCTGGGACATGGCGACACCAAGAGAGTAGAGGCCCCCAGATTCATCGAGGGTCTCTGCCATGAAGTGACCATGTCTGCAGCATGTGGGTGGAACCACACCTTGGCCTTGACGAAAACGGGCTCTGTGTTTGCGTTTGGGGAGAACAAGATGGGGCAGCTGGGCCTTGCCAACCAGACAGACGCTGTGCAGCCCCGCGCGGATAATGTATAACGGCCAGCCAATTACCAAAATGGCCTGTGGGGCTGAATTCAGTATGATAATGGACTGAAAAGGAAACCTCTATTCCTTTGGGTGCCCTGAATATGGCCAGCTGGGACACAACTCGGATGGGAAGTTCATCTTTGGGGCACGGCGGATAGAGTACGACTGCGAACTGGTTCCCCCGCGACTGGCCATATTCATTGAGAAGACGAAAGACGGACAGATTCTGCCTGTACCAAACGTGGTTGTGTGAGACGTGGCCTGTGGTGCTAACCACACGTGGTCCTGGACTCCCAGAAGCGAGTCTTCTCCTGGGGCTTCGGTGGCTATGGCCGGCTCGGCCACGCAGAGCAGAAGGACGAGATGGTCCGCCGCCTGGTGAAGCTGTTTGACTTCCCTTGGCGTGGTGCGTCCCAGATCTATGCTGGTTACACCTGCTCCTTGGCCGTCAGTGAAGTGGGTGGTCTGTTTTTCCGGAGGGCCACCACTACCTCCCGTGAATCTGCCATGTACCCGAAAGCAGTGCAGGACCTCTGTGGCTGGAGAATCCAGAGCCTGGCTTGTGGGAAGAGCAGTATCATTGTGGCCGCCGACGAGAGCGCCATCAGCTGGGGCCTATCACCGACCTTCGGGGAACTGGGCTAGGGGGACCACAAGCCCAAGTCTTCCACTGCAGCCCAGGAGGTGAAGACTCTGCATCCACAGTCTTCATTTTCTCAGAGAAGGTCGCCATGGGCTACTCACACTCCTTGGTGATAGCAAGAGACGAAAGTGAGACCGAGAAAGAGATCAAGAAACTGCCAGAATACAACCCCGAACCCTCCCATGCTTCCGGAGACTCCTCCGACTCCATACCTCTGGCGGCAGCTGTCATTTCCATGTGCACTGGGACTTCGTGAAGTGAAATGAGGAATTTAAAAAAGTGAAAGTCGACCAAAGGTGCATTTTTGTTTAGACTCCTTGAGGTTCCGTTTTACAAGTGATCCAACGTTAACCACCTTTTTTTCTATGCTTTCCAAAGTACGTTTTTCCCCTTAATGTCGAATTAAAATACTTGCTCATAGTTGACTTACCATTCCTACAGAAGAGGTAGAAACTTTGAGCAATCTAGAGTTTTTTTTTTTTTAAGTTTTTTCTTTTTTCCTTTCCTGAATACACTCCCCAAAACACCCCCTTTCCAGTTATAATTAGCATCCGTGATCCAAGCAGATGCTACATGGAAGAGGAATCACCATTTACTCAGAAAAAATAGTCCTTTACAGGAACCGGCAGCAGCTAGGCAAAGTCAGTCCCTGCCCGCCCGCCTCCATCCAAAATCACGGTCGCGTGCTTCGGAAGCATACGGGTCACTCCTTTCCCGCTTTTTTTTGCAGATCCGCCTAGGCCGGCGTCGGTTCTGTTTCTCCCCTTGGCGGCCTGTACGCCCACAGCCTTCTGGCTGCAACATAGAGAATCTGCCCTGGCTCCCCTGGTGGGGGAGGGGGGTCTGTGTTTAGCCATTTATATCTACCTCAGCTGTTAAAGAAGTCCAAATGAAAATCAGTTGGTGGTAGAACCATGGGGACTTGGGGGTGGGGCAGAGGTGGAAACATTTGTATCAGCTGAGTCGGCTTAGTGGCTTCCTGTGGAGCCCTGGCTGAGCCTTGTTACACGCACTCGCCAATTAGAGATCTAGTCCTTGCAAGAAGGATCAGCCCTTTCCATACCAGCCTTGATCACCTTGTGCTTTGGTCTCCTTTTCTACCCTACCTGCATCCTGCCTCGCACTGGCCATCCTGTTGCTGAGACTCGGGGTACCGTTCTGCTGGCTCAGCTCCCTTTAGTCACGTTTGGTTGGCTCTGGTACTAAATAGTTGGGATTACTGAAGAGTTCCCTTCCTTGCGCATCAGCACTGATGCTGTGGCTGCCACCCGTGTCCCCATCAAGTGCCCGAGCTCTCTGCGTGTGCGCTGTGCTGAGTGAGTTATGAGGTGCCTTTCCCGGAACGCTCTTCTCGCCTGGACGCAAAACGGGGGACAGCTCTGGCTGGGGCTCTTGGTTTCCAGAGGGTCTGGACTGGTTTGGGCGCTTTAAAATAGATATTTAGTTCAGTGGTGCTTATGAGGGAGATGGGAATAGAACTTAAGTGAGTGTGAGACTTGGGTGGATGGGAAAGTTAAATTTTGGTCTCTTCAAATGTGTTTTTTTTTTTTGCTTTGCTATTGTTACCGCTTGTCACTGTCTCCATGTTAAAATGCCAAAAATGATCTAGGTGTTGTTGCTCCACCCCAGTCTCTCCTTACCGTGACTCCTGCCCTTGGAGGCCACATAGCAGTGTCTGTCGCGCCAGTCCCAAGGCCCTGTGGGAGGAGACTGGCCTGCATCTCTCTAAGACTTAGTCTGAGGCCCCGCGCATCTCTTGTTCTGTGTTCAATCAGTAGTCCAGGGGAGAAGCTTCTGCCACTTCAGAGCTTTGCTAAACTAACCTAATTTGTCCAAATCACCCCAAAACCACCATTTCTGACTCAGGCTTCCATGCGATAACCTAATCTGTTTCCCTGGACAGTTCTCTTTCCTGGAACGCAGCCCAGGCACCTGTGCTTCTGGCACCCTTGAGGTCTCCCTTTGAGTCGTGGTCACCGAGAGAGTTGAGGAAGCAACACTCGAGGTCCCAGCCTTTGCAGGAGCTAGACTTAGATCTTCCGGTGGCCAGCCCCTTCTAGAACCCTAGCCAGGGTCTGGAGCAGGAAAGGGGCCTTCGAAGTGAAGACTGCCTTGTCCCATACCTCCTTTTGGCTTAGATTGCAAAATGAACTTCCTAATGGGTTAAATCCTTTAAAACAAGGAGTTGGGGAGAAGGGCGTCGTGCACTCCTAGAGAGAGGTACACAGTTGCCCTGCTGTGAACGTGTTTGGCGCTGACTCCGCAGGCAACTCACTGGTCTCCCAGCTCAGGAGAAAGAATTTGAAAGAGGCTTAGAGTGAAGGGGAATCAAAGAGGAGGTTGTGATTTGGTCGAAGGTGCCTGGTTTAGTGCTGTAATTGTCATATACATACATAAATACATATATATTTCTTGGAGTAAACATTTTAAATAAACGACATCATTGTCTACTAAAAAAAATAATTTGGGAAAAGGAGAATGGGGTGATTTTCCCCTCAGGATCCCTTAGGGACCCCTCTTTGGAGCTTCAAGGAAGCCCAAATTTTCCTATGTAGTCAGTAAAGGAGAAGCCATCTTACCTTCCGCTCTGAGGGCTGATCTGCAGGATGTGGTCTCTGGGTCCATATTTAACCTCTAAAATAGAGGGGGTATTCCTGAGCCAGGCGTCTGCACACACTGAGTTTAGATGTTTTGTCTTAGATGAAGCAATTGCTCATTCTAGAACCTCAACCCTGTAGCACACAAGGATAACTAAATAATAAATTTTCCTAAGTGAATTTCTGGGGAGGCTGGCAATTGAATCTTCCTCCTTGCAGAACAACCGTACCACTGGCAGCATTTGCAAAAATCCCAGTAATTAGATTAATTTACTAAATGCTACTGCAGATTCAAGGAGTATTTTAGACTTGATTTTATTTTGCTGGGTATGCTTTGTTTATTTCTTTATTACTGCCATGGTTTAATTAATTTTTCTCAATTTTACACTGGCCTTTCCTCCAAGGAGTCTGAGAGGTTCCCTCTCAGTGAGAGCTTCTTGTTCATCTTTGGTTTTTGGCATAGGAATTTTTCTTTATATTTTTGCTGTAGGGTTTCTCGGTCTGGGCACTATTGACATTTTGGGCCATATATATCTTTGTCATGGCGGCTGTCCTGTGCATTTTGGAATGCTTGGTGGCATTCTTGGATTTTAACCACCTGATACCAGTAACATCTGCACCTTCAGTTGTGACGCCAAAAATGTCTTCAGACAATGTCAAATGAGGAGGGAAGAACCACTGCTTTAGTTCATGGTTCATAATAGGAAGAAAATTAAGTACAGTCATAAAGTCTCAGTTATTAAATATCTACACAACCAACTCCAGTGCAAATGGCAGACACCTGCAAGCTCCACCCTGGATGATTGTGAGATCTTACAGCACAAACTTAGCCAGCTTCTAGCCCTGGGCCAGGCATAATGTCTTCAGAAAATATTTATTGAAGGAATTTTTTAAAGTGAATGATTAACACATAAAAATTATTTTTAATGCCACAAATTTAGGGTAACTTGATGTCATATAAACCAAATAATGTGACTGGCTTGTTTAATTTTACACTGAATTTGCTGGCTTACATTCATTCATTTGTATATTCATTTATTCTTTGGCTCAGCAGATCTTGCTACACGTGAGCAACCTGGCCTAATGGTTCATGGCATGGGTGCTGGTGCTGTATTACCTGGGTGCAAGCTCTGTTATTGCTACTCATTGGTTTTATGACCCCAGGCAAGTTTACTGAACTTTTTGTGCCTTAGTTTCCTCATCGGCAAAACAGAGAGGATGCATATGCATTGTACATGCCTTAGAGAGTTATTATAAGAATTCAGTAACTTAGTATATGTTAAGTGCTTAGACTGTTCTCAGACACCTAGTAAGCAGTATATGTGTTTGCTGTTATTATACCTAGTTGAGAAGGTAAAGAAGGATAAAGTAAAAGATGTGCATCAGAATAGCTCTAATTCGGGGCAGAATATAATACCTGTTGTAAGAGAAGTTCAAGCTAAATATGACAAAGAAGCAAGATTGTAGCCAATGGAGGGGTAGAGAAAGCAGAGATAGCCTCATGACAGAGGAAATGTTTGAGTTGGGCTTTGCGCAGGGCATGTGAGGGGGGCATCTGGAGGAGGCAACAATAGAAGCAAAGTTGTGAGGATACATGAGGAGAATTTCTGGTGGTCCTATTGAGCTGGAATTTAGGAAGATGATGAGAAATAGGTCTGACGACACAAGTTAGGGATTGACTGAAGGGTTTTGTAAAGTCTGAAATTTAGTGGGGCTGGGCTTTGCATTGCTGTTTCCTTACTTAGTAGCTATGTCCTAGACATGTTATGAAACCTCTCCAAGCCTCAGATTTCTAACCTTAAAGTGGGCAATGTTTACCTCCAGAATTGTTGTGAGGATTAGTAGAAATAATGAAAAGGAAGAGTTTAGTACAATGCCCATACACAGGATTTATCATTATTATTATCCTGAAAGACAGCCTGAATTGGGAAAGAAAAGGAGGGAAAAAGCAGAAGTACTAGGATATTTGCCTATGCTGGTTGAACAGAGACAGGTACCTTACAATGCTTTGCCAGTGACAAAGCATGGTGGTGATGACTAGAACAAGAAGCCAGATAACACTTATTTGATGAAACAAAGTATGTCAAGTAACTGCCCCATGCCAGGCACTGTGTTGCATACTGAGGATAAAACAAGTAGGATCTAGTCTATATTTATAAGTGAGAACATGGAATATTTGACTTTCTGAGTTATTTCGCTTAAGATCATGGCCTCCAATTCCATCCATGTTGCTGCAAAAAAACACATGATTTCATTCTTTTTCATGACTAAGTAGTATTCCATGGTGTATGTATGTGTGTGTGTGTATATATATATGTGTGTGTGTGTGTGTGTGTATATATGTATGCATATATATATGTACATATATATCACATTTGCTTTAATTATTCATTTATGGACACAGGTTAATTTCATGATTTTGCTATTGTAAATAGCGTTGTGCTAAACATGTGAGTGCAGGTTATCTTTTTGATACAATAATTTTTTTCCTTTGGGTAGATACTCAGTATTGGGATTTCTGGATTACAGGGTGGTTCTATTTGTAGTGCTTTGAGAAAGCTCCACACTGTTTTCCATAAAGATTGTATGAATTTACATTTCCACCAACAGTGTATAAGCATTCTCTTTTCTCTGCATCCTCACCAACATCTATTATTTTTTGACTTTTTAATAATAGCCATTCTGACTGATATAATATAGTATCTCATTGTGGTTTTAATTTGCACTTCTCTGATGATCAGTGGCATTGAACATTTTTTTCTTATACTTATTGGCCATTTGTATGTCTTCTTTTGAACAGTGTGTGTTCTTGTCTTTTGCCTACTGTGTAATGGGGTTATTTGGTTTTTCTCTTGTTGAATTGTTTGAGTTCCCTGTAGATTCTAGGTATTAGTCCTTTGTTGGATGCAGAGTTTGCCAATATTTTCTCCCATTCTGTAGATTGTCTTTCATTCTGTTGATTATTTCTTTTGCTGTGCAGAAGCTTTTTAGTTTAATTAAATCCCATTTGCCTATTTTTGTTTTTGTTGCATTTACTTTTGAGGCCTGAATCATGAATTCTTTTCCTAGGCCAATGTTCAGAAAAGTTTTTCCTAGGTTTTCTTCAAGAATTTTTAAGGTTTCAGGCTTTGCATTTAAGCCTTAAATCAATCTCCAAAATACCAAGTTATTTTGTTTTTGCTTTTATGTAAAGAAGGCTGTGAACATGAGAGAGGGCTGGGGGGTATACGGCGCTTTCATAAAGCACAGGGAAACTTCTTTAAAATTCTTTTTCCTCATTGTATTTCACATCCACTGTCTCAGCTCCTGCAGGTGCTTTAGTGTCTCTCTTCCCAGATTCCCACATCCTCACCAATTTGGCTCCTCTAAACCCGATGCTTCAGTCTTTCTTTTTTCTCCCCACCCACCCTAGCTCAATTCTTTATTGCACGGATTGAGTTCACCTTTCCTGTCTCTCAGTTACTACTGGTTCTCCCAGTCCCTAGATTTTGTACAATCAATGGCCCAGGGTTGACTAAGCCAGTCAGGATCTTTCCTTCTTAGGAATATGGGGTAAGGAGTGAGGAAGAACGGTCTAGGAGTCTTATTAAAGGCAGAAACAGGGAAAGAGGCTACAAATACGCATTGACTAATGATTTTGGACCCTGTTTTAATGAATGAATAGAAGTGGTTCTTGCAAGAGTCTGACTGAATTCACTGAATGACAAGTTTTTTAATGCATGTGGACACAGCCTAAGGGAGCTGTCTCAGTTTGAACTGCGGAATTTTACCAACACTTCTGTCCATTATTACATTGTCAGTGCTCTCTGGTCAAAGACAATCATGAATCTGCCTGTAAATGTAAGAAAGTTTGGGTTTATCCATTTGTTGCAGTGAAGATAATCTCACTCCGTGGGAAATTGTGGGGTGTCTTGAAAAGGGGGTGTTAGAAAAGACTTATTATAGGATTTGGGTGATTTTGGTAAGAGTTCAAGGAAGTAGGATTTTATTCTGGATTAGATGCTGTGAGGAAGCAGAGGTAATTCTATGATTGGTGATATTAATAATTCTTCTTTAGGAAGCACAGAAACATAGCCTCACAATGCTTCACCCACTTACCAAGCTAACCCCTTGCTGCCACAATCTGAAAACATAAGGTAAAAGATAGTCTTAACTCATTTATTTTTGGAGGTCCTTTAAAACTATCCTCATTTTGATTCTTGCCCTTTAAATAGAGAGTTAAACGTGCTATTTTCTTGGTCCAGTTAGACTTATCCAATAAAGAATATAGTTTCTCATGGAATATCTTTCCTATTTTTAATTTTTAAAAGCCACTCCAGAAAGTAATGATTTGTCTTCATGGGCTTGGCCACAGTTTGCTCCAGACACAATTTCATGCCCTCCTGGGTAAGTCTGTGGTTGACTGGGTAGTAAATGAACTGCTTGAGCAGGATGCCGTTTTTCAGGGCTTGTCTGTTTAAGAAAGCTAAGTGACTTTTCTGTCATCTCGGGCGCTTTGACCTAAGTAAATGGTTCATATAGTAACTGTCATCTCAGCACATCTTCTCCCAAGTCATTTTTTTTTGTTGCTGAAAATTTCCCCTCACACTTACTCTATTTGTCTATCATACTGATCCTTTAAACACCAGACTGCCAACTTAATTCTCCTCAGTGTATGATTGTCCTTTAACAAAAATACACATTATGCTTTCCACAAATAGATTATAATGGAGTGGTGTTCGCTGCACAGCTCTTGACCTCCTCTTGAACTGAGCATCCAGGGTGACTTTCCTGTCTTTGCCAAGGTTGCCTTGCTCAGCTCTACTATTCCCTGACTCCTGGCTGGTGGAGGGAAATGGTTCTTGAGGAGGTTTCAGCACATCCATCAGCTCATATCTCCAAAGAATTATCAGCCAAGTACAGTCCTCTCAAGAGTTCAAAGGCCTTCTTGGCCTTGTGGATAGGCTTACAAAGGACAATAGTCTTTTAAACTTTGCTACATGCTTTTATCATTTGAAGGATGCCAAATACTTGGATTTTTTAAATAACAACTAAGAAAATTTCACAATTCTTCGGTTATCATTGGCCTTTTTTTAAACCAATAAATTGATCCTGTGTGACACCAAATGATTCTTTCTGGCCTCTGAGCAGGATTCCCTTCTAAAACTGTAAGAACTGCAGTTGCAACCAGGTCCTTGATGGATACTGCAGGTCAGAGCTGCTTGGCACACATACTTGGCTTTCTAGGATCCCTTAGGTTTTGTAACTAAAGCCAGCACTTATCTAGCATTCCAGCTTTCATGGGGAAATGGAAAACAGTCTACAGGTCCCAAAAGTAGGAAAGGGCCTGAGCCTTTAGTGCTCTGAGGAGGATGGCTCCAACAGCCCCTCTAGTGTGAACGGGTTCTGGCAGCCCCCCAGGAGGTAGCAAGGCACTGCTCAGTTTCTGCTCATTTCCATCTGTAACCCCAGCCAGCTACAAACAGAACAGGAGAGCACTCTTCTGCCAGGACTTTTGGAGGGGATGGTGTAGCACAGAGGGCTTCTGCAAAGGTGAACATGCTCTGTTCCTGAGTATCCCAGGAAAACCCTAGCACTGAGTCTTGATAGAGATGCCTTTAGACTCAAATCATCCAAGAAAGCTTCCTTATGTTATCTAACAGGTCCAGTCTAAAGAAGTAAAGACCTTAATGCCAGCTACTCAGGACGCTATTACATTGGGTAAATGTTTTAGTAATTAAAGCAAACCTCAGAGAATGAAAACCATACAAAAATTTTGACAAGACAGTTTTGCCCTGTAAAGGCATATGAGGAGTGATGAGGGTGTTAAACTCAATTAGTTTTCTTTTTCTTTTAGATTACTAATTTGAACTGACTTGGATAGGGACAATTTTTCCTCTCAAAGGGAGGACTCTTATTTTGCTTCTTTACTCTCTCTGCCTCAACTGTGTCCCATCACCATAGACCTCTCCACAAGTAGGTTTCAATGAACTGTGCCCAAGGAAGGGGACAGAACCATCAGGAGTTACGCAGCTCCAAGGTTTTCCCTGTCCTTGTCCTTGTCTCTATTGCCCCAGAAGTATGTCTGGTAAGGGATGAAGAGCAAAAACCCAGGAAAATGACAAAATTGACCTATTTATCTTTGGTGTTTCCTAACCCCTGGTGCCCTAAACCTAGTCCTGATGGGGCGTGGGTGGAATTTCACCCTACCCAGGCCTGTCTGTCACTGATACCTTGTCCCTTCCTCATAAGAGAAACATTCTGTGTCTAATATTTTTAAAACCCTTTTTACCCATTTCTAAAGTAGCAAGTAGATAGGCTTATAACTAGTGGGTGCTCGGCCGCCTACTCATTTTTCTTACCCAAGTTAAGTGTACTTTAACATATTATGTAGACAGTACTCTAGCAGTGGCTAATTCCACCATATGCAGGATAGGCTGGATATGATAGACTTCTAGAGGGGGAAGATCAGGCCCAGGCCCCTCTTCAGTCCCTCTGAGGATAGTTACTCACCAGCTTGGTAATCTTGCACAAGTTACCTCTACCAGCTTCTGTTTTCTCATCTTTAAATTTGGTGAAATAATAGTAACACATAGCATTTATTGAATGCTTATTTTCCAGGCTTTTTAAAAATTTTTTAATTTCAGTAGGTTTTGGGGTACAGGTGGTTTTTGGTTACATGGTTGAGATCTATAGTCGTGATTTCTGAGATTTTAGTGCATCTGTCACCTGAGCAGGGTACACCGTACCCAATATGTAGTCTTTTATCCCTCACCTCCCTCCCAACGTTTCCCACCCCCGAGTCCTCAAAGTCCATTATACCACTCTCCATACCTTTGCGTTTCCATAGCTTAGCTCCCAGTTATAAGTGAAAACATATGGTTTTTTTGTTTTCCATTCCTGAATTTACTTCACTTAGAATAATGGACTCCTGGTCCATCCAAGTTGCTGCAAAGGACATTATCTCATTCCTTTTTATGGCTGAGTAGTGTTCCATGGTGTATATATACCACATTTTTTTTATCCACTGGTTGGTTGGTGGGCACTTAGGTTGGTTCCGTATCTTTGCAATTGTGAATTGTACTGCTATAAGTGTGTGTGCATGTGTTTTTCATATAATGACTTCTTTTCCTGTGAGTAGATACCCAGTAGTGGGATTGCTGAATTGAATGGTAGATCTAGTTTTAGTCCTTTAAGAAATCTCTACACTGTATTCCATAGTGGTTGTACTAATTTACATTCCCACCAGCAGTGTAAAAGTGTTCCTTTTTCACCACATGCATGCCAACACCTATTGTTTTTCGACTTTTTAATAATGGCCATTTTTATAGGAGTAAGGTGGTATCTCATTGTGGCTTTAATTTGTATTTTTCTGATGATTACATATGTTGAGCATTTTTTCATATGTTTGTTGGCTATTCATTATATCTTCTTTTGGGAAATATCTATTCATGTCCTTTGCCCACTTTTTAATGGGATTATTTTTTTTTTCTTGTTGATTAGTTTGAGTTCCTTGTAGATTCTGGATCTTAGTCCTTTGTCAGGTGCATAGTTTGCGAATATTTTCTCCCACTCTATGGGTTGTCTATTTACTTTGTTGATTATTGCTTTTGCTGTGCAGAAGCTTTTTAGTTTAGTTAGGTCCCATTTATTTATTTACTTTTGTTCCTGTTGCATTTGCTTTTGGGGTCTTAGTCATGAATTCTTTGCCAAACCCAATGTCCAGAAGACTTTTTCTGATGTTACCTTCTAGGATTTTTATGGTTTTAGGTCTTAGATTTAAGTCTTTGCTATATCTTGAGTTGATTTTTGTATAGTGAGAGATAACCAAGGATGTGAAAGACTGCTAAAAGGAAAACTATGAAACACTGCCTAAAGAAATCATAGATGTCACAAACAACTGGAGACACAGCCCATGCTCATGAGTGGGAAGAATCAATATTGTGAAAATGACCGTGCTATTCAAAGCAATCCGCAGATTCAATGCAATTCCCATCAAACTATCATCATCATTCTTCACAGAACTAGAAAAAAAAATCCTAAAATTCATATTGTACCAAAAAAGAGCCCACATAACCAAAGCAATAAGCACCAAGCCATAAGCAATAAGCAAGAGCCAAAGTCCTGAGCAAAAAGAACAAATCTGGAGGCATCACATTAACCAACTTCAAATTATACTACAAGTCTGCAGTTACCAAAACAGCATGGTACTGGTATAAAAATAGGCATGTAGACTAATGGAACAGAATAGAGAACCCAAAAATAAAGCCAAATACTTACAGCCAATTGAGTTTTGACAAAACATATAAAAACATAAATTGGGAAAAGGATGCCCTATTCAATAAATGGTGCTGGGAAACCACCAGCACCATGTGCAAGCCACAGGTAGAAAGAAGAATGAAACCAGGCACTGTTTTAAGCATGTCATATTAACTAATTTATTGAAGCCTCACAATACACTTAATGAGAAAATGTAACTGAGGCACAGAAAGGTTACATACTTGCCAAAAGCCACTCAGCTAGCAGGTGGCAGAGCTGGTCATCAAACAAAGGTGATCTGGTTCTGGAACTCATGTGCTTGACTGCTACACATACCAATCCTCAATGCTGACTTTCTGCCATGTAATACATGAAAAACACCCAAAACTGTGCCTGATGTGCAGTGGGTACTCAATAATAATATTGTTGATCTGTCTTCCTGAAAGAACTGCCCTACTGAAGGTTCTGCTCTGATAATCTATTGCTTGGGCAATTTCAGCTCCCCTTTGATGAGAGGAGCTGCATAGTAGAATCCACTGTTCTATTTAATAAACAAACAAGCAAACACAGTCACATATTCATTTAACCAACCAGACTGCATGACCATAAGGTCCTTCTAGTCCAAAGGAAGGTGTAGGACAAGAATGCAATAAACCTAATAGACGATTGGGATGATAAATGTCACAGGAGGTACACAGAAAACATGTTTTAGAAGTTCAATGGAAAAGGCATTCGTCCTGGAATCTCTTCAAAATGAGAAGTTTAAGTTCGTATGAGTCATGGGTCCTCAGAAATAGAAAGATCAAGTGGAAAAATCTGGGTCTGAGACTATAGAGGCCAAAAATTTGTGACTCTGGGCACATTACCTTACCTCTCTGAGTTTGTGTGTCTGTGTGTGTGTGTGTGTGTGTTTTAATCTGGAAAATTTGGATAATTTTACTATCTCCTGAAAGTTGATGCAAGCATTCAAGTGAAAACAAATGTAATATGCTCCACTGATAATGAATCTGTGAGTGATGAATGGATGTGAGAAGTACCATGCTGTTCATTATTCTGTGCTGGATTTATGGTAAATGGAAAGATCCATTTTCTTACTTGAGAAATACTTCAAAGGAGTGTGTTTTTTCTTATGGTGAATTAATAAACTTTCCCCATACTATTAGGCAGTAACCTACCTCAATTTATTAGTTTTTGGGTCTTCCTGCTTATAATAATTATTTAAACCTCCTTCTCTACTTAACACAGTACAGAAAAACTAAGCTATTTGGTATTCATGGACTCACAACTAAATTGATATATGTCAGACAATTCTATTGTGTTCCTGAGGACGTAAACACCATGAGGACAGGATTTTGTCTGTTTCTTTTTCCCACTGCTGTATTCTCAGACTTTAGAACTGTGCCTGCCTCAGATTAGGCCATAAGTATTTATTGAATGAATGAGGCAGCAGGCATGAGTGCACACTCATATCTTTATGGAATTACTCTAAGCAGAGCTACAAAGAGGGTAAGTTTATTGTTCTTTATCAGATGAATTAATGCAAATGGATTAATGAATGTTCTTTATCAAATGAACACCTATAAAAGAATTTTGAAATTGTAAAGTACTATAGAAATAGAGGTTGTTATTTTTATTTCCTGTTGGGTAAGTGGAGGGGAAAAAAACAAGTTCTATGGGAAATAGTATCAGGCTTTCTAACTTTTATTCTGAATTTATTTAAAGAAAATGCATGTTAGCAATAACTAGAGCACTATCTTCTATTTGAAAATTGAAAATGGTCCAAGAAGTAAAATGTGAGGAAAATCTGGCTTCTCTGATAGTTTGCTGAGTGTGTGGCAGATGTGTTTGTAATTCAGCATAATTGTTTTTCCACCAAAAGCCATTACTAATCTTTTTACAGCTCCTTACCACATTAGACTCGGTGGTTCACTTTCTATCAATTCCATCTGAAGAGTCAATTTTGTCTGTTGGAAAGAAAGGAGGAAGCAGAATAACATCCTCTCAGATGTTCCAGGCAAAGTGTAGGGAGCTGGTGGGATCACTGTCCTCTGCTCCTAACTTGTGTTGAGGGTTATTCTAGCAAAGAGCTAAAGCCCACAGCAACCCAATACTGCCTCTGACTGCTGGGCCCATACTGTGTATTTAGTTCATGTTAGAAACCTTGTTTTAATGTAAATTGAGGAAACCTAGCCCTCTGTAGACACCCCTACAATGTGCAGTAGTCCACTTACAGGCATATGAATTGTAGACTTTAATGCTGAGAATATACTGCTGGTAAGAAAGCTGTTTATTACCCTTATGTGTTGGTGATTTTAACATATGATTGACTTAGAAGTGAAATCTCTCAAGAAAACTACATAAGGTCCCTTGATTGGGGAGAATTATCTTTGTGTTATAATTCCTTTTCTTTTCTTTTTCAATTTATAGCCCCCTACTTTATCCTTATCTCTATGATTTAGGAAGAGTTCTTTTTGTTTGTTTGTTTTATAAATTGTCACTTTTTTTCTTTAAACCCTCCAACACAAATGACAATAATTGATCGACTGGTTATTGCCCACAAGTTCACTCTATACTCACTCTGTAGGGGTGCTACTCTGTTTCATTATGAATTACTATAACTTAGTTTCCAAGAATTATCTGAAGATACATCTTGAGATGTTTCAAGAAATCTGGCCTCTTTCAGATGACATTATGGGAAATGTCATGAATATTCTGGCCTATGGGTCTTTCCCCTTTGGTTTATTTCACTGCTTATTGGCACTCTGGGATGGGGATTGTGAGAATGCTAACAACAAACGGAGCAGAGACCAAAGAGAAGGTCCTAGGAATTTACCCTCTGTCTGCAAAAAGGCTTAGAAAACTCAGCCCAAACTATCTTGGACAATAAGGGGATTCATTATTTCACATTGTCAGACATCTTGAAGCAGAGCAGGTTCCAGGCACAATGTGTCAGACTCTGTTTGTCCTTCTCTGTGATTCCTTGGCCCAGTCATCCTCTGAGTATTGGCTTTATCCTTGGGCTGGTAATGAGAGGCTGCAACAATCCCAGGCATTATCCCCAGACATGAGAGTGTCCCCAGAGACAGTGTGTGTCTTTGTTTAAAATTTTAGATTCAGGGGGTACATGTCCAGGTTCATTACATGGATATTTTGCATGATGCTGAGATTTGGGCTTCTAGTGAACCTGTCACACAAATAGTGCACATAATACCCAGTAGGTGGCTTTCCAATCCTTTGTTTTTAAGGGCATGTCTTTCCTATGAACTCCTACCAGACCTTTCTTGATGAGTGAGTGGCAAAGTTGCAGCCAGGACTATTCCTAAACCAGTCAATAGCAAGCTGGATGGGATTGGCGTGATACGTTGGTGACATTTGCTGCTTTTTGAGGGAGCAGGTTATCTAGATGAAATCAGGGGCAGCAAGAGCAATGGCTTTAGTGTAGGCAACCAAGAGCTTCAGCTGTACTCTTGGAGGATGATCAAGGGGAGACTTTGGAAAAACAAGAAATGTAGACTGGGTTTTTGACTTGTTCCAAGTGTCTGTAGATGGGTCCAGAAGCACAAGGCAATCTTTCAAATACTTGAAGTAAAGAGGAATTAGGCAAGACACTAAAGCATTAGGGTTACAGAGCTAAAATAAATTTGTATTCTTGATCATGCCATGCCAGAGAGAGTTCTAACTCTAAAAGATTTGACAGTCCTTATCCACCTTACAGTTAGCAAGCAGTAAATAAGAAAGCGGGGGAAAAGCTTTGGTGGTTAGGGGACACTAATGACCTCAGTGAAAACAGAGCTTCTGAGTTACAAAGAGTTCATTTATTGTTCCTGTCACCATTCCCCACTATTTAAAAGTACTGTTAAACACCCACTTGCAAATTTTCCCATTATGGGTACTGAGGTAGATTAGTTAAAATGTAGCTGATAGAATTTAAAATGGATATCCAAAGCAGTTTGGCCTCTGATTACAGGGAAGTGGGCTGGAGAGGTGGGCTGGAGAGGTGGGCCAGAAAGATGGAATGACTGGGTACTATGCCATAATTCTGAAGGGCATAGTGAGTACAGTTATGGAGACTGGTTGAAAGCCTTCTCCTCTGCACTGCTATTAGAGGAGGTGCCTCTTAAGTGGTAAAGAATTTGGCTTGTTTTTTTTATTATATCCCTACAATTTCATTACATGTGATTAATCAATATATAATTTGTCAGAGTTTATTCTTAATTCTTCTTACTAAATTCCGTTGGGATTCTTTTTTTGTTTTGTTTAGTGTGGGAAGCCTCTAAACTGGTAGTGAAAAATAATTTCATTAAATATTCCTGTTCACAAGGGCCTTTTTTGGAAACCGCCAAGGAACTAAGGGGGGTTGTAGTGAAATTCAATTGAATACAGGCCCAAATATGGAAAATTGGTACTTTTGTAGCTTTTTATATTTAAAAAAGTCATTTGGAGGAAGGACAGCTTTGTAATTGACCAGTTCTTAAAAGACTGAAAAATAAATGAAGTTTCTTTTCTTTTATGTGTCTGGCAAAATCTTAATTTTTTTTCTTTTAGATAGGGAGGGCTGCCAGTATAACAAAAAGATAGACAAATTTTCTTCTGCTTCTTGTAACTAATGTTATTTGGCATGCTTTAATCTGGCAGCAGGCTGTGTATGAATTACAGATTACTGAAGGGAGTGATTGGTATAAAGTCTTACTCAACAGATAGTCATTGTACAACTGTGAAAGCTCACTGGTTCAAAGCCACTCCATACCAGCACTTTACCTAATGCTTCTTAATATAGTTCTTTTCTTTGCATGTCTTTTATAATATGTCTGAAAAACCTCAAAATGGACCCCCACAAATGACTCAAAATCTGGAAAATATGTTTTCCTGGCCAATTCTGGTTTGCCTCAGTAGTGTTTTGAAGACTTTCTATGTTAACTGCAAACATTCGTACACCAAATTCCATGGGGCCTTCATCATTTGTAATGTGAAAAGAATCTGGTTTTGGTTTCTTTAATCTTTTATGGCCAAATCGGGTCCAGAAGATGAAACTGTGGACCTACATTTTCTAACTAAACAAAGTATTGCCAATGGAGAGAAAATGTGTGGAGACCCTGTACCATCAAGTTTCCAATGTTTGCCTTCTTTAACTCTTGGCACAGAGCTCTATTTAATACTTGAGGGAAACACTGTCCTCTGGTCTTAATACCACTGAGAGCAGGAAATAATTTCAGAGGCTCAGAATCTGGCTTTATCTGAGATCTACTGGGAACAGTAGACTTGTAGGAAAAGATGTCATGGCTCATCCCCTTGCTGCATGATCACAGCCAGCTTTATGAACCTCACTCAGATGAGTAAAGAAACCCTTTTCAGGTGGGCCACTTCAAGGCTTTCACATTATATCTGCATATTTCTTATCTTCTCCAAAACAAGGGTTTTTAAATTATGATATGTGGATGTCCAAAGCATCTGTGAATGGGTTTTGGGAAGTCTGTGGAACACTGTGGAGTTCTGAATCCATTTTTCTTGGAAAGACACCTTAATCTACATCTGATTCTGAAGAGTCATTGATGATCATCCACAAAACTTCATTACCACTTCCTAAAGACTTATATATTCAAGATATTTTGAACCCCTTTTGTAAGATTTCTCTCTCCTGTGTAGAGCTGAATACTAAATAGTGAGGATGAGTAAGTGAGTTCTGAATGTATTTTTTCTTATATTTCTCTCCTTTAAGAAAGTTTTATTTTTTAAATTAAAGTTGTACATATTTTCATAGTTAAACAGTTTCATTTTGTTTACTGTAAAAGTATAGCACTCCCACATCTCATTTCTGCTTCATATAAGTGACCAGTTTCAACTTTTATAACTATTTCTTTTGGAGTTTACTGCCATTATTTCTAAATAATATGATTATTTTGCTATTGTTGGCTTTTGCAGTGTTAGCTGTTATCCACTGATGTACCATTTAAGGAAAGTGAGGGTAGAGCTCTCTTCGTTTCCTCCCATAAAGGCCTAAGATATTGCAGATACTTATGCAAGCATGTACACACACTCACACAATTTTCCTTCCTCCATTTTTCTAACATATTTAAATAATAATATTTGGCTAGCTCAACCTTCACTGCTTACATTATTATTCCTGTGTAAACTTTATTTGTAGTTAGATCACATAGTTTATGCTATGAATAGATTTATTTTATATAACTTTGTTTCTTTAGGATCTAATAATCTAATATATATTTTTTGGTGTCCTAAAATGACAACCCGAAATAATTTTTGGTGTTTTTTTTTAATTTATCCCCCAACTCTCCTCCAGATATATATATAATGTTCTGCTCTACCAGGCTGTCCATCACCAGCATTATTTCTTGGAGAACAGCTTCTGGAGACTTCTGTCCTTGTGGCTGTTGCCTGTGCCTGTTGTCCCTGGATTTGCTTTTATCATCACCCCTGGACTCCTTCCTTCCTGTGATTGGATCCCCTGCTTGATGGACTCATGCCTTCCTCTGTATTGGTTTGCACATTCATTTTATTAGAATATATTCTCTGAAAACGTCCAAAGGAAGGCTGCATGGGTAACAGATGTTTTGAAAGTCTGCATGTTTGAAAATGTCTTAGTCCTACCCTCACAATTGTTTGAGAGTTTGGCTTCTTATAGAATTGTGGATTGAAAATTATTTTCTCTCAGAAGTTTTGAAAATATCCAAACAATAGCATTTTATTGATAAAAAGTTTGGTGCTTATAAAATTGTTGTGTAAAATAAGTGTTTTCAAAATACATTTTTAAAAGTAGAGATTAATTATCTCTTGGCAAAATAAAATAAAATATTATTAGCAAAAGCATACTGTCAAATCTGGGCAGCAAAACAAAAACTGACATAAAAAGCATATCACATAAATATTATTAAATGTTAACTTCTGCCAAGTGATAATTTTACTCAAACACCACAGGGATTAGTTTGTAGTGGTAATTTACAAGTAGGTTTTTTTTTAATTTATTTTTATTTTCTTAGACGGAGTCTTGCTCTGTCGCCAGGCTGGAGTGCAGTGGCGTGATCTCGGCTCACTTCAACCTCTGCCTTCTGGGTTCAAGCGATTCTCCTGCCTCAGCCTCCCAAGTAGCTGGGACTACAGGTGCGTGCCACCATGCCCAGCTAATTTTTGTATTTTTAGTAGAGACAGGGTTTAACCATGTTGGCCAGCATGGTCTTGATCTCTTGACCTCGTGATCTGTCCACCTCAACTTCCCAAAGTGCTTGGATTACAGGCATGAGCCACCGCGCCTGGCCACAAATAGACTTTTAAAAACAGTTTTCTCTGGTATAATTCACAATTAAAATAACAGAACTTCTATATAATGCACTGAAATATAGAACACTTTCTCTTGATAAAAATGTGCATAATAACTCAACTGTAACATATTAATAGAGTTATTAAAGGTAAATAATTTAAAAAGTACTTTAAAAGCAAACCATATAACATGTGACCATTAGTAGTTATTCTATGGTAAGGTGCAGTATTAGTGAGAAGCTTAAAGTATTTTTTGAAGTATTACATCTTTATAAGTAATATTTTTAATTTGTTATTTTATTATTTTTTGGTTTTGGCCAAATAGAAACCCCACCTCCTCCTTAATCTTCTTTTCAACTTCTATACCTTCCACTGAGGAAAATCAAAACACAAATAAACCAACACTTTCTGCTGTCTTTACTCCCATCAGTTCTCTTTAATAGATTAATATTTGGAGTCTAAACTTCAAAGTGTCAGTAAAAGCAAACAGTTGGAACATCAATTTCGTATTAATGTATTAAAGTAAAAGACATTGAAAAAGAAAAAGTGAGTATAAAGGCCAAATTTTGCACACAATGGGTGACAATGAATAGCTTTGACCTTTGGCACAGATTTATCATTAGTTTCATCTGGCATTGATTTAAAATACATTTTATTCTTGTACAAATTGCTGAAAAGTTTGTATTACTCAAAATGAAGGTAATCACAAAGGATGACAGTGGATGAAATCTAAACACAACACAGCTGTGATTAGTAATGACATTCCATCAGACAGAAAACTATCCAATAAAGAGATGGTTAGAGTCAGAAAGTTCAGGGAGGTTCTAGGGCTCCCATTTGGGTAAAGCCACAGGGGAACCCAGGTCTGGCATCTCAAAGACTCCATCCCCAAATGAACCTGACATGTATTACTGAGGCTGATCCTTAAAATGGTTTTTGGACAGTCTATTAAGGCTTTTAAAATTGTCTTTAAAAAGAGAGAACATTATTTTCAAATTTAATTAATAAAATATAGTCTTAGTGACTCTCATTTTGTGGGTAAAAATCTTATTCGAAATCCAAAAATTGGAGCAAACAGGCTATTTTGAGTTTTTTTCTGTAGCACAGTGTAACCAATATTAACTTTCTAGAAATAAACATTTTAGAAAAAGATTATAAAATAAAAATGGCATTTAATGAGTTTGCTGTAATTATGGTTTTAAAATTACCTAGTATCAGAATCCAGAGGACTTCTTAAAATGACCTCCTACCAGTCTCTGGTTTTATTAAAGCCTTTTAAGTATGACCATGTACCTCATTAAATTGTTTTCCACTATTTTATTTGGTAAGCAGATAAATGTATAATTTTCAGTATTGAGTGGTATCCACAAATCTTTTTCAAGGGTTATATTCAACATACACAGCAAGAACAAGGAAGCAGAAGACTTGCAGAAGGACTGCATGCTAAGGAATGTCCTAATGTCAGTCCCAAGTCAGAGACTGGGAAGGTGAGGAGAAACCAGCCAAGAAGGCAGATGAGGAATACTCAGCAAGGTAGAAGGAAAACTGAGAGTGATATCTTAGAAACCAAGAGGAG
The DNA here is from genome assembly GCF_000001405.40 of Homo sapiens. Taxonomy (NCBI): domain Eukaryota; kingdom Metazoa; phylum Chordata; class Mammalia; order Primates; family Hominidae; genus Homo; species Homo sapiens. Next base: position 56,412,418 of record NC_000006.12, on the reverse strand, counting down.
GGAGTGTTTTAGGAGAAAGGGACTGAATAACTATCAAATTTGGCCGCCAGATTGAATAAAATGAGGACTGAGGATTAATCATTGCACTGACAAGAGAAAAATCTGTTCTGATTGACAAGGGCCAAAGTCTAACTGCTGTGGATTCAAGAAGGAATGAAGGCGAAAAATTTGATACAAACAGTTAGATAATCTTTTGAGGCTTTTGCTGAAAGGGTGGCAGAATGATGCAGTGAGAGCTGGATGGATATGAATTTAACGGTGTCTCCTTTTCCTTCTCTTCCTCCTTGTTTCTTCCTCCTTCTCCCCTCCCCCCCACCTTTTTTCATTTTGAGACAGAGTCTCGCTCTGTTGCCCATGCTGGAGTGCAGTGGTGCGATCTCGGCTCACTGCAACCTCTGCCTCTGGAGTTCAAGTGATTCTTGTGCCTCAGCCTCCCGAGTAGCTGGGACTACAGGCATGCACTGCCATACCTGGCTAATTTTTGTATTTTTAGTAGAGACAGGGTTTCACCATGTTGGCCAGGCTGGTCTCAAACTTCTGGTCTTAAGGGAACTGCCCGCCTTGGCCTCCCAAAATGCTGGGATTACAGGCGTGAGCCACAATGCCCGGCCCTTCTCCTCCTTTTAGGAAGTGCCAATAGTGATAATCTAGTTGAGAGGAGAAAATGGATAATTCAGTATAGGGACAAGACATTTGCTGGACCCCTTGTTCTTGAGTAGGTTTGGGTGGGGGACGTGTGGAATCCAGTAAGTGTTGAAGGAGTTGGCCTTAGATTGGAGCTGGGACCACTCATCTTTTTTTTTTTTTCTTTTTGAGGCAGAGTCAGTCTCTGTCACTCAGGCTGGAGTGCAGTGGCCCAGTCTCATCTCACTGCAGCTTCTGCCTTCCGGGTTCAGGTGATTCTCCTGCCTCAGCCTCCCAAGTGGCTGGGATTACAGATGTGCATCACCATGCCTGGCTAATTTTTGTATTTTTAGTAGAGACAGGGTTTTCGCCGTGTTGGCTAGGCTGGGTCTCAAACTCCTGACCTCAAGTGATCAGCCCACCTCGGCCTCCCAAAGTGCTGGGATTACAGGCATGAGCCACCATGCCCAGCCCACACATCCATTTTTAATGGTAATAAAGGCAGAGTACGAGGATACAGATGCAGGTAGGTTAGGAAATTTGTTGGTAGTAGCGCATAGATCCTCTCTTCTAATTGTGTCTATTGACTTGATGAAATAAGAAGGAAGGGCATCATTTGAGGAGAAGGATGGGAATGGGCATGGAAATGTTGGAGGTTTGAGGAGAAAGGAGAAGATATGAAATGTTAATCTAGAAAAATGGGACTGAAAACAAAACAAGGAAGTGTTATGATGCTAGAGATCAGTCCTAAAGGCCAAGGTGAAGTTATTGAGCACAAACTTAGAGTAAGGCCAGTCAGCATGGTGGCCTGATGTTTTTCCAGCCACATTCAGCTGCATATGTGTGTGTGGGGTGGGGGGGGGGGGCGGTGAGGAGGGAGCAGGCAGAGCTGGTGTTTGGCTAAGAGAGTATGACAAAGTGAGAGAGCTGAGCATGGATGCAAGGGAATAAAGAAGGATTCTGAGGGTAGGTGAGCTGAAGAAAGGATCACTGGAGGGGAGGAGCTCAAGGAGCTGAGCAGCCAGAGGATGGGATAGATTAGGTACAAATTGAAATAACGAAGTGTTATGACTGGGGTAGAGTTGGAGAAAGTGGTCACATAAGCTAGGAGCTAAAATCTTCATGATATGAGAAGTGACCCAGAGATGGAGAAGAATCTAATAAACAGAGGTGGATAATAGACTGTGAATACCTGAGCTTCAGAAGAACTGAGCGGGGTGAGGGAGGAGGGATAGATGGAAATGGAAATGGAAATGGCAATGAGGAGCAGAGGGTTGGCCTTCCTTTCTTCCAGGCCTTCTGGTGTGTGGGATTGGGAGATAAACAGACACTACTTGAATAGGGAACACAGAAAACTGTAGCTTCAGGAGAAGCCATGTCTCTTTGAGGACCATAAGTGAAGGGAATTTCTGGAAAAGAAGACGAGGATGTAGGGGTTTTGTCAGTGCTTGAGTTTGTGTCTGACCCTATATTCCAGAGGTCACAGTGGTGATTTAGGGCTAGGGAACAGAATATGATTGGGCCATTTAAGGGTATATTGAACCATCCGGCTGAGATTCTGGTCTTGATCTTCTCTAGCCACTAAGGTGCAAGGCTGAGAGGTCCTGCCATGAGCACACAGCTCCATGGGACCCCCTTCAGTCCTACCTTCTGGAGACTGTGGAAGGTGATGCCAATGACAGCATGTGGAATCTCTTACAAAGTTGGTGTTCTTGCAGACAGCCAAGAATGATAAACAAAAACACAAAAATGATGAAACACAAAAATGATAAGTCACAACTTTTACATATATTCTATCCTTCTACCAGGAGGACTACACCTTTTTAATCACTTGGAAAGCCATACTCAAATTTAGAATTCTCAGACTCCTGAGAGGGAAAGAGGGCTTGGGACTCACTTTTCAGAACTGTGTTTTCAGAATTGTGTCTTTACACTCAAGCATGCATGGTATGCCATGCACAGAGTCTCCCTCATCCAACCTCCCCAGAAACTATACCTGAATGCTGTGATGCCAGTCCCAGGCTTCTCTGGATCAGGAAGCAGGTCTGGATATCTATCTACTCTCCTTCTAATTCTTCTGTTTTCAGACTCACCTGAACTCTACTTGATGCCCTAACTCTTAGGCCCTTCTGCTTTCATCTGGCTTGCTTCTGGGACTCAGATTCCATACTGGCTTGGTTTTCAGCTTTCACAGTTCTTTTCCATCTGTTTTCAGCTTCCAAAATATTTTTACTGTCATCTCTTCTATGATACTTTGTGCCATGGGATTACGTGAAGAATTATTTTTACTATAATTTGAACGAGTTTTTGGAGTATAGGTGATATAAATGTTATTTTAACTTGAATTATTTACCCCTCTTTTTTACTGGTGTTGAGTTTCTTATTTTTTACTGGTGGTGAGTTTCTGTTGACTATAACAAGCTACTGCATTGGTTGTCAGGGGCTATGTGTATAGGGGGATAACTCAACTGTTTGAGAAGAGAAATACTTGAAGTCTATATTTCAACACAATACCTGTTTTCAGATATTTTTCAGTGACCTGATTTACAGACTGTTTGGTTTGTTTAAGCACAGTAGTTGAGTGAGAAGGCCAAGTGTCACATCCAGGTTGGAGGGATACTGGATTTCTCAAACTATCCATGAAGGGTATTGAACACTTATTTTATGTACCTTCCCAGAATAGTCCACCATTTTCTGGCAATAGGTTTTATTTGTTTTACTGGGAACTACTCTCTATCTCCACTCTCTGTGCAAGTGTTTTGGGTGGGCCTGACTCTACTCCTGGATTTGGGGGATACACAGGACCTGGCCTGTTCAATGAGTAGCTTTCACCCTCTGGCCACAGTGTTTGGTTCAGGCATGAGCACCTGATACATATCAGTTCAATTCAAGGCAGCACAGTCTGAGACTGTCGTTGGAACTCTGCAAGAAGAAATGATATTTTTCACTGTGGTCACTGAGATGGCAGGCTGTAAGCCAAAGCTACTGGTAAATGCTCTATGTGCATGTAGGTAAATGCCTATGTAAGAATAAAGAAAAGCAGGGGAGGCCGTGAAGGGGCCGGGGCGGGGGGGGGGGATGTAGGAGAGGGAGGGGGAAGAGAGAGAGAGAGAGATTGAGATTGAGACCTGATGATGTTGCTTGCTGCTAAAGCTCCTGGGTATATCAAAGTCTGAAAAATGTACACTTGCACTTTTGGGTAATGTGAATTTTTAAATAATTTTTTCTTGTTTAAATTAGTTGTGTTGGGTTTCTGCTATATAAAATCACAGGGGTCATAACCAAAGTAGAGTATATACAAGGTCTAGAATGTGTGTTTAGAGGTGTGTGTATGTGTGTGTGGGAGAAAGAATTCCAAAGAAATAATCAATTTTGCTTATTTTCCTAAGTATGAATATAATGCCATTGTGCTTTTAGAAATAAGTAAAACTAAATTGTTAAGGTGAATTTGTAGTTTTTATATGTGAATAAAACAAGAACGCATGATGTGAGAGGTACAAATGTTTAGTTAAGTTCTTTTCAGAGCCTTTGAGGATGATTTCATCTGATGCTAACAGCTCACAGGGGAGTTTCAAAGGATAGGAAAAGTGAACATTACATGATTTCACCAGATGTGGGATAAGGGAATAATTTTAGAATTTAAATAACTAAAAAGTGCCTCTGGTATGCTTCTAATGTTTCAGTATATGCAAATTGGATTTTATATAATGCTTCTCATAATATGACCAACAACAGGGTAAAATTGAACTTTAATTAAAAGCAGAGCTAGAGGAAAGCTGGGATTGGGTAGCACAATTTCCAGTTCCAACATGAAAAACATTTACACAGCATATTAAGCATAGGCCATAATTTTAAAGAAATTCAGAAATAGATCAATAGAAAGGAATTCATTTCAAAGAACAGAAACAGATTAAGAGACAATGAAGTCCTATATATTTGTTAATCATTCAATTTAAGAGAAATTATTATGCAAATTTTAAAAAATGGCCATAGCAAAGCAGTTAATAGGGAAAGGAATTAAATAATGCTAGATCGAGACACACAACTGATATGAAACACTATCCAAACAAATATCATTTTGTTTTACACAGTTCTGTGTTTCTAAGTTATTTTTCAGCCACATTTTCAGTAGCCTTTGCATTGGATATCAGCTTTGAATCATTATTCAAGAAAACAAGTGAATAGGAACATATTTTTGACCTCCTAGATGAAGAGCTGAAACTGTGTAGACTGAATTGCTCCTATTGGACATATGAAGGCAGGGACTTCATTGTTGTAGAGTCTATCTTTTAATATATTCTAGATATTTAATTATGTCTATTCAAAATGCTGCAGAATTCTACATATTATTTATATTATATTTATATATTATATGTTTAATATTTTCAGATATATACAAGATTCATAGTGCTTTTTTATCTTTCTTTTTTTATATTAAGAAGTATGGTGAAGCTATTAAAATTAACATTACTTGAGAAAAAGTGACATGGTGAATTCACTACTGTGAATTGGTGTTTCAGAAAACAATAATTAAAAATTTAAATCTCACCCAACAGCATGTTGAGAAACAGAACCAGAATCTCTTTTTTGAAACACGGTAGCCTTGTTTTGGGTTCTATGATAGAAGTCCTTCAGTGGTTAAATTTGTACTTTTAGCAGCTAAAAATGATAGTATTATGGTCATAAGCAAATTAGGTATGGGTTTCAGTTTAATGCTGGATTGAAAAAATAATGTATGGGCAATTCTTACAACTTTTAACCCCTTTATTCTTAAAGCTACAGAGAGCTCTGTAACTGAGCCACACAGTTGTATCTTCTGCATAATTGATTTTACTGAATTGAAACTTGGTGTGGTGTCTGTTTACATCAGGAATCTGTTACAAGGTGGCCCTGGGGTAACCTGCTAATAGGCTTACTATAGGACTTTTAATAATCGCCATAGCTAATATTTCATGAACACCAATGACCAGCTAGTACGTGGTGGATCTAGGATTTGAACCCAGGTGGTCTAACTACAGACCTGGTCTCTTAACTGCTGCTCTACTGTCAGTTCTTGATGCAACAGCTAGCATATAGAGAGTATTTATGTGCCATGAATTGTTCCAATCACCTTACATGTACTAATGCATGTAGTTTTTATCACAGTCTTGCTATCACCCCAGTTTTACAGATAAGACACAGTGGCTAAGTAAGAGCCAGTAAGGATTCCCTGCATTACTTTTACAGTGTCCTTTCTCAAAGAAGTTTCTCACTAGAATTAGGAGCAAAAATAACCATGCTTCTGGTGAGCAACCAGTTTGCTTTTACCTTAAATACATTTCAATTCTGTTATTACTTGTTATTTTCTCTTTCAGTTGTCACCCTGCCTGGAAATATTGAGTCAACTTGGTAGCCCAACACTAATAAGCAAATAGGATTTCATGGCTTTCTTTTCTTGAATGAATTCTATTTCTACTTCCATTTTTTCCTCTAAATGAACAGGATGCCTATAAAATCTGAAAACATCAGTAATATTATTCTATCATGTAATACAACATCAATAACAATTTATTATGTATTTGCTTCCAGACTTATATTGATATTCCACCCTGTATTTATATCTTGGCTTACCAGGCTAATTGACAGATGTTTTTGCAGTAGGCAACAAGGACATAAAAAATGTAGGGCATTTTTGCAGTAGCTATCCAAAAACCTTAAAAATATATAGCCCTTTCATCCAGAAATTTTATGTCCAAATTGATTGAAAGAAAATAGAGATTTCTGTTCTAGGATGTTAATCTTAGAATTATCTACACAGCAAAATTAATAATCTAAATATCTAATAATGAGTAACTAGAGATTGGTTAAATAAATAATTATATAACCCCAATGCAATCCTTTAAATATATGCTATAAAATATTCATGGATGTAGGAAAATATTCATGACTTGCTAAACTCATTCAGCCAATAAACATTTACTGAACACAAAGAACGTATGCATTTTCTTTACTAGGCATATTTCAAGAATGAGATAGGTCTGTAATGTGACACTGTGGAAACAAGCGATTAGTATTAATAGATTTTTATGACCTTTCTAAGAGTGATTTGCCCTTCCCTATTTATTTATTCAACTATTCAGTTGCTAACTGTTTAGTTTGTTAGGTCCCCTGGTAGTTTTAAAAAATATTCAGAACCTCTTTGACTCACACTCCCTCCAACAAGGTGAATGGATTCTAGTCCTCCGCCACCCCCTGTAAAAATGGACTGGCTAGTGACTCTGTGTACTTCTAAGGCTGTCATGAAAGGTGATACAGTTTCCTCTCTCCCTCCCCATCCCTGCTCTTTGCCAGCCACAAGCCTTGGGAACCTTAAGTTCACGTATAAGAAGTCTGGATCTTCTGAAGCTTCCACACGGGATACACCATGAGAAGAGGCTACACAGAGAGCAAAGGATGCCTGAGGAAGCACAGTTGTTCCAGCCCCAGCTGTTTGGGTCTCCCAGCCTGGGCATCAGGCAGGCAAGTGAGAGAGCCCTCAGATAACACCAGCCCCAGCTCTTGAGCCACCTCACTGGACATGAAGTGCAACAAACATAAGCTGCCCCCATCAAGCCCTGCTCAGATTGCAGATTTGTGAGCAAAATCAATGTTGTTTTTAAGGCCACTAAATTTTGAGGTACTTTCTTATGCACACTTAAGTAACTCAAACAAGCCCTTATCTGCCAGGCAAGTTACAAACCATATGTATGATCTCTCTCTCCCCCTACTCCCTCTATGTGTAAATCATGAAAAGACACTAGAATTACACAAAACAAAATGTGTAGGTAGGATTACTGCTACCTACAAATTATGGAGAATTTTTGTCTATTCCTTTGTGCTTTTTTTAAATGACATATGCATTATCTGCAATTGGTAATACATTTATTACTTCTATCATTAAAGGAGAAATAAATAAATGAATAGCTGAATAAATAAATAGGGAAGGATGAATCACTTCTGAGAAAGGTCATGAAAGCCTTTCAACACTAATCACCTGTTTATACAAGTGACACATTATAGCCCATCTCATTCTTGAAATATACCTATTAAAGAAAACGCACACCTTCTGTGACAGTGTGCTAAGTTCTCTGCTTTCATAGAAGCTGCATTCTCAACTTAGGAGACACAGCCTGAGAAGAAAGAGTCATGACCCCAGATGGCTGCCCAGTAACTCGTCTCTACCGGAATTGTCATCAAACCTATTTTCACCAATACTAATTGTGTTTTGAAACAAAATTACCAGGCTGTCTCTGAGTTTTGAGTCTTTATAATTATCTTCCGTGTCCTTCATATAATGAGTCATTGAAAAGAGATTTCTACAAAGCTCAAAAGGATGTCTTATTAATGCCAGCATAAGCTGACCATTGATCTAAAATGTGTTTCCCAATATACCAATGCCAAGAGAGCGTTGCTGGAAAGATAGTTATTAGTTTTCTCTATACACATTTCAGATGTTCCTTGTATGTAGGAGAAAATGGGATTATGAAAATAGCAATATCTTGTAGGCTATTTGTGCTGCGATTATATGGAGAGGTTGGTTGGTAATGACGTTTGCTTTCTATTTCCACATCAAATAAGGCAGTCAAACATGTTGAGGAAGCTGCTCTTAGTAGAAAATAGTTAAAATTTTCATCCCCAGGGAAATATGTCATGGACACGATAGGCCTGGATTTGGTTGAAAAACCTCAGGCAGTTCTTGCAGTAATCTGTGAAAGTGTGTTGCATGTTATTACTGTGTCAGGATGAAGGCAAAAAGCAGACAAACAAGAGTATAAAATTTATCTTTGCTTTCAGAACCCTGGAATATGTCCATTTTAATAATATTTGAGGCAACGCTGAGCTAGTTTCCCAGCCCAGATATAAATAGCTTGCTCTTCAGTTTGAGTACAAGCTGCAAAAGTTCTTCAGGCATCCATTGACTAGCTGTACACACCATCTTGCCATGGCAGCAATGGTTCCCTCCCACTGCTTCATTTCCTTATATTGTAAAAATGTCAACTGTAGTGAGACACCAAATGCTGTGAGGAATGACAGCATTCACTTTTACTTATTTTGTGATTATTCTGTGCCAGATACTAAGTGCCTTGTGTATATTAAATCCTTAATCTTCATAATAGTAAGATAGAAACCATCATTATCACCACTTTACAGATGAGAAAAGGAAAACAAAGAGAGTACACTGACCAACATCACCCAACTAGTTGTGACTGAGCCAGGATTACAAAGATAGAAATAACAAAGATGCTATAATATGTCAAGCATTTATTATGTGGCAGGATCTGGGCTAAACACTTTATGTGTATTTTTTAAAAATCCAAAACTTGGAAATAACATGAAATGATGACTGCATGTCTTTTCATGATGAAGCATTGTCTAGCAGGTCCATCCAAGGTTTATCTAATTTTCCAGGACTGTGTTTTTGACTTTCTATTTACTATTGATTCAGACCCAGATTGTATGACATTAGATGGTAACTTGTAGGAGATTAATGTATTTAAAATAATTTTTGGGTGATAGACATCCAAATAATTGTTATAGAAAAGGTAATTACACATGTTAAGTTTTATTACTCTACAGGATATTTGGCACCTTTGTAAATAATTTGGCATTCTTATTCCAGCACTTTCTTTCATTTACTATGGGTGTCGGTCTCTCCCATACTACCTTGAATTGCCATTGCTATCCAGCTGATTTCCTCATTAATAAGTTAAATAACTCTTTGTTGCATGTTCACTATAGGTTTGGATAATCATCACATCTTTTAAATAAATCTCAGGTGATTCTTATATGCAATAACTACTCTGGTTAAAATTCCAGAGACCCGTGTTCTAGTCCTTCAATTTCTGGACAAATTACTACTCAATTCTGGGTTTACATTTTCACATGGTGAAACTCTGTCTCTACTAAAACACAAAAAATTAGCTGGGTGCGGCGGCATGCGTCTGTAGTCCCAGCTATTTGGGAGGCTGAGGCAGGAGAATTGATTGAACCCGGGAGGCGGAGGTTGCAGTGAGCCGAGATCGCGCCACTGCACTCCAGCCTGGGCGACAGAGGAAGACTCCGTCTCTTAAAAAAAAAAAAAGTTTCTCATTTGCAGCAGCGCTCCTCTTACAGGGACACCAAACACCAACACTCATTTATTTAAAACAGGAGTGATGATAGTTGCCTTGCAGAGAATAGAGGATTGTAGCAAGAATCTGCTATCTGATAATAATGACCAATCTGCCATGAAAGTTGGCAGAGACAAGGTCTAGAAATTCCCCAAGAGGGAGTAATTGGGGGTAAGGCTTGCATCATCTCTGGAAGGCAGAATGGAATTGGTGGGTTTAGAAAAAGGAATTACCCAGAAGAAATGCCAAGAGGTACTTCTATGGGAATCCACTAGAAGGATTCAAATGGGTACTTTTTCTGGCAGAAGAAAGAATCAGCAGACTTAAAGATAGTTCAATAGAGATCACACAATTTGAAGAATAGAAAATAATGAAGAAAAATGAAGGGCCTCAGAGAAATGTGGAGCAGCCTTAAGTGCACCAAAATGTGTGTAATGGGAGTGCCGGAAGGAGAAGAGAGAGGAGGCAAAAAAAATGCAGGCAGTCCCCAGTATACTATGGTTTAACTTAACAACTTTTTGATTTTACAATGTAGAGAAAGCAATACACATTCAGTAGAAATTGTACTTTGAATTTTAAAATTCTTCATAATAACTTCATTATAATATAAGCTTTGTGTTAGATGATTTTGCCCAACTGTAGGCTAATGTAAATGTTCCAAGCATGTTTAAGGTAGATGACGCTAAGCTATGATGTTCAGTAGGTTAGGTGTATTAAGTGCATTTTCAACCTAGATTTTCAACTTACAATGGGTTTATCAGGATGAAACCCAATTGTAAGTTTAGGAGCATCTGTATTCAAAGTGTAAGTTTAGGAGCATCTGTATTCAAAGAAGTAATGGCTGGAAACTTTCCAAATCTAATGAAAAAACATTAAACTACCCTTTAAGAAGCTCAATGAACCCCAAGAAGGATAAACACAAAGAGATTCACATTCTGACACATCATAGTGAAACAAAGAGAAAGAGATAATATTAAAAGTAGCAAAAGAAAAATGACTTATCACATACAAGTGATAAGATTAACAGCTGACTTTTTGTCAGAAACAGTGAATTTCAGAAGAGAAGGGGGTAACATATTCAATCTGCTGAAGCAAAAAAAAAACCAAAACTATCTTTTAAAAATGAAACAAATCCCCAGATTAACAGAAACAGAGAAAATTTATTTATAGCAGAAATACTTCCAAGACCTACAAGGAAGTTTTTGAGGCTGAAAGAAGATTAAATTGGAGAGTAATTTGAATTCACATGAAAAACTCAAGGACTGGTAAATGTAATTATATAGGTAGCTATAAAAAAGTATAATTACATATTTCTTCTTTTTTTCTCTAACTGATTTAAAAGTTGCAATATAATTTCATAAGATCTATGAAATTATATTGTTGGTCCTATAACATATAGAGGCATAATATATTTGACAATATATTTGACACAAGGAGAGAAAGAAACTATACTGGAGTAAGAAAATGGCATTATGGTAACTCAAATCCAGAGAAAGAAAAGAAGAGGACAGTAATAATCTAAAGTAGAATCTAATAAATTAAGGTATATATTGTAATTCCTCTAGTGAATGCTAATAAAATAACTCAAAAATATAATCTAAAAGTCATTAAAGAAATTAAAATAATACACCAGAAAAATTACCCACTTAATACAAAAAGAACACAGTAAATAAAAAATAGAGAAACAAAAAAGACATGAGACAAACTAAAAAGTAAAATGGGATGCAAATCCAACTATATCAATAATAATATTAAATGTGAAGGAATGAAACAATCCAATCAAAAGGTAGAGATTGTCATAATGACAAAAAAACAAGATCCAACTCTTTGCTGTCTGTAAGAAACACTTTAGATTCCAATCTAAAAATAGGTTGAAAATTAAAGGATGGTGTATAGTTTGTTTTTTTTCCCCAGCACTGCATATGTATCATTTCCCCACATCAATTCTCCAACTCTCTGACGCCAACTGGGTGCCCCAAAATTCGATCCTATTCTGATACTATCTACCTGGAGTTAGTGTCAGATCCCACAAGTTAAAGGACTTAGTCCCGGAAGATCACTTTCAGTTTAGATGCCAGCTGCGAGTGGGATTCTCAGGTCACTGAAACTCCTTCCCAGTTGACAAGTTTGGGGCTTCCCACCGTCTCTCAGGTTCAATTATTTGCTAGAACAGCCTTCAGGACTCAGAAAAGCACTCTACTTACTATTACTGGCTTTGTGTCCGAATAAGATGACTCATGGTAGTGGGCAGGAGTGGGCTGCCCAGGTACTTCAGGATGATATCCCTGCACAGGAGCCACTGCCCTCATGGAGTCAGGGTGCATCACCCTTCTAGCATGCAGATGTATTCAAACTTGGAAGCTCTCTGAACTTCATCATCTAGGGGTTTTGTTTTTTTTTTCTTTTTTGGAGGTTTCATTCATAGTCATGATTGATGAAATCATTGGCCATTGGTGATTGAATTCAGTCTCTAGTCCCTCTGTCTTCCCTGGAGTGAGACATTGCTCCCCACAAAAGGGCATTAGCTGCGGGGGTCTGCCTTCAGACCCTGACCCAACGACAGATGAATAAAACGTACACTGACACACAGATATTCTGTTTTGCCAGTCCTGCTGAGTGTCCGACCGCCTGCACACCAAGAGAGGTTTGTCACTGCGGCCGGCCCTGAGCAGCTTGCACTCCAGGCATTTATTTAGTATAGAATTAACAACAGAAGCTCTGAGTCAACACTCTTGTGAATAATTAACATGGTTAAGAGAGTAGTTTTATGAATGATTAAAGTTCAGGTACCGCAGTCTAAAGTAAATACCATTAGGGGGCAATATCCCTGGTCGACCTCCCCCACCCCCCACCCCGAGAGGGCTATCTGGCTCAAAGGTTAGTTAATGGAGGTAGAGTAAACAAAATTAACTGGGGAAGACTCTGTTATCTCTAGTATTTACCCTATGACATAATGCTCTAAGGTAAGAACCAGCTGCCTTCAGCCTGTTCAGTTATTACAAGCTATGTAACCTTTCGGCCTTCCAAAAAGGTTTGTGACTATTCCCTATAACTTTCCCTAATATTTCCCTTTAATATTTCTGCCAGCATCCTGAGTGAATCCCAGCACTGGAGGTCAGGGGGTGGGGCTGCAAGTTGCAACCCTCTAATTACATGATTGGTTTATCTGGTGACCAGCCCCTAACCTGAATATCTACGCAGCCCACTGCTGCCCACTACCATGAGTCATCTTATCCAGATGCAAAGCCAGTAAATTCCAAAGGTTTTAGGAGATTTGTGCCAAGAGTAGAGGATCAAAGATCAAGTATTTATTTTTTATTATACTACAGATAAATACACACACACACACACACACACACCATGCAAACATAAAAGCTGAAGTATCATAAGAGAGCTCAAGTATCATAAGAGAGCTCAAGTATCTATACAAAGATGAAATGAAATAGACTTTAAGCAAAAAATGTTGCTAGAGACAGAGAGGAACATTTTACAATTCCCTAATATCCTGGAAAGAGGAATTGGTGAGTGGAAAGAAGGGGAGAATCTGAAGCTACAATGTTTGCTTGCTCCTTTATGATTGGGTTTAGGAACTGGGGAAGACATCAACAGGACGAGGCCCATTAGAGTAAAAAATGTCCTAGGAATATGAGCTAGGAGAAACAAAGTCAGGGGGAAGAAGACATAACTTGGAATCCCTTTCCCCACAAACCTCACAGATCAACATTTAATTGGCCTTTACTATGACCTTCCTGTGAGCCCTCAGTAACAATAATCTCATGATCAGGTTGGGTTCTAGAAAAATGTACATTTTATATCTTGTTAAGAACAAGATTGAGAGGACAGAAATTATTTGGTAGGATGGTAATTCCACTTAATGGTTAAATGGAATGTGTGCCTCAAAGAAGATTAAGCTAAGAAAAAGAAATGATGAACAGTTATGAATGAAGGGGAAAAAAGCCCTCAAGAAAATGAAAGGTGTTTTAGCTATGAAAGGCAAAATGTTTCAATTATTTTGCTATTTTAATGACAATGATAATAAAACCAAAGGATTCCTCAATCTTTCAAAAAACAAAGTAGTTTTATAATCACGTCAACATAGCACTGTCAAATTGCATTTATTTAGGATCAACACACATAATAAAATTATCACTTTTAATTTTAAAAAGTAGGTGCTTATTGGGATCATATCATTTACTTCATTCTCTGAATTAGATTCATTCTTTTTTTTTTTTTTTTTTTTTTTTTTTTTTGTGAGATGGGGTCTTACCCTGTCACCCAGGTTGGGGTGCAGGGGCGTGATTTCTACTGTGAATCCATGTGGCCCTGGGCTTTATTTTTGTTGGCAATTTTTTTTTATTGATTCAATCTCACTGATTGTTATTAGTCTGTTCAAGATTTCTGTTTCTTCCTGATTTAATCTAGAAGAGTTTTATTTTTTCAGGAATTTATCCATTTCCTCTAGATTTTCTAGTTTGTGTTTATAGAGGTGTTCATACTAGTCATGAATGATCTCTTGTATTTCTATGGTTTTGGTTATAATGTCTCCATTTTTATTTCTAATTGAGCTTATTTAAATCCTCTCTCTTTTTTTCTTGGTTAATCTAGCTAATGCTCTATCAATTTTGTTTATCTTTTCAAAGAATCAATTTTTTGTTTCATTGATCTTTTGAATTTTTTTGTTTTAACTTCATTCAGTTCTTCTCTGATCTTTGTTGTTTCTTTTCTTCTGCTAGCTTTGGGTTTTGTTTGTTCTTGTTTCTCTAGTTCCTTAAGGTGTGATGTTAGGTTGTCAATTTGTGATTTTTCAGGCTTTTTGATGTAGGCATTTAGCACTATAAACTTTCCTCTTAGCACTGCTTTTGCTGTATCCCAGGGTTATTGATAATTTGTGTTGCTATTATCACTTATTTCAAATAATTTTTAAATTTTCATCTTCATTTTATTGTTAAGCCCCAAATCATTTGGAAGCAGATTGTTTGATGTCCATATATTTGTATAGTTTTAAAGGTTCCTTTTAAAGATGATTTATGGTTTTATTCACTGTGGCCTGAGAAGATACCTGATGTGATTTTGAGTTTTAAAAAATTATTAAACTTGTTTTGTGGCCTATCATATGGTCTATCTTGAGAAATGTTACACATGCTGATGAGAAAAATGTATATTCTGCAGGTCTTGGGTAGAATTGTAAATATCTGTTAGGTTCATTTGTTCTAGAATATAGTTTAAGTCTATTATTTCTTTGTTGGCTTTTTGACTTGATGATCTGTCTAGAGTTGTCAGTGGAGTGTTGAAGTCCCCTAGTATTATTGTGTTGCTTTTTATCTCATTTCTTAAGTCTAGTAGTAATTGTTTTATGAATCTGGCAGCTTTAGAGTTAGGTGTGCATATATTTAAGGTTGTAATATCTTCTTTTTGGATTGATCCTTCTATTATATACAATGACTTTGTCTATTTTTTTTACTGTTTTTTTTTAAAGTCTGTTTTATCTGACATAAGAATAGCTACTACTGCTTGCTTTTGGCTTCTATTTGCATGGGATATCTTTCTCCATCCCTTTACCTTGAGTTTATATGAATCATTACATGTTAGGTGAGTCTCTTAAAAACAATAGATATTTGGTTTATGATTTTTATCCATTCTGCCAATCTGTATCTTTTAAGTAGGCCATTTATGCAATATTAATATTGAGATGTGAGGTACTACTCCAGTCATCATGTGGATTGTTACCTAGATACTTTCTTTTCTTCACTGTGTTTTTGTTATATAGGCCCTGTGGGTTTTATGGCTTCAAGAGGTTCTATTCTGGTACATATGGACCTTTTATTTCAGGATTTATAACTCTTTTTAGCATTTCTTGTAGGACTTGTCTGGTAGTGACAATTCTCTCAGCATTTGTTTGTCTGAAAAAGACTTTATTTCCCCTTGATTTATGAAACTTAGTTTTGTAAAATAATTCTTAGCCAACAGTTGTTCTGTTTAAGGAGGTTGAAAATACGACCTCAATCCCTTTTGGCATGTAAAGTTTCTGCTGAGAAGTCTGCTGTTAATCTTATGGGTTAGTGGATGCTTTAGTCTCACTGCTCTTGGAATTCTTTTCTACATTAACTTTAGATAGCCTCATGGCTATATACCTTGGCGATGTCCTTTTTGCAATGAAGCTCCCAGATGTTCTTTGAGCTTCTTCTATTTGGATATCTAATTCTCTAGCAAGGCCAAGGAAGTTTTCTAGTTTTCCAAACTTTTTGCTTTCTTTTCTCCCTCAGGATCACCAACTATTCTTAGGTTTGGTCGTTTTACATAATCCATATTTCTTGAACACTTTTTTATGTTGGTTTATGTTGGTTTTCACCTTTCACTTGTATCTCCTTGAGTAGCTTCATCATCAGTCTTTTGAATTTATTATCTGTTATTTCAAAGATTTCATCTCGGTTTGGATCCAGTGCTGGGGAATAATGTGATCTTTTGGGTGTGTTATAGAACCTTGTTTTGTCATATTGTCAGAATTATTTTTCTGGTTCCTTCTCATTTGGGTAGGCTACTTCTTCTGTTTGTTCTTGGTTTATATGTGATTTAACTGTGTTTATTTTTTAAATTTCCTTTTTCCCTTTAGGATATTACTTTAATGTTTATAGTTCTTTGTAACCTAATTTGGCCTTTGGTGCTTTCAGAGGTGAAGAATTTGTATGAGTTCCTTGGTTTTTTGTATGAATCTTTGTATTATGGCTTTGTCAGATGTTGATTTTAGTAGCAACGTGCTTGGTGTGTGAGCAAGTGCACTGTCTCCTATGGAGTTGGAATGGTAGAGGTTTCCTGAAGTTTATCTTATTCTCTGTGAGATTTATCTCTTTAATTTTTCCCCAGTATTTTATTTACTAAGTTGAATAATTCAGGTTTCAGGCCAGTACATAAGGTGCCCCTGGATAGAAACTTGTTGTGGCTAAAGCAGATAGATAAATGCAATGCCCAGTGGTGGGCAGAGGTCCCAGCCTTGACAGAGGTGGCTGGGGGCTCAGTAAAACATACTGAGGTCTCATCAGGGGGAAGGGTGGGAGCCACTTCAGCTCCCCTACTGGGCCAGCAGGGAAGTGATCCAGCTCTGAGACTCACTCCTAATCCAGTGTTCCAGCTAGTCCAATCAGACAGGCACTTGTTTTCATCTGCAGATATGTTGGTGTTCCAAGTAGACAGGGATTGTGGCTCTACCCATGTGCAAACCTGAACCTATGGGGATGCTGTTATCCTGAAGTTTTCCGGAAAGGCTGTCTATGGGTGCACCCATGCCGACCTCCTGTGGGAGAAGACCCAGCTGTGTCTGTAGTGGTGGATAAGGGGGAAAATAATTCCCCTTCTTCAAGACACTTCATGAGCACCAGGGCTGCCAGACCATTGTAGAGTCACAGGCTTCTCCTCAACCTCCTTAGCCCAGCACTTCACCTGTGCCTCTGCTGAAAGAGATTTTCTACAAGCAGAAAAGTTTTGGGACTTAAGGCCTGCCACCTGGATTCTTTTGTCCCATGGGGTGTTCCCTTAATGTGGTGCACTCCCCCTTCCCCTAGGAGTAGGAGTCCCTGAGAACCAGACTACTGTGAATGCTGCTGCTCCTCTGGGTCTAGCCACCCAGTGGAGTTGCCACACTCAAGGCTAGTACTGGGGAATGTCTGCAAGGGATCTAGTGATGTGATCTATCCTCAAGTCTCTCAGTAGCAGGTACCACCAGCAGCACTGGTGGAGGTGGCAGGGGGGTGACATAGACTCTGTGCGATTCCTTGGTTATAAATAACCTTACTGTGTTGGCTTTCTCAAATGCCAGTTGTAGTCATGATGAACTGGTCAAATGGACACTCAGAACTTCCTAGTCAGCCCGCTTGTTACAGGCAATGGCGATAGCTGAGGTCATGTACAAGTTTTCTCCTTCCTGGGCACTTCATTATGCTACCCGGAGATGCTGCAATGGATTGTGTCAGTTGGCCTCCAAACAGGAGGTGATGCTTGCAAGAGAACACCAGCTGAGGTGGTAGTGGTGGGATTTGTGCTTGCCTTATGTTACCCAGGAGAGGTACTTTGGTCAGTTTCAGGCAATGGGCTACCCCATAGAGCTCCCACAATTTCTGTCCTTTGTGTTGAGCTGCAAAAGCAGATAGAGGGGTAAAGCCAGGTAGGTGCTGGGTCAGGCAAGTCCATGCTCTAGCTCTGCATGTGTAAGACAAGCAGAAACCCCAGTGGAGGTCTGTGGCCAGCTCTCTGGCCTCTGGGGTTATGTTCCAGGAAGTAGCACAGCTGTCTCTGTTGCACAGAAGTTTACATCGGTAGTGGGGAATAGCAGGTAGAGGTAAGCCACACTCAGCTCCCACACACTTGGCAAGGCAGGCCTCACATCCGCAGGGTTCCACTAGCAGCAGCTAGCTAAGTTCCAGGCAGTCTGGGGGCAGGACTCAAAACTGCCACAGGCCATAAGCTTTCCCAGTGGAGATAGCAACCATAGCTTTCAGGCCACGCCCCTCCCACTCCGCCTATGAGGCCAGGGCACCCAGCTCCTGCATTGTGGCTGCAGCACACTTCCCACTCACACCCCTGGTTCTGGCCAAGGGAGTTCATACCCACTCAAAGATTATATTACGAATTTCAGATGGGAGCTTCTCTCAACCTGCAGCCACCACATGAGTTAGCTGGCCGACTTCTGTGAGGTTCCCAGTGAGGTAGGATCAAGAATGGCTTCGGTTCATACGGGTTGGAGATTGGGCATGCATGTGAGGCTCTTCTCGCCGTTTCTACTTTTGTATTTCCCACCGCTCTCTAAGTCAGTTCCATTACTGGGTAGGGTTCAGGCCTACTCCTGTGGCCTGTATTGCCAGGTCCGCCAGTAGGAGTGTGAGTCCTGGAGGCAGTTTATCCCTCTGGGGACTAGCACACTCTGGGGACTGGCAATTTTCTACCTGCCTCATGGTGTAGGCTGCAGCCTGCCGCTTATTTCAAAGGGCCTGTGGTTTCTTTCAGTTTTCCTGTTAAGTTTGTGTTGCTCCTTGGTAAAATGTTCACAGCATGAATCTCTATACACTATTTTGTCTTTCCAAGTGGGAGACGCATGCTAACAATTCCACCAATCCACCATCTTCCACTTTGTTGATTGTTTCCTTTGCTGTGCAGAAGATTTTGAGCTTAAATGTGACTCCATTTATCCATTTGTGCTTTGGTTGTCTGTGCTTTTGAGGTCTTACTCCAAAAATCTTTGCCCAGACCAATATTCTGGAGAGTTTCCCCAATTTTTTCTTTGTGTTGTTTCATAGTTCAAGGTCTTAGATTTAAGTCTTTAATCTATTTTGATTTGATTTTTGTACATCGAAAGAGATGGGGTCAAGTTTCATTCTTCTGCACATAGATATCCAGTTTTTCCAGTACCATTTATTGAAGAGACTGTCCTTTCCCCAATTATATTCTTGGCATTTTTGTTGAAAATGAATTGACTATAAATCTGTGCATTTATTTCTGTGTTCTCTCTTCTGTTCCATTGGTCTGTTTGTCTGTTTTTGCCAATACCATGTTGTTTTGGTTACTATAGCTCTGTGGTATAATGTGAAGTCAGATAATGTGATTCCTTCAGTTTTCTTTTTTTTTTTTTGCTAAGGATTGCTTTAGTTATCCTGGGTCTTTTGTGGTGTCATATAAATATTAGGACTTCTTTCTTTTTCTGTGAAGAATGTTATTTGTATTTTGACAGAGATTGCATTGAATCTGTAGATTTCTTTGGGTAGTTGAACATTTTTAACAATATTGATTCTTCTTCTCTATGAACATGGGAATATATTTCCATTTTTTGTGTGTCCTCTTCAATTTCTTTTATCAATGTTTTATAGTTTTCATTGTAGAGATCTCTTACTTCATTGGGTAAGATTATTCCTAGGCATTTAATTTTATTTGTAGCTATTATAAATGAGATTACTTTCTTGGTTTCTTTTTCAGATTATTCACTGTTTTTAGAAGTGCTGCTGAGTTTTGTGTGTTTATTTTGTATCCTGCAAATTTACTGAATTCGTTTACTGAATGAGTTCTAGTAGTGTTTTGGTGTCATCTTTAGGGTTTTCCAAATATAAGATCATATTATCTGCAAATACGGATAGGTTGACTTCCTCCTTTCCAATTTGGATGCCCTTTATTTTGTTCTCTTGTCTGATTGCTCTTGCTAGGACTTCCAGAACATGTTGAAAAAACAGTAGTGAAAATGGGCATCCTTGTCTTGTTCCAGATCTTAGAGAAAAGGCTTTCAGTTTTTCCCCCTTCGATATGATACTAGCTATGAGTTTGTCATATATGGCTTTTATATTGTTGAGGTATGTTCCTTCTATACCCATTTCTGAGGGTTTTTATCATGAAGGGATGTTAAATTTTATCAAATTTTTTTTGTCATCAATTGAAATGATCATATGGGTTTTGTCCTTTGTTCTGTTGGTATGATATATCACATTGATTGATTTGTGTATGTTGAATTATCCTGGCATCCATGGGATGAATCCCACTTGATCATGATGCGTGATCCTTTTAATGTGTTGTTGAATTTTGTTTGCTAGTATTTTGTTGCGTCTATGTTCATCTGAGTTATTGGCCTGTAGTTTTCTTCTTTTGTTGTGTCTTTGTCTGGTTTTGATATGAGGGTAATAGTGGCCTCACAGAACAAATTTGGAAGTATTCCCTTCCTGATTTTGGGGAATAGTTTGAGTAGGATTAGTATTAGTTCTTCTTTAAGTGTCTGGTAGAATTCAGCAGTAAAACCATCAGGTCTTGGGCTTTTCTTTGCTGGGAGACTTTTTAATTACAGTTTCTGTCTTGTTACTTGTTGTTGGTCTATTGAGTTTTTGTATTTCTTCATGGTTCCATGTTGGTAGGTTGTATGTATAAAATTGTATAATGTATCCAGTTGTTCTATAACATCTATAAATGTATCCAGTTTATCCAATACATTTATACATCTATAAACATATCCAATTGTTCTAGGTTTTCCAACTTATTGGCATGTGGTTGCTCATAATGGTCTCTAATAATCCTTGAATTTCTGTAGTATTCGTTTTACTATCTCCTTTTTTATCTCTGATTTTATTTATTTGGGTCTTCTCTCTTTTTTTCTTAGTCTGGCTAAAGGTTTGTCAATTTTGTTCATTTAAAAAGGTTTTTAAAAAACTTTTCATTTTATTGATACTTTGTGTTTTCTTAGTCTCGTTACATTTATGTCTACTCTGACCTTTATTATTTCTTCTATTAATTTTGAATTTGATTTGCTTTGCTTTTCTAGTACTTTATGATGCATTGTTATTTGTTTGAAGTTTTTCTGCTTTTTTGATGGAAGTGTCTATTGTTATACACTTCCCTCTTGGTACTGCTTTTGCTGTATCTTGTAAGTTTTGGTATGTTTCACAAAATTTTAAAATTTCCTTTTTAATTTCTTCATTGACCCAGTAGCCATTCAGGAGTGTAATGTTTAATTTCCATGTGTTGGTATAGTTTCCAAAATTCCTCTGTTACTGATTTCTAGTTTTATTCTATGGTGGTTGGAAAAGTTACTTGATATGATTTCAGTTTTTCTGAATTTTTTGGGACTTGTTTTGTGACCTACCATATGGTCTATCCTTGAGAATGTTCCATAAGCAGAGGAGAAGAATGTGTATTTGGCAGGTACTGGATCAAATGCTCTGTAAATGTCTATTAGATCCATTTGGTCCATAGTGCAGATTAAGTCTGATGTTTCTATGTTGATTTTTTGTCTGGATGATTTGTCCAATGCTAAAAGTAGGTGGTTGAGGTTCCCAACAATTATTGAATTGGGGTATATCTCTCTATATACCTCTAATATTTGCTTTACATATCTGTATGCTTCAGTATTGGGTGCATATATGTTTACAAGTGTAATATCTTCTTGCTGAATTGACCCCTTTATCATTATATAATGACCTTGTTTGTCTTCTTCTTTTTTCTTTTTTTTCACAGTTTTTGTCATGAAATCTATTTTATCTGACAGTACAAGTGTAGGTACTCCTGCTCTTTTTTAGTTTCCATTTGCATTGGATATTTTTTCCATTCCTTTATTATCAGGCTGTTTGTATCTTTATAGATTGAATTTCTTGTAGGCAGCATATAGTAGGGTCGTGTGTGTGTGTGTGTGTGTGTGTGTGTGTGTGTGTGTGTCCATTCAGCCACTCTATGTATTTGATTAAGGGATTTAGTCCAGTTACAGTCAATGTTATTATCGATAGGTAAGGACTTACTACTGCCATTTTGTAATTTGTGTAAAAGTGATTTTCTCTGGTAGTATGTTTTAATTTCTTGCATTTTTGTATGTGTGTCTCTGTTATATGTTTTCATTTTGTGGTTATCATGAGGCTTGCAAATAACATCTTATAACCAATATTTTAAACTGATGACAATGTTGATGATTGCAAAACAAATAAACAAACAAACACATAGCAGAGAAAACTAAAAAAACTCTGCACTTTGTCTCCTACCTCTTGACTTTTTGTTGTCTCTATTTATATCTTTTTATATTGTCTATCTCGTAAAAAGTTGTTGTGGTTATTCTTTGATTGTTTTGTCTTCTAGTCTTTCTACTAAATATATGAGTGGTTTACACACTAATTGTAGTGTTAGAGTATTCTGTATTTGTTTGTGTATTTACTATTACCAGTGCGTTTTATACCTACAGATGATTTATTGTTGTTTATCAATGTCCTTTTCTTTAAGATTGAGGAACTCCCTTTAGCATTTCTTATAAGACAGGTCTGATGTTGATGAAATCCCTCAACTTTTGTTTGTCTGGGGAAGTCTATTTCTCCTTCATGTTTGAAGGATAATTTTGCTGATATAATATTATAGGTTGGAAGATTTTTCCTTCAGATGTTGAATATGTTATCCCATTCTCTCTTGCCCTGTAAGGTTCCACTGAAAAGTCTGCTGTGAGATGTATCAAAGCTCCTTTATATGTTATTTACTTATTTTCTGTTGTTGCTTTTAGGATCTTTTATCCTTGACCTTCGAGAGTTTGATTATGATATGCCTTCAGGCAGTCTTATTTGGGTTGAATCCACTTGGTGTTATATAACCTTTTTGTACCTAGATGTTCACATCTTTCTCTAAATCTAGAGGGTTATGTGTTGTTACTTTTTTGAATAAACTTCCCACCCCAGTATCTCTCTCTACATCCTCTTTAAGGCCAGTAACTCTTAGATCTGTCATTTTAAGTCTACTTTCTTGATGTTGTAGGCATGCTTTTTTTTTTTTAATTTTTTCTCCTTTGTATATTTTTTGTTTTGTTTTGTTTTGTTTTTTGAGATGGAGTCTTGCTCTGTTGCCCAGGCTGGAGTGCAGTGGCGTGATCTTGGCCCACTGCAACCTCCACCTCCCACGTTCAAGTAATTCTGTCTCAGCCTCCCAAGTAGCTGGGACTACAGGTGCACGCCACCACACCCAGCTAATTTTTGTATATTTAGTAGAGATGGGGTTTCGCCATATTGGTCAGGCTGGTCTCAAACTCCTGACCTCAGATGATCCACTGCCTCAGCCTCCCAAAGTGCTGGGATTATAGGCATGAGCCACCACGCCCAGCCTCCTTTGCATATTTTTATGTAGTCTGTCTTCAGGCTCATTAGTTATTTTTTCTGCTTGATCAATTCTGCTCTTGGGAGACTCTGACACGTTTTTCAGTTTGTCAATTGAATTTTGCAGCTCCAGGATTTCTTGTTGTTTGTATTTCTCTTGGTACATTTTTTCTGATAGAATTCTGAATTCCTTCTCTGTGTTATCTTGAAATTCGCTGAGCTTCCTCAAGACAACTGTTTTGAATTCTGTCTGAAAGGTCACATAGTCTATTACTCTGAGATTGGTCACTAGTGCCTTATTTAGTTTGTTTTCTGATGTCAAATTTTCCTGAATGTTCTTCATGCTTGTGGACATTTGTCAATATCTGGGCACTGAAGAGTTATTTATTTCTATCTTTGCAGTCTGGGCTTGTTTGTACTCATCCTTTTTGAGAAGGACATATTCAAAGAAGATTGAGTGTTGTGATTTAAGCCTGTAGTCACTGCAGCTGCAGCTGTATCAGCACTGGGGGCAGAAGAGGACAGGGAGTTCCCCAAATCCAGAAGCACTGTCACTCTTGCCAACTCCTAGAGGCACAACATTGGACAGCATTGGTTGACTTGGGTAAAATAAGGGAGAATTCCTAGGTTATCCTGAAAAGTCTCTTGCTTTTTTCTCTCTCATTCCTCCAATCAGCAGGAGTCTCTGACCATGCTGGGCTGCCTGGAATTGGCAGAGGGGATGTAAGCACTCCTATGTCCACCACAGCTGGCACTGTGCTGGGTTACACCTGAAGCCAATGCAGTACTGGGTCTCACCCAAGGCCCGTAGCAACTACTGCCTGACTACTACTGATGTTTATTCAAGACTCAAGGGCTCTTTAGTCAGCAGGTGGTAAATCCTGCTAGGACTAGATCCTTCCCTTCAGGGCAGTGTATTTCCTTCTGGCCCAAGGTGGGTTTAGAAATACAATCCAGGAATTAAGGCTTGCAATCAGGGGCTTTGGGAATCTGCTTGGTGCTTTATTTTACTGTGGCTGAGCTGGTACCCAAGTTGCAAGACAAAGTTCTCTGTACTCTTCCCTCTCCTTTCCCCAAGTGGAGGTAGTCTCTCTTGGAGCTGAACTGCCTGGAGCTGGGGGCGGGATGATGCAGGCACTCCCTTGGCCTCCACAGCTGGTATTGCACTGGGTCATGTGTACCCCAGGTCCACTGCTTATCAGACCAGGTCAGCACTAAGGCTTGCCCAAGGACTGTAGTTTTTGTGGCCTGACTGCCACTCAAATTTATTCTGGGCCACAGGTCCATGAGTCAGCTAAAGGTGGAGCCAGCCAGGACTTCTGCTGGGGATAATTTCCCTCTGGTCCAGGGCTTATCTAAATGCTCCCTCCATGGGTACCAGCAGAAATCTGTTTTGGGTTGTGTTTCACAACACTGTGACAGGGCTACAGGGAGTTCCAGTGCAAAGTCCCACACACTCACTTAGGTCTCTTTCTCCCAAGCACACAGATTCTCCTTCCACATGTATAGCACTGAGGAGGGCTGGGAGAGGGGTGGTGTAGGCAATGCAAGACTGTCTTTCCTACACTATTCAATGCCTCTATCCTTAATATTATGTTAAAACCAGGTACTATGATTGCTTACCTGATTTTTTTTGGTGTTTGTGAAGGTGCTTTCTTGCATGGATAGTTGTTCAATTAGATGTTCTTTCAGGGGGACAATTGCTGAAGGGTTCTATTTGGCCATCTTGTTCTGTCCTCCTCTTGCACAGACTTTAAAAAATAATTCTCATTGGAATCCATATTCCCAAACAGCATGATAAATCCCTGGTGCTTGACTTGTGGAATGTTATGTAAAACAGGGTGACGAATATTTAGAGGCTAACATGGTTTAAATTAATTCAGTTAATTAACAATTAATTTGTAAATAATGAGATTGAATTGTTTTCATTTAAATTTTGTCCTGTCTCAGCTGTCCCTGAAATCAGAGGAGCTTATCCTTAGAAGCATTTAACGCATGCAACATCAGTTTTAAGGAGCCTTGAGTAAATTTCACTTGATAAACCCTTTTGACATTTGCAAGGTGAGTTCACTTTTAAGAGGGAATGTTTGTGCTGGGAAGCACTCTAGGCCATCTGGCCTAACCCTTTCATTTTAGGAATGAGGGAGATGGAAGGGCTTTCACTTCTCCCTTTCTTTCAAACCACCACATTCAGCTGGCTCCAAATTCTTACAGTTTTACTTTCTAAATATTTCTCCAATTCATCTTTTTTTCCCTTTCCCTACTGTTTGTTCATGAGGTCATCAGATTTAATCTGGAAAACTGGCTTTTCTACTTTCTTTTTGCTTCCTTTAAAATCCTTCTTACATACAACCTTCAAATTCAGTTATTTAAAAAGAAAATCATAAAAAGATGCTCAGAATCATTAATCACTAGGGAAATGCAAATCAAAGCCATAACGAGATCACTTCACACCCCTTAGGCTAGCTATAATATAACTTAAAAAAAAACAACAACAACAAGTTTTATCAAGAATGCGAAGAAATTGGAACCCTCATACCTTGTTGGTAGGAATGTAAAATGGTAAAGCTGCTGTGGGAAACAGTTTGGGGGTTTCTTAAAAAGAACTACTACATGACCCAACAATTCCACTCCTAGGTATAGTAAAAAAATCTGAAAACAGACATCAAACACTTGTACATAGAAGAAACTGAAAGAAGGCACCCAAACACTATGTATAGCAGCACTATTCACATTAGCCAAAAGGTGGAAACAACCCAAATGTTCATCAACGAATGAATGGATAAACATAATGTTTCATAGCCCTACAATGGGGTATTATTCAGCCATAAAAAGGAATGAGGCCAGGTGCAGTGGCTCATGCCTGTAATCCCAGCAATTTGACAGGCTGAGGTGGGCAGATTGCCTGAGGTCAGGAGTTTGAGACTAGCCAGGCTAACATGGTAAAACTCCATCTCTACTAAAAATACATAAATTAGCTGGGCGTGGTGGCAAGCGCCTGTAATCCCAGCTATGGGATTGACTTATGGAATGTTATGTAAAACAGCTTCCTGTTTTACATAACAGGGAAGCTGAGGCAGGAGAATCGCTTGAACCCGGGAGGTGGAGGTTGCAGTGGGCTGAGATTGCACCACTGCACTCCAGCCTAGGTGACAAGAGCGAAATTCCATTTCAAAAAAAAAAAAAAGGAATGAAGTACTGACACATGCTGCAACATGGAAGAACCTCAAAAGCATTATGCTAAGTGGAAGAAGCCAAACACAAAAGGTCACATATAGTGTAATTCCTTTTATAAGAAATATTCAGAATAGGTAAATTCACAGAGATAGAAAGCAGATTGAGGGTTGTCAGGAGCTGGGAGGAAGGGAGGGGGAGTGGCTACTCAATGGGTACAGGATTTCTTTTGGGGTGATAAAAATGTTCTGGAACTTGATATAGATGGTGGCTGCACAACACTGTGGATGTACTATATGACACTGAATTATATGCTTTAAACAGTTAATTTTATGTTATGTGGATTTTATCTCAATTTTTTAAAAATGTCAGAAAAAGTGGAGGAGGAAGACTAAAAAAAAAGAGTCAGAGTGATACAATGTGAGAAGGACTCGAATTGCCTTTGCTAACTTTGAAGGTGGAAGGGGCCATGAGCTAAGGACTGTGGCCATGCTCTAGAAGCTGGAAAAGGCAAGAAAATGGTGTCTCCCCTCAAGCTTCCAGAAAGGAATGCAGCTCTGCCAACACTTTGATTTTAAGCTAGTGAGACCTGTTTCAGACTTCTGACTTACAGAACTGTGAGATAAGTTGATGTTGTTTAAGCAGCCCAAACAAAACGAAGCAAAGCAAAAGACCTGTAATTCTTAGCATATGACATCACCTCCCACCAAAACTTTTCCAAGATACTTCATTGCTACTAAAAGACAATACACCATGAAAGCCACACTCAGATTTGATCCCTACTAACCTCTCCACGAGTCTAACACGTCACTCCTGTTGGCGGTGCTACCCTTTCTAGTGCTTCCTTTCCATCACCCTTGGCCTGATTTTCATCTGCTTCTGCAGGACTCAGTTGAGACTGCTCCTCTCCAGGTCATGTTAAGTTTCCTTCCTCAGTGCTCCATAGCATCTCGGAAGTGTCTCTATCCTTGCAATTGTGACCTTTGGCTTATGTGCTGATTATGTTCTCCTGGAGGTCAACATATATCCTTGAAGCCTCAGGACCTATACCACATCCTCCCTCAATTCCTGCAGAGCATAGTGCTTATAAAAGTTTGTTGAATGAACAAGTGTACAGAATTTAGTCCACAGAGGAAAAGTGGCTTATAAGTGTTATTAGCAGAAGTGGGGTTGAGTCTTCTCTCCAGGCTGGTGCTCTTACCAGCCGCCTAAAAATATTCAGAAAAAAAAAATTTGCCCTGTAATATTATCAGATAGTTCTACACAGAATCTGTTGTTTGTGGGCCAGAATACTTAAGAAAATATTACTCTTTCTCCTTGTACTTTTCCTTTCCCAGTTCCCCGAATGTAACCAAACCCTTTGGTGTTCTTTTGGCTTAGAAAAAGTTTTTATTATGGACCAGAAGCAGAAGTTGTCAGTAAGAATTTATCTTCCTGGCTTTTCTTTTCCTAAAGCCTCAGCTTTGACAAGTTTATGCAAAACATTTTAAGGACAATTAGAAGGAGATAGATTTTTTTTCCCACAGATCAAAATAAAAGGTCAAAGACATGTAAGTATTTGAAGTAGATGAAAGGGGAGAAGGAAAACCCATGCCCTATTGCATGGTCAAGGCCTGTGCAATTGGAAGGACCTGCCAGGGAGGGTGTGAGAGTGGTAGTTGTACCTTAGGTACTGTACCCCACTCATGGTGCAGAAGCAAATAAATGCCTGTTCAAGGAAGCACTCTGGGCTTGGCTAACGAGGATGACAGGGCACTAGGGAGACACCAATCATTAAGTGTCTTTCCCCCAATTTCCATGCACTGCCTAGCCTCTTGGACTCTGGTGTGACTGTATGCTGAGAAGGGGCTTTGGAGGGATGGATGCACCACAAATTAGTGCGAAGGGGGCTAAGAATTGTGCCTAGTTTAATCTAAGGAAAAAAATTAATCTATATTTCTCACATCTTTGGATTTGTGAACTAAGATTAATACACACTTAAATATTGATAAATGGATGAAAGCCTCGAGCTATAGAGGAAAGGGGGATCAAAACGAATCCCTCACCCTCAAATATCTCTTCTCGAGACCTGTTTTATTGCCTGAAATTATCACATTTTGGTTTTTTTAAAACTTATTTTAATAAAGTCACTGAAGGAGGCAAGAGTATATGTTGCAAGGACTGTTGAATAGAAAGCCAAAAACCTGGGTCAATTCCTAATGCATTGAACCAGACTGTGAAGGAAGTAGTTTGACTTTGATGTTAGCCCTCTGGGTGGTGCTTCTGCCCACTTCCTCTGCCCATCTCCAGAATAAGCTGTGTTTTCAGGCCTTTTCTTTCCTTATCAGAATCTGTGAGAATAACCCGGGAAAGTTTCAGGAGACCTACTCTGTCTTCAGGTACCTACCTGGGTTAGGAGAAGGAGAAGAAATGAATGTGACACATAAAATCATTAACAGACATCAACACTGTAGTGTGGAATAGTTTATCAGATCATCCAGTCACCTAAGAAAACAGTTCTTGCAATGGAATGAATATTTGTGTCTCCCCAAATTCATATGTTGAAACCTTAATCCCAGTATGATAGTGCTTAGCAGTGGGGCTTTGGGGAGGTAATTAGGTCATGAGGGTGGAGCCCTTATAAATGTGATTAATGCCCTTATAGGAAGGGGCCAGAAAGCTAGCTAGTTCTCTGTCTGCCACGTGAGGATCCAAGGAGAAGGCAGCTGTCTGGAATCTAGAAGAGGGCCCCTATCAGAACCCAACCATGCTGGCACCCTAATCTCAGACTTCCAGCCTCCAGAACTGTGAGAAAGTATATTCTTATTGTTTAAGTCACCTAGTCTATGGCAATCTGTTATAGCATCCTGTATTGACAATGTTTCAAGGGAACAGTGGTTAGAAAGGAGAAATTCTGATTAATTGGGAGGAGGAGGAAGTTATTAGCAAAGGTTAGGACTGTGAGTACTGTTGAGGTATGGGTCGGGGGACTATGTGAGGAAATGTGTGGCTGCAGAGTAGACTGTTCACAACCAATATGGCAGAAGCACCAGAGCCTCTGGTCTAAGGAGAGGCAGTGCCTTGGTTTGGGCTGCCATAACAAAATACCATAGGATGGGTGGTGTAAGCAATAGAAATTAATTTTCTTAGAATTATGGAGGCTGGACATTTGACATCAGGGTGCCATCATGGTTTGTTTCTGGTGAGGGCCCTCTTCCTGGCTTCCAGCTGTTTTTTTGCAGTGACCTCACAAGACCTTTCTTGGTTCCTGAGCCTAGAGGGTGAGGGAGAGGAAAGGATCTTCCTCTCTTCCTCTTCTTATAAAACCACCAATCCTATCAGATTACTGCCTCTCCCTTATGACTTCATTTAGCCACAATTACCTCCTAAAAGCCCTATCTCCAAACACAGTCCCTTTGAAGGTTAGGGCTTCAACCTATGAATTTTTGGAGTGGGCTAAGGGGGACACAATTTAGTTCATAGCAGACAGAGAAAGAAGGAGGTGGGAAGAACAGAGAACCTATCTCATAACTTCACCTCCAGTGATATTCGTTTCTTCATAACGCTTTCCTCTTTAAAGAACAACATATCCACTTCATTTTTCTAATGGAATTATGAGAATATAGAGAGTACAGTGCTTTTGTTTTTACACAAAAGACAAATGTTTTCTAATAACCAATGGTGAACTAGAAGGGAGGCCTTGAGCATTCCAAACACATTTCTAGGGCACCAGAACTCACAAACGTGGGATTAATCACCAGACACTGAAAATTCAATGGTACTATTGTGTAGATGACACATAATAAATCTCACCAGTCCTGACAGGCGTGACCTATTTACTGCCCTAGTGGTGGTAAAATCGAACCCTTGTCAAACAGGATGCTTTTGTTAGTTCCTTTTTACAGTTTAGTATCCATGTCATCAGGAATAATTTGCATCTAGGTCACAGATTCATATCTGTTGCTGAAGTCAAATTACTGGTGAGGAAGATTGTGGGTAAGGAGAGGCTTTTGCGTGGTGGCATTGTGCAAGAGTGTTGCTATCAGAGTCTGAAAATCAACCTTCACCTGAGATTTGACAAGTTGAGGTGCTGGAAGTGTGACTTCCAATTTGGAGTCAGTTTGTCACTTTCAGCTTCATTAAAATACAACTGTGGACAATCTTAGCTGATAATTGACAAAACATTCCTTATTTTGCTAGAAGGTTGGTTCTCATTCTTTTAGGGATGCTCCCAGTCAAACTTGATTAAAGGGAAAGTTTTATATAATTGTTAAAAGCAACTTTTGTAGCTTATGTTCGGTGAAATTTAATGTGACACCCAAAATATAACAACACCCTTGCTGTGTGTTTTGTAACAGGAATAGTGAAAGCTTTCATGCATTTCTTTGTAACTGAGGCCATGGGCTTATGCCATCATCAAATAAATATTTCAAGGATAAAGTGAAATAGTACCCCAGAGAGTCTAATTGTGCTCCTTTGAAGTAACAGTCATATAATCTCTCTTTGCCTCTCTACCAGGTGGGTTTTATTTGAGCGGATGGAGAGATAGCTTGTTTCTGCTTGGGCAGAGGTCCACAAACCAGATGGCAGGTAATATCTGAATTTAGGTGTCTATTCCACTCATTCATTTTTTCCCCTTTCTAACTAAATCACAACAACCAGAGGCATATAGTAAATATAAATTCGTAAACTCGACCACATAAAAATTAAAAAAATTCTTGCCCCCAAAATAAGCAAAATTAAATGACAAATGACAAACTGGACAAGATAATTTCATGGTATAAACAAAGAGTTAATTTCCTAAATATAGCAGATTGGCATCATTTATAGAACATAACATAGTTATGTTCTATAAAGTCACTGAGAAACCTGAATTAGCGACTGCTGAACTATTGCTCCTATGGGAAATAAAGGGTTAGTTCCCTGTGAGAGCCTTTGGTCACAAGATTTTCCTCAACCAATCAATATGTAACGTTGTTCTGTATGTATTTCTATTTAAAGACACCTTACCGAATACATATTATTGTTATGTATTTTTTAGTATATAATGTTCATTAACATTGAACTCATGGCCAACAGTGCTATAACTCATGCATTAAAGAAGCTTATCTAACACCTGGATTTTCTCCATAGGCACACCACAGCCTTCTCACCCTTAGGAACACTAGACAGCTCTGCAGCCCTACATTTAGGGGCCATTTTCAACAGCAACATCACCAGTAAAAAGCACAAAAATGTGGAAAATGTGGAAAATATGGCACTAAATAGACCATGAAAAGGACACTTGTTTACAGTATGAGAACTGGAACAGGAAGGCAGAGAGTCACCTTGTTTGACCTCAGCTAACAAATGTTTTGCTGCTCTGTGCCTGTCTGTGAGTGACCACGAAGGCCCTGTGAGTATTGGTTTGAAGATTACAGATAATTTTATTGAGTAGATTTGCAAAAAAGGAATTCATGAATAATGAGGATCAATTTTATATTTAAAGGGTTTACAAAAAGCAATATGAAAAAGACCACCTGCCCATTAGAAAAAATGGGCAAAGGCAGTCATATTAGTCCATTTTGCATTGCTATAAAAGAATACCTGAGACTGAGTAATTTATAAAGAAAAGCGGTTTATTTGGCTCACAGTTCTGCAGGTTGTATAAGAAGCATGGTGCCAGCATCTGCTCAGTTTCTAGTGAGGCCTAAGGAAGCTTATAGTCATGTGGAAAGAAAGGGGAGCTGCTGTGTCACATGGCAAGAGAGGGAGCAAGAGAGAGGGGAGGAGGTGCTAGGGTCTTGTAAACAACCAGCTCTCGTGTAAACTAGAGGGGGTTGCACCAATTCATCACCAAGGGGATGGCATCAAGCCATTCATGAGGGATCTACCCCAGGATCCAAACATCTTCTACTAGGCCCTACCTCCAACACTGGGGATTGCATTTCAACAGGAGATTTGGAGGGGACAAACACTCAAAGTATATCAGTAATGAATAGACAGATCTCAAAATAGGAAAGACAAATGACTCCTAAATATATGAACAGATGCTCAACCTCCCTCATAATAAGAAAAATTATCACATTAAGTTAAAATTATATTGAGATGCCATTTTTAAACCTATCAGATTATCAAAGATAAAGAATTTTAATAAACTATTGTGTTGAAGAGATAGTGAGGAAATAGGCACTCTCATACTTTGCCTATGTGTGTATAAAATGATACAATATTAAATACGAAATCCTATGCTCTTTCCCATGACCACGTCTGGTACTTGGGGATACCAGAGTACTCTTTTCCCTACCCCTGCCCCTTTAAAATTACAGTTTTTGATGTTTATGTACATATGTTTCTAGGCAGGAACGTAGGATGAGGAGGAGGTAGAAGAGAGTATGCAGTATTGCTTTATCCTACTTCTCTATATTCATCTATATCTTATTTATATTTAATTATATCTTCCTGCTAGTGGACACCAAGCATTCCTGCCCTGGGTCTTTAATGATAAAAATCTAGGTCTTGCATTCTCCCCATTTCGGATCAGCCTCAGGCTATTTTCAGATGCCTCTCCTTTTTTTCTGCTGTTAAATTTATCTGATAGAATTCTGAATTCCTTCTCTGTGTTATCTTAAATTTCTTTGACCTTCCTCAAAACAGCTTTTTGGGTTCTGTGTCTGAAAGGTCACATATCTCTGTTTCTCCAGGATTGATTGGTCCCTGGTGCCTTATTGCATTTGGTGAGGTCATGTTTTCCTGGATGGTCTTGATACTTGTAGATGTTCATCTGTGTCTGGGCGTTGAAGAGTTAGGTATTTATTGTAGTCTTCGCCGTCTGGGCTTGTTTGTACCCGCCCTTCTTGGGAAGGCTGTCCAGATTTCTGAAAAGACTCAGGCGTTGTGATCTAAGCTGTATCTGCTTTAGGTAGCCTCCCAAGCCCAGTAACGCTGTGTGGTTCTTGCAGACTTGTAGAGGTACTGCCTTGATGGTCTTGGACAAGATCCAAGAGAATTCTCTGGATTACCCAGAGACTCTTGTTTTATTTTCTTACTTTCTCCCAGACAAACAGAGTCTCTTTCTGTGTTCTGAGCCACCTGAAGCTGGGGGTGGAGTGACACAAGCACTCCTGTGGCCACCACCACTATGACTGTGCTGGGTCAGACCTGAAGCCAGCACAGCACTGGGTCTTGCCCAAGGCCCCCTGTAACCACTCTCTGGCTATTGCGTATGTTCGCTTAAGGCCCTGGGGCTCTATAATCAGCAAGTGGCAACGCCAGCCAGGCCCATGTCCTTCCCTTAAGGGCAGAAAGTTCCCACAGGCCCCAGGCAGGTCCAGAGGTGCTATCCAGGAGCCAGAGACTAGAGTCAAAACCTTGGAAGTCTACCTGGTGTTCTATTGTACCGCAGCTGAGCTGGCACTGAAATCACAAGACATAGCCCTTCCCATTCTTCCTTCCTCTTTTAAAAGGCAGAGAGCTTCACCTGTGGCCACTGCCTCGGCAGGCCCACAGGGAGTACTGCCAGACTACCTCCAAAGTACCCTTAAAGTCCAAGCAAGGGCTCCTCTATCAGCTTGTGGTGGATGCTATCTGGCCTGGGACTCATCTTCAGGGGAATGGGCTCTGCTCTATCCCAGGGCGGTCCAGAAATGTCATCCAAGAGCTGAGTCCTGGGATCGGGGACCCCAAGAGCCTGCTTAGTTCTTGGGGCCCCACTGTGGCCAAGCTAGTACCTAAGGTGCATGTCAAAGTCTGCTTTTCTTTTCCATCTGCTTTTCTCAAGCAGAAGGAGTCTTGCCTTATAGCCGCCACAGCTGGGCATGTGCTGAGTCTCACCTGAAGCCAGTAAGTCTCAGAGTCTCACCTATGGCCCTCCACGTAGTACCTGGGTATCGCTGCTGGTTATTTGGGGCCCAAGGGCTCTTTAGTTAGCAGGTGACGAATGCTGCTAGGACTGGGTCCTTCCCTTTAGGGAAGCAGGTTCCCTTCTGGCCCAGTGTGTATCTAGGAATGTTGTTCAGGAGCTAGGGCCTGGAACGGGACCTCATGACTCTGACCAGTGCCCTATCCTGCTGTGGCTGGCGGTATCCAGGATGCAAGACAAAGTCCTCTCTACTCTTCCCTCTCCTTTCCTTCAGTGGAAGGAACATATCTCTTTTGGAGCTGCAAACTGTGCAGCCTGGAATTAGGAGAAGGGTGATTCCAGTACTCTCTTAGTTGCCGCAGCTGGTGTCTTAGTAGGTTGTGTGCCTCCTCAATCCACTGTCTCTGGGCCCAGTTCAGCCCTAGGACTTGTCTAGGAGTTTCAGCCTGGACTGCCTTTCAAGTTTATTTAGACCCCCAGAGTGCTTTAGCCTGCTGTGGCGAGGCTTGCAAGAACTCAAGTTCCCACCACTGAAAATGGTGATTCCCCTCTGGCTAGGGCTAGTTTAAATGCTCTCTCTATAGGTGAATGTCAGCTGAGTTTGGTTTGGTTTTCCTTTCTGCTGTAACAGGACAGCACTGAGTTCAATGGGTCATGATTGCTGCACTTTCCCTCTCCCAGAGCACTGAAATGCCCTTCTCTCCACTCACACCATCACTGCTGGAGGAAGGGGGAAAATGGGGGAGAGGGGAGTGGGGAATCGGGGATTGGGGAGGGATGACATCTGTGATTTAAGACTGTTTTTCCGGGCCGGGCGCGGTGGCTCACGCCTGTAATCCCAGCACTTTGGGAGGCCGAGGTGGGTGGATCACAAGGTCAGGAGTTTGAGACCAGCCTGGCCAGCATGGTGAAACCCCGTCTCTACTAAAAATACAAAAAATAAATAAATAAATTAGCTGGGCATGGTGGCACATGCCTGTAGTCCCAGCTACTCGGGAGGCTGAGGCAGGAGAATTGTTTGAACCTGGCAGGTGGAGGTTGCAGTGAGCTGAGATTGCACCATTGCACTCCAGCCTGAGAGACAGTGTGAGACTCTGTCTCAAAAAAAAAAAAAAAGACTTTTTTCTACCTCTCGTGTGACTCTTTTAGTGATATGAAGTTAAAACCAAGTACTGTGGGTGCCCACCTGATTTTTGGTTCTTATGAAGGTGATTTTTTTCTATAGACAGTTGTTAAATTGGTGTCCTTGTTTGGGGGGGGTGGGGGGTGGGCGTCGATTGGTGGAGCCTTCTATTCTACCATCTTGCTCTGTCTCCTCCTTTTTATTTTCTGTAACTATTCAAAATCTCAAGACCCCTATCCTATTTCAACACTTCACATCAAATTTTCATAGCTCTTAACTTATGGAGAAAATTGAAGCCATAAAGTATAAAATGTCTTGACTTCTCCCCTATCTCTAAAAGATTTGTCTAGATATCTACTTAGCCTTACTTTTCCCCCTTATAGATGAAGGATGAAGTTTCTTGAATCCAAGTTCAACTTGCTAGAGCCTGCCTCTCTTTGTTCTCTGGCAGGTTGAAACTCTCCTTCTCTACTGATTTATTCCCCTCTGCATATAAATATTCTCACATTTCATTAAAAAAAAAAAAACTTTCTTTACCTTGTTACCACTCTGGTTACTGGTATTTCTTACTCATGCTTCTTTTCTCAGCCAAGCTTTCCAAAAGCATGTCTTCTCATCCTGCCTCCTCTTCCTCCGTTTTCTCTTCACTGTGGGTTTCACAGTAAGCTGGTGTCCACAGTCCCACTCCTTGGAAACTGTTATGCCAAAGGTTATACTTGTCTTCTCAAATGTTGCAGCCAGTGGAGAGGTTTTAATCCTTATCTTAAGAGACCTCTTATTGGATATACAGTGTTAGCTAGCTAGTTTTTTCCTCTTAAAACCCTCTACTCCTGTGGCTTGGGTGACATCACTCTACTTGTTTTATCCCACTTCTTGAGCACTCCTTGTCAGAAGCGAGTCTTCCTTTTACCCATTAAACATCTATGTTCTGGAGAATACGTCAGCTACCCGCAGCTCTTCTTACCCTATTGTTGTTTCCTAAACAACCAAATCCACTAGTTTTATTTACTTCCAACATGTTAAGCACTAAACTTCCATCTCTAAAAGTGAACCCTCCAGCTATGAACATATTTGATATCTATACCTGGAGGCCACATAAGAACATGTCTAAACTGAATGCAATATGTCTGCTACCCTCATTCTCATTCAACTTGCTTTCTTCCTGCCTTTAATTTCCCCATGAGCTCTCCCCCACACCCACCCCAAGCCACATGTGGTCAATAATGAAGTCTTTCAGGGAATATTTTGATTTGATTTTGCATCAGTCGTGGTCCTGGCAGGAACCTGATGGCATGAACAAATGATGTGACTAAGGAATATGAAAACCACTGTGTAAAGGGACTTGTTACAAAGTGTGGGCAGGGCTTAGGGGAACCATAAAATAATGGCACCATGCACTGGACTAGAACAGCAGAGAGTGCCCACCACCCTCATCCTGACAGGGCAAGAAGAAGGGGAGGTGACTAGAACCTGGAGGCCGTGCCTTTCCAGAGAAGACTGCTTGGTGAGAGCTGTCATCTGGCCAGGAAGGAGGCAGGGAAAATAATCTCAGACTCACTTTCCTCCTATCCTTCTTCCACGGGTGCCTACCACTGGCTGAACTCAATTGGAAGCGAGTGGACAAGGAGCTGATTCAGTCAGTCCATACGGTTCAGCCTCCTCAGTTAGAGAGCTGGGTGGAGAAGTGAGGAGGGTGGATCTGGAGGGCCAAGTGGAAAATATCCAGGACAGACTCCTGTGGGGACTCAGCATACAGCTGTTACTATTTATACTAGGGTTTTGCTGACCTTGATGTAATTTCATACTTTTCCTTTCTCGGTCTCTAACATTCTTTCTCTTTTTCCCCTTTGGCTCTGGCGTTCTCTCACTTTTCTTTCAAACTGGCTTTCTGCCTCTGGCTGAGTCCATATGTCCCAAGAGTTCTGGCATCATGTAAGGCTCTACTCAGGCATGTGGTGGGATTCCTGTTCTCTGGGACAGTGACACTAGATGAGGGTTGAAACTGTTTATTTCCCTCAGCAAAGTTTCCTGGCAAATTTCCACCTGGAGAATCATCTGTTCATGAGAGTCTAAAGAATCTCACCAAGTTCTAGGTGACCAGAAATGAGTAATTAGATGGGAGGGAGGGAGGGATTTTGTTTAGAAGCAGTGATTTCCTAATAATACCTAGATGTTACTGAATGTCTT
Organism: Homo sapiens; assembly: GCF_000001405.40. Lineage (NCBI taxonomy): Eukaryota > Metazoa > Chordata > Mammalia > Primates > Hominidae > Homo > Homo sapiens. The sequence continues at coordinate 56,374,786 of NC_000006.12, read as the reverse complement.
TTTTACAAACATTCCAAGGTTTGGAGACATGAAAATATAATATCTTTTTTTTTTTTTTTTTTTTTTGAGACGAAGTCTCACTCTGTCACAAGGCTGGAGTGCAGTGATGCGATCTTGGCTCACTGCAAACTCCGCCTCCCGGGTTCAAGAGATTCTCCTGCCTCAGCTTCCCGAGTAGCTGGGACTCCAGGTACGCGCCACCATGCCCAGCTAATTTTGTAGTTTCAGTAGAGATGGGGTTTCACCATGTTGGCCAGGATGGTCTCAATCTCTTGACCTTGTGATCCGCTAGCCTGGGCCTCCCAATGTAATATATCTTAGTTTGAGAAATCCTACACACAAGATCCCTTTTACTTATCATATTTCTTGGTTCTTTCACTTTAAAATATCCTATTTTGTTCTACTGGGGAGGTAGAATTAGCAAACAAGATGTCTTCAATTATTTGCAGCTTGGCATTTGTGGCTGTCAAAAGGCTGGTAAATAGGAAAAAAATTCTATGTAAGAGGAAAATGCTTATCATGGATGCCTCTTTTCTTGGGGAAATGTCACTTCATCCATTCCGTAAGGTCTTTGTAAGGTGGTCTTCCATGAGCTCCATCATCCTTAGCCATAGAAATGGATATTTCATACAAGTCGTGCCAAAAAGAAAGTATCCTTCCTCTAGCAACATGTCTGGGGTAGAAGTGAGCATGTGACCCTTAAGAGATCAATAAAAATCTTTTCCTGGATTGATGTACACACTGGAAGAGACACACTCCTTTTAAAATAGGGTGGCTAAGTTGGGAAGGTGTGAATCTGGGGCAGCTATTTGTAGTCAGGTTCTTATTTGGAAGCTGTAGAAATCCACTCTGGATGATTTAAGCAGAAAATAAATTTATTAAAAGCCTGTTTACGAGGAGATGTTGGTCAAAGGATATACAATTTCCGTTACACAGAAACAATAAGTTCAAGAAACCTATTTTAAAATACCCTCACTGGTTAATAATAATGTATTATATTCTTGAAAATTGCTAAGACAGTAGATTTGAAGTGTTTTCAGTACAAAAAAAGTATGTGAGGTAATGCATATGTTAATTGTCTTGATTTAGTCATTCCACTATGTATACATATTTCAAAACATGTTATACAAGATAAATAGGTACAATTTTATATGTCAGTTAAACTTTTTTGTTTGTTTGTTTTTTGAGACAGAGTCTCGCTCTGTCACCCAGGCTGGAATACAGTGGCCCGATCTCAGCTCACTGAAACCTCTGCCTCCTGGGTTCAAGTGATTCTTCTGCCTCAGCCTCCCGAGTAGCTGGGACTACAGGCATGTGCCACCACACCCGGCTAATTTTTGTATTTTTAGTAGAGGCGGGGTTTCACCATATTGGCCAGGCTGGTCTTGAACTCCTGACCTCAAGTGATCCACCCGTCTTGGCCTCCCAAAGTGCTGGGATTACAGGCATGAGCCACTGCACCTGGCCTAAACATTTTTAAATAAAAAAATTAATTTTTAAAATAGCTTATTAGTAAGTAGCAGATGGAATCCCTAGGGTGGCCAGAGCATCAGGTACTATGTTCACCAACTGGAATATGGCTCTAAATTATGCCTCAGGCCTGGTCCGGTGAGGACACCATTGCCATCATGGCTGAGCCCTAAGCTCTCCAGCCCACAGACCTGACACTGAACCTGGGATGCTGGACATCACATTAGTGCAGCAGCTGCTGCTGTTGCCCCCAAAATGTGAGTTCAACAGGGACAAGACCTCAAAGTTTCTTTTTTTTTTTTATTTTGCTTTCTAGCTCCAAATTTAGGGGTAGTCTGGGTTATATGCCAGATCCCCAGCTGCAAAGGCATATGGGAAATCAAACATCTGACATTTTCAGTTTTTATACTGGGAGGGCACACGCCTCACCAAGAGTTATGAGGCAGGAAATTCCCTAAACATAGAGAGGAGTTCCAGATGCTACAGAACAAAAGAATGACCAATACCATTACAACAGCCACCTTCCCTATCATGGGAGAACTGGACTGCAGAATTAAGCCAACATAAAGGAGGGAGAAAAACCAAGAGATGGAGAGACAGACAAAGCCCAGATGACATTATTGAAGCCTCTGAATCTAGATGTTCCTGAAGCTTTTTTCCCCCCACTCCAGCCTTACATAAGCTGATAAATTCCCTTTTTGGCTTTAGTTACATACTCCCTTATGAGTTGAGCGTCTGTCACTTGTAAACAAGAAATTCCTGCCTTATATGGTGCTGTGTTCATTATTAGTGTAGAAATCATATTCTTGCTTCTTTATTGGGGCATTTTTACAGAGTTCTCCCTGCCAATACTTTCTGAATACTCTTGATGCGTTGACACATGGACAAGCCTGAGTGAGGAGGAAGAGAACCACCATTCCTGTCAGCCAGCCTGGTAGGTTGGCCAGTCTCTCCTTGTCCTGTGTAAATGCTTTCTCAGATCAAATTATCCAGATTTTCTCTAATTTTGCTCCTGTCTCCTGTATTTCAAGGAATACTGTTCTCAGCTAATGAGAGCATGAAATCCATGCTCTATGTCCAGTTGCAGGGTCAAAGTGTCTGCTTTGACTGTCTCTAAGATTTGTGGATTTGTACAGGAATCCATTTGTAAACATTTGATTAGAAGCCGGCTCCTTCCTCTCCAGGAGTTGGCATATCTCTGGCCCTGTTGAATTAGTGTTCTGGTGTAGGACACACCTCAAGGATTTATTCTCTGGGGGAATAAACATCTTGGAGCTGTCCCCTCATTTTCTGGGGCACAATACTTGTTGCCTTGTCCCCCTTCACTTTGCTAAGCACCTCTGGCCTCCCTGTTTCTTGGGTCCAACCCAGTCACAAGGGGACTCAGCCCAGCTCTGTGGAGCAGGGACTTGGGTGTGGATTCTGGAAACTCCTTTCTGCTTGTCCGATCATCTTCACTTCTCTGATGGCCCAGGGAGCTGAGGCCTTTAGGGGTTTAGCCCAGGAGAAATAGATGAAAGGTCAAGGAATTCAAATAACATATGAATGGAAAGTCTAAGGTCTTCTTGGCACCCAAAATGGTACCCACTTCTCCTGAATGGCTCAGACACTCCTGTGGATATAGTGTTCTTTCATCTGATGTCAATGAGAGGCTGAACTGCAGATTCTGCATGTCTCTGGCACTTCTTGGATTTATGAGGATGGGCCCCTCTACTCAAACTGCCCTTTCCTGGGGAACCCTGAGAAGTTCCAGTCTACCCAGGAGCTGGTGAACAGGCAGAAGAGGAAAGGCCTGGGATGGTCCACGTGAATGGGGGGAACTTGGGTTGAAGGCCGATATCTCTTCACCTTGGTTGCCCCTGAGGTGGGGCTGGGCACCTGACTCTCCTGGCATGCCCTTAAGCTGATAAAGCATTGGTCATCAGAATGCAGCAGATTGGGCTGTGATTCCTTGTCATTTAGATGAGCTGAAGCCAAACAACTCATAAGATGTCTCTTATCTTACCCTATCCCAGTGTACAAATGTAGTCCCTAAATCCTCTTTCTGCATTAGGATTTTCAGTGAATCTACTGAATAAATAGCAGATGCTGAAGAACTGAGTGACGATACATTTTTAACTTTTCAAACAGCAACTTGATGGCATTTAACTTCTCTTGAAGCTTCCAGACTCTGGAATATATCACACTTATTGGCTGAATTTCCCTTTGAACCTGGAGGGTTTTCAGCAGACATGAGTAACTGGTGAGCAGAAGTTGTGGTCAGCATGTGGTGCAGATCCTAGAGGAAGGGAAAGCAGGTTTTTAAGATGATCATTCAATTCTTCAAGGCATTTCCTTTTTCCATAAAAAGATTATATATTAACCTGATTAGAAATATGTAAATAAGCTGCCTCCTTCCTTTTATTTTCATCTGTTGCTCTGCAAAATCCATTCTTTTTCTGGGAATGGAAGGAACTGATGTAATTGTTCTGTGTGGAGGACAATGAAGAGCTATTGGATCTTTGCCAAGTACATTTCCTGCCAGGGCCTGTTCCTGCACTCAGTTTAATTATGAGCAATTGTTTGGGCTGTGATGTGAAGAAATATTAGAGAATGGAAAAAAAGAAGACCAGAGTTCAGAATATTATGCTACAACTGATTCATGTTTTGGCAAGAACTCTTAACTAGATTTTATGCTTTCGCCTTGTGATGGTATCATAGGGAGCAGCTTTGCCATATAAGCACATAAAGCCCAATTGTACGGTTTATTTTGAAAAGGTCCAAGTAAAAGCATTTGAAAAATGCAGGAATAACACCAGCTATAGGATAGAGTTCTGTGTTAATCATGTGCAGTGCCCTCACAGAGGGACCGCAGTTATTTTAAACTGCATGTTAACACCACCTGTATTTAGCTGGTGTGTCAAATTTTATTGCTTAGCTTTTCATATATTTGACAAATCTCACATTTTACAGAGAGGCTCTGATTAATTCTCACGGTGTGTGCTCAGAGAGGGACGTGATGCCGGTGGAAGCTGAACTCTGAGGAAGGCCGGGAACAGAGACAGGTTTTTCCAGATCGGGATCTGAATCAGGCAATCCAGGAGCCTAGTGTCCTCAAGCGGCCACTGCTGGGAACGTGAATGTAGGCGAGGACCTGGAGATCAGACTCCATGTGGGCCGTTGACCTTTTCTGTTTTTTTGATTAATAAAGGAAAAGACAAATACAGAAAAGCATAACAAGAAATTTAAAGTAGCCTAAAATCTCACCACCTAGAGATAACGCCTATATGGCCTCAAGTCTTTTTCTAGCTTATGTTTACACGTAAGCATATATTTTTGAATAATTACAACCATTCAACATAAACTGTTTTGTATGATACTTTTCCAATTAAAATATATCATGAGCATTTCCCTTGCTTTTAATTCAAATGAAAGAAGTTTTAGTAGCTGAGTGTGATTACCTTTAATAGCTGTACATTCACTCTGAATATCAATTGGTTTTGTATAAATATTTACTGTGGCTGTTTTAATTAGTTTCTGTTTGAATATCATTGAGGTTGAGCAATTTTTTCGTATTTATGGCCATTTATGTGATTCTTCTTTGGCGAATTGGCTATTTACATCCTTTGCCCATATTTCTATGATGGAGACATTGAATTAATTCTAATTGATTTAAAAGATCTCTCTCTGTTGAACACATTAACTCCTTTTATCATATCTTATAAAAAAAGTTTTCACAATTGTTTCCTTTCTTATCTTGTTCAGGATTCTTTTAAGATGGGAAGATTTACATTCTTTTGCAGTCACATACATCAGTTTTTTTTCTTTATTTTTTTTCTACCTTTATGTCCAGAAAAGCCTCTGGGTCTCAACATCAGACACTTTTTTTATCAATATTTTGATTCTTTCATGGACACAATTTTACATAACACCCTCTCACATCTTAGATTTCTTTTGCTGTGTGATATGTAGGATGGTTTTTGATGGGTCCTGCGTTTATCTAGTATTCATTTTGTTTTGAATTGACTTATGGCTATTCTTACCCTGTTATCAGACTGCTTGAACTATTATAACTTTATAGTATGCCTTCATTATCTTCTAGGGTAAGTCCTTCCACTTTTTACTAGTATTTCCATCTTTAAAAAGCCACCAATGATTAAAATAACACTTTTACTTAAGTGTTTTGAATTGAATTTTGTCTTTTGGCTATAGTTAGGAAAGATGACCAAAACAATTGGTTCTCGATATTCAGCTAATAGTAGATACTCTGGATTCATACTTAGTATTTATTTGCATTGATTTCTAAGCAATCTGTACTCCACCTAGCTTGTTTCCAAAGATGGCAGAAAATACCATGCTGCCCATTCTACAGATAGAGTCTCAGCAGTGAGCATATTACATTTTTAATGGAGAAATTATGTGGACATTTTTCTACTGAAATAGTCACAGTTAAATAAAATGAATGGTATACCAGCATCCAGCATATATTTGAAGACTGCTGTAGAAGATTAAAAATTAGAGACCATTGAAAATTTCTCTTCCTCAGCACCACTGAGAATAGGAACAGGAAATGTCCCAAGCGACACTTGCTCACAGAGAATTAATGATAGGAAGTGACCTTGAAGCTTCGTTCCCAAGAAATATAAACAAACTTTCCCTGGCAGCCAATGGCAGATAACTCTGAAACAAAAGGAATGTAAGTGAATTTTAAGGGGGGTGAGGAGAAGAGGTTGTGGAGTAAGAACCTGGTTCCAACCATGACCAACTGGAATTTTAATCAAATAACAAAGTGGTCACTGCCCTGGATAGCCACTGTTGTGCTCTTAACCGAGATTTTCTTCTAACTGTAGACAAATCAAGCCATTTCACATTGAATTTTTTCCTCTGCAATGCATGAAGCTGTGTAATCATCCACCTAAAATTATCTTATGAAAGAAGTGTCATTTCAATTCTTTTTGATTTGTCCACATCTCTGAAGAACACACTTTTGATGTGTATAGGTGCAGAGATTTAAAATTTTATATTTGTCTAGTATATAAAAATTATAGCTCAACAAATGAGAGAATAATTTAAAATGGTTAGGTTGTCCTAGAATAACTTATTTTAATGTTTAGAATTATTTATGAAATAAAAAATTACAAATATTCTGCAAATACCCCCCTGCTTAGTTGAGTCAAAGGACAGCTTGTTGAATAATTTCTGGTTAGAGTGCTGAGATTAGCACAAATTAGAAAAGGTTAAAATTTTTTTTCACAGTAGTTTAATTGAAATGATTGTGCGCAAATGCTTTTGGGTGTTTATGATATACCTTTAAGAATTGTTTCTTCCAGGTGCAGTGGCTCATTCCTGTTACTCCAGCACTTTGGGAGGCCAAGGTGGGCAGATCACTTTAGTCCAGGAATTCAAGACCAACCTGGGCAACATAAGGAAACTCCATCTCTACAAAAAATTAAAAAATAGCTGGGCACAGAGGCGTATGCCTGTAGTCCCAGCTACCCGTGAGGCTGAGGCGGGAGGATCTCTTGTGCTCAGGAGTTCGAGGCTGCAGTGAGCTGTGATTCCTCCACTGCACTCCAGCCTGGGTGACAAAGAAATACAAAAAAACAAAAAATTGTCTCAGTTCCAAGTAATAGAAAACTAGATGAATTAGCTTAAACAATGAGGATATTTACTAACTTACATAACAAGGAATTCAGAGGTTAATGTTCCAGAGAAGATGAATTCATTGGCTTGGTCATTTAGGTTCCTACTTTCTGCTGCTCTGCCATTCTCAGGGTCTGAGAGGGATTGGTTATCTCCCCTTATTGTCTCAAAGCGTCCTTTGTAGACACAAAATTATACTGTAGAAGAGTGGGAGTGTTTTCTCTTGTTTCTCTTGAGAGGGAGGAAATTTTTTCTAGTAGTCTTCAGAAGACTGTCCTTCACAGGTCATTGGCCAGATCTAAACCAATTGCCCACTCCCAGACTAATCACTGGCAAAGGAAATAAACTGACTGTAGTTGGTTCAGACCAATCAGTTTAGACTTGGATCACATAGGGAAGGCGTGAACATGCAAGCAAAGAGTATTGAGATTCTACCAGCCAGGAGGAAGGGAGAGGCTATTGTGTAAACAACAATCAGCATTTGAAAGTGATTTCCCATATATTATATATGAACAGTAATCAGTGAATAATGGCATTTTAAATCAATTCTAAATATTTTAAAGTTGATTTTAACTAAAATGGAAAAGCTACTAAATTAACATGTTTCTGATGAGCCATTAAAACTTGTATTTATTTGTAAGATCACAGAGACCTTACATAGTCTTAAAATATTTACCATTCTAGTAAAGGTCTAACTCTGAAAAGATTATATTTTTTGTTAAGTAAATTGAGGTAAGGTTTAGACGGATGTGTTTTTAATAGTACAAAGGACACCCTAAAATCTTAGAAGTACAGTTATACTTACATGGTTGAACAGTTCTGCTAAGCACGCAAACTGGCCCAATGGGAATGAAACCATCTTACAAACTATTGCTGCAATAGTTGCTAAAAGTGTTGTGCTGTTTTTCTTGCTGTGAAACAGTTTTCCACTCGTGGAAGTGTGGAAACACTCATCTGGAAGAAACTTGAATTTATCCTTTTGAGAGGTGTTGGCCTGCAGTTCAGACCAAATCCCATCAACCTAATTGCTCCTGCCACAGGGCCTCAAGAGTAGAGAATGCTCCCTTTGTAACCTGACAGAGGGGGCAGAGCTCCACAAGATCTATTGCTTGCAAGAGAAGAGAGAAATATGACTTTACATGACATCTTCCTCCCAGCTAGTTGCTTTTTTGGCACTACTTAGTTGTACATTGGGATTTTTTCTGCATTCTAAAAAACATATTTATTTTCAAATGGGAGTAGCCCATTCTTACTCCTGATTCTCAGCTTCTGAGAATTGACATGATCCCAACCAGACACTCGTCAGATTTTCCTGCTGCGGTACTTGGCTGTCAAAGCTAAAAGTCAGTCCTAGTATAAGACCAGTGATCTCTGACTTGCAGAGAGGGTTGTTATGGGAGGAGGGAGAGCACTGCTCAGGCTCAGACTTGGCGAGGCTGTGTTGTAATCAGGGTTTTGTATGTTGAGCGAGACTGTCTCACCTTTTAGTTCTTTTTTGCACGTTCCCTCCTGCTGTGGCTTCAGTGTCTACATCCTTTTTATCTCTTTCCCTCTATCAAATCTAATTGCAGAAAAGGAATCCAGTAAACTCCATAACATACAAGGGTAAATGCTATAAGGTGAGAGACACATTTGCATTAACCTTTTCCTTGAATTTTCAAGTAAGACAAATCTCTAAGTCAAAGATTGCATTTCTAATTGTGACATTTGGGTTTTCCAAAAAAGCCAGGAAGAAAGGTTGTCTTTTTATTCTTTTTTAGGGATTAGAATTCTTCTTGCAGTCCTAAAAAAATCCTTCCATATACTGAGGTGGCATCTTAATCTATAAGGGGCTATAGTGAAAGGAAAACAGGCTTGGAAAGAAGTGGTTGTTATACATGGTGTAAAGATTCAGAGTTAAACCCATCAGGTCAATGAAACTGCTCGATGTCATACCCACTCACCACCCTCCCAGTCTGTGAGGCATTGACATATAAGAATGGTGGGAGCATTTTATTACCACATTGGAACCCACAGTTTTATAACTTTGGGAGGCCTGGTAACTTTAGTGCATTAGACTATTGGGAATAGAATTGAGACAGGAATATTTTAGAAAATTATAAACACTGAATTTATGTCCTACCTATAGCTAAAGGGGAGGGGAGGCAGCTTACATTAAGACATCCTAAGCAATAAAATAGCAAAACCACGAAAAAAAAGATTCAAGAACCAAGAAGTTAAATGGTAAGGGTAGGATTATACCAGAAAATTATTTATATTAAACTATTCTTTGCAGCATATAAGTTAGTGCTGAACTTAGAATCAAGAAGAAGTTGAAAGGTACACAGGTCTGCTTTTCTTCCTTGTCTAGCCATTAGGGGAGTAGAAGAATTCTAGTCCTCAGTTTAGGAAATAATCCATTATGCAAGCTTTTATGTGGGGGAATATTCGACAATACAGAGGATAAGATGATTTATTCCTGTGAGTCATTTTGGTCAAGTGTAGATAGCTATTTAAGATTAATAGAGATTTGAAAATGTGGGGGAGAGGTTTGTGGTGAGCTGTAATTGTTTTTATTCCTGATAAATTTGATTCCTGGTGGTTTAGGATTCCTGAGATTAAAGGGGTTGCCTTAATCCATGTTAGGAACCCCAAGAAGTATGTTTCCTGGACATGTTATGTATGAAGCAAAGTTCTGGGGCAATAACATGAGCATCCCAGAGTCGTCTCTTGGGGAAAGGATTTTACACATGCTCACAGAGTTCATAGAGTATTCAACTCACCAGTGACTCAGAAACAAAAATGGAACCAAAATACTTTCTTGAAACTCATATAATCCTTCTTGTATAAGCCTTAAATGGTGCCCAATAATAGCTGTGGTAAAAGAGACTGTGTCCTCTGTGTGAGAAAATAGACTGCTTAAATTTCTGAATCTTTTTTTTTTTTTTTTCCTGGGCTCTTTACAGAGAGAGATAACATCTAGCAAATTGGGTAGAAAAAAATCATAGCTGCTCTTTGTAGTCTTTACTGAGGGAGAAGTAAATTGTTGCCCTAAAGCCAGGCAAGATAAAATGAAGGGCACCAAGCTCAGCTGTCTGAGAACCAGGCAAGGCTTGTGATGGGAAAAGCAGCATAGCACAAAGCCCCTTTCACCAGCTGCCTGTGCCATTCAGATGGTTTGCTATGGATGGAGATAAGTTGGATTTATGGGAGAGGGTCTCCCCAAAGGGTCTAGCACACAATCCTCTCTTCTAGACAAATGGGAAACCTTATTCATCTGTTAACAGCATCCAGGAGAAAATGGCCCTTGAAGATAATATCTGTGAAAAAGCATTGTGTGCTAGTCAAAGAAACTGTTTGTTTCCATGGAGGTAGAGGAATCATTGAGGGTTTTAATTTTTGCCTGCCTCTTTTCTGAAAGGTCGCCGCCTAGGTTTTCTCATTTACAGCACCTGACACTGCTACTTCTGCCAGGATCCATTAGTACTGTCTCGATGGTTCCCTCTGCCAATTACAAAGAATTTAACATTAATGAGGGGCTGGGGCACTAAAGAGCTCATCAGCAGCAACTCAAGGGACAACTGGGAGAGGCACACACTCCGTCAAAGATGTAGATATTTGTTTTTTCTATTCTAATGAAATCACACAACACTCATTGTGCTCATAATGCACTTATCTTGGCAGCTTTCCAACCTATTGAACGCTTGCTGATTATGTCAGCCATCAAATTTGCTGTCCAGTGCAAACTCTGAGTTTGTCCAGGTCTGTCTGTCCCAGTAATTACCTGCCCATTGATCTAATTTTTGTTCTGACTTGTCACCTATTAGCAATATAGGCATTCTTGCTTTTAAATCAGAGGTTCTCAGATTTCTGAAGTAGTTCTCTTCCAAGGAAGGCACAGTCCCCTTGGGGGTTGTTTGGGAATGTGTCGGGGGGTATTTTGGGTTGTCCAGTCAGATTTTATCAGGCAGAGAGCAGTGATGCTAAGCTTCCTGAAACACACAGGACAGACCTGTTCAGTATAAGATCTCCTCACCCCAAATGTCCAAGGTGAGTTTAAATGGACAAATATTACCCAATACCTCCCTCTCAGTCCTGATGGCCCCTCCTAGGAACTTCACTTATCTCTGGATGAAGCAAATCTTCTGAAACACACAATCACCTGGTAATGCCACAGGGTGACTGACCTCAAAATGGCTCCCACAGTGATCTGTGGCACAACAGGACCACCTAAATGAGTCCAAAGACCTGGATTCAAGTCTCATTCTATCATTTCCTAGTGGTGTGGCCTCTGCTGAGTGACTTAACCTCTGTAAGCCTCAGTTTTCAGATCAGAAAAATGAAGATATGAAAACATACCTCACAGGGCTGTGCAGATTAAAATAGACGATAAGTGTGCAATCACTGCAAATAAAAAGCTCCATACACATGATACTTATTACGTGTATATGACCTGCTGCTTCTGCTGTCTGAGACACTTAGGAGAACGAGGCCTAAGCCTGGTTCCCAGAAGGCTAGGAAGTGAGCTTTGCTCTCCAAAATCATGCATTCGTTTATGAGTTTAGAGAGGACAATTTGTCTCTCCATTTCTTGGGCACATATGTAGGACACTCATTTTGAAGGCTGTGCATAACAGATGTCAAACATTCATGTTTCTAGGAAGAATGCCCCAAAGAAGTTACTGATTGTCTCTTCTGGCTTTTGGTAGTGCCTGGCCCTGATGGAGATTCAGGGCAGAGATGTTGCAAAGAAGGTGGGAGAAAGGCATCATTGTGATAAGCCCTGGAAATATAAGGGGCAATGTGGGCGTGGGGGGTAGGGTTTGCTGCCAAGTGGAAGAATTAATAAAGTTTTCAAATACGCACCGGCCCGGGACCTGGGATCAAACACACAAACAGCTAGGGACTTGCACAGCAACAAGAGAAGGCTGCTGAGGTTCTTAACAGAGGGGCCTAGGTGGTAGAGGTGGTGGGAGTGGGGAGGGCTGATCCAGGCAGACTGTGTATAAATGCTGGCAGGAATTCAGGAATGAGAGGGGTTGTGCCCGTGTGGAAAGTAGAGAGAGGTGTCTTCATGGTAAGTGGACTGGGGGAGGAGCATATCTTTGAAGGAAAGGCCGAGAAGGAGATGTCAGAGGGAGAGCCAAAATCAGCGTTTCTTAAACATGGGGCCACTGCTACTTTGAGTAAATTTAGTAAAATGTATTTGAACAAATTTAGTAAAAGTCTCAATATTTTAAACCATTGAGTCCTTTACCTACTGGTCTATTTATAAATCAGGGATCCCAAATTATTGGCTTGATCAAATTGGCAAAATTACTTATTTTATTTAAAATTAAAAAATAATACATACTTATTGTAGAAAATTTAGAAAATAGAGCTAAGCAAAAATAAGAAAACTTAAGGCACTCATAGTCCCACCACACAGAGATAACCATGGTTAACATTTTAGTGAGTTTTCTTCAGACACGATTATACATTTAAAATATAATAAATGAGATCATACTTTATATAATTTTTTTCACTTGCTATACTGCTAGTATCTCTCTAGCTTGGCTGAACTTGCTACTTGTCAATGGTTTGTCATCTGGCAATTTCAGGGTGCCCCTGTGGTAGTAGGAGATGGTGGACGGGTCGGGGGTGGATTGGGCAAGGGTTTCCAGGGGCAAGCGCTCATTGTGTTCAGTTAACCTGGAGACCTGATTCATATCCTCTTAGTGACCAGGAAGGTGACTGTTCCTGATGGAAGGCCAAACAGCCAGAGAGCCAAAGGAAAAGGTTACGTCTGTTTGAAAACAATGCTTGATATCCTTGTGGATGAACCATGGACACTTTGAGCTGTGCTTCCTTACACAGGCTTCAGTAGAAATGCTACTTAAAGAGATATTGGTTGCCTTTGTGTTGTTTATGTTGTAGAAAAGAACACACACACACACACCACACACACACACGCACACGCACATACGCAGCCATCACTCATAACCCCACAGAGATAACTGCTTTGACTTTTTGATTTTTTTTTATGCTTGGATCTTTCGTTCCTAATTTAAAATAATTCTGCCAACCAGAGTTTCCTATTATTACCATTTTGGTGCCATTATTTTTAAAACCAAAATTGTAGTTATTCTGATTTGGAGCTTCTTTATCTTCCTGTAGTAACCAAGTGTTTTCCTTAAGCCACTGGATAATCTTCTACATCATTTCAAACAGGTACCTGATAGTCCACTGAATGGATTATAAGGATGAAAAATAATCCTTTGTCACTGAGCATTTAGGTTATTTCCAACTTTAGGCTTGTTTTCCAATAATGTTTATAATATTAAAAATAAAATTAAGCAAATAGTTGTGCAACCTGCAAACAAAATCATGATCACTGAATACCCTGGTTATTCTTTTATGAGACGGAGCATGACATGGAAGAAACTCAGGAGACGGACATCCCACTGGCTCTGCTTTTGAGGATGTAGTTTAGTCTCATCCTCGTTTTACAGTGTAGAGAACTGAGAGTCAACAAACTTGAGTTACCTCTCCCAACCACAGAACAAGCAAATCATAAAACCCGAAAGTCTCTGACTTGCTGTCTTATGCCCTTTATTTGGTTAATATTGATTGATTGATTGATTGAGACGGAGTCTTGCTCTGTCACTAAGGCTGGAGTGCAGTGGCGCAATCTTGGCTCACTGCAACCTCCACCTCCCAGGTTTGAGCGATTCTCAGCCTCCTAAGTAGCTGGGATTACAGGCACGCGTCACCACAACCTGGCTTATTTTCGTATTTTTAGTAGAGACGGAGTTTCCCCATGATGGCCAGACTGGTCTTGAACTCCTGACTTCAGGTGATCTGCCCACCTTGGCCTCCCAAAGTGCTGTGATTACAGGCATGAGCCACTGCGCCCAGCCTATTTGGTTAATATTTAAATCCAATATTCTTAGATCTAAAAATACAAATAAGAAAAAAGGTGAGGGTTGTTGCTGATAATAATTCCAGCATCCTTTCTACCTGAGACTTATAGAATCATATTTCTGTTATTTAGATACATTTCCACTTATTTTAGGGATGGTGCCCTGGAAAGATACCGTATGTATTTGGTGTTGTCAACCTACACGATTTTGGTTTTAAATCTTTTCAATGCCTTTTTAAATTCATGCTGGCAACTTTTTGCAAAAACGTTTTTACCTGTTGCTATTGCATTATTCCATCCCCTTCCATTTTGGTTTCTATTTCTGTTAACTCTTGCCACCACATCATCACTCTGAGTCCTCAGGTTCACAGTGTTTATTATGGCTTAGACTCTTCTCATATTTAATAAAAGGGCCTGTTCATGTCTTTCATCGGGTTTGCAATAATCTCAGTATCATGCACATCCCTGAGTCTAGCATCTGTTCTCCCTGACTTTGCAATTTTGAATTCTGCTATTGTAACCTTCAAAGTGGTCCACATCACATCAGTGTGAAGTCGAACAGATGCCATGGCACAATGCAACTGGCTTTACTCTCTTTATGTGCTCAACCTATTCGGTGGTAGATGTGACACGACCCTCCCTCCACTCCCCTGTCACTTTTAGTAGTCTAAGCCTTCTGCTTTCTCATCACCATTGTATCTTCAAGGACTTCCAATTCCAGGAGAATGATTTAAAATCCTGTGAAAAAGAATCAGTGCTTCAAAACCTCTCTCTGTCATTCTTTTTAGGTCAATAGAAATGTTCATTTATGTGATTATTTGCAGTGCAAATACGATTATTCAGTGATGTTTTGAGCACATCATATCTTGCTAGTTTATTATTCCACAGTTTGCAATGACTCTTTGCAGAAGGAAGATCACAAATTAGATTAAGGAATATGTTTCATTTCCTTCGATCTAGGACACGGATAGGACTTCAGAGACTCCAGCAATTCTCCTTTGTCTTGCTTTTCAGACTCACATAATAGAACATCAATCTTGCAAAGGATCTCTCTGCCAAAACCACTGAGTTTAATTTAATGCACTACTTGGTCAAGACTGGAAGTCTTTATCTTCCATCCTCCATTAATATATCAATCTTAAGCATGACTGAAAAATGGGTACATTACTCGTAAAGATAAATTTGTGCATGTGCTCAGAAATGTCTCCTTTAGAATAATCAATAACAGATGTCCGATTGCCTCATATTTTCAGGTTTGAAATGTGACTTTATTAATGTAATAACGAATTACAGGACATAAACAGAAAAAAACCCAAACCAACCAACCCCCACCTACTTCCATGATCTGATTCAGGGAACTGAGTTGAAGAAAGGTATTGTGAGGTGCTTTGGTGCCCTCTGGTGGGTAATCATCTGAACAACACAGACGGTGTTTTAGTCATAGTTCATTTTGAAGGGGCCTTGGAAATCTGTTCCAATCCCCAAACTATAGGAGACAAAACAGAGCCCACGGGGCCCAGTGACTGGTGCAGAGTTCCAGGAAATCGTAATCCCGTGTCAGTCTAACTTGAAGCATTCTTGTTAAGGTTACTGGATAAGTATATAATTATCATATATTTGAAATTGTTTTCAGAAAATATTATCAGAAAAATTCTTCCACAGAGTAATTTTGGTGTGGAATGATCTGATGTATTTTATGATAACTTTTAGACAATGAAATTATATTTTAGAAGTGAATTATAGTCAGTTTAAATACTTACTAAATTCTATGAAAGTTTTGAGAAAAATTATTCAATATATTATAGATAGAAAATGTGACATTGATAAAATAGAAAAATTGCCAAGCTTTAACCAAACATCTGTTGAATGGAATTTTTTTTTTAACCATTGGGAAGGGAAAATACACCACATTATACTGTTGGATAAGACAAAACTTCTACACATATTCCTATAGCTCTATTTATCCATTTGACCATAACGTGCATTTTCATGCAATTTAAAATATTAATAAATGTGACTTTTCCAGAATATTTGGAGATTTTAGGCTTTTTTCTTTCTTCTTTAATTTATATTCTTTGAGTATCTCTCCTGACTTGGGGACATGTTTGGTAGAATTCCATATTTTAATGCTAAACTTTTCTTCTGATACAATTTAAATTCCAGCAAGATTTAATCAAAACTGCTAGAAGCTTAAAAACATACAGAATTGAATTATGGATTGTGTATACCAGTGGGTTGGAGTTGTTTTAATTTCTATTTTTCTTTCTCTTTCTGCCTCCTTAGGCTGTTGAATTTTACCATGTAGACAAGAGATCTAGGGAAAGAGGAGAAGGGAAGATATAAATCAAATTACACTTTGCAATCATCGTTTGAAGATTCAAATTCAGACGTGAAATCAATTGTTTAGAGAGGACATTTATGTTCAAATTGTAATATAACATCGTCTGTCTCAAACTTGGTTTGGGGTTTTTTTTTTACATATTAAAATTTCAGATTATCTTCAAATGTTGCTTGATTTGATTCAATCAGATTTGGCAACTAAAAAGTCCTAACAACAACAGCAAGAACATCTACATCTCGTTGAGAATGGACTAGGTGTGAGCCACTGCACTTGGCCTTCTCTATATTGCATTCCCTGAAACCTAAAACCGTATCAAAAGTGACACATCATCATTTTATATACCCCTTAGAAAAAAAGTGCAACTGAAATATTGCTAAATGATTTAATATCACATAGAATGTCATTGTATATATATTGAAAGAGCTGTATTAGGCTTAGCTAGACATTGATTCTTTTATCAGATATCACTCTTGTGCATGTATAAAAAGGTAAGTACGAAGAAATTGAGGTATTTCTAAACGTTTTTTGCATTCAGTCTATCTTCACTGAATCACTCTGACTCAGAATTGTTGAGGTTCTTGTTTCACTACCAGTATTGTCTTCTGTGGGTAGCACAGCATTTTTTAGAAGATGCCTATTATCTCCCATGCCACTGATACCTCTTCTGCAAGGCTTGGCATGCCGTGAAGCATTCTTGAGGTGTCAGCAGAAGGTTTCCAGAGAATAACCAGGACCCAAACTCCTTTCTCAAATGGTTCTGAGAACTTTGTTATTGTTTTCTGTCATTGCTGAAGATAATTAAAATTTCTCCGTGGCAGAGCCCTGCTGCCCAATTACAAAAATAACATCAACAGATCAATCTCCACAATCCTGAAGCAATCATGGCAGCTTTGATGATTTTGGTACAGGATGTGGTGAAAAATGTTATGGAATTCATCTTTATTTGTTTTTCAGAAATCACAATCAGAGCCCACTTACATTTTATGCGTACTTTCACACATTGTGTAGTGTCTTGTGTATTTCTTTCACCTCCACTGGAAGTTGAGTTCCAGTCATGCTACCAGTGTTAGCGAGTTTGTGCATGGACAGGCGATGATAGCTACATGCAGCTACACTCTTACGGATGGCAATTGTAAGATGCTGTAGATTGTAAGATACACTTCCATTTTGGAGATGTCAGACATGGGGAGACATAATTTTTTGAATCAGTGAAGTATGATGTGGTACTCTTTAATTTCCATTATAACCTTGTGAGGTAGATACTGTTTTCTCTAATTTACGGATTATTCAGTGAAACTATAGCACTAAAGGAAGATTTAAGAATACAGAGAACAGACTTTGCAAGAGGAATGGTTGCTTTGAGTTAGTCCTTTCTAAGCAATTAGAAGAAATGAGGAGTGATTGTTTCAGTTCATGGGACCTGGTATTAGGTATGTATCCTATTTACAAAGAAGTAAATTTATGATATATATTGTCTTTAGTGGGCCCAGAAAAAAAATGCACAGAATACTGAAGAATGTGTAAAAGTACTGATAAAATGTAACTGACCTCTAGTTTTGATTTCTGAAAAACAAATAGAGATGCATTTCATAACATTTTTTTCATTGTCTCCTGTACCAAAATCATCGAAGCTGCTGTGATTGCTTCAGTATTGTGGAGACTGAACTTTTGATGTTATTTTTGTAATTGGGCAGCAGGGCTCCTCCATGGAGAAATTTTAATTATTTTCAGCAAAGATCCAAAAGCTTCTTCAGAGAGAAGTGCTTCACAGCAGGAAATGGTGGCTAAGAGATTCATCCTATCGAAACAAGAATGTGTCAACAAATTTTCCCAGGCGTGTGCCAAGGAACTGCCTAAGGAATTTAAGCTGCCTGCAAGTTGTCACCATCTGGCCACAAAGGATACCTTTTATGAGAAAATCATGTTGTTATTCCATAAGGCAGTCATTATTTTATGTTGGCCACATTTCATGCAACTCAGCCCTCTGTTTTTAATGTGAAGACATTGGGTAGAAGTAATATCTTTTTGTCTCTTTGGGGGGCAGAGGGGAGTGAGTACCCCTGACATATAGTGGGTAGAGGCCAAGGATGTTGCTAAATATGTCGCAGTTCACAGGACAATCACTGCCTCTCTGTCCCCGCCCCCAACCAGGAATGATCAGGCCCAAAATGTCAATAGTGCTGAGATTGAGACATCTCAGTCTAGCCCCTTATAGTACTTCAGCTCCTACAAAATAGCATCTCTTCTGGAAAGCCTTTTGGGTGCCTCTTCCATGAGCTGCCTGGCATCCTATGCTCACTGCCTTCACAGAACTCATTATTCTGTTCTTGGTCTCTATTATGTCCTTAGAAACTGGCATTGTGCTTGAATACATTACATTGGTTACAAATGAATGACAGAAATTTAATTAGAACTAGCTTAGGCAAAATAAAGAATCTCAGGAAATATTGAAAAACCCAGCTTCAGCAAGGTCCGAATCCATTTCCTCCTCAGCTTCTGCATCCTAGTCTTCCACTTTTTTGGGAGCTTCAGTTTGATGGCAGAGCCTCAGTTGAGGGCATATATGTTTAGGAGAGTAATGAGTTCTTTTTCTTTTAAATTGCAACATACAAGATGAGAAAAGGTCTTTATATTGTTACAGGGAATTGCCAACAAGAATAGAGAATAGTATAAGAATATCTTTGGATCCATCAGCTGGCTCCAACAACCCTCAACTCATGGTTTATCCTGCATCATTCATATCACTACATGCTTCCTCCATCCTTCCCAAGCCCCTGGAGAAATTTTATCTACAAAAACTTGTTTCTGAAAGACAGGACTCTTAAAAATCACAATACCATTATCATACCTTAAAAATGAGCACTATTTCCTTAATAACGTGAAATATCCAGCAATGTTTACATTTTTATGATTTTTAAAATTTATCCATTCATCCATTTATAATTTACAGGTTTTTTGGAGGCAGGATTCAAATAAGGTTTATGTGTTACAATTGGTTGATAGACCTCTTAGGTCTCTTTTTAATCTACAGGTTTACCCCCCACCCCGTCTCTCCCTTTTTTTTCCTTGTAATTTCCTCACTGAAAAACTGGTTATTTGTGCTCTTGTGTTTCCCACAGTCTGAATCTTGTTGATTGCACCCCCATGGTGTGGTGCTGATTAATGAACTTCTCTGTCCACTGTGTTTCTAGAAATTGGCAGTTACATTTAGAAGTATGATCAGATTCATATTCAATCCCCTTGGCAGCACTATTCCATAGCGGGTGTCAGTACTTCTATCTTAAGCTTTGTAATGACTGTCTCTTTTTGTGATATTAGTAACCATTTACCTATACTTCATTAGAGATTGCAAAGTGGTGATATTCCAATCCTATCATTCCTTCTTAGTTAATTAGCCAGTATAATCTACAACGAGAACCCCCTGAGTCAATTCTTAAGTCCCTCTGAGGTTTAATTTGTATAGGAATGGCAGGATAAAGGCCCAATTATTTTCTTAAAATAGTAAGTTGAACTTTTTATTACTGTCCAATGGTGACCAATGAGGATTACTTTTTTTCATAGACTTGAACTTGTTGGATATGTTTTCTTCCATTGTATATATCATCTCATTTATTTATTTGTGAAAGTCTCACTCCATCACCCAGGTTGAGTGCAGTGGTGCGATCACAGTTCACTGCAGACTTGACCTCCCAGGATCAAGAGATCCTCCTCGCAGTAGATGGGGCTGCAGGCATGCACCACCATACCACACCATTTTTTGAGTCGGGATCTTGCCATGTTGCCCAGGCTGGTCTCAAACTCCTGGACTCAAGTAGTCCTCCCACTTTGGCCTTCCAAAGTGCTGGGATTACAGGCATGAGCCGCCATGCCCAGCCATTGTATTTATTATTTTTATTATCATTAATGCTCAAGTTAAATTCTTCTATCTGTGGCCAATGGGAATCTAGTCATGTCAGCTCCTGTGTCTTTTTTTGTTTGTTTGTTTTTCTAATTTCAGCAGCTTTATGATTTTATTTCTAAAATGGCTACTCTTTTTGTCATTAGTTTTACCTAGCAATATAAATGCATGGGTTGATTTTCTCCTTTAATTTTTAAGATACATTTTTAATTGAAATATAGCATATATTCAAAAAAGCACAATTTATGAAAGTATAGCTGGAATATGCATGGGACAACCACACCTGTATAACAACTATATCAAGAGACAGGTTTTATTACCAACACACTGTTTGCCCTTTCTGGTCATTATCCCTTCAAAGATAACCACCACCTGACTTTTAGCCCCACAGATTCATTTTGCCTGTTTTTGACTTTATGTAAATGAGATCACACAGTTTGTTCTTTTTAATGTCTGGTTTCTTTTACTCAACTTTATATTTGTGAAATTCATCCATGTTCTTGAGTGTAGCAATAGTTCATTCTCTGTTATCAGATGTCACACCTCTTGGACAGATTCCCTACTTTCAAAAATCTTTTAAAAGCATTTAAATTATGTTTTATATTTTGTTTTTAATTGACACATAATAATTATACATATCTATGGGGTAGAGTGTGATATTTAAATTTAAAAATTATGTTCTCTTGTATTTCTCATGTTTTAATTTTTTTTGTTCTACTTTTTGTTGATTTTCTCAGCTTTATGTTTAAGTATTCTTCTGTTCCCTGTAGCATGTTTGTTTTGTTTGTCCTTTTTGTTTTTGTTTTTCCTGATGATTTTGGTCTTTGTCTTTTATTCTATTGGCATTCTTAGGTAATTTCTAACTGGTTATTCACATTTTGATATTAGGGCTAAACAGCCATATGGAAACAACTATTGGATGACTGGATGAAGAGCCAAGTTTTACCTAATTGATTCATAATAAACCACTCCAGGCTTAGTGTTATAAGACAACACTAGTTTTTATTATCTCGCATGATGCCAAGGGTTGAATGAACTAAGCTAAGCTGGTTCCCATTCAGGGTCTCTCATGTGGTTGCTGTAGGAATGTCTGGGACTGGGTCATCTGGAGGCTTCTGACCTCACAGAAGCTTCTGGAAGCTTCTGGCTCCTGGGCCAGGAAGACTCAAATAGCTGGAAGCTGGAAGTGGTGGGGTTCTTCAGGCATATCTCTGTCTCTCTGTGGTCTCTCCAGTCTGGCAGCTGTGGAATAGGTAGACTTTTTACATGGTAGCTCAGGGTTCCAAAAGCATGTGTCTTAAGGTGGACAGAAGCTGTAGGAATGGCCTCTTCTTATCTAGCTTCAGAAATCATGCAACATCACTTTCTATATAGCACTGTAGTCAGTAGAAGTGAGCTACTAAAGCCAGCCCATGTTCATAGGGAGCAAAATTGAACTCCACTTCATGATGGGATAAATTCCAAATAATTTGTAGGCATGTTTTAAAACCACTAGAGTCACGATCTGAAGATCTTTTCTTCTTCTTTTTTTTTCTTTGAAACAGAGTCTCGCTCTGTGGCCCAGGATGGAGTGCAGTGGTCGATTTCGGCTCACTGCAACCTCCACTTCCCCGATTCAAGTGATTCTCCTGCCTCAGCCTCCCGAGTAGCAGGGACTACAGACTTGCGCCACCACGCCCAGCTAATTTTTGTATTTTTAGTAGAGATAGGGTTTTGCCATGTTGGCCCAGGCTGATCTCAAACTCCTGACCTCAGCTGATTTGCCCGCCTTGGCCTCCCAAAGTGCTGGGATTACAGGTGTGAACCACTGCACCTGGCCTGAAGATCTTTTCTGTAAGACTCTTGAGTTCTTCCTAAAATAAATTCTCCATTATACTAGTGAGGATAGGAGGCAGGTCAGAGTTGAATAGTTGTCTGCTAGTATACTTAATGGAGGAAGGAAGGCGATTACAGTTTGCTTGTGACTGTCTCATGATTTACTATACAAATTTTCATTTAATCTCCCCTTCTTCAACTGCATTTTTTCTTTTTTTTTTCCTTAGTTGCATTCTCTGAATTCAGATTCCCTGGGAGCTCTGGTGTTTTGCTGCGTGGAGCCAGGGAGTTTAACTGTTCCAGCCGATCTCCATTTTCTGACATACACCTATTTGACTTTTTGATACTTGGTACCTGGGAACCATGAGTCTTTCTGGGTGTTCTGGAAACCTTCCTTTGCCACTCTAGATTTACTCTCCATTCTTCTCCCACTTGTCCACAAGACCGACTATGTGGACTACACCATGGGCCTCCCTTATGTTCTGGCTTTCAGGATTAGTAACAGTGCTGTGCTGAGCCATAATGGAGCCTGAGGAAAAAGGAAAAATAATTCATAGTGATCCTGCCCTTATTTAAAATTGTGATATTTTGTTCATCATGGATTTTTTGCATCAATTTTGATTTTAAAAAAATAATGCAGTAAAATATGTTTTCTTTTTTGAGATAAGGTCTCACTATGTTTCCCAGGCTGTCTTGAACTCCTGAGCTCCAATGATCTTTCTGCCTCAGCCTCCTGAGTAGCTGGGACTACAGGTGTGTACAACTGCACCTGGCCATTAAAATATCTTTTATATTGATTACTGAGTTTTTTGGTCCCCCTATCTTTTAAATTTTGTGTCCAAAGTGAGTGCTTCATTTACCTCACACTAGTCGCAGCCCTGACATTTAACATATCATGTTGTAAGACTCTATGTCTTGTTAAAATCATCTGGAGAATGTTGATTTTTGTTTGTCTGTTTTATTTTTGTTTTATCAAGCAATCAGCCCCATTAGGCTGCAAGGTCTATTTCACCTTCTTCCAGCAGTGGTTCCAATGTCAGTACAGACTTCAAAGAGGCCTGCCTCTGGCCACCCAGGATTAGTTTGGGATGTGAGCATGGAATATGTTGCACAGTTCAGTTCTTGAGGCCTTTGCTCTGCTTCTTTGGGTGCATTATACACATGTGCAGCTTGGGCTGATCCCAGGACTTGGGTTGGTTCACATGCAGATTTAGGATTCCCCTCTCCAAAGTCTCTCCTCTCTGAGATTTCAGCAATAGTCTCTAGCTCCCAGGTCCCCCATTTACTGGTTCTCTGTCCAGAAAGATGGATTTTCTTAACAGTTTTAGCTTCATGTGCTGGTGTGCAGTTACATGTGACAGGGCCTGCCCTTAGGAGAAGCTGGGAGAGACAAGAGAAAGGAAACAACGGAAATTCCCCCTCCCCGTACTCTTTTCACAACGGGGACCCCCTTTTCTGTATCCCTCTCAGCATTGTTCATTGCACTACAAAAATATTTGTTAAGTGTATCACTTTCTTTGGCAGTGGCCTTCAAAGAATACAACCAAGAACCCAAAGAGAGTTTAGCAGTGCTGCTAAAGTCATACAAAGCATGGGTTCTTTGCATCAAAGTGGGCAGCTTATTATTTGCTTAGAGCCTAGAGTCCTTGCTAGGTTGTTAGCTTCATGCCTGAGTTGTCATGGCTCTGTCTCTAATGCATGGCAGAAGGCCGGGCACAGAGTAGGCATGAAGCAAATATTTGCTAAATGTTAGAGAGACAGACTCCAGCACCATAGCCATTTAAAGCTTGACTACAGCAAATTATGTTTCCAAGTTTTAAATATTCAGCAATAAGCTAATGTTACATTATGCAAGTGTCTTTATTTGTCATGACAGAAACGGGGACCTCCGGTAGCTGGGTTGCTGCAGGAATGGGCTGAGTCCTAGGGTGTGGGCATTTCGCACTAACGCTGTAACTTGGCTCTGTGCTGTTCTTCTCTAGTCCAAGGCCCTAGGTTACTAACTTATGGAAAGTAGCCCCAACTGGTGGGGAGTCTCAGAATACAATTCTGGTACACATCGGGCAATGCTTATATCTTCTTCTTCTATTAATAGATCCCCAAGTCATCCAGGAGAGAGCTACTAACACTCAAGGCCCCTTATGGAAGGTCTAGAAAACAAACTTAACTAAAAAGTTAGCAGTGTTCTTGTTGAGTATATTTTCCCCGAAATGTATTTTAGTTTACCTTTTGTTTATTCATTTAGTAAACACTGCTTAAAGTCTGTTTTGTGAGCAGCAATATTTAATACGCTTTTGAGGGATGAAAAAAAGGATCTATTGAAAAAGATATAATCACTGCCCTGTCCTCCCTGTTTCTCCCAGCTAACATTCTTCTGGAGGCCAAAACCTATAACCTCCCATGTAGTACAAGTGCCTAAGAGGTCACCAATCCTCTATCATCCTCTCTGTTGCTCCTTCACATCACCCTTTTCACCTGCCCATGCCATCATCTTGTGCAGTCTTGACCCTGCTAAGTTAGTGGCAGGCCATGTGACCTTGAGTACACTTGCCCCTGCTCCCCAGTTTGGAGTGGACTGCAAGTGTATATTGAATCCTAGCTGGTCAATTAGATTCCTTCTGATAATTTTGACTGGGGGCCATGTTCTGAATTGGCTAGTCTAACATGCTGATGTGCATTCAGACATAGAAGCTGCCATTTTGAGCAGACTTTCGGGAGTTGGTGGCTAATTAGTAAGGGAAGTGCACTGCTCTGTCTGCTACAGAAAGACAAGGAAAACAGAATGCAGACAGGATCCCAACAGAGTTCACATCAGCCCCCAAGAGAGATGGAGAGAGAATCCTGCTTGGTTCCTAATGATGTCCCAGGCCCCCATCAGGCTGCTGTCCTCCTGCCCTTGGATTCTTTATGATAAAACTCCCAGTAGTGGCAACTTGAGGAGATTTCTAGGTTGTTTGCTTTCTTTTGACAACAAAATGGTCTTTCATTAAAATGACAAAACAGAAGGTAAGGCAACCTAAATACAAGTATAAGCAATAATGTAAAAGAAGAAATAGAAATGATTTTGATGGGTTAGTTTAAAAGACAGGCATGTTCATTTTATACCACTTCTGACTCATTGCTGTGCCTCTTCTTACATTTCTAAGAATAAAAATTAAAAATCAGTGTCCTGCAATTTTAAATTATTTTATTTCTGATTGGTGATTTTAATGAATTTAAACATGTAGAGATATACCTATTGCCACTTTGGTGATAGCTCTTAACATCCTTCATTTTTTTGGTCAAAAACCACTTTCTGGCAAGAATGCAACTTCAGATAATTATGGCTTTGCACTCTGAGTTTGCTTTTTAAGAGTTATTTTGATTTATGATGACTCAACATCTCAGTCTATGTGGTTAAATTTTTTTTTTTTTTCAGGGGGGCGGGTCTTTATGGTTTAGCCAAGCTTTCTTTATTAAAAACATACAATTAAAAGAAATGTGGTTTCATTTCTTACCTCAATCCGTTTTACTTCATTTGGGTTGTTCAGTATTAAGTTGTCCAACCATAAATTTCCCGTCTCACTAAATTTATTTTATCAGTGCAGTGGATTATTTTCAAGGTTCATTTTCCTAGTGCCCTAGCCAAGGCCAGAAAGAGGGTATTTTAAATTTCTCTTCTTCAGAAGCTATTCTTTGCTCTTTTCTCCACTTTAAGGACATTTTTCCCCTTTAGGAACACTCTAAAAGGAAGGTCAGTGTTCTGTCCTAAGTGACAGAGACATGTTTAGCATCTTCATCACTCAGTTTAACCTGTCTAAACTTTCACATTGAATTTTTACCCCATCTTGGTCCATCTGCTGCAAATTAAGTGGATACACCTATCCCCTTTGCTTTTTCAATTTCAAAGATAAATGATGTGAGGATTCTAATGATACATTCTGGCTAAAACAAGAAAGTCCACTTATATAGGATTGGGAAAGATCCCACTTCCTGTCTTCACAAAGGAGGACAATTGCCCTGTTATCTAATCCCAGTGTTCTGAGAGAGGCTGGCCCCAGCTTGAACAGAAAAGCAGAAAAATTTGCTTCCCCTTCCTCCCCTCACCTTTTGGACCAGGATTCTTTGTTGACTTCTGTTATTGGCTCTTTCTGGTCTCCCAGCAAGTTGTCGTCTCCCCTTGGCCTCTTTTGTTGTCCTAGAATTCTTCCCAGCCACCTTCCCATGCTACAGAAGAACCTCTCCCTCCTTATTCTCATTTTACCAGAAATCTTACCTCTGCTGGAAAAATTTCAGTTGATGGCCAGGTGGAGCTGAGCCTGTGTTTCCCCTAAGACTCCTGTGCAGTAGCTTATGTGGAAAGTGTTTCCAGGGGACAAAAGTTGGGGTAATGGAGAAAGTGAAATGAAAAAGAGGAAAGGGCAATTCAGAGGTGTGCCCTGAGTTGGTCCCCACATATCCTGGAATTTTCACTTCACTGAAAATCCTTTCTCAACTCACCGAGCCACAGCTATGTGCCCTTATGTCTCTACTTCAATATGATCACCTCCCTCTCTGGACTCTTAGCTTCTTAAGGGAAGAAAGCAGATTTCTCCATTGTGCCCTTCCTACATGCTAAAGCACATGGCCCCATGTAAGTACTCAGAAACGACATATTTGTTCAATAAATGAATGAATGAAGAGGGCCCTCTCTTGCTGCTCCAATCACAACAATCATGTGACTGCGTATTCCTCCTCTGTATATGCTGGTCCTGCCTACTCCTGTATGTAGTAATGTGAGCCATAGTGAGTGCATAAATGAATGCACAAAATAGAATATGAAATGATAATATTTTTTAAATATTAAATTGATATGTTTTTAAATTTCTTTAACTTATAATACTTCTCAGCTACCTGTACATAGAATCAATGGGTTTTGTTATTTCTGAAAAATAATAGATACTCCTACTCCAGAGCAGAGAAGTTATTTTTTGGTTTTGGTTCTCAGAGCTGACATTCTTGAATCTTTAGTAATACAATGTCTTATCATCAGAAAGAGATTTTCTAAATCCCAAAAGCTTCCCTTTACTCATCAAGAGTCAGCCTGATTCAAATCAGAGTTTAATTGCAATGAGTGGGTTCTGACCCTGGTTGTGTATCAGAATTACCTGGGGAGGCTTAGAAAATACTAATGCTCAGGCCTTACTTCTAGAGACTCTGATTCAATTATCTGGTCTGAGATGTAGTTCAGGTAATACTGCTTTGCTTTTTTTTTTTTTTTTTTTTAAATGCTTCCTAGGTGATTCTAATGTGCAGCCCAATAGGAGAACACTTCTGTAAACTGTATTGTTTGAAGGCTGGATAAAATGACTTTTGGTAAGACCCATTGCATGCAGGAAGGATAATAGAAGACCAGGGCAAGGAGATCAGACAGGAATGACTTGATTCCCTTGTGAGAGTTGAATCCCGGTGAGGGGGTGGGAAAGGGCCAGTAGGAACACCCAGAAAGGTTGGGGGATTCCTGGTGTGGGTCTTAGGCATGGCTTCTCAGGTGTTTCACAGGAGACTCCCAAGCCACAGAGGGAAGCCATGAATTCAATATGGTGCTGAGTATAGGGCTGCCGGGAATGTCTGGGGAATGTCTGAGGAATGTGACTAAGTAGATGGACCAGAAGGCAGCCCGACAGAGCGCATCATTCTTCAGTTTGGTGCAGCAAAGGCAGCTGAGTGTTCCTGGGACCCAAAAGCAATGCAGAAGTTGTGGTAGACTGTTAACTGGATAGACCTGGAGTTGAGATGGGGAGACTGCTGAGTGCAGGGGCCTCCTGCAAGAGGCTGTGGCAGGGACTGCTGAGTGCTACAGCGAGTGACATCATGACACCCAAGAGACCAGGAGGGACAAGATCCTCGCAGAGGATAGAGGCTCACCCACTGGAGACCAGCACAAACCTGAACATTGTTTTTTGCCTGAAACTCCATCTGCTGCTACCCTGAGTATAGGAATGCCTCCCTCTGCGTTCAGGCATGACTCTGAGAGGAGCGGTACAGCTCTCACTGGGAGGTGGAATTTTGAGTGGGATTAATATTCATTCCAAATCAACTTAGGCCAGTACACACTGTTTTACACCATACTGAACTACTTTTTATTTTTTAATGTGTTTTTCTTCTGCTATCATTGAAAGTAGGAACGAGAGGGCTTATAATAAAGAAAGCTATGCTTCTTGTGTGTTTGGATTGTGGTATGTAAATTTGTGATATGCTACAAAGAATATAAGAGATGAGTTTAAATATTGACAAGGTAGAGCCAAATAATTTCTCAGTACTATTTCACATAAAGTAGCTTTTAGTACAACAGAATGATATTCAGTAGTAAAAAAGAGACTGCTTATTGCTATACCTGCAACAACGTGAGTGGAACGCACAAACAATGAACAAAAGCAGCTAGACCCAAAAGAGTACATGCTGTATCAATCCACCAAATAAATTTGAGGAATAGGCAAACCAATCTATGGTCAATAGACAAACCAATGTACAGGATTAGAAGTCAGAGTATCAGCAATTGCTGCTGGTGGGGGTGTAGTTATTGAGTGAATGGTCCTTGAGGAAACTTTCTAGGGTGATGAGTAAGTTCTATATTTTGATCTGCGCATTGGCCACATAGATGTGTACATATGTGAAATGTCATTGAGTTGTCCAATTTGAAATTGTGTATTTTACTGTATATAAATTATAATTTAAAAAATACTACAAAAGGTAGGAGGTAAATGAAGAAAACAGTTCTACTCATTTTTCACCCAAAGACTTGGGCTAAATTGTCAGAGTATAAAGCCAAGTGTTGAAAAGTGAATGGTGACAGATAGAAATATACGTGATGCTTAAAACCACCGAGGGTTGACTCAGTCTGGCCCCTGAGTAGCAGAGAGAGAAGACAGAAAGTTTAGACATGAGCAATGAGGAAAATGTGTTTTACCAGAAGGCCCCTGGGCCTCCTCTGACAACTTCATTCTCTCTTGGAAATTTTTAGATCCCATTATATTACCACAGCATATTTCCAAAACTCTCCTGGAATTGATTTGTTGAAAGACACACTGGCTCCTTCAAAATAAAAACTTAGCTGTCAACACATCCTAATGGCATTTTGGGGGAAGAAAGAATGGTGACATAAGGGGCCCAGGAAGATGTAGCGATCAGGCGTGTGTACGTTCTGAGTCCTTGGGAAAGCTGCTTCATTTCATTGTCATGTAGTGGGAAGAGCATTGGTTTCAACATCAAAAACGTCTGAGTTCAGCCACTGACTTCTCCATTTCTATCTGGGTGATCTTAGAGAAGCTACTTGATTTTTCAGAACCTTTGTTTCTTCATCTATAAAAAGGAGATAATTCTTGTACAGATAGTACTATGAATATAAAATTAGATCATATATGGGCACTTGGTATATGATAGACCCTCAACAAATGGGTATTTATTGTTATTGTTCTTAAAGGACTGCAAAAAGCCACCTACTCAAATATCTCCCCCCAGCAGTCATGCACCTTATTTCACAGTTGCATTCTTTTGGGAGTGTCTTTCTACTCCTAACTCAAATGTTTCCTATTGTTCCCACCCAGAAGTAATCCGTGTTGCTCTTTGGTAAGATAAGGATTATAACCATCATCAGGATAAACCAGATTCTGCCTTTTGTCACCCTTGTTAACTGGTAAGGTCTTACAGGATAAGTTCCTTGTTCACCTGTGCATCCCACAGAGGTCCAGCAGTGTTTCATGTAGGTAAGCACCTAATGTTTGTGTAATTCGAAGGATACTTGTATGAGTCCATCCTTGCATTGCTGTAAAGAACTACGTAAGACTGGGTAATTTATAAAGAAAAGAGATTTAATTGGCTCATGGTTCCACAGGCTGTACAGGAAATATGGTTAGGGAGGCCTCAGGAAACTTATAATCACGGTGGAAGGCAAAGGGGAAGCAGGCACGTCCTACATAGCTGAAGCAGGAGGAAAAGAAAGAGAAGGGGGAGGTGCTACACACTTTTAAACAACCAGATCTCATGAGAACTCACCCACTATCACGAGAACAGCAAGGGGGAAATCTGCCCCCATGACCCAGTCACCTCCCCACCAGGCCTGTCCTCCAACATTGGTGATTATAACTTGACGTAAGATTTGAGCTGGGACAGAAATATGGGGTAAATGAAATAACGAATGAATGTGAAATCTGCTATTATTAACTGAACTCTCATCCAACTTATTATAAACAAATGACATGAATCTTAATCTGTTATGTAAATATACACATGATAATACATTGTTTATCATTAATGTACAGAAAAATGTTGTTTTGTAGTTAGACAAATGCTACTTTAATTTTTACTTGAATATCTGAAAAATTTAGTTTCATGGAATTTTTTATGATATTTATTTGTAAAACATCTCTTTTCTTTTTCTTATTTGTATAGCATTATCATGAAAGAAAATAGGACAACTGCAATTCTTTTGGAAACATTAATTCTGGAAATAGAGTTTTTGGTATTTTGATTATAAGAGTAAGTTTTAAGAGATTGTTAGTATTATATGATGGCAGGCATACTGTGGGTAAATGTCCTTGGTGAAATATAACAAAAATTCAGTTGCTTTATGTTAGCGATTATAGGAAAAATAATCCTTTCTTTGATTCCCTGTGCTATCTAGGAATGCATTTCATTTGAGTAACATTAGCCACAAAAATAAAATGTAGAAAAATTTTGAAGGCAAATTTGAATTTTGAAATTGGAGTCACTCTTCACAATGAAAACTGGCCAAAATAGTCAAATATTGTTATCCATCACTGTCTCAACTTCCCATTGGTTTACATTTTTGTGTGTGTGAGACAGTGTCTTTCTTTGTCACCCAGGCTGGAGTGCAGTCGTACAGTTATGGCTCACTACAGCCTTGACCTCCTGGGCTCAATCCTCCCACCTCAGCTCCCCCACCATCGAGTAGCTGGGACTACAGGTGCATGCCACCACGCCTGGCTAATTTTTAAATTTTTTTTGTACAAACAGGATCTTGCTATGTTGCTCAGTTTGGTCTCCAACTCCTGGCCTCAAGTGATCCTCCTGCCTGGGCTTCCCAAAGTACTGGGATTACAGACATAAGCCACTGTGCCTGGCCTACAATCAATTATTATTGTGAAGTTGACTTTGCTTCTAAATCAGAAAGAGGCATCTGAGACAAGCTGAAGTAACTTCTAGCTCTATCCCAGCAAATGAGTAAAGAGCCACAAACAAAAACAGATAGTCATTCACCCAGCAAGAAAGAGCCACATGTGGTCGAAATAAAGTTTCAGCATTTAAATTATGATGGAAGTTGACAGTTATTGCTTCCGTATGTGAGAAGCATGCAATTTTTTAAAAGCTTGGCAATAATTATTATTGCAGGTTCTGGAAGTTTTTACAAGGACAGACTAGGAAGGCTTCTCAGGCAATGAAACTAGACTGAAAAGCCTTACCTTGCTCAGGTAAACTGCTACTCCTTAAAGCAGAAGGTAAAATGTAACTCAAAGAATTGTAAGCTTTTTTGTGGATCTTTTCAAAGACCAGATACAGACATTTAGTTGCTTGCTAAAAGGCCCACATGTCTCTCTGGGTGGTCCCTATGGTGATTACTTTTAAAGGAAATCTTTCCTCTAAACCTTGGGGTATTTTACAGATGGGTCCCCAGGAATGCAAACATCATTTTCCTGGGACTGTCTTGAGAAATAATCTGAGGTTCTACTTGATAAAGGCAAGGATTCTGCTCACATAAAGATGATTTGTAGCTTGAAATTTTATTTGAATTGATCAGCTATGAGTTGTCTGCAGTGGTCCCACAGTACCAAGTAACAGGAGAGTCTCTTACCTACTGAGAAAGTGACTGGAATCCCAGGAAAGTTCTAGCTGAACATATTCTGCTGGATTCCTGCCCCACAAGTGCACAGACCTTTCAGGGTGGTGCGTTGGCAAAAGTATGAGCATGGAAGAAAGAAGATTCAGATCGTGGTTCTCTCAGTCTCTTTAATTTGCAGAGTTGGGCTTTACAAAGCATCCATGCCTTCATTTCCTTTTCCATTAAAAGGAGATAACAAGATTAATTTTGAATTTCTTTTTCCAGCCCCAGTGTTTACTAGCCAAGCCATTTTGTGCAAATCACATGTGAGTGTTTCTCATCTGAAAAATGAAAGCAGAAATGACATATATAGTCGATGGTAGAATTCTGATATATGTGAACATGTTATATAAAGCATAAAGCAAGGCATTGATTTTGTCTTCTTAGTGTAGCATCAGTGAGGCCAGCACACAATTCAGTTGTCCTCCTCTGCAATCCCTTTGCCCACTCCTGAAGAGCATTAATGGCTAAGTTTCATCCTCAGGTCAGTGGGATTTTTGCAAGAACAAATAATATGGGAGTTAGGATGAACCGCATTAAAACAACAATCACTTACATGGTCTGTTTGGAACCCAATGGTGCAGTCATAATAATCCAGAATGTTTAGAGGAGTTTTTGTAATAGAAACCATGTATATACATGTCCAGAATCAAACTTCTGTTTTCCAGAAGTTTGGCTGCTTCTGACTTACCCGCCCTTTCCCCGAGGTACAGCAGAAACCACGTTATTCCTTTTCTGAAGTTTTTATTTGCAAAAGCTAGAACCACAAATTACAATGTATAAGCAGAACTTCCAAACCAGCACCAAATACAAACTTTGTTTAGCATGAAATACAAACACTGGAGCCCAGTCACATGCTATTTGGAACAGGGGAGGGAAAATGATCATTTTTAAATCTAGTGACTATTAATGACATTTCAGTATCATTTTTTACAAGTGTAATTTTTTTAAATTTCAAAAATATTTTTATCATTATTTTTTGTGATTTTTAGATTTAAAAACATAGACTTTACCTTTGAGAGCAGTTTAACATTCATAGCAAAATTGAAAGGAATGTGCCAGAGGCCTCTCATATATGCCCTGCCACCATGTATGCACAGGCTCCCTCACTATCAACTGCCTGCACCAGAGTCGTCCACTTGTTACAAGCCATGAACCTACACTGACACATCATTATCCTCCAAAGTCCGTGGGGTTCACTCTTGGTGTTGCACATTCTATGGGTTTAGACAAATGTATAATGACACATATCCATCATTGTAATAGCATACAAGGTAGTTTCACTGCCATTAAATCCTCTGTGCCCCACCTATTCATCCCTTCCTTTCTCCTAATCCCTGACACCACTGATCTTTTTACTGTCTCCATAGTTGTGCCTTTTCCACAATATCATATAGTGGGAATCATAGAGTGTGTGGTCTTCTGGTCTTCTGACTGGCTTCTTTACTTTCATTTATGTTTCCTCCATGTCTTTTCATGGCTTGGCAGTTCATTTCTTTTTATCAATGCATAATATTCCATTGTATGGATTTACCACAACAAATGTAATTATTATTCCATCCTTGAATAATGGAGTTTATTGACATTATCTGAAAATAAATTCCATCATACCTTATCAAAATTTTCAAATGTGCTGAGAAAAATTTCTTGGATTTTCTGTTTCCCACAAATGTATTATCATAATTTTCCTTATATACCGATATTCTTTTCTTTCATTCAGTTTTAAATTTCTTATTTCCAAATGTATTCTCTCTTCTCTTCTGGAGCATGGAAGTCTAATATTGGGATCCAGCTTCCTGTCTGTAAATAGAGCAATGTAGCTCCTTGGAGATGAGTTTTGAAGTGGTGACCATTGCACAGACCACAAACGTTATGACTCTATCATGTCCTGGAAGTATGTTTCACACACCCATGAAAGTGCCTAGAGCCCCTAGTACTGTAGGCATAAGGAGACATGAATGCTGATTTTGTGTGTTCAATCAACAAAGGGGTCTGATTTCTTTCCACTTGCTGACACCTTGGGCTGACAGAGAACATAGATTACTTGCTCCATGAGCTAACAACTCCTCATGGAAAAATATGCAGGTAATTTTAGACTGGAATCCAACCCAATCTAAAATCACTTGTGGATATTAACTAATTTATCATGATTTTCAAATGACTCCAGTGTGAGAAAAATATTGGAAAACGTCGTTCATTGTTAGGAAGGTGTTCAGTAAGGTATTAACACTAGGGAAAGCCAAATTGCTACTTGAAAATAAACACAGCCAACAGAGAATCTCTGAATTTAAAGGTCTAGTGGGAAACTGATCAAATAAGTGTCTTCAAATAATTATATATGAAATATTCCACTAGTCCTTAGACCTAGCTGGTCCTCCTCTCCCCATCAACCAGGAGAAGTGGTGAAAGCATTAAACTTGGCCTTGAAAAGCTGCTGTCCTTCCCCAGCTGTATGACTTTGTGGCAGGGCACAAAGTCTCCCTCTCCAACCTCTGTATCTGTTTTGTCTCCTCCTCCCTGTGTGCCTTGCCCCAAGTCCCTGCCCCACCACAACTTCTCCTTCAAGTTTCCTCCATGTCTTTTCATGGATTGATAGCTCATTTCAGTCCCATGATCTCTGTAGTCCTCAAGGAGAAAGACCACAGCCTTGTGCTGAGAATGGAATGGAGGAAACCCAGAATTGCTCCCAGGTGACTGATGAACAGGCCACTGAAGCGGGAGGGGTGAGGTGGGGCTCAGGAAAAATAAATCTAGATCAAATAAGAGAGGAAAAACAATGTATCTCTAAAGAAAAATATTTTTAATTAAGATGTGTTTGGCATGTACGGTTCTGAGATGGCGTTTTTTTTCCTCTCTGGGGTATTATCCAGTGCTAGGATATTGAGCCTCTCCAATCCTGACTTAGATGTCCAAACTACTGGCACAAGTAATCCCATTTTTTCCAAAAGTGTGATATTGACTGCATCATATTATCTTTTGGAGGTTTTTCATTTGTGACTAGCTGCTTGCATTTATATATTTTTTCCGGTATTCTCCCTATAAACTTATCCATTATACAGAAAACATTAAAGAATGATGACAAAACCAGATGTGGAAGGTATACTTTCAGTTGAGTTAAAGGGAAATATTTTTCTTATGATTCTGGAAGTAGCCAAAGCTGGTTTAGATTCCACTCATGGTGTCTGCACAAGCTTTAGTTCTCACTTTAACTAAACACTGGTGAATATAAATGTCTGGAAATCTACTATAAAGTTCAAAAGAATGTGGCTTTCAAAAGTGAACTGAGTCGCTTTAATGAAGTGTGTGCTACCCGGAGTTTTTCCTTCACTAACAGAGAGAAAACCAAAGATTTGGTAATATTGACTATCAACAACATAAATTCATATTCTAGATCAGTAATTCAAAACTCTTTTGTTTTTAAGACTATTTCAGGGGTGGAAAACCACATGAATCCTCATTATACCAACAAGAACCACAACTACAAAATAATTCTGAAAGACCACTAGCAAAATAATAAGGGTAGTACTACTTTCAGACACTGTAGGAGGTTTTTATTAAACGCAGTAATAAAATTTATGTTGGATAATAAAACATAGACGTTGCCATCTAATAAACCTTTACTAATTTTAGGAAACCAGCCTGTGAACTAAAAACAAGTCCCTCTGACCACCAAACAGGCTCCCATAGCCTGCAGGTAAAGCAACCTGATGAAGGAAGAAGGCTTTGGAGCCAGGTCTGGGTTCCATTCACACCTCTGCCACTTGATAACTGTGGTTCCTGGGGGGAAGTGATGCAGCTTTTCTAAGTCCAGTTTCCATCTGAGAGGATGATGATGATGGCTAATATGTAATATGCTATGCTTCATACATGCTACAGAGTAGTTCCTATTGGCTTGGGAAATGGCTACTAGAGACAAGAAATACTCCCTTTTATAAAGATAGTTACAAAAAGAGATCTGCTAAGCAGTCTTTTTAGGGATCATAAAGAAGCATGTGAGCTGCTTCTGCCACCCCAACCATCATGGGACCACCTTTCTCCCCAGAAGTCTATATAAGCAGGAGACAAGAAGATCCAGGGACTCATTCAAGAGAGGAGTTGAGAATCCAGTATTTATAGTGAGCCATTACTTTCTCCCTTCCTGTGAATGTGTCTTCTCCCACAGACAAGCAGAGGCTCCAAGAGAATCTCTTAAAGTTATTAGAGAAGCCCCTAAGATGGAGCCCTGGCCTGTTATACAACTGCTTATGTAGCAGGCTGGCTGGTCTTCCGCCTGAATCTTTGATCAAAGGGAGAAGAGATAGAGAGGGAGATGGTTTGGCTGGCAAAGGTGAATGAGTTTTCACTTGGTCCATTGGACACTGTTGAAAGTACCTGGGCTTAGGCCACCTTGCAGGGACCCCACCCCAAAAGCAAGATGCTGAGGGGTAGATGGCCAGGGTGAGAG
This sequence comes from Homo sapiens, assembly GCF_000001405.40. Taxonomy (NCBI): domain Eukaryota; kingdom Metazoa; phylum Chordata; class Mammalia; order Primates; family Hominidae; genus Homo; species Homo sapiens. The sequence goes on along the minus strand of NC_000006.12, from coordinate 56,338,461 downwards.
GGGGCAGGGCTCAGAAAGGGTCAGGGTGGAGCCTATCTCCATTGTCAGAGAACTGTGCAATCAGGAAGCTCCAGTGCTCTGGGAAGTATGCTGCCTTCTAGAGAGTATGACAGCCAATAGGTATGGAGCACTACTAGCTGGGTTAGAGAAAAGTGCCTCTTCTCCAAAGCGCTGGAAGAGAAATAAAGTGGGGTGGCATAAAAGAAAAAACCCCTCACGCCTGTAATCCCAGTGCTTTGGGAGGCTCAGGCGGGCAGATCATGAGGACAGGAGTTCAAGACCAGCCTGACCAATATGGTGAAACCCCCGTCTCTACTAAAAAAATACAAAAATTAGTCAAGCATGGTGGCACACACCTGTAGTCCCAGCTACTTGGGAGGATGAGGCAGGAGAATCGCTTGAACCCGGGAGGCGGAGGTTGCAGTGAGCCGAGATTGCGCCACTGCACTCCAGCCTGGGCGACAGAATGAGACTCCCTCTCAAAAAAAAAAAAAAAAAAAGAAAAGAAAAGAAAAGAAAAAAACCCCTTTTCTTCCTCACTTTGAGTGCCATAAGCTAAGGGAAGAGATGAGCATTACAGTGAATGTGAAACTATGTTTTTAAAATCGATCTGGTCTAGGTAAGGCTTTTAAATTTGAATATCTGCAAATAATCCCAAATCAATGGAATCGCTCCAAAATACGGTAAAAGAAAAGTTTGATATAGCACACAAGGAAGACAGCCTATGAAGAGAAAGGAAAGCTTTTCATGTTTGTATTCCACTGAGTTTAGACACAGTTACACATGCATTATCCCATTTTATCTTCACTAGAATTCTGTGAGCTAGATGTTATCTCCACTTCACAGATGTTAAGACTGAGGCACTGAGGGAGGCCCAAGATGGGCCTCAATATGGCCAGGGAGAGGGATGTCTGACTCCAGAGCTGAAGCCCTAAACCAGAAACCTGGATTGGTGGTTGAGAATAAGAATTAAGAACCGCAAAGGTCTAAAGCATTTTGATCATGATAGTTTTTAGTGTGGTGTGACACTTTCATATAGGCCTAATGGCTATTTATAGGCAGACCCCCTTGAAGAAATAATTTATTCTCAGAGGAATATATCCTTTCATTCTCCAGCCTTGCAGAGTAGGACTATAGCTGGAAGATCTTAGAACATTGCAGGCCTTCAGTAAATGGTAGAAGTTGCTGTTGATACAGCAATTTTCATTATTATGTGGTGGAGCCCTTCAGATACCCATTCTAAATTAAAAAGGTTCATTGTCCAGAAAATGTTTAAAAATAGGGGTGTCCAACATTGTCATGTCCACTCATAGTTGTTATTTTGGTGGATCAAGAAGAGCATCCAGGAAAAGTGAGTTCGTAGAGCACATTTGAAAAAGAAATAGATATGAGACAAATATCTTGGAAGAGTGAGCTAAGGTCTGAGCTAAGAGCAGTTCCATGAAACAATTAAGGGTGGCAGGGGAAGATTTGTGGACATTTAAATGTGAAAAAAGGCATAGAGAGTATTTACTTAGTCAAAACAAAGCAAAAGTGCCCATATTGGTTTTGCCAAAATAACTGGATGAAAAATGATCCACCCATTGTTTTGGGCTAGACAGTACCAAATAACTGGTTTGACGTATTTCTTTTTCCCACTGCACTGACCAAAATTTTGGTTGAGCAGACACAACCTAAATCACAGAGCAGTGAGAATACCAGGAGGATAATTTTACAGATGCTGCTATTGGTCCTAACAATAATGACAGTAACTTGAATTTGTATAACTCCTTAAGAAAAACTGTTTTCACATAAATGATCTCATTTGGTTGAAGCTGATTTCAATTTGTGTTCTTCAGTAATTCACTGTTACATATCCTTGAGGAAAACATGGCTGCAGGGAAAAATAGTTAATCTTGGTGGTTTTGAAGGAACTCACAAATCTCTAAGGCTGGCTTATATGCCCCCATTTTCAGGGATCTGGGTAAAACATTTTTAATATCAGAATATTTTCTTATAATCTGTTTTTGTTCTACCATATTTAGTTAAAATCTCCTAAAGTGAATAGTATCCACATAGACTAATTAGATTAAAAATAAAACAGGATACTCCATATCTTCGGTTAAGTTACTTAACTGCCCTAGGTATGCTTCAATGTTCTAAACTTAAATTATATAGGAATTAGAATTCATGGAGTATTCCAGTTGTTCTCAAACTTAAGCTGAATCAGAATCACCTAAAGGACCACTTAAAACAGATAGCTGTGCCCCAGCCCCAGAGGTCTTGATTTGGTCAGTGGGGAAGTGGTCAGAGAATTTGCATATCTAACAAGTCCCCAGCTGAGGCTGATGTACTTTGAGAAATCTGGGGGTCTTCAGTGAGTTAATTTATGTGACTAAAGTGCTTCTCAAAGAACTTAGCACACAGCAAGTGTTTTGTAAATGTTAGCTGTTATTAGCCTTGTCTGTTGTCCTCATTATTGTTGCAATTCTCTTAGTCATCATCATCAACGTCATGGAATAGATGATAATGCAATGAGTCAATAGCAGAGAGTCCCCCAGACTCTCACAGTTAAAATAATGCAGTAACACAAAGTGGAGACTGTATCAGCATTCCTTGGCAATTACCTTGGAAGAAATTAAACTAGGTATCCATGGCAGGCCTCCCTGTAGGTAGCTCAGCCTGGCTTCTCCATACAGTTGTGGGAATAAATAAAGCCCAAACAAATGAGAAAAGCAGAGGCCATTTATTCTGAAGTTGCTATAGCAAGGGAATTGGCCATTGTCACTTGTGTTTTGGCAAGGACACAAAGGCAGGCAGAGGAGTGGGAAAACTTTAAAGTGGAAAAATGAAGAGTTTAGGTATGCCCCAGTTAGAGACTGTTCACATAGTGGGGCTGTAAGAAGGCTAACTAGAAGTGGGGCATCCTATGTGATTGGTTAGAGATGCAAATTTGGTTTTCTCTGGTTGGTCCTAAGTTGAAAGAGGGGACAAAGATTAGAGAAGCTGTCAGTTATAAATTAAATCCTGGCTATTTCGGGCCGATTGTTACAGGAGCTGTGGCTTAATTTCTGGGATTGTCACTAGAGATAGCAATCTGATTTCCTGCAAGTTTGACTTGTAGCAGGCTGATCTGGGCTGTTCATTATAGGTAAGGGGGTTGGTTCCTGGGAAGCTTGCTGCAGGTTGTGAGTGACAGTTTAATTTTTATATCTAGCCTGGCCATTGTCCATTTGTATATTTAGTCTTTCACAGTGCAGAGACCATCTATAGAGAGAGGAAGTTCTGACTGCACCAACCAGTGGTCCAACTCATGTGGTACTTATAGCCCTTATGACAGCTCATAGATTGACTCATTTTTGCATCATCTATCGTTAGCCCAGTTAGTATTAGTCTATCCAAAAAAAACCAATCCATTCTTGGCACACTGGCAAGTTGTCTTTTTTTCCTGCTGCTATAACAATACCAGAGACTGGGTAATATACAAAGAAGATAAATTCATTTCTCACAGTTCTGAAGGCCTGGAAGTTCAAGAACATGGTGCCAGCATTTGGTGTGGACTTTTGTGCTGCTATATTTGATGGTAGAAGGGCAAACATGCACTCAAGACAAAAAGAGGAAATTGGTTTGAACTCATTCTTTAATCAGGAGCCCTCTCCCGTGATAACTAACCCATTTTCACAATGATGCTTCATCCACTTATGATGGCAGAGCCCTCATGACCTAATCACTCATTAAAGGCCCTACCTTCCAATAGTGTTATACTGGCAATTACATTTCAATATGAATTTTGGAGGGAATATTCAAACCACAGGACAAGTCAAGACTCTGAGCCAACCAAAACCAAGGAACAGATCCTATAATTTACTGAATTATAAGCTAATGCTTTGTGACAAGCCTCTTGCTGGCCATGCAGCCATCTTTCTATGGGAAACAAACTAATCTCATTGTAGTTTACAATTAACTTATGATTATATTTATTTTTACCGCTTCTTCATGCCACCAAACCAGGGCCAGAAGTAATAATGCCAATTATAACTCAAAATTGTTGTGTTTTCCTTGTATACTAAGCTAAAGTGTGCAAAAGTGCTTTACATATGTCATTTAATCTCCACAGACGTGCTCTAAGGTAGGTAGTATCATTATTGTACTAATGAGTTTCAAATTCAGCAGGTCTGGGATTGGGCAGCCTAAGAACTTGGGTTTCTACGTTCCCAGTTCATGCTGGTGCTACTAATCTTGGGGGTCCTACTTTGACACCATGTTTCTGGAGGGCAGATGGACAAGTATATACATAATTAGAAATTGTGATGAATTTTACAAATAACAGAAAGGACCCAAATTCTGTTGAGTAGTCATGGAAGGTTTCTCTGAATAAGTGACTTTTTATCTATTCCCTCTTTCTATAGCTCTTAGCTACCTGATGACTCTTTACTGAAACTCCATACTGTCATATGCAAAGCATACACTGTATCTATCTGATAAAGGACTTGTAACCAGAACATATATAGAACCCTCAAAACAACAGAATCAGAAATGGGCAAAATATTTAAACACAGATTGGATCAAAGACGACGTACAACAGGAAAATAATCCCATGAAGAGATCCTCAACACCATTAACTATTAAGGAAATGTAAATTAAAGCAGCAGTAGATACCACCACTCATCTATTACAATGGCTGCATGAAAGATTCACCACACCAAGTGATGGCAAGGGTATGGAGGAACCGAAACTCTCATATGCTACTGTTCGGAAAGTAAAATGATACTTTGGAATATAGGTTGATAGTTTCTTAAGAAACTTAACCTACATGATCCAGCCATTCAATTACTAGGTATTTCCCAAGAGAAGAGAAAGCATACATCCATACAAAGACTTAACACGTGAATGTTCATAGCAGCTTTATTTGTAATAGCCCAAAACTAGAACAACCCCAATGTACATCAAGTGAATGAATAAAATGATTGTGATATATTTATACTATGAACTACTAAGAAATAAGCAATTAATAAACTATTGATATACATTACAATATGGATAAATCTCAGAATAATTATGCTGATCAGAGGAATCCAGATAAGGGTACATGCTGTATGAGTTTATCTGTATAAATTTCTCAAACACTGCAAAGTAATCTATGATGACAGGAAGTATATTAGCAGATGCCTAGGAAGGGGAGGGTGGGAGGGAACAGAGAGAATTGGAAATGAAGGGTTGAAAGGAACACAGGAAACTTTTGCAGGTGATAGACATGTTTATTATGTTGATGTGGTGATTGTTTCACAAGTATGTATATTTATCAAAACTTATCAAATTGCATTCTTTAAACATGTGTAGTTTATTGTATGTCAGTTATACCTCAATAGAACTGTTTCAAAAAATTAGAAAATATGGCACTTTCTAATCTCAGAGTGGAAAGAGCTTCTGAAGCATAAGTGCAGGATAAAAAGAGAAAAGGTTAATAGATTTAATGAAATGAAAATTTAAAATTAAACAACATGGAAAACTAAATGAAAAATGACAAGTTGGTAAAATATTGAGTAATATGTCCAGACATATCTGCTTATAATTTTTAACACCTAAAGAGTTTTTACAAAGTAGTTGGTATGAGAACATACCCATTGAATAATGGGCAAGGAACATTTAATAGGCGGCTTGTAAAAGGAGAAATAAAAATGGTTAAGAAACATTTAGAAGTTTTTATTTTTTAAACAAATCACACAAAAGCAAATTATAACTGAGTAGAAAGATGACACTCTCTATCTAGTTAATTGACATGGAGTTAAAAAAAAACATATAACCTAGTGTTGAAAATGGTGACAAGAGAATAAACAGTCTCCGACCCTACTCTGCTAATGGAAGGGCAAACATGTAACCCTTTTTGGCGGGGGCGGGGGGGCTATTTGGTGACATGTATTAAAAACCCCAATCCTTTGAGACATAAATTCCATACCATAGTAATCTATTCAAAGAAAATATTACTAATGTAGCAAAAAAAAAAAATGTTTTACCCAAGTTGCAGCTAGATTCAACCACAACTAAATGATTTTTTGAACGCACTTCTGAATATTCTTCTGGCTATATCACATTAGTGATCCTCTAATATAGTCCTTACCAGCTAAGAATTTGCATTCTAAAACAAGGAGAACTACAAAACACTGATTAAAGAAATCATAGTTGAAACAAAAATGGAAAGATAGCCCATGCCCATGGATTGGGAGAATCAGTATCATCAAAATAACTATACTGCACAAGGCAATCTACATATTCAACACAACTCTCATCAAATGACCAAAGTTATTCTTCACAGAATTAGAAAAAAAGAATTCTAAAATTAATAGAATTAATTAATTCTAAATTAATACCTACAGCATTGTACAATAACAACTAGAAAAGGCAGTATACTTCACTGAAGCTTGTCTGGTAACATCACTTCTGTGTTATAATGGAAGGTTTTTTGTGATGTATGAAACTTGTGTTTTTTATATATAAATGAGTATATTTAGTGTTGTGGTAATGCCTGTTTTTATCTGTAAATAGTTAAGTATGTACACGAAGCAGTACTTCTGATTTATTGCAGTGTTCAATCCTAGCTTTTATTTTTATTCTTAAAACATTGTTTTGCTTTCGATTTTATGTACCTTAGTTCTGAGTTAGACCTGCAGATGCGTACAGATAGTTCATATTTATGTTCACATTTTGGGAACCAAAAAAGAGTTCAATTAGCCAAAGCAGTCCTAAACAAAAAGAATAAGGCTGGAAGCATCACGTTACCTGATTTCAAATTATACTAACAGGCTTTAGTAACCAAAACAGCATGGGTACTGGTATAAAAATAGACACATAGATAAATGGGACAGAATAGAGAATGCAGAAATAAAGCCACATACATACAACCAACTGATCTTTGGCAAAGTTGACAAAAAAATACACTGGGGAAAGGACATCCTTTTCAATAAATGGTGCTGGGAAAACTGCACTGTCATATACAGAAGCGTGAAACTGGACCCCCATCTTTCACCATATAAAAAATTAACTCAAGATGGATTAATGACTTAAATATAAGACCTGTAACTATTAAATTGCTGGAAGAAAATCTAGGAACAACTCTTCTGGACATTGGCCTAAGAAAGAATTTATGACAAAGACCTAAAAAAGAAATGCAACAAAAACAAAAATTGACAAATGGAACTTAAACTGAAAAGCTTCTACACAGAAAAAAAAAATAGACAACCTGCAGAATGGAAGAAAATATTGACAAACTATGCATCCAACAATGGACTAATATTCAGAATCTACAAAGAACTCAAACAATCCAACAAGAAAAAAACCAAATAACTCCATTAAAAAGTGGGCAAAGGACAGGAGCAGACATTTTTCAAAAGAACACATATAAATGGTCAACAAGCATATGAAAAAATGCTCCACATGACTAATCATCAAATAAATGCAAATTAAAATGACAATGAGATACCATCCTACACAATTCAGAATGGCTATTATTAAAAAGTCAGATGACAACAGATGTTGGCATGGAGAAAAGGGAATGCTTATAAACTGTTGGTGGGAATGTGAATTAGTACAGCCTCTATGGAAAACAGTATGGAGATTTCTCGAAGATCTAAAAATATAACTACTCTTTGATTCAGCAATCCCATTACTGGGTATCTACCCAAAGAAAAATAAACCTTGACATCAAAAAGTCACCTGCACTCACATGTTCATCACAGCTCCATTCACAATAGCAAAACCATGGAATCAAGCTAAGTGTCCATCAATGGATGATTGGATAATACAGGAGACTCCAAACTGTGAGTGGGTGGGAGAGAGGCGAGGGATGAAATATTACTTATTGGGTACAATGTTTATTATCCATGTGATGGGTACATTAAAAGCCCAGACTTCACGACTGTGCAATATGTTCATGTAACACTGCCCTTGCAACCCTAAATCCATAAAAATATAACTAAAACATTTGTATTTGGCTTTATATCAGAGGAGTAAAGGAATGTTTCTCTACCTGGTAGTCCAGTTTTGCTAGCAGAAAAATAAAAATAAAGGAGTAATTGCTATCTGAATATTTTTATTGATGATTTACATAATTAAAGAACATAGTTAATACTAGCCAATGCGTTTTTAGTGTTTAAAAATGTATTCTCTCTGTGTTTATTTACAACTATTTTATTTTTGCTTTACCCTCCTAATATAGCAGTTAATTTGGTTTATACCAAAAATCTATCTTAATAATTTCCAAATTTTCAAATTATTTCCAAATAATTCAAAAATTTAATATTTAAATAAATGAATTATATTTTCTTAAACATGCCCAGTATATTTGGAGATTAATGTACATTTATATTCAAAGAAAATCAATGTGTGTTTCACAATATAGAAAACCAAGTGTGCTTGTAGACTTCCACTGATTTTAAGATCTAATAGAGGTTATATTGAATAGAAAACTTTTAGAAGAGCAGATAATTTTAGTTTTTATGAAATTAGTTTGTGGTATGATACTTCATGGTCAAATCAGCTACAGAAAACTTAGTAAGAGTCTTCAAAAGTTCTATCCTTGGAGAAAATTAACCTTGTGGTTATGACTGCATTCTGTATGTGTCTGTCATATCTTTTCCATGCTGAAATTACAGTGGTCTAGACTATGCTAAGAATCACATGCTGATATATGAAGCCTTTATTAAACTTAGTTCAGAAATTGGAGACTACATGCTACACCTATGGGAAGTCCTAGGGGACTTTTTTGAACCTTCTCTGACAGTTTGATGCCTTCCAAGTTCGTGGCAGCCTTATTTAAACCTGTGACCGGAGTTTGTGGGACTATCTCGGCATATTGCTACACAAACAGCTGTTGTTCCATGCATGTTCTCAGCTGAAAAACAGTAACATTTCCTGACAAACAATCTTTTTCATTTCCTCTCACCCCTGAACTAAACTGTTGTAAAGAGGGGAGAAAATGCAGCTGCCCTACATTATCCAGGCAGCAACATAAAAATCAAGATAGGAAATGGTCCAATGTGGTTATACAGATTTGGCTTTTGAATGTGAAATACATTTCCCTGACTTCCTTCACCCCTGACTTTCTCCATCCATCTCTTTCCTCCCCCACAGCCATGCAACTGGGGCAAAGCTCAAAGAACCAGGGAACCAGTGATAAAAGGATAGCCCTCATAATTATTAAGTGTGTGTGCATCTGTGTGTGATTATATGTACACACAAAATATTTAAGATAGTCAAAGTTAAAGAAACAAGTTTGACATGGCAGTAGACACATGTCATGTAATAATGATAGTGATACTAGCTGTAATTTTTGAGCCTGTACTATATGCCTTACACCGTTTAAAGCAATTTGTAAATAGATACTGCTTTTTTCATTTTAAAGATGACAAAACTGAAATGAGAAAGCCATACATTGCTTGCCCTGTGGTCACACAACCCGTGTGCCAAGTTGGGATTTGAATCCAGGCTTGTTCTTACCCTAAACCTGGGCTCTGAAGGCTCTGAACTATACGACTCTTCCTTTGGAATTGTCCAGATGACGCAGGAGCCTTGCTGCTACTGGAGTATTTAGATTCAGCTGGTTAAGTGGTCATGGTGTTAGGAGCTGCACCCCCAAAATGACCGTCTGTGAGCTTGATTAGCAGAGTTTGCCAGTTAGTATTTTTCTCCCTGTCTGCTATTTCGAGGCATGTTTTTCTGTTATATATTTTAAGATAGTGGGTGGGAAAACATGCTGTAATAGTAAAGTTCAGTACTTACAAAGTAACTCCTTTTTGTTTTGGATATGTTTGTGAATGTATAGCTTTCATCAAATTAGAAAGAAGTTTTGTTTCTGTGACTCATATTAATGCTTCATTATAACTTGTTATTTATTCAGGTCTTTCCTGGACTTTGAGGATTTTGTGGAAAATGTGACAGGCAGGGTCTCTGCTTTATTTTTTTCCTTGTATAATAGAAGACAGATATATAATCAGTGAATAGTTGATGAATTGTAACACCTTTCAGTTGTTTAGTATAGGTGAAGTACTGTTTTATGCCATACCACTAGTGTGATGGGGAAGTATGTCTTACAACCAATGGCAATTGAAGAGACAATTATACTCTGGCTTTGGTAGTGGGAAAGCTGTTCTGCGTTGTACCTAAAGTTCAGTATGCATATTGTATTATCAAATTTGAGATAGGACAGACTATTAAAATATATTTAAGAGTTTTTAATGGGAAAGAACTCATATTTTAAAAATAGTTGACCTTAAAAGTATTTGCAGCTGTCACTGTGAAAAGACAAGTTTACATACTTGGTTTATATAACTATTAATTTATTTTGACTCACATAATTAAGGATCTGAGAAATAGTTCAAGAATTTTTAAGGGTAAATTGTGAGCCCCTTAAAACAAACATTTAAAATGACCCAACTCCCAAATGTATGATGGGCAGCCTGACCCCATATTTATGCGTTTGTAATCTGTCTTATATCCACGAAATAGCTACTTCTAATCAGGCTATTATGTTAGCCTGATTCCAAACTTAACCATTTCTCAGAGTGACTTTTCTCAGCTGCAGGTGCTGGGTTAGTCCCATTGTGAGATGGTTTCCTAGCCAGGCATTCTATGGATGGTTGTCTCATTATTCTTCATAGCAACCCTAGCAGGTAGGTACTGTGATAATTTCCATCTACATTTTGAAGAAACCTAAGCTTAGGCAGGACAATGAGTTGCCCAGGAGTATCTAACTGATGGAGCCAGGATTTGACCTCAGGCCTACTTGATTTGTTGAGTTCAAATCTCAGCCACGATTCCAAACTGGGTATGGTTCTGAGCAGTTTTCTAAGTGCCTCCTTGGCTCCAGACTACTGTCTTGCCTTGGGCTCCTCTACCTGGGGCTTCTGGTCTCTAACCTGATACCTGATATTTCTCCTTTTGCTTCATGTTCCCCTACACCACATGTAGGCATCTGGAAAAATGGCCACCTGTTTGTTTCTGAATCCATCACCTTGGTGTCTTCCATTCCCCAGGCCAAACACTTTTATTCTGCTGTCAAAATTCACTATAGATCATGTGGTACGAGGTTTACATTTTTATTTACTTTTGTTTAAATGAATAATATTTTATTTCTAATTTTGATATTTTCATATTTTATTTAGTAATTTATCTTTATTTCATGAAGTATTTTTTAACATTTTTAATTTTTTAACATTTTAAATATTTTATTTAATGAGATAATTATTTATTTCTACTCACACATAAAAACAAATTCATGAAATCTAAAGCTCATCTAAAACCAAGTTGTTGAATTTAAAAAATAATTAGAGTTTTAGAGCATTTGACAATATATAATATTAATAGTTGCACAAAAGGACCAAATCAAAGTAATAAAGTTTTACATCATCTACTACAAATTAGAATGTTAACTTGATCATACTGGTTTACATAAAAAGGGAAAAAGTCCATTCTGAAGATATATGCGTCTCTATAAGTCATTTCCTAAATATATAATTGGTATGTAAGAATTCCCCCTTTTCTGTTAAGATTTCCCTTTCATTGAGTCCAGCTATCCAGTGGAAGTAACTTTTAAAGGCAGATTCAGGTGTGAATGTCTAGTGTTATGTAAAACTAAATCAGTCCTGTGTTGCCCACCATTGTTCCTAATCTAGTCAAGATAGAAATGAATATGTGTTTTTAACTGAACAGATGAGCTGTTTATTGAATTAAGTTATTTTATTAAAGGTTTCTACAATTTCCTTCCTAACCTAATCAAAATGGTCACTTTGCTAAAAATTAATGTTTTGAAGAATTCCAAAAGTTGTTTCAACTAATCAACAGGTAAGATTGTAAAATTGTCAATCAGAGAGAAAAACATGACTGTTATTTTGATTTGTCATGCTATCTCACATTAGTGTGATACACTATCACTGAATTACAAGTAGATTAGTTTTTGTCCCTCTGGCAAGATTCGAGAGTCTAATGAAATTGGAAAGAAGATAATTTTAGGTAAGACAGAAACAATGGGTATGCTACAGCCCATGTTGCAGCTACTTTCCGAAGTGGGGAATCATTATTATCCTTTTGCTTCTAACTCAATACATTTTTATAATTTTCCAGGTTATTTGAATTAATATATGTGAATTACAGATTGCATTTTTAATATAGTAAATTTTAGCTAACTGAATAATTCAGTTATTCAAAATAACCTCCATTGATTACTTTCAGTATGTTCAAAAGGTTTTTAAAACTTAATTATCTTTTCAATTTTGTATATGTGCACTTAATTAAAATGTATAAAGAACTTTGATAATTAAAGACAACATATCTAATCAAATATGATATTAAATTAGAACCATGTGTTTCCCAGTTTTGTTTTATGTTAAAATTCTTAATCAGTTATCATAATTAATATTATGTATTAATATTAATACTTGTATACATACATATACATAATATATTATGTATATACATATACATAATATATGTATGTATATACATATATTATATAATATATAATATATATTATATATATTATATAATATATAATATATATTATATATATTATATAATATATATTATGTAAATATATATATTATATTTATATATTATATATTGTATTATATATAATATATTATATATTATATATAATATGTATAACATATAATATATAATATATAATATGTATAATATATATTATATATTATATAAATATATATAATATATAATATTTATAATATTATATATAATATATAATATGTATATATAATGTTACATATATTATATATTATATATATTTATATTATCTATTATATATAATATATTTAATATATAATATATTATATTATATATTATATATAATAGATTATTATATATAATAGATAATATATTATATATATTATAGATATATATTATAGATAATATATTATATATTATATATGTATTATATATTTATATATAATATATAATATATAATATATTACAGATATAATATATAATATATATTATATAATATATCAGATATATTATATAATATATAATATATATCAGATATATTATATAATATATAATATATAATATATATAATATATATAATATATAATATATTATAATATATATAATATATAATATATATAATATATAATATATAATATATAATATATATAATATATAATATATATATTATAATATATAATGTAATATAATATTATATAATATACATAATATTATTTAAGGGAGAAAAAAAATCTTTTCCTCATCTTAGGTTCATGACCAAGGCTCCTATAACAAAAGACAGACTAACAAGAGAAAAGCATGCAAATTTATTTGATAAATTTTATGCAACATAGGAGGCTTCATGTAGAATAAAGACCCTGAGAAACAGGTGAACCTGAGTATTATTATGCTGGGCTTGATGAAGAATGAAGAGTCATGGAGAAACAGGATAGCGCAAAAAGGGTATGATCTAATGGTAATAAACTAGGAGAAACTTGGCAAGATCTGTTTGTTCATATTCTTTGTGACCCTTCATCTTCAGAGATAAAAGTACTGTGTATATAGGAAGGCATCTTTCATATGAGGGTCTCTTGATCTGCTTTGGGGCAAGATAAGAAAATCCTTCCTAGGTTTACTGACCCGCTTTAAGATAGATGGTGAGGAGGAGGTCAGAGAGACCTTCCTGCACGTGCTATTTTTCAAATACCTTCAGGTTATCAATGTGCCAAGTTTCAATGATTTGGGTAGTATGTTTTGAACCCCATCAGTTAGATATTCGTGTAGAGTGTCCAAGTGATTATATTAATGTAATATACTTGGGGGTCCGTGGCTGTTCAGATGAGGTAGAACATCTGGTTCTGTCTAGTTTCACCATGATCAGATGTGTGCAGGGTGGGTACTACTCCCAGCCAGGTATCCAGGACCCTACTCCACCTCATATTCGGGTCGGTGAATGGAGAGATTGCCTCCATGAGAGGGTCAGAGGGGGATGTTAGGCAACGTGTTGAGGCAGAGATGACTGTCATTCCTGCTGACGATTCAAGGCAACACACAGGCTGCTCACTGGACCATAGAAAGAAGGGCAACTGGACACTGATTTGGTGCTTGTGCCTGTGGTGGCTGGAGACCTCTTGTCCTTACTCTGCTCCTTTCTAGATAGTTGTGGTATGTTTTATTTAGTCTAAGGGAAGGAAAGGCTTGCTCTGCAAGTTTCTATCTGAGTCCCTGTGCCATGTTATGCTTAGAACTCAAGAAGTGGGCATTGAAGGCTGGTTGAGTTAAAGGAGAAAACCCTCAGAGATTGAAGGATAATGGACTCAGGGGTGGGGAAGACCATAAAGAAATGCTTTGAATTACTATCTCACTACATTAAATTAATGTTGATCTCTGTGCCATACTTTTATTTCCTACATCTGTGTTTCTGTGAGGATTACCTCCAACCCAAGAGCACAAACCATTATTTTTATAAGATAATACTACCAGCCTTTATAATATCCCATAAAATGATGTATTTAATAAAATACCAGAACACACTGACCAAGAATCTTTGCTTGACCAAGCGTTAGTCAGGCTGCCCTGAACCCTCTCCCCATCTGTGTAGCTCCTTATATAGTTTTAGAAAGTGTTTTCTAACATTTTTACTTCAGGCTACATCATAGTAATAATTATTAAAGTCACCGAATGCTTAAGTAAATACTTATTAACTGTAGTGTACTAACAATGTACTATTGACCTGTAAGCTGAGTATTTTCTGCTATTTTAGATTGAACACTTAAGAAAGAGCTACTCCTTCAAAGAGGCAACATTTATCTTAAAATTATGACATCACTGTAATCCCAGCACTTTGGGAGGCTGAGGAGGGTGGATCACGAGTTCAGAAGTTTGAGACCAGCCTGGCCAACATGCTGAAACCCTGTCTCTACTAAAAATACAAAAATTATCTGGGCACAGTGGTGTGCACCTGTAATCCCAGCTACTAGGGAGGCTGAGGCAGGAGAATGGCTTGAATCCGGGAAGCAGAGGTTGCAGACAGCTGAGATTGTGCCATTGCACTCCAGCCTGGGTAACAGAGCGAGACTTGGTCTCAAAACAAACAAATAAACAAACAAAACATCATTTGAAGCATACCTAAGGAAAAACAATGTGAATTATCTTTGAGTTTGTTTCCAATTAGCTATTAACAAGTGATTTTTCAAGAAAACAATATGAAAAACTTTGATGTTCATGCCATATCTGTAATTCTCTGCTTAAATGTTTCTTAATCATGCACAAATGAGTATAGGCTTTAAAAATACTTGAGAATTTTTTAAAATTTATTTTTAGTTTTTATTCTTGTAAATTCAAAGGATACATGTTGCATGGATATATTGTGTAGTGGTAAAGTCTCATTTTTATTGTAACTATCACGCAAATAGTGTACATTGTACCCAATAGGTAATATTTCATCCTTCACCGCCACCTCCTATCCTCCCACCTTTCTGAGCCTCCAGTGTCTATTATTCCACTCTCTATGTCTGTGTGTACACATTACTTAGCTCTTATTAATAAAAAAAACTTGAAAATTTAAAACTTGTATTCTTTGATGACTTGACTTTTTTTTTTTTTTTTTGATAGCAGAGGATGGTTTTGATCCATCGACCTCTGGGTTATCAGATTATTGAAAACTTTGATTTCAAAGGATTTACCTGGCATTTTGGATTAAATATTAACACAAATAAAGGATTAAACCTGTCCTCAACAGTCAACTATATAAGTTATACAGAGAACAAAATAAGGGTCAACCAAATGGAATATCTTGTATAAGTTTAAGGTTTATAAGAATCAGGGATAGAAATGGCTAGTATTCACTTAGTACACCTGGGAATAGTAGTGTAGTGTTTGTCAAGAACTATGAATTCTCTGAGATTTTACTTACTTTCAAACACATCTTTATTAATAAAAATAGGAGCCATTACAATCAACACATTTTTGCCAATGAGAAATAAGTTTGCTTATTCCTGTAGCATAAAAATCTGTGCTTTGGGATTTGACAATCTCCTGGAAAGCATTTTCTGCATTCTCCTGGTTGTGGAAGTGTTTTCCCTGCAAAAAGTTGTTGAGACGCTTGAAGAAGTGGTAGTTGGTTGATGAGAGGTCAGGTGAATATGGTGGATGAGGCAAAACTTCGTAGCCCAATTTCTTCAACTTTTGAAGAGCTGGTTGTGAGACATGTAGTTGGGCGTTGTTATGGAGAAGAATTGGGCCCTTTCTCTTGACCAATGCTGGCTGCAGGCATTGCAGTTTTCAGTGCATCTCACTGATTTGCTGAGCATACCTCTCAGATGCAATGGTTTCGCCTGGATTCAGAAAGCTGTAGAGGATCAGACTGGCAGCAGACCACCAGTGACCATGACCTTTTTTTGGTGCAAGTTTGGCTTTGGGAAATGCTTTGGAGCTTTTTCTCAGTCCAACCACTTAGCTGGTTGTTGCCAGTTGTCATATAAAATCCACTTTTCATTGCATGCTGATTTAGAAATGGTTGGTTGTTGTTGCATAGAATAAGAGAAGATGACGCTTCAAAACGATTTTAAAAATGTTTCGCTCAGCTCATGAGACACCCACTTATTGAGCTTTTTCACCTTTCCAATTTGCTTCAAATGCTGAACGACCATAGAAGAATGGGTGACGTTGAGATCTTTGGCAACTTCTCTTGTAGATGTAAGGGGGTTCAACTTCGATGATTCTCTCAGTTGGTCATTGTCAACTTCTGATGGCTGGCCACTGCGCTCCTCAACTTCAAAACTCTCTTCTCCTTTGCAAAACTTCTTGAACCACCACTGCACTGTACCTTTGTTAGCAGTTTCTGGGCCGAATGTGTTGTTGATGTGGTGAGTTGTTTCCATTGCTTTACGACCCAATTTGAACTCAAATAAGAAAATTGCTCAAATTTACTTTTTGTCTAACATCATTTACATGGTCTGCAATAAACATAAACAGCAAGTAAGAAATCATTAGCAAAAAAACATAAAGTGAGAAATGCCCACTAAAGTGATGTATAACATAACCACATTTATTTAAGAATGTATTCCAATATCAAATGGCAAATGCCAATGCAAAAATCTCAATGACTTTTGCTCCAAACTAATGTGTAATAGGCTTCATTTTAGGAGAGGAACTCTGAACCTAGAGAACCCAATTTTTTTTATAATGGGCAACAAGCACACCTTTGTTTGGGAGGCAGATACTATCTCTTAATTTCTAGGACTGGTCAGTATACAAAAATTCTTGAAAACATGGTCTAAAACAAATGGCAATCAATGCCTTGACTCATAAGATGTGCAGAAACGTGAGAGACCCATGGGGAATTGATTCCCAAACATGTTGTGAGGAAGATCTGTGTTTAATTAGAAGCTCTGCAATTTCTAGCAGTTCTGTACTCCTAGTGGATGAGCTACTTATTATTTTCCATGTCTAAAATTTGTTTTTTTCATCAGTGAAAGTTAGTATTTTTTCAATTAATATATATTGAATCCCCACTGTGTCCAGGCACAGTTCTAGGCATTTAAAATAAAGTAGTAAGTAAAGCAGACAAAAGTCACTCTTATGGAGTTTATATTTTAATGAGTACATATTGGTCATAAAAAAAATCAAAAGTATATAGTGAGATGAAGATGTAATTGCTTTGGAAAAAGTAAAGCAGAAAAGAAAGGAAGAGAGTCCTGAGTAGAGTGTGTTTTTATTTTAGAAAGGTATTAGGGTTTTTGATAAGGTGAACATTGAACAGAAATCTGAAAGATGTGAAGGTACAAGCCACATGAATATCAATGGAAAGAGATTTCTAGGGAGGGGAAGCAGAAAATGTGAAATTATTAGGCAGACCCTGATTGGTGAGTTGGAGAATTAGCAAGAAGGCTGTATAGCTGGAGTGGAGGCTGTAGGAGAGAGAAGAAAAGGAGAGTGGGAGGGGTGTGTGTGTGTGTGTGTGTGTGTGTGTGTTCAGATTGTGTAGGACCTTGGGGGTTATCATAGGGACTTTGAAATTGACCCTGGATAAGATAGGAAGGTATTTAGGGCTTTGAGTTTGGAAGTGGCCTGGTCTTACTTTAAAATACAATCTTGAGTTGAAGATATCCTGGTGGAGAAGCACAAGGAAAGAAGCAGAGAGGGCTCTGAGGAGGCTTCACACTGATGTAAGAGAGCTGATGGCTATATGGAACAAGGTAAAGATACCAAGTTTTAGACATATTTTGAAGGCAGAACCAACAAGATTTGCTGAACGATTAGATATAGGGTATTAGGGGAAGAAAGGAGTCAAGTATGACTTTAGGGTTTTGGACCTTCGAAGGATGGAGTTGCTATTTATTGTAATATATAAGATTATGTGAGACATAATTTGGGGGATGGCAGAAGGTAAGATGCCAGTTTAAGATATGTGTTGCTTTGAGAGACTTATTAAGTATCCAAGTAGAGGTGTCAAGTAGGTGGTTAGACACCCAGGAGTCTGGAGTTGTCAATATCTAGATGGTATTTAAAGAGGTGAGCTGGAGGAAGCCACAAGTAACCAGATAAAAAAGATAACATGTCTAACTATTGATCTGTATGAGGCCACAAAGTTTAAGTTTAGGGAGAAATTCAAATGGAGGAACTAGTACAGACCTGGTCTAATTAAGGTAGAGGTGTTAAGGATCCTGCCAGACGTGACCTAACACAGCCTGTCAGGTATATATTCCATGGCTAAACTCCTAAGCTTTCATGGAGAATCCATAAAAAACTGAGATTTTTAAATTTGGTAGTCTAATCAGCTTATTCAAGAACATAATGCTCAGGCTGATCTCTTTGTCTGCCAACTAATCAATTTACTCAAAAATGTACAAAAAGGCCGGGCCCAGTGGCTCATGCCTATAATGCCAACACTTTGGGGGGCCAGGGTAGGCAGATCACCTGAGGTCAGGAGTTTGAGACCAGCCTGGACAACATGGTGAAACCTTGTCTCTACTAAAAATGCAAAAGTTAACCAGGCCTGGTGGAAAGTGCCTGTAGTCCCAGCTACTTGGGAAGCTGAGGCAAGAGAATTTCTTGAATCCAGGAGGTGGAGGTTGCAATGAGCAGAGAGTACACCACTGCACTCCAGCCTGGGTGACAGAGTGAGACTCCGTCACAAACAAATAAATAAACAGTACAAAAGATCTCTGTTCCAGGCCACCTGCAGTTTTTTTCCACCTTTCCTTCCCCTCTTGACTCTGCCTACCAGACAGGTGTGAAAACTTCTGCATGCAAAATAACTAAACACACTGCCAAACAACTATCTAAATGTCTCTGAGTTACTTCTTGATAATGGAGAGATGAAAAGAACCAGCAAAACAGGTTAGGAAAAGTAAAGGAGGGCGATGTCCCAGAAACTGAAGAAAGTGTTGAGAGAAGGGTGCGATCAACTGTGTCAAGTGCTGCTGGAAAGTCAAGGGAGGTGAAGACTGAGAATTGACTATTTGATCAAACATTGTGGTTGGTTACCATGGCAAGAGCAGTTTTGGAGATGAGGCAAAAGCTTCAATGAAGTGGGTTTAAGAGTGTGTGTGTGTGTGTGTGTGTGTTTGGGGGGAGGTGGGGTAGGAAGGAATTTTGGACAATAGGTACAGACAGTTTGAAGAAGTTTTACTGAAAAAACGGATTCAAAGAAATAGATTAGCAGCTAGTGAGCTCAATACTAGACATATACTTCTTTAAGATGGGAAAATTTATAGCATATTTTGGATGGGAATAATCTATTAGAGAAGGAAAAATCTATTAATGAAGTCAGGAGAGGTGTGCTTGAGAAGGTAAGAGGAAGAGGATCCAGTGCACAAGAGGTAAGATTGAACTTAGTTACATAAAGGAACCACTCATCAAGTGCAGCAGGAATGAAGGCAGAGAACATGGACAGAGATGGAGGATAAGTGGGTAGAGGTAGTCAGGGGAGGGCATGGAAGTTTTCTCCTGATGGCTTATTTTATTTCCCCCTGCAATAGAAAAGGGAAATGTGGCCATCAGCTGAGAGTTATAAGAGTGGTGAAGGTGTTGAAGGGTTGAGGAGAGAAAAAATCTGAAAAGGGATTTAGGGGAATGGGGGAGTGAGTGCACTAGGAAGTCCAATTGGACTTCTAGGTAGCACTAAGGGTTAGTGGACACATATTTAACTTAAGAACAGTCAGGATGGTTGAATATTTTTTAGCCATGTTCACTTTCACAGGTACAGGGATAGGAGTAAGTAGAGTTAGATTTCACCAGAGTGGGAGTCATACTAAGAGAATATAAAGAAGAAGAAAGGGGTTTGAGGTTGTATGCAAGGGAAAAATAATGATGGACCATGGTCATTAACATTTTTTTGTGATGAAAATAATTAAAATCTGTCTTGGCTATTTTCAAATATGTAATATATTGTTTTTACTGTGGTCATTATAATGTACAATAGATCTCTTAAACTTAGTGCTAACCGATTTTCTTTTTGCACATGGTACTTAATGTGTTACTGTATTGTAATTATGTGAGCATATCCTTGAACTGTCTTGGAGTCAAATTGTAACTTTGCTACATGCCTGCTAAGAAAAACTACAATTAAAAACACGCTTAAAAATTGTAAATAGACTATTCTTATTTTTTTAAGAAAAGGAAATATAGTTTTGTAAAAATACTCCAAGAGATCAAGTAGGTGAAGGAAGGTGGATCATGAAGGCGGCAAGGGATGGTGAAAAGTAGAATGAATGGTCGCATATCTACTGCCATTGAAATACCTGTGGGATAGGAGTACTAGAGAAATTGAGCTGGAGATATACGAGGTGGTAGTCAGAAGGTGATATGTTTAAAATTGAGATTATGAAGGGATTCAGTTATTTGTAGTGACCAATGCCATTGGTATGACCATGGAATTGGGGGTTGAGCCAGGATGAAGGACATGATTTACTGAGGAGAGGAAGGTGGTCAATGAATTAAGAGGCTGGGGTATTGGAAGAGTCATCTACATGATTTTGAAATTTCTAAAAGTTATGAGAGGAGTAACAAGTGAATAAGGAACTAAAATCTTCACATACTGAGGAGGAATCACCTAGGGGTCTGAAGATGACTGCAATATAAGAGGCATTGTGACAGTATGGGGGATTGCAGCAGAGAGCCACAGTGTTATTGAGAAAATAAAGGGATAGAAGCTTATAAAATATTTTGCATGGTGCCAGGCATGTAGTAAGTGCTCAGTATATCATTTTTGAGATTCTAGTTTTAGTTTCAGCAGTAAAGAGCTCAGAACTCATCACTCTCACCTTTACTACAAGAAGAAGCTGAACAAATTGAAAACCAGTGACTTTTCTTGGTCTATAAGCGAACCAAGGTTGAGGGATAAACTGCCACCCTGACATCTGGAGAGAGAGGTGAGTGCAGACAGTCACAGCTGAGATCCGCTTACCTGGAACAGAAGGTGCTAGAGCCATAAACTGGTGCTAATATTTACATGATAATTTTGATTCATTGCTTGAATTTGAGTGTGAAGTAATCTAAAAGTGAGAAACTCCTTGGGGCTGCAGTCTTTGTATACTAAATGACACTTCTGAAGCAGAAGAAATATGCCCCAGTGACTAGACTGGGCTTGAAATTTTGTACACCCTAACCCAGCCTGCTGTTCAGAATTTTAAATGTCAAACTACTTCATCTCTTGAAGTATTTTTATAAAACTATATTTCCTTTTTATAAAAAATAAGAATAATTGGCCTTGTGCAGTAACTCATTCCTGTGAACTGAGGGCACTTTGGGAGGCTGAAGTGGGTGGATCACTTGAGGCCAGGAGTTCAAGACCAGCCTGGGCAACATGACAAAACCTCATCTCTACTAAAAATACACAAATTAGCCAGGTGTGGTGGCACATGCCTGTACTCCCGGCTACTTGGGAGGCGGAGGCACAAGAATCACTTGAACCTGAGAGACAGAGGTTGCAGTGAGCCAAGATCACGCAACTGCACTCCCGCCTGGGTAACAGAGACAGACTCTGTCTCAAAAAAAAAAAAAAAAAAAAAAGTCTATTTAGAATTTTAAAAGGTGTGCTTTTAATTGTAGTTTTTCTTAGTAGGCATGTAATAAAATTATAATTTGACTCCATGGCAGTTCAAGGATATGCTCACACAACTGCAATATAATAATGCATTAAGTACCATGTGCAAAAATACTGGTTAGCAATAAGTTCAAGCAAGAGATCTGTGCACATCATAATGATTACAATAAAAACAATATATTGCATACTTGAAAATTGCCAAGAGAGTAGATTTTAATTATTTTCATCACAAAAAAATGTTAAGAATGTGAGGCAACACATGTATTAAGTAACTTGATTTAGCCACTTCACAGTGTATACATATATCAAAACATATTGTATACCATAAATATATACAATTCTTACTTGTTGATTAAAAATAAATTAAAAAGAGAAAATTGGTTAGCAATGGCATAGCAATTAGCATAGGTGTGTTTTGTTCTCCCAGATCTATTGTGGTATGACTGACAAATAAAAATTGTATATATTTAAGGTATTCACTGTGATGTTTCAATAGACACATGCTTTGTGAAGTGATTACTACAGTCAAGCTAATTTAACATATCTATCACTTCACATACTTATCTTTTTTTTGTGGTGAAATTACTTGAGATCCCTCTCAGCAAATTTTGATTATATGATACATTATTATTAACTATGGTATGCTTTTTAAGTTCCTTTTCATGGGGAATAGAGAAGAACTTGATTGACCTAACTCAGGCAATTGCAAAGATCTATGTGCAAAAACAGGTAGAGGAGGGGTAGAGGGAGGAGCGGGAGATGAGGAGGAAGAGGGAGAGGAGGAAGGAAGAGGGAAGGAGAGGGAGGGATGGCGGAAGAGAAGGAGAGAAAAGTCTCAAAGGAAGCTAAGAACAGCCTCTAGGGAAGAATAGAAACTGTAGTTTGGAAATGGGAGATTCAAGATTCAACCCGGATCTAAAGATGGGCCTTTCTGTTGGTCCTTCAGAAGGAATAAGAGATCATCACTCTTTCTCTTCTTTTTACGTATTTCTTCCTGCAATTAAATGACTAATTCTCTCCATACTTCTAAATTTAACTTTAATAATGAGATAATCTTATCGGTGTAGCTGTCATCCTTGGCCGTGTTTGTAGAGAACTCTTCAAGCTGCCTCATAGGTGACTGGTCAGCCTATGTGTTCATCTGCCCCGTGGGATCAATCAAAAGGCAGGCATGTAGGCCCGAGGGGCAAGGAAGCTCTCACAGGTGGAGAACACAGTCACCCCGCTCAGGGCCTCTCCATGAGGAGATATTCCTTCAAAGGAAACAGAATATAGCTGTCTTGTGTTTTACAATCAGACATCTGGATGAAAAGAGAAAGTCAATTAGTTATTTGAGTTTACATTCATGTATTTACCTTGTTTCTAGACTGTCAAAATGTTTATAGCATTTATTACACTGGCTTTAAATAATTATCGGTTGCATTGATTTTTGTAAAGTTATGTAGTCTGCGTTTGCGGTAACACCCCATAATACTGCTTGTGCTCAGAGGTTCCAGAGATTCTTGTCTACAGGTGCTCAAATCCCAAGGAACCAAAGAATCTGTGTTGCTGTCCTGCCCTCTAGTGGTTTTGCTTGGGTTTACAGTTACTGCACTGCAACTTTCTCCGCTAATTCAAAATTACAAGGGAAACTGTGTTTTTGTTCCATTTAGAGAATGCACTAAGAACCATAACATCACAATATGTTTCTATTTCTTCTCGTGGGAAAATCACAAATGGTACATAAAACTCTGATAGGAAATCCAAAGTTGGAGCTATGAAAACTGAGTGTTTTGAACTTTAGAAGCTTTTCGTGTTGTTAAAATTATATAATGTTAGGAATGGAATAAAGTTTAAGATCACTGAATTCAACCCAATCACTTTGAAGTTGAGGAAAAAAGCTCCAAGATTTAAATATCTTGGCCGAGGTGTTGCAGACAATTTACATTAGAACTGAGCCTAGAATCTGGGTTTCCTGATTCTAGGAATCTTTCTTTTATACAACCCATATCTTACAATTAGACTTACTCAATGGGAAGAGGGCTCAAGGTCCAGGCTGTTATCAAGAAAAAAAGTGTGACATCTCCAACAGGAAAATGAATCTCTCTTTTGTTTGAAGGAAGGAGAAGATATATACCCTTTCTTTGTTGGGAAAATAATACAATTTAAAAGGATACCTTCTGGCCAGGTGCGGTGGCTCACGCCTGTAATCCCAGCACTTTGGGAGGCCAAGGTGGGCAGATCACAAGCTCAGGAGATGGAGATCATCCTGACCAACATGGTGAAACCCTGCCTCTACTAAAATACAAAAAATCAGCCAGGGGTGGTGGTGCGTGCCTGTAGTCCCAGCTACTTGGGAGGCTGAGGCAAGGGAATCACTTGAACCCAGGAGGTGGAGGTTACAGTGAGCTGAGATCACCCCACTTCATTGCAGCCTGGTGACAGAGTGATACTATGTCTCTCTCTATATATATACCTTCTTTATTGATTTCAGAGTATTATTTCTTGGCAAAGCAGAAAGAGCAGAAAACAGACTGAATGGAGCAGACGCAAGTGAAGAGGAACTACAGGAGTCTTTCATGTTTCTGACCTCATGTGCTTTCTCTTACTCAAATAATAGGTCACTAGGCTGATTTGGCTGGGGCATCTGTTCCCTTTCTATCAAGGATCTAAATGGCTATGCTATGGACTGAATTGTGTTTTCCTAATGGTTGTATGTTGAACTCAAGGATCCAAATGGCTATGCTATGGACTGAATTGTGTTTTCCTAATGGTTGTATGTTGAACTCAAACCTCCAATGTAACTGTATTTGGAGACAGGGCCTATAAAAAGTTAATAAGATTAAGGGAGGTCATAAGGGTGGAGTCCTAATCTGATAACACTGCGGCCTTATAAGAAGGGAAAGGGAGACAATAGAGAGATCTCTCTCTGATTTGTGAAGGCAGTGAGAAAGAACTGTCTGTGATCCAGAAGAAGGGCTCTTACCAGAACCCAACCATGCTGGCACCCTGATCTTGCACTTACAGCTTCCAGAACCATGAGAAAATAAATTTCTACTGTTTTGGCATGCATCCTATGATATGTTGTTATGACAGCCCAAGCTGAGATAGGTTACAGCTAGGTAATGTGTTCACTAGTCTAGAGACTAGTGAGCTGTTCTCACTAGAGAACAACTAGTCTGTTCTCTGACTGCTCCATCCCTATCTTTTTTTGGGTAACCCTCACAAATAAGGGAGGACTGTTTTGTGCAGTGTATATATGAGGAATTGTGCTCCCCTACTAGAATCTCCAGATACCCTAGATCACTCCACTTGCCCTGTACTTTGGCCATTTTAATTCCTTACTAGCTATCTCTAAACTGCATCCTCCTCCCCTGCCCCACCTTGAATGATCCCGAGAAACCAGGGGGATTTGCCAAGCATGGATAAGTAGTCACAACAATTAAAGATATGTGCTATGCGGCCAGTCTTCCTAGTGCGGAAGGCTATGGATTCAACTTCCTTACTGACATCTCTGAAACTTTTGCTACTGTGGACTATACCCTCCTTGTAAAAGACATCAATTTCTACTGGCTCTCTTGCTTCCTTTCCAATCCTTCCCTCCTTTTCCCCTCAAGGGCACCATTTCCTCTGTATGTACCTCAGTGGTCTCAGTGGTACTGAGGTGCGCCAGATGGTATCAGTCCATTATTCTCATTCTAAATGCTTTCTCTTTTGGCAACCTTGTGTCTTATAATGTTTTCTTTTTCACTACCATTCATATTTTTCGGCCTCCCAAAATAGCTTTTTTCTTTCATTCCTGTCCTAAAATCTCTTCTAGCCTTCAATTCATGTATCCAAACTGATAGCTGTATATTATTCCTGGCTATTGTGAGCTAAGTATCTAAGTACCTGCTGGATATTTTTATCTGACCATCTGAGAGATATCTCAAACCAAACAACTTAAGTATCTGAACTTACAGTTTTCATTTACTGAATGTTCCTACTCAAACCTCATCATTCCCTGACTCAGAAATACCAACATGTTCCCAGTCACATGTGCCTGAAAGCTGGGAGTCAGTCTCAATTCTTTTACCCCTTCTCCCATGGCCAATCAATCATCAAATTCTGTGTTATCACCTAAGTAATCACAAACTGCATCCCTCCTCTCCTTCCCTGCTGCTGTTTCTCTAGTTGACACCTTCTTCCTTGCTTGTTTGCATTAACCTTCTAAGTCAACAATCGGCTTCCATTGTTGACCCACTTAAATCTTTTATAGTACAGCTAGATCAAACAATCTTAAGATCAGATGTGACTGGTTGCAAATGACAGAGCTGTCTTCAAAACAAGGCGCATATGGTCCTTATACTCTAGTCACTGCCTTTCCTTCCAGCCTCATCACCAGTCACCTTTTCAGCATGTCATATTCCAGATTCGCTGAATAGTTTTATAGTTCCCTGCTCACACAATTCTGTTGTCAGTTCATTATGCTCTTTTCTTCTGTTTATGACTTACTACCGCAAACCTTCAGTCCTCATCCTCGCTGTCATTTTTTCAAGACTCAGTTGAGGCATCCCCCACTCCAGAAAGCCTTCCCAATATTGCATTAGGATAAGTGTTTCCCCTTTGTGCTAACATAGAGTCTTGAACATCCCTCTGCCATTGCAAGGATCATTCTGTAGTTTCATGTATATCTGCCTTCCTCAGTCATTCCTCAAAGGGAGTGACCATGTCAAGGCTCAGCCCAGGGCCTAATGGGTCCCAAGAAGTGTTTCCAGGGCAAGTATTTAAAGTTAAAGCCTTCAGTTTCAACATCTTGTGGGTAACTATTTATTTTTACAGAAATACATGTACACACACACCATATATTTACACACACAACTATAAGCACCTTAAGTAGCAGTTCTCTTCAAAAGTAAAACCCTGTTTGCCTGTTATAAAAATCTGGAGTGGTACTACAGGTCCATTTAAAGAAAAGTTACTTTGTCACGGTGCAACCCCCTCATAAAAATATAATTATAAAGGGTTCCACTAGCTTTCTTCTCAATGTTCTTCCTCCTTTTCACTGCTTATCTGAAAAGGAACTGGAGCACACATTACAATAATTAGGGCGGTACTGCCTGAGCCCGAGTGACTCTCTGCCAAGGGGCTCTGATCTGGACCACTCCCTCATTATACTAGGAACACATGTTTTCAAACAAATGCTCTGATGTAGCAACTCATATCCTGGAACTAGTTTCTACACACTAATCCAAGAATTGTAATCTCTGGTTTATGCTATTTACTCACTATCTTTGTGTATTCATTTTGGCCAGGAAAAGGGTCATTGTATTCTGTAGAACTAGCATTTGATGGGCTAATATTAAGAGTTTTGAAAGTTTTCTGTTTATGGAAATGGTGCTTTTAAAATACATTGGCATTGCACTGCTAAATACTTGTTATATCTTTTAAAACCTAATAGCCGTATATTATTCCTGGCTTTTGTGAGCTAAGTATCTGTTAATTTGCTACATCTGTGCCAGGGACTAAAATCCATGGTTTACATGTCAACTCAAGTATGCTTATGGGTCAAATAGTCAAATAGATTTCTGGTAGAAGGAAAAAAAATCTATCAATGTATCTATTAATGTAATATATGTTTATATAATATGTTCTAAATATTATATAACAATATTATGGATATTCATATCAAATACATACATATATTAATATGTATTTCTTCATTTGGTCTGTATATATTCCTTAGCATTGGATGGTAAAGCTTTTGAGCAAGACTTACTTAACTAGTCAGACAAGTTATTTGGGCTGCAATCATGTATTTGTAAGTGGCCTCTAAGTAATTTTTATAAAAATAAAAAGAGATTTAATATCAGAATACCTCATTTAAATGAAATTATGAGTCAGTAATAGTCCTATTAAATACTATGGTATACAACATCAGGAGTGGTGAATTTATTTTTACTTTGTAGACCTCCCCACTTTTCAGGCATCAGTATGCCTTTAAGACAGTGGTTCTCAATCTTGGATATTAGCATCATCTGGGGAGTGCTAAAAATACTGATACTCAAACTCTTCTCCTAGAGATTCCAACTCAACTGATTTGGCTGAGGAGTTTGGCATTAGTGTTTTTAAAAACTCCCTAGTAGGTTCCAATGTGCGGCTGGTGTTGAGACCCCCAGCTTTAAAACTTCCTCTAGTGGCAGCAAAAAGATAGGCACCCAGGTCTTCCAAAGTAGTCCAAAGTAGCCAGGCTGTATCTGCAGGAATCAAGTCTCATTAGCTCAATTTTCTGTCTTACGTCTTCCATTTCTTTTTGCGTTTCTGATTACAGATGTTTAGTGTCTTCTTCCCTAGCTCTTGCTGTGCCTAGTTTATCCTCCAACTAACTGATCCTGGATTTTGATACTTGACTTTACCCTTTCACTCAGTTATCAATCTTGGACTTTTAAAGCCTGGGTACAAAGAAGAATAAAATACAGCCTTTTGTCTTGGAAAAATTCACCACTGAATTATGACTACAGTCTCCCTATTAATGACCTTGTTTTACCCTTATCTATTGTTATAATTAATCAGTGCATCCATCCATCCCTGCATCGATCTGTCCTTTCATTGAAGAAGTAATAATTGAGTGCTTACTATAATATATGTTAGGCAATATTCTAGGTTCTAGGGATGTCTAATGAACAAAGTAGACAAAAATGCATGCATTTATAGGCTTATATGTTCTAAAGACCATTATGATAGGATAAGGTGATGAACTGCTCAGGTCCCTTCAGAGGAGACTTTTTGACTCAACTGTTGCGAGTACTGTCAGTAGACATCTTTCCACTATCAGCCCTTTACAGACATTGCCTAAACTATGAGAGCTACCTGGCTCATAGTCACTGCCCCCCTGGGAGTACCTCACATCCAACAATAGAGGCAGAAATATAAAAATCCTGCTATTAGAGCTCAACATAAGACATGTGATGGCTATTTTATTCCAGAGCTACCTCTGGGGTTGTCTGAAAAATGTTGGACCTATACTGTTCAAAGACACTCTCTCTAAACTCTCTCATGAACATTCTACACGAGAAGTGCCATCTCAGAGTCTGCTTCTGAAGACCTCAGCC
Organism: Homo sapiens; assembly: GCF_000001405.40. Taxonomy (NCBI): domain Eukaryota; kingdom Metazoa; phylum Chordata; class Mammalia; order Primates; family Hominidae; genus Homo; species Homo sapiens. The sequence continues at coordinate 56,309,373 of NC_000006.12, read as the reverse complement.
TGCAAAAAGGGTGATCTGAGGAAACCCAGTATTATTGGCCGGGCACGGTGGCTCATGCCTGTAATCCCAGCACTTTGGGAGGCCGAGGCGGGCAGATCACGAGGTCAGGAGATAAGACCATCCTAGCCAACATGGTGAAACCCTGTCTCTACTAAAATACAAAAAATTGCTGGGTGTGGTGGCATGTGTCTGTAGTCCCAGCTACTCAGGAGGCTGAGGCAGGGGAATCGCTTAACCCGGGAGGCAGAGGTTGCAGTGAGCTGAGATCACACCACTATACTCCAGCCGGGCGACAGATCAAGGCTGTCTCGGGGAAAAAAAAAAAAAAGATAATTGAGGACTGAGCGTGATTAACAAACAGCCGAAGGTCAAATGGAAGTCTCTGAATCTTCTCTATCTTTCTGCCCTCCATCCTGACTATGATAGTAAATCTAAAGCTTATCACATCCAAAGGGAAGGATAAAAATTAGTGCCACTCTTATGGACCTACTTCCCAGTGGAATTTGCTGTAATGGTGGAAATGTTTTATATTTACCCTGTCCAACTGAGTATCCACTAGCCACATGAGGCTACTGAGCACTTGATATGTAGCTAGTACAACTGAGAAATTGAGCTTTAAATCTTATTTGTTTTTTTGTAGTAAGAACATTTAACGAGATCTATCCTCTACAAAAATTTTGATGTACAATATATTATTCTTAACTATAGGTACAATGTTTTATGGTAGATATCTAGAGCTTATTCATCTTGCTTGACTGAAACTTCACGTCCTTTGAGTAGCAACTTTGCATTTCCCATTTCCCCAGTTCCTGGAAACCACTATTCCACTCTGATTCTATGAATTTGACTATTTTATATACCTCGTATTAATAGAATCATGCCATGTTTGTCTTTTGGTGACTGGCTTACGTCACCTAGTATAATGTACTCAAGGTTAATTTATTGTCTTAGTCCCTTTGGGCTAGTTTAACAAAAATATCACAGGCTGAGTCATTTATAAATGATAGAAATTGATTTCTCACAGTCCTGGGGGCTGGGAAGTCCAAGATCAAGGCAATAGTGTTCAATGTCTGATGGGGGCCTCCTTGTTGCATCCTCACATGGCAGAAGATGGAAGAAGATGGAAGCTGGTAAGCTAGTTCTTACCAGCCTTTTTCTAAGGCACTAGTCCCATAAAACCATAAGGGATTCTTTATGGGCTGTTACCAGCCCTTTTATAAGGCAGAGCCTTCATGACTTAATCACTCGCCAAAAGGCCTCACCTCTTGATACCACCGCAATAAGGATTTAGTTTCAGCACTTGAGTGTTGGGGGTCATTCACACCATAGCATGCATATTGTTGCATATTGCAGAATTTCCTTCTTTTTAAAGGATTAACAGCATCTCATTGTATTTATGTAGCCAGATTTCTTTATCCATTCATCTGTTGATGGACCCTTAGGTTGTTTGCACATCTTGGCTATTGTGAATATTTATTTTTAATTAAAATTAAAATTAAAGAGGGGGTGGAGCCAAGATGGCCGAATAGGAACAGCTCCAGTCTACAGCTCCCAGGGTGAGCGACGCAGAAGACGGGTGATTTCTGCATTTCCAACTGAGGTACCGGGTTCATCTCACTGGGGAGTGTCGGAAAGCGGGTGCAGGACCGTGGGTGCAGTGCACTGAGCATGAGCCCAAGCAGGGCGAGGCATTGCCTCACCCAGGAAGAGCAAGGGGTCAGGGAATTCCCTTTCCTAGTCAAAGACAGGGGTGACAGACGGCACCTGGAAAATCGGGTCACTCCCACCCTAATACTGTGTTTTTCCAACGGTCTTAGCAAATGGCACACCAGGAGATTATATCCCGTGCCTGGCTTGGAGGGTCCTACGCCCACGGAGCCTTGCTGACTGCTAGCACAGCAGTCTGAGATCAAACTGCAAGGCGGCAGCGAGGCTGGGGGAGGGGTGCCCACCATTGCTGAGGCTTGAGTAGGTAAACAAAGCAGCTGGGAAGCTGGAACTGGGTGGAGCCCACTGCAGCTTAAGGAGGCCTGCCTTCCTCTGTAGACTCCACCTCTGGGGGCAGGACATTGCCAAACAAAAGGCAGCAGAATCCTCTGCAGACTTAAATGTCCCTGTCTTACAGCTTTGAAGAGAGTAGTGGTTCTCCCAGCATGTAGCTGGAGATCTGAGAACGGACAGACTGCCTCCTCAAGTGGGTCCCTGACCCCCAAGTTGCCTAACTGGGAGGCATCCCCCAGTAGGGGCAGACTGACACCTCACACGGCCGGGTACTTCTCTGAGACAAAACTTCCAGAGGAACGATCAGGAAGCAACATTTGCTGTTCACCAATATCTGCTGTTCTGCAGCCTCTGCTGCTGATACCCAGGCAAACAGGGTGTGGAGTGGACCTCCAGCAAACTCCAACAGACCTGCAGCTAAGGGTTCTGACTGTTAGAAGGAAAACTAACAAACAGAAAGGACATCCACACCAAAACCCCATCTGTACGTCACCATCATCAAAGACAAAAGGTAGATAAAACCACAAAGATGGGGAAAAAACAGAGCAGAAAAACTGGAAACTCTAAAAATCAGAGCACCTCTCCTCCTCTAAAGGAATGCACCAGCAACGGAACAAAGCTGGATGGAGAATGACTTTGACGAGTTGAGAGAAGAAGGCTTCAGATGATCAAACTACTCTGAGCTAAAGGAGGAAGTTCAAACCCATGGCAAAGAAGTTAAAAACCTTGAAAAAAAATTAGATAAATGGCTAACTAGAATAATCAATGCAGAAAAGTCCTTAAAAGACCTGATGGAGCTGAAAACCAAGGCACGAGAACTACACGATGAATGCACAAGTCTCAGTAGCCAATTCGATCAACTGGAAGAAAGGGTATCAGTGATGGAAGATGAAATGAATGAAATGAAGCAAGAAGAGAAGTTTAGAGAAAAAAGAATAAGAAGAAATGAATAAAGCCTCCAAGAAATATGGGACTATGTGAAAAGACCAAATCTATGTCTGATCGGTGTACCTGAAAGTGACGGGGAGAATGGAACCAAATTGGAAAACACTCTGCAGGATATTATCCAGGAGAACTTCCCCAATCTAGCAAGGCAGGCCAACATTCAGATTCAGGAAATACAGAGAACTCCACAAAGATACTCCTCGAGAAGAGCAACTCCAAGACACATAATTGTCAGATTCACCAAAGTTGAAATGAAGGAAAAAATGTTAAGGGCAGCCAAAGAGAAAGGTTGGGTTACCCACAAAAGGAAGCCCATCAGACTAACAGCTGATCTCTTGGCAGAAACTCTACAAGCCAGAAGAGAGTGCCAATATTCAACATTCTTAAAGAAAAGAATTTTCAACCCAGAATTTCATATCCAGCCAAACTAAGCTTCATAAGTGAAGGAGAAATAAAATACTTTACAGACAAGCAAATGCTGAGAGATTTTGTCACCACCAGGCCTGCACTAAAAGAGCTCCTGAAGGAAGCACTAAACATGGGAAGGAACAACCAGTACCAGCCACTGCAAAAACATGCCAAATTGTAAAGACCATCGAGGCTAGGAAGAAACTGCATCAACTAATAAGCAAAATAACCAGCTAACATCATAATGACAGGATCAAATTCACACATAACAATATTAACCTTAAATGTAAATGGACTAAATGCTCCAATTAAAGGGCACAGACTGGCAAATTGGATCAAGAGTCAAGACCCATCAGTGTGTTGTATTTAGGAAACCCATCTCACGTGCATGAGACACAGATAGGCTCAAAATAAAGGGATGGAGGAAGATCTACCAAGCAAATGGAAAACAAAAAAAGGCAGGGGTTGCAATCCTAGTCTCTGATAAAACAGACTTTAAACCAACAAAGATCAAAAAAGATAAAGAAGGCCATTACATAATGGTAAAGGGATCAATTCAACAAGAAGAGCTAACTATCCTAAATATATATGCACCCAATACAGGAGCCCCCAGATTCATAAAGCAAGTCCTTAGAGACCTAGAAAGAGACTTAGACTCCCACACAATAATCATGGGAGACTTTAACACCCCACTGTCAACATTAGACAGATCAACGAGACAGAAAGTTGACAAGGATATGCAGGAATTGAACTCAGCTCTACACCAAGCAGACCTAATAGACATCTACAGAACTCTCCACCCCAAATCAACAGAATATACATTCTTCTCAGCACCACACCACACTTATTCCAAAATTGACCACATAGTTGGAAGTAAAGCATTCCTCAGCAAATGTAAAAGAATAGAAATTGTAACAAACTGTCTCTCAGACCACACTGCAATCAAATTAGAACTCAGGATTAAGAAACTCACTCAAAACCACTCAGCTACATGGAAACTGAACAACCTGCTCCTGAATGACTACTGGGTACATAACGAAATGAAGGCAGAAATAAAGATGTTCTTTGAAACCAAAGAGAACAAAGACACAACATACCAGAATCTCTGGGACACATTCAAAGCAGTGTGTAGAGGGAAATTTATAGCACTAAATGTCCACAAGAGAAAGCAGGAAAGATCTAAAATGGACACCCTAACATCACAATTAAAAGAACTGAGGAAGCAAGAGCAAACACATTCAAAAGCTAGCAGAAGGCAAGAAACAACTAAGATCAGAGCAGAACTGAAGGAAATAGAGACACAAAAAACCCTTCAAAAAATCAATGAATCCAGGAGCTGGTTTTTTGAAAAGATCAACAACATTGATAGACTGCTAGCAAGACTAATAAAGAAGAAAAGAGAGAAGAATGAAATAGACACAATAAAAAATGATAAAGGGGATATCACCACTGATCCCACAGAAATACAAACTACCATCAGAGAATACTGTAAACACCTCTACGCAAATAAACTAGAAAATCTAGAAGAAATGGATAAATTCCTCGACACATACACCCTCCCAAGACTAAACCACGAAGAAGTTGAATCTCTGAATAGACCAATAACAGGCTCTGAAATTGAGGCAATAATTAATAGCTTACCAACCAAAAAAAGTCCAGGACCAGATGGATTCACAGCCGAATTCTACCAGAGGTACAAGGAGGAGCTGGTACCATTCCTTCTGAAACTATTCCAATCAATAGAAAAAGAGGGAATCCTCCCTAACTCATTTTATGAGGCCAGCATCATCCTGATACCAAAGCTGGGCAGAGACACAACAAAAAAAGAGAATTTTAGACCAATATCCCTGATGAACATCGATGCAAAAATCCTCAATAAAATATTCACAAACCGAATCCAGCAGCACGTCAAAAAGCTTATCCACCATGATCAAGTGGGCTTCATCCCTGGGATGCAAGGCTGGTTCAACATATGCAAATCAATAAACGTAATCCAGCATATAAACAGAACCAACGACAAAAACCGCATGATTCTCTCAACAGATGCAGAAAAGGCCTTTGACAAAACTCAACAACCCTTCATGCTAAAAACTCTCAATAAATTAGGTATTGATGGGACATATCTCAAAATCATAAGAGCTATCTATGACAGACCCACAGCCCATATCATACTGAATGGGCAAAAACTGGGAGCATTCCCTTTGAAAACTGGTACAAGACAGGGATGCCCTCTCTCACCACTCCTATTCAACATAGTGTTGGAAGTTCTGGCCAGGGCAATCAGGCAGGAGAAGGAAATAAAGGGTATTCAATTAGGAAAAGAGGAAGTCAAATTGTTCCTGTTTGGAGATGACATGATTGTATATCTAGAAAACCCCGTGGTCTCAGCCCCAAATCTCCTTAAGCTGATAGGCAACTTCAGCAAAGTCTCAGGATACAAAATCAATGTACAAAAATCACAAGCATTCTTATACACCCATAACAGACAAACAGAGAGTCAAATCATGAGTGAACTCCCATTCACAATTGCTTCAAAGAGTATAAAATACCTAGGAATCCAACTTACAAGGGATGTGAAGGACCTCTTCAAGGAGAACTACAAACCACTGCTCAATGAAATAAAAGAGGATACAAACAAATGCAAGAACATTCCATGCTCATGGGTAGGAAGAATCAGTATCGTGAAAATGGCCATACTGCCCAAGGTAATTTATAGATTCAATGCCATCCCCATCAAGCTACTTTGTGACTTGCTTCACAGAATTGGAAAAAACTACTTTAAAGTTCATATGGACCCAAAAAAGAGCCCACATTGCCAAGTCAATCCTAAGCCAAAAGAATAAAGCTGGAGGCATCACGCTACCTGACTTCAAACTATACTACAAGGCTACAGTAACCAAAACAGCATGGTACTGGTACCAAAACAGAGATATAGACCAATGGAAGAGAACACAGCCCTCAGAAATAATGCCACGTATCTACAACTATCTGATCTTTGACAAACCTGAGAAAAACAAGCAATGGGGAAAGGATTCCCTATTTAATAAATGGTGCTGGGAAAACTGGCTAGCCATATGTAGAAAGCTGAAACTGGATCCCTTCCTTACACCTTATGCAAAAATTAATTCAAGATGGATTAAAGACTTAAATGTTAGACCTAAATCCATAAAAACCCTAGAAGAAAACCTAGGCAATACCATTCAGGACATAGGTGTGGGCAAGGACTTCATGTCTAAAACACCAAAAGCAATGGCAACAAAAGCCAAAATTGACAAATGGGATCTAATTAAACTAAAGAGCTTCTGCACAGCAAAAGAAACTACCATCAGAGTGAACAGGCAACCTACAGAATGGAAGAAAATTTTTGCAACCTACTCATCTGACAAAGGGCTAATATCCAGAATCTACAATGAACTCTAACAAATTTACAAGAAAAAAACAAACAACCCCATCAAAAAGTGGGCAAAGGATATGAACAGACACTTCTCAAAAGAAGACATTTATGCAGCCAACAGACACATGAAAAAATGCTCATCATCACTGGCCATCAGAGAAATGCAAATCAAAACCACAATGAGATACCATGTCACACCAGTTAGAATGGCGATCATTAAAAAGTCAGGAAACAACAGGTGCTGGAGAGGATGTGGAGAAATTGGAACACTTTTACACTGTTGGTGGGACTGTAAACTAGTGCAACCATTGTGGAAGTCAGTGTGGTGATTCCTCAGGGATCTAGAACTAGAAATACCATTTGACCCAGCCATCCCATTACTGGGTATATACCCAAAGGATTATAAATCGTGCTGCTATAAAGACACATGCAGACATATGTTTATTGTGGCACTATTCACAATAGCAAAGACTTGGAACCAACCCAAATGTCCATCAATGATAGACTGGATTAAGAAAATGTGGCACATATACACCATGGAATACTATGCAGCCATAAAAAATGATGAGTTCATGTCCTTTGCAGGGACATGGATGAAGCTGGAAACCATCATTCTCAGCAAACTATCACAAGGACAAAAAACCAAACACCGCATGTTCTCACTCATAGGTGGGAATTGAACAATGAGAACACATGGATGCAGGAAGGGGAGCATGGGACACAGGAAGGGGAACATCACACACCGGGGCCTGTTGTGGGATTGGGGGGGGGAGAAATAGCATTTGGAGATATACCTAATGTTAAATGACGAGTTACTGGGTGCAGCACACCAGCATGGCACATGTATACATATGTAACCAACCTGCACGTTGTGCACATGTACCCTAAAACTTAAAGTATAATGGAAAAAAAAAGAAAAAAGTTAAAATTAAAATAGCCACATGTGGTTAGTGGCTATTGTGTTGGACAGTACATATCTAAAGGGTGAAGTGGTAATCTCTGTCATATTTCCAGTTCTTCCCTTTGAGAAAACTGTTTCTGATGTCTGTAGTTAGAAGTAATCTTGTTCCTATCTTTATGTTTCTTGTTCCTGCTCTAAAAAACTATCACAAACTTAGTGGCTTAAAAGAACAGAAATTTATCATCTTCTGTAGGTCAGAGTCTGAAATAGGTCATATGGGCTAAGACCAAGGTATTGGTAGAAATGTATTCATGTCTGGAGGCTCCAGAGGAATCCATTTCCTTGCCTTTTCAGCTTCTAGAGAATGCCTGCATTCCTTGGCTTGTGGTGTCTTCTTCCATCTTCAATGCCAGCAGCATAGCATCTTCAAATTTCTTTCTAACTCAGACATTGTGCCTCCTTAAAATGATCTTTTTGATTCCATTGGGCCCACTTGGATAATCCAGGGTAATCTCATTTCAAGATCCTTAATTTAGACACATCTTTAGAGTCTCTTTTGCCATGTAAGGCAACATATTCGCAGGTTCCAGAGATTAGGATGTGGACATCTTTGGGAAACCATTATTCTGCTTACCAAACCATTGTAGCTATTCTGCCTTGCCTTATAATTTCCCATGTGCTTTTCTATCCACCTCCTTGAGAGTAACAATTGGGTCTGAATGATTTTTAATTCCTAGGTTAAAACTGTGGCTTTCATACCACAGATGCTCAAAATATGTTTGTCGGAATGAAATAAGATAAATAGAAAGACTATTTGATAGGTTTAGATTGGGTAAATAAAGCCCCTTAAGGTGGGTCCTGGTGTAGGAAATTGATTTTGATCATTTTCATGAAGTCTTCACCAGTCAATCAACCAAGCAATCAATAAAATAGATTTTAGAGCAGTATTTATCAATCACCAATTGAATAGAGACTGAATAATTGTACCCTCTTCTATTTATTTTGGCTAATTATGTGTCTTGGGCTAATGAAAGCAATGGAAGCCAAAGCCTGTTTGTATGGTTCTTTGGAAATTAAGTCAAGAACAAATAATGGTAGATTGACAGTTAATGGATTATGTCTCAAGAAAACATTTCACAAGGCCACTATGACATCTTAAGATTAAAACATTATTTGATGAAAGAAGTTAATGTATGAAAAAATATATTAAACATTTATATCCAATGAATGAGCAATTTACCCAGTTTTTTAGAAGACATTCCAGGACAAAAAATGTCTAATTTAAATTTTTAAAATAAAGTAAGCATTTAATAAAAGGTTATTTTTCAAAATGTAAACATACAAAAGCAAAGAGGATTATATAACAAACTCAGGTACCTGTTACTCAGCTTGAACAAGCAACTATCATCCCATGACTGCCTTGTTTTAATCTAATTCCACTCTCCACTCCTTATCCCCACTTCCAGCCTCTACTCTGATTATTTCAAAGCAAATCCCATAAAAATATCATTTTATCTGTACATTTAATCATTATACACACATTTAGAAGGATCTGTTAATGAATTTCCTCATATTCATGTTGGCTTCCGGCACATTTTGGCTACTCCATAATCTTTCTGGTATTTATTGTCTTTTCTTTACCTTATGTGGAATTTTGTACTGAAGGAAAAACATAACAACTAAATATAGAAAACACTAAGCTGGCTAGCCTTGTTTAATTTTCCTATTACTTCAATTCATATTTTAGAAAACAGCTTACAAAGTGGAACTATATGAGATTGCAAGTAGAGTTAAAACAATATTTATATTTTTATTTATCGGGAGAAAGGGGAGCTCTTAACCGCAGGGGAAATATGAATAAAAATATCCAAGTTCTACTCCCTTTTATTTTAGGAACATATTAAATAATGTTGAGGTAAGACATATCATTCAGTTGTAGAAGGAACATAGAGACCTTCTGGGATTAGGGAATATTCTGAGGGAGAATTTCTCAGAATAATAATTAGGGGAAACCAGAATTTTAACTGAGAAATAAGATATTGATGAAGATGGAAGTCTGATCAGAAAATATGAGGCCATAAAAATGTGATTTCACATGAAATATTTCTTATGGGAATGAAAATGTCTTTTTTTCATATGAGTCTGTATACAGTGATTATAAATGACTTTTCTCAATATATTAAATATATTAACAAAAGTGCACATTATTAAGGTGGTTGGGCTGGAGAATTACCTTATTGTAAAATTACATAATGTTATCAAATAGTTGTTTCTGTCTTTCTGCCACTTTTAACTACCAAGAACCACAGCTAATTTGTCCATGCAATGGACCTGAATCACAATGCTTTGTTCTTAAAGATATGACTTGAAATATTTGAGGGAACAAGTAAAATCAATTTTTCAAATCCAATTTGGCATTTGAAAATACATTAAGCTGAAACTCTCTGTTATGCCACTTTTCCCCAAAGCAGAAAGGTTCTATGTAGCCATTCCATTCACAGAGTCCTAAGAATTTTTAGCTGGATAGAATATATGAAGTGATCTAATTTAGCTCCGTGTTTGAACCCTGATGTCTCTGGATTAAATGTATTGCTAAAGGCCACACATCTAAAAAGCAACAGTTTGGAGACAAGAAGCTGACTTTCCTGCCTCCCAGGTTTGTGTCCCTGCTCTCTCTCATTACAAAAGATGAGGTTTTTGTTGCAAGTGACACATGAAGAAAATTATTTGATTCTGTTTACTGTGATTGTGTAGAAATTTGTACTTTGATACTATGACTTTGAATATAAGTTGTTTCAAGGAGTTATATGACTTTTAAGGTCCCCTTAAGCTCTAAGAGGATGATGATGTATTTGTAATAGCAGGTAGTAACTTGCATTTCTTAAATTGAATAAGAAACTTCAAAAAGATTAAATAGAGAGAAAGGAAATTGGAACTCTGCGTCTGGTCTCTGTTGCTGTTGCTGTTGATGGGGCTGGCAGTATGTTTATAGCTGTGCTGAGCAAGAATACTTGCAGCAATCTTCCCATAAGTCACCTGTTTCTCTGAAGACTCCTTCCAACTCCTCACCTTAATTAGAACTGGCTCTATCCTGAATATACCATCCCTTGCCACCAACTCTTTAGACCTTGGGGCTGAGAGTGGGGTGGTGTCCTTTTCACTCCTTATTACTATTTTTAGATCATTTCTCCTTCATCCTCAGACCACATGTCTGGCTCCCAGTTGCACATTATAGGTTACAGAGACAACAAACTCAACTGCTTCTGATTCCCATCCTCAACCATCCCACTGTCAAATCTACTCCCTGCTCTTACTGTTTCAGTGAAAGGCACCCCAAGTTTGCAACTGCCTGAGACAGACATCTGAGAATGATACACGACACCACCCTGACTTAACTGCATTCCATTTAACTCAAATTCTATTGATTTTAATAGTTAAATATATCTAAAATTGTTTTTTGTTCTGCAAACCTGTTGGCTCACATTAATTCTAGTCAACATCACCTCTCCTGAACTGTGGCCACATCTTCCGGAGTATTCCCTTCACCATTGGACTTGGCGCCTTCCAATCTGTTCACTTGCTTGGTGACAACCATGTGTGCAAGGTTTTTTTTTTTTTTAATTTAGCATCCGTATTACTATATTACTTTCATAAAAGAAATTGAACTCCAGGAAAACCAAAAAGCTTGCTCACACTGACACAACTCTTAAGTGTTAGAGCCAGATATTCTGGTTCCACACCAGGATTTTGTCATCTTCCAGATGCCCCTTCTAAGGTCTAGAGAAATGTGCACCCCAAAAGAATGAACAGTGCAGAATTGAGGCCCCAACCAAAGGATAAAAATGATAGACGGCTACCAGCTTTTAAACCCTAACTGTAACATAATGTTCAGTGGCTTGAAGGCAAAATTCTGAGTCATAATAATGGCATTTAGATGCCATCAGTCCAGAGTGTTGTGACCTTTTGAGAACCATAACTTCATTGTGTATAACTTGTTTCTACTTTCCAATATCTCATTTTATTATCATTGTAAAACATGCTTGTTTTTTAGGGATTTTACTTTTCACATTGCCATCAATAAAAAACCAAGTGATTCTTTGATCAGAGTTAGAACAGCCAGTTGCTCATGAAGCCAAATAAGTTACAGTCAGTAAAAGAGTATAGTAAATATTCTTAACTATTTTTAAGTACCCTTTACACACTTGGAATTGTTTCACAATATGCCAGAACATTAAGCAAAGTAAAAATGAGTATGTTGGCCCATATAAAGGGACCTGTCTGTCTTTGTAAGTCCAGAGGACTACTGATTAAATTTTAAGGTAGTGACAAGTAACCTCAAGTTTCACCTGATTTAAGCAGAAGAGAATAAAAAAAACAATGAAGTAATTTGAAGGGAATTCTGAGATTTGCAGGTTTTTTTGGGGAGGAATTTACTGAGATGACTTCAAAGGACAGGGAATATAGAAACCAGTTTTCACTTGTCCAGGCTTTTATTCATGCTGAGTAACTCATGCGCATGGCAACTTAATCTGTGTTGAGTCTTTCTTCTATTGAAATATGTTGTCATTTTGGCCTGCATTTAATTCCCCTCCTTTAAAAATTAAAAAATGTTTGGGCTCAGTATTGTATCTCTATGGGAGATTGGCAATTTAATAAAGCAGAAGACTATTATGATAAAGCTACAACAAAAGTTCTGCTGACTAAAATTTAAATAAGTGGGTAAAGAGTTGAAGGGCCTTCAGACAGCTCATGGATGGTAATAGCCTAGGTTGAGCCTAATTTGGGTTGCTAGTCATGTCAATGATGAAGAATATGAGGTTAGAAAATCATATTGGAAACCCATCTTTGATAAAATGTGGCATATTTCCATTCCTGTAATCCATTTCATATATTTAGTGCCTAGAGTACATGATTTCTCAAGTGTTTTATGGACACTTGTGGGTATTTTTCTAGAAACAAAATGTAAAATGTTGGTGGTTAGTATTATAGGAATTTTACATGAACCCCTCCAATCTCACCATCCCTGAATTTGTATATTTCTTCTGACATGTTGGTTCACTATAATTCAAGACACAGCCTAAATATTGTCATAGGAGGAAACCTGGGATAACATACAGTGTATATGTTAACAACCCAGAGTGAATGAAACAAATTACGAAATTGCCTTTGGATGTTTATTATAGGTGGTACCTGTCTGTGTATCAAGAGAAAATGAGAGGGAACGTAATACTTTAAACGTATCATTATAGATATGAGGTAATTGGAGATACAGCTAAGTATCATGGACCAAATTTTAAAGTCATTAGTAGATACAATAGTTTAAAGAAGTGATTGTGACCAGGAAGATTGGAGAATTGTTTTGCTTAAATATAGTTTTCACTGAAGACTGGAAAATGCCCTTGCTGTTTAACTATACCCATTGCAAGTTAATTGGATTGCCCATTTCTTATCTTCATTTAAAAATATGATATATATTGGATATGTTGTTACTTAAAAATTTTATGTTAGACAAGAAAAGAGTACCTACCATGTTTTAAGACAGATTTTGATTACTTTAATGCTGAAATATACTAATATTTACATTAAAATCAACCAATATCTCAATAAACTAGGAATGGAGGGAATTTCCTCAACTTGATAAAGAACATCTGTAAAAAACTTATAGCTAACATCATACTTAATGATGAGAAACTAGATGCTTTCTCACTAAGATCAGGAATAAGGCAAGGATGTCTCCTCTCACTACCCCTATTCAATATCATACTGTAAGTCCTAGATAATGTAAAAAGACATGAAAAGTAAATCAAAGGTATACCAACTGGAAGGGAAGAAATAAAATTGTTTTCAGATGACATGATTGTCTATGTGGAAAATCCCAAGGAATCAACAAAAAAATCCTAATACTAATAAGCAACCTTACTCATAGCAAAGTTGCAGGATATAAGGTTAATAAAAAGTCAATTTTTTCCCTATATACCAGGAATGAATAATTGAAATTTAAAGTTAAAAATATAATACTATTCAGATTAGCTCCAAAAAGAAATAAACAGGTATAAATTTTACAGAATATGTCCAAAATCTATGTGAGGAAAAGTACAAAACTCTGATGAAAGAAATCAAAGAAAATCTAAATAAATGAAAAGATACTCCATATACAATGAAAGGAAGACTCAATATTAAGATGTCATTTCCTCCTAACTTCATCTATGGATTCAATGGAATCCTAATAAAATCTCAACAAGTTACTTTGTGGATGTTGACAAACTGATTCTAAAGTTTATTTGAAAAGTCAAAAGACCCAGAATAAAAACATATTGAAGGAGAAAAGCAAAGTCAGCAGGTCGACATAGCTGGACTTCAAAACTTACTATGAAGCTACAGTATTCAAAACAGTGTGGTACTGGTGAAAGAACAGGCAAATAGACCAATGGAATGGAACAGGGAGCCCAGAAATAGACTCACATGAATGTAGTCAACTGATCTTTGACGAAGGACAAAGGCAATTCAATAGAAAAAAACCCAATCTTTTCAACAAATGCTACTGGAATAATTGAATACCCATGAGTAAAAAAAATAAAATAAAATGAAAAAGATTCCAAACACAGACCTTGCACCCTTCACAAAAATTAACTCAAAATGGATCATAGACGTACATGCAAAATGCAAAACTGTAGAACAGCTGGAAGATAACACAGGAGAAACTCTTAAGTGACTTTGACTTTTTTATATACAATACCAAAAACACTATTCATGAAAGAAAAATTGAGAAGTTGGACTTTATTAAAATTAAAAACTTCTGCTTTGTGAAAGACACTTTTAAGAGAAGGAAGAAACAGCCACTGACTGGGAAAAAAATTTCTGCCACCATATCTGATAAAGGGCTAGTATCCAAAATATACAAAGAACTCCTTTTAAAACTCAAAAATACAAAAGCAAATGACCCAACTAAAATATGAGCAAAAGATCTGAACAGACGCCTCACCAAAAAATAAACATACAGGAGATACTCAACATCATTTGTCATTTAGAGAACTGTACATTAAAACAATGAGATACCACTATACACATTATACATTTGTCAAAGCCCATAGAATGTGTAACACAAACAGTGACCCCTAATGTAAATTATGGGCTATCGTTAGTATTGCCGTATCAGTAGTGCATCAGTTGTAACAAATATACCACACTAATGCAAGATGTTAAAAATAGGTGAAAATATATGTGTGTATATGGGCAAAGGGAATAGACAGGAATTCTCAATATTCTGATCAGTTTTCTATAAACCTAAAGCCTAACATTATAAACAAAAAATATGTGAAATTGCTTTTCACTTGAATATACATTGTAGAAATATGCAATGTATTTTATATGCACCGTAGAACATTATGCATTATTTCTTGACCCTTTGAAAGTTTTTAATCTATGGAATGTATTGATTGATTTTCAGTTTTGACTGAAAATGGCAAAGTTAAGCCCTCACACAATGCAATAAATTCACAAAGGCAGTAGAGATTTGCTACTTAATTCAATCTTGCCTTTTTGTTTGATTCAGAGTCAAAATATAATTGTAAGTGATAGTCCCATTTAGTATAGTAAAGATAGGAGTTTAGTGTGATTATGACTGGTAGAGTAACATAACAATTTGAGTTCAGTTCTGGTTCAACTAAATTGCCATTTCAAATCAATTTTGTGGTTTTATTTTAATTACGTTTGACTCACCACATGCAGTTTTCACCATATGCACTTTGCAATAAACCAGGATAAATTCCAAAAGGCGCTAGCGCATCTCAGCTGTTACAGTTCAAGTTCAGTTGCAACTTAATACAATAGAAACCTTTCTTCCTTTCATAAAAGTTTCTCATGGCTGAATGCATTTTGCATAATTAGCCAACTGTTTGGAAATTTTCATGGGACTTTTTCATTTATTTTAATTAAATTTCAAAATCCAAATCATTATCAGCTTTCATGTGTCTTCATCATAAATTTTTCATAGTAATTCTTAGATTTATTTGATAATTTTCATTTTAAATCAAGATTCCCATAAGATATTTTTGGCAACCAAGTCAAAGCTGCCTAAGGAAATGTGAAAGTTAGAAGAGATTTTTATCTATAATCTCATGTTTTATTTCATTAATGATTAAAATTAATACATTTATATGACAGTTTAACATTGGGTTTTTCTTTTAATACTGGACACTAGGTCTTCTAGTTTCTACATAGTAAATATGATTATAGTGAGTTACACCTTTTTTGTTGTTGTCTGAAGACTGTCATAATATCTTTATCTTCATATTTATTCATCAGCTCATTCATCTACACTAAAAGAATCCTTAATGTCATATGTCATGGAAACTTTAAAAAACCTGAAAATTTCAGAATACATGACTCATAAAACATGTGAGAAAAAGAATCCTATATACAAGACAATGATCGTATAAAATGACATTGTTTTGGCAAATCTGGAACACAGATGAGAACTTTTGAATCAAAATTATTGACACTTTTTACATTACTTAATTTTATTTCACGTAAAAGTTGAAAGAGAATTAATAATGTGTTTAAAACTAAAAACTGAACATGCACAAATATACGGAAACTTCTGCTTTCACTGTAGATTCAATGCAAACTCAATCTTAGTGTATTTTAAAATTATGCAGAATCTTCCTAGATTTGAAAAATATCACTTTTTATTTGCACTTTGATATGAGCTAGTCTAATGATAAAAGCATACTATAAATTTTTAAGCATAAAATTGAATACATATGTATATATACTTTATATTAACACATACATGAATGCATCCTACTTTAAATGATGTTTTAATACAATTGTTAAAAGGATTGACAACTTTCAGGAATAATTATGCTTAAGATTTAAATTCAAAATACTAGACTTTACAATTACAATCTAAGCTTGAGTTAGAGATCCTCCACTGGGTGGCAGAAGCATACCAGGAATATTCACAAATAGACCCTGGCTCAGGGAATGTGTTGTCAGTGTGTGGATGTTACCTAGGAGAATATGCTGATGCCCCTAAGAAGGTCATGCACTGACCAGTTATTTCTTCAGCTGTGTCCATGTGTTGGCACTGAGCTACTATGTTCTCCCACCTGGTATCCCTTGTGGTGAACCAGGCACATTTGCCAGATGCCTGGTAGAGGGAGATACTCCAAGCTCTGGCTAACAGGGCTTTCTCTGTGAGAGGCTGAGGCACCTGCATGGGGGAAAAACAAAAAGCAAAACAAAACAAAAAACAAAAACTTAATGCCTGGACTTACTATTTCCCTGGTGAGTTCAAGAACCCAGACTCTCTTTGGCGGGGGAGGGGGGGGGTCCCTGTTTTGTTGATATTAATTACACCATATATAAATTCAAAGTGAAGTTTTTGAATTTACTCGGGCAATTAAGGAAGGACCAAGAAAAAGATGTTTGTAATAATTTTAAACAAAAGCAGAGTAACAGGCAAGAAAATATCTAACTTTAGAGATAACACCTTGACTGAACTCATTTCTTCATCCCATTGAAAATACTCTTTATTTTTAATTTTTATTTTTTTGAGACAGAGTCTCATTCTGCGGCCCAGGCTGGAGTGCAGTAGTGTGATCTCAGCTCACTGCAACCTCCACGTCCCGGGTTCAAGCTATTCTCCTGCCTCAGCCTCCCGAGTAGCTCAGATTACAGGCGTGTACCACCACACCCAGATAATTTTTGTGTTTTTAGCAGAGACAGGGTTTCACTACGTTGGCCAGGCTGGTCTCGAACTCCTAAAACTCAGGTGATCTGCCCACCTTGGCCTCCCAAAGTGCTGGGATTACAGGCACCACACCCGGCCTGAAAATAGTCTTTACATGTAAGATGATAAACCATGGTGAAGTAGTGGTTTGTATCTTCAGCATTAGGGAACGAATTGTGATTATTTTAAAATGGGGATTGCTGCCAAGCTACTGACTAACAGGAGATAACTTATTTTAGAAGTCAAGATAGAGTGACATCCTCTAACACAGGACTTTTCACAGTATAGTACATGTAAGAATCCCTTGGGGTTCTTGCTACAATGCCGAGTCTGATTCAGTAGCTGTGCCAGTTACAGCTATTGCCTCTCAACTCCAAACCCACCCTCCTAAGCTCTGCTTTGTGGTGTTGGAGCTAGACTCTGCGACCCGCATTTTGGCTCTTAGTCTCCCTCTAGCACCCACTACTTTGTGCTCAGCTTTTGCAGTAGTGGGTGCCAGGGGGAGACTGCAAGGCCAGAAGTGGGAGAAGGCATCCGCCTGTTTGCAGCTTCTGTATCATCCCAGCAATGCTGCTTCAGTCTGGCAGCAGCGGTTCCTTTCTGTGGTAGCAGCTTCCAGTTTGCAGTTTTTTTTCCAGTGCTCTCAAAATGAACTTCACCTTGCCCCTTCAAACACCCCAGCACTGGCCAAGAAACTGCCCCTTTCTCAGGGATCCAATCTCTTTCTTTTTGTTCCCCTAACTCTAGAGTTGGAGCTGCTTTCTGCAATTGTTACCTCCATAATATATTGTTAGAGTTTTACTTTTACTCTTTCAATTACCTAGTTAACTTTATCCCTAGTTAACAGTTCTTTATACAAGATTCTCACTGTTCAGATAACTGCTGTGGTTTCTTTCCCTTCCCTTGACCCTGAGTGATGCAGTAGGTCTGAGGTGGGGCCCAAGATTCTGCATTTCTGACAAGCTCCCGGGTAATGCCCAGTCGCTGGTCCATGGATCACATTTTTAGTGGCAAGCAGAAGTGCTATTCAAAGGTGTAGAGAAGTGGTTCTCGATATTTGGCTGCACATTTGAATCACCTGGGAGCTTTAGGCAAATAGGAATGGCCATATGTCACCTCAAGTGAGCTTGATTTAGTTGGTTTGAGGTGTTGCCTAAGCATTGGGTTGTCAGTGGGTTGTTAAAATCTTCCTGGCCGGGCGTGGTGGCTCACGCCTGTAATCCCAGCACTTTTGGAGGCTGAGGCGGGTGGATCACGAGGTCAATAGATCAAGACCATCCTGGCCAACATGGGGAAACCCCATCTCTACTAAAAATACAAAAAAATTAACTGGGCATGGTGGCATGTGCTTGTAGTCCCAGCTACTCAGGAGGCCGAGGCGGGAGAATCACTTGCACCTGGGAAGCGGAGGTTGCAGTGAGCCGAGATCATGCCACTGCACTCTAACCTGGGCAACAGAGCAAGACTTCGTCTCAAAAAAAAAAAAAAAAAATCTCCTAAGTGATTCTAATATGCATCTAGAATTGAGAATCTTTGTTCTAGAGCAATGGCTGTCAATCTGGGGGCAAATTTGTCCTCCTGAGGGGACACTTGGCAATGTCTGGAGACATTTTTGGTTGTCAGAATTAGCCGGGGGATGCTACTAGTATCAAGTGGGAAGGGGCCAGGGGTGCTGCTATGCATCCTGTAATACACAGGACAGTCTTCCATGACAAAGGATGATTCTAACCACAATATCAATAGTGCTAAGGCTGAGAAACCCTGATCTCTAGATCAGGGCAAGGTCAACCCAGCTCATCTCTTTATCTGTTTGCTAATTCATTTATTTATTCATTCTGTTGTGCCAAACCTCTGTTAACCTCAACAGGGGAGGCGCCACATTCAAGAGGCTGAAGAAGGGACCTAGAGCTGGCAAGTGAGACATGGGGTTTTAATAGGGGGTTACTTACAAAGAAGACAGTCCAGTGGCAGAGGGCTGGATTAGGAACCGCCTCATATTCAGTGGCGGTGGGCTGGACAAGGTATCAGCCTTCCTACAGTCCAATGGTGGTGGGCTACACAAGATAACTGCCCAGCCCAGTGGCTGTGGGCTGGGCAGGAAAACCAAAACCGCAACTGGTTGCAAACATCAGGCAGTTTATATAGCGTTTTCACATAATAGACTCCCCTTAACGACCTCCATCTGGCAACCTTCATTTAACCTAAAACTCAAGACCTCAATCCCCTGTACAGCCTGTGTTCCAAGAAAGGGGCCAGGGGCTAAGATGTTCCTATCAGGTAATCAATGACTCTCCAGGTTGGTATTCCCGGATTCCCTAGCTCAGAACACATATTCAGGTGCATCTAGCTATACAGGGTCATTCTAAGAGTATGGTTAAATTATTACTATCAAGGGCATTTATCCTACACACATATATCTACTGAGCATTTACTATGGGCTTTTCTAGATGCTGGAGACTACATAAAGTTTCAGAACCAGGTATTATCATAAAACCTTAGCAGAGAGAAAATAGTCCCATAATGTGCATTTTAGGTGAAGATGCACGCTCTGTTTGTTTGCTACTTATTATAGGTGCTGGAAATTAACTGTAGTTCAGTGCTTGCCAACATATGTACAAGCTGCAAGGATTCTCTCAGAACCCTTAGATGTTATGTACTTTGTCTCATTGTATATTGCTGGAAGGAACTCTGGCGTCACAAGAATGACAGTCCCAAAGTGGAGAGAAAGCTGACATGTTTATCGAAACTTTCTTTTAGCTGCTAGCATGGTGCTTAATGCATATCCTTAAGAATTGAGAAATTGGTTAATATCAGTAAGAATGAATGAGTGAACACAGTAATGAATAATTGCAACCAAGTGGGCCTGCACTGTGTCAGGAGCTTTGTTAGGCACACTTTACCTATGTTGCTTTTAGTCTCTAAAGGGGAAAATTTGTCTCCATTTTAAAGTTAATATGACCAAGACTTGGAGAATTTAAATAATATGGCAATTTTACATAGCTTAGGACTCAGAGTTTGTATCATTTTATAAAGTGATAACCCTTTAAGAATACTAAAACTTTTCATCCCAATAGGGAATTCTTGTAATTTACAGGGGCACAGACACTGTGATATACAGGTCAGAACTTTAAAATCATTGCTATGAGTATTGATAATCCTCTTTCATCACTGTACTGCTATCATTACCTCTGACACTTTTAGCACAGTATTGTCTATTCCTGTGCATCCCCAGGTTTCAGGAACCGTGAATGGCAGCTAATCATTAAAGTGCTAACTGGTTCCCAGATAGCTGGCCCTCGGGCTTCCTTGGTTTTGGCTTGTATACTCTGAACCCCCAAACAGATACTGAGTGACAGGTGATCATAAGCACCTGCCCTTTTATCTACTCTTTCTGCTCTTTCACTGGCTCTTGTATCTTGGCTGGCCCTTAGGAGGTAAGTGTAGTGTGAAAACAGGGAGTGTGACTTCAAAGTCAGCAAACACTGAGTCATTTTAAAATTTATTCATCTCTTGAGCATAATTGCAGGAATCATTTTTACTTGTACTTGTACAGTAAAAGTACTTGTACTTTTTATGATTTCGCTATAATTGTAACTAATTTTCTTCTTTATTTGTATTTAAAGTGTACCACAGCAATCCTAACCTGTATTATCTAGGGGAGTGTTTTCCACACCAGAGTGCTGTGAAACCCTTTAGTGGGTCATGCAGTCAAATAGCCAGCATTTCCTTTTTTTTTTCTTTTATTTTTTTAAAATGTAATAAGCTGGAGTAGAATAGAAACTATCAGCATTCCATGCAGAAAGATAAGTGTTATTTCATGTAACTTTTGCTGCATGAATGTTTGTACGGGGACCTGTATTAGCTTCCTATTGCTGCTGCAACAACTTGCCAAACATTTAGTGGTTTAAAACAAACAAATATGTTACCTTAATTTTATAGATTAGAACTCACTCACGGGTCTCACTGGGCTAAAATCAAGATGTTGACTGGGCTGTACTCCTTCTGGTGGCCCTAGGGAAGAATCCTTGTCCTTGCCTTGTTTAGTTTCTAGAGGCTACCTGCATTCTTTGGCTTGTGACCTCTCCCTCCATCTTCAA
Source organism: Homo sapiens (assembly GCF_000001405.40). Classification (NCBI taxonomy): domain Eukaryota; kingdom Metazoa; phylum Chordata; class Mammalia; order Primates; family Hominidae; genus Homo; species Homo sapiens. The sequence continues at coordinate 56,287,894 of NC_000006.12, read as the reverse complement.
AGGCAGCAATGATAGGCTGAATCCTTCTCACATCACATCACTCTGACCTCCTCTGCTCTCTCCCTCTTCTACTTGTAAGAACCCTTGTGATTACTTACGGCCTATCTGGATAATCCAGTATAGTCTCCATGTCTCAAAGTCAGTTGATTAGAAATCTTATTTCCTCTGTATTAGTCCATTCTCACATTGCTATAAAGAACTACCTGAGACTGGGTAACTTATGAATAAAAGAGGTTTAATTAGCTCACGGTTCTCTAGGCTGTACAGGAAGCATGGCTGGGGAGGCCTCAGGAAACTTACAATCATGGTAAAGGCGAAGAGGAAGGAAGCACATCTTCTTCACATGGCAAATCAGGAGAGAAAGAGAGAAGGGGGAGGTGCTATACACTTGTAAATAACCAGATCTCATGAGAACTCACTCAATATCATGAGAACAGCAAGGGGAAAGTCTTCTCCCATGATCCAGTCACCTCCTATTGGGCCCCTCCTCCAACACTAAGGATTACAATTCAACATGAGATTTGGTTGGGGACACAGAGCCAAACATATCATCCTGTTTGCTGTGTAACCTAACATATTCACAGGTTCTGAAGATTAGGACACGGACATTTTTGGGGAGCCATTATTTTTTCCACCACAGGGCCACAATGTAAAAGAGTTTGAAAAATACAATCCTATGATAAAATATCCTGCTTCAAATATGTCAAGTAGTCTTGAAGCACCTCCATTTAGTGGCAGATCAAGTTCAACATCATGTCTTTCATATCTTTTAGCCTCAATGAGAGGATTGATCATTTTTGATTTCTATTAATATGGAAATCTACTCATAGATCTGAATGTCAGCAGTGATTCTCCCACCTTTTATTTATTGTTTTCCTAAGAGCAATTAATATGATAAATGAAAGATTAAAGTCAAATCAGTGTTATCTTCAAATAAAAGCCAAGAAGGTAACAAAATAAAGCTACTCTTTTCAGAAAAGAAAATTGAAATTCTGCCTTGAGATAGTTTCATCTCTCTCTAGGAACATTCTTTTCCTCTCCAGGCTTATTTCTATAGAATGTTAGGAGATGATGGCCCCTTCTCATACTTGTATATCACTTTATAGTGTATATGGTTGAGGATTATCTGCTTTGAGTATCACTATAACCCTGTGAGGTAAGTAGAGGCTATTATCCACAGTTTTCAGTTGGAAAAAACAGATATTAAGTTAATGTAAGTAAGACAAAAATAATTAGAAATTTAGGCATACCAATTCACAAAACCGTGTAAACATTTTGAGTTAACTTGTACTTGTTCAGTACTTACTACGTGCTCAGCCCCGTGCTAAATGCTATGGGAATATAAAAAAAGTAGCTTACATGGTATCAGCCTCACGGAACTTAGAATTTTATTTGGGAAATAAAATGCAAGTGTGCTTAAGTGTGCATGTATACATGTGTGCATATATGAGTGTATGTGTGTATGCATGGGTATTTGTATGTGTACGTGTATCTGTATATGAGTGTATTTGTGTATACATGGGTATTGGTATGTGTGCGTGTATGTATGCCTGCATGTGTGAGTGTGTTCACATGTGTTTGTATACAAATTAGTGTGTGTACATGTGTATTTGTAACTGAATGACAGTGATAGCGCAGTGCTCAGTGCATGCAGCTTAGTATCAAACTGACCTTTCCTCAATTCATTTTATGGATGGTCTCTTCTCTAACAGACTTGTTTTGAATTTGCCCTGTTTAAACCTTGCATAAACTGTATCATGGCCTAGTTTGTAGCCCAAACACTAAGATGGTTTCTGACTGGCCAGTTTTTAAGACTTATCAAGGGAGGCTTTAAATATTTTGCTTGTTTTGATTTTTCTGTTTCCTGAAACAGATTGAGCTAATGAAATCCAAATTTAATTAACTGCCCGTATAAAAGGCTTAGGGAAAGGCAAAAAAAAAGTAAATAAAATCAGCATTACTGTTCCCTTTCCATGTGAGAGTCAAAAAGGGAATCATTTGTGGCAGGAAGAAAAGAGTAAGCAAGCTGTGTTTGGGAGATTAGCAAAATTTATTGCAAAGACTGTGCCTTCAGGATGGTGAGATGGTGGGCTAATGAGGGAGGGTGGGGGAGGGGTTAGCAGGGTCCTGGAGGAAGGTTTTAATGAGTGGGAAGAGGACTTTGATTTGCTCCATAGAGATAAGGGAGCCTTAGGAGGGTAGTGGCTGAGAAAATTTTCAGTTAAGTATTACATTACATGAGTACTTGAGAAGACTATACCAATTTAATATAATAAATGTCGTCTTTTGGGCGTGTTTTCTTCTTCTTGTCCTAACAAAAAAGAAATGAGAAGAGAAATGAGAAATGAACCCCTTTAAAGTATATTTATTCTTCTGTGAAGGAATTGTTTTACCTACATTTACCAAGAAGAAAACCAATTTTTGTTGTTTGAGGTAAATTGCTCAGGACAAATGCTACTCCTAGTGTTTTATTCTAAGGACAATTCTAAGACCCTTTCCAGCCCTAAATTACATGAAGTTAATGTAATAAAGAAGAAGAACCTATCACATTTGCTAACTGATTGCTCTTTAAGAAAAAGCTATTTAAGATATTGATGAAATGCTTGAAAAGCCTAGTGATGGTTTCATTGAAATGTAACACATTGTCACTGAGTCTTATTCCGTGCCCAGTTATATGGTAGCTAGGTGGAAGGAAAGAAGAAGGAGCTCAGATATGAAGATGAATAATGCCTGGCACATAGCATCCATTGGATGAAGGAATGTATGAATGGTCAAGTCCCTGCTATTGATTGATTCTGTTTTCTGGGAGGGATAGGAAGAAGTATTGGGGACATAAACACCAAAATCAATAGAGTGCAGGGAGGGAAATGCTTGAATAGAGACTAGATAAGTGGCTCTTAACATTTAGCTGCACATTTGAATCACCTGGGGGCTTAAAAAGTACTAATGCCCAAATGCCATCCTAAATGAGTCTAATTTAGTTGGTTCAAAGGCAAAGAAAACAGAGGAGAGAAAACCATGTCCATGGACCCAGGAAGTCAGAAAAGCAAAGCACATTTTGGAGAAAGGTAAGTTATTTGGAGTGGGTGAAGTGTAGGGTGAACTAATCATAGCTGGAAGATGAACCTTCTAGACAGGAAATGGGTAGGTCGATGAAGTTCATCTCATTGCCAGCGTAATGAGATTGATTTTATTCTGTAGCCATGTGGGAGCTAAGAAAGAATGGTAAGGAAGGGTATAATAAAATTTGTGTCTTAGAATGGTAATTCTGGCATGGGTGGAGGGCGTGGATGGGAAGGGGAAGACACTGCTGTTAGGAGGCTATTGCACTAGTCCAGGAGAATAATGACATTGGGGATGGAGATGAAAAGCCATAGTCAGTAGACACTGCTGGGATAGACTCACACAGTCTTGTTAATCAAATGTGGTAAGTTGATGACAGAAAAAAACAACTACAACAGGATACTAAGATAACAGTAAGTTTTCCAGATTGTGCGTTCAAGTGTGAAGATCACTTTTTAACATTAATTTAAAAACTACAGGCCAGGTGCTGTGGCTCACACCTGTAAACCCAGCACTTTGGGAGGCTGAGGTAGGTGGATCACTTGAGCTCAGACGTTAGAGACCAGCCTGGGCAACATCGTGAATCCCAACTCTACCAAAAGTAGAAAATACAAAATTTAGCTGGGTGTGGTGGCGTGTGCCTGTAGTCCCAGCTACTTGGAAGGCTGAAGTGGGAGGATCCCTTGAACCCAGGAGGTGGAGGTTGCAACGAACTGAGATGGTGTCACTGCACTACAGCCTGGGTGACAGAGCCAGAACCTGTCTCAAAAAACAACAAAACAAAACAAAACTACAAACATTCACATCCTCATAATTACAGTTTTAGTATCTATTAATTGAGGAAATCACCTCACCCCAAGTAATTGGTTGGCTTGCCCCAGGTCGGCCACTCCTGTTATGTTTACTGTTTGATTGCTCTACTGCTGGAGAGAGAGAGAGAGAGAGAGAGAGAGAGAGTGTGTGTGTGAGTGTGTCTACAGATAAAATGCTACCCCTCATCTCTGCCATGCCTTCTGAGACTGCATCCTTTTTGTATTGGAATTTTTGAGTTATGACATATTCTTTCACAAGGTTTATTTAAAAATTTAGTTCCTCCTCCAAATGGCTACTCATAGCTTCGTGAAGTTTGCACACGGTTTTCTTTCATTCATCTGTTGGAAAATGGTCTCATTTTCTTGTTTGTGGTTCTTTCATTTATCACCAGCCCGTCACTGAGCACCAATTACAGAAATGATTTGCTTTTGGTATATGTCTTCCTTTAAAAAACAGTACATATTCATTGTAATTATTTTAAGAATGTAGGAAAGTTGAAGAAGAGAATAAGAATTATTCATAATAGTACTCTCTTGTGCTGTTAACTTGGTGTATTTTAAGTATGCTTTTGTTCCGTGCCTAAATTTATTTGTTAAGTTTGGAGATGGCTTTGTGCTGAATATTTATTCTTTTCCTTTTTTCTCTTAACCTTTATGATGAGATTTTTTTTCTACATGGTTAAATATTTGTCAAAAAACCATTTTAATGACTATATATTATTCTAATACATTTATTTATAATAATTTTTTGGCCACAGTTCCTTGTTGGACATTTTTTTTTTGCTTTTACAAATAATGCTACACTGAGAACCTTGCACATAAATCTTTATGCAAGTCTTGATTCCCTTAAGATAGATAGTTAAAAGTGGAATTACTGGGTTAAAGTGTCCTTACTTCAGAAAGTCTTTTTATACAGATTGCTAAGTTACTTAAAATTTTTTTGAATGTATTTATTGTGTTAGACTGTATTTTGCATACATATTTCTATAACATCTCATTATTGTAATAGAAGTTCCTTCAATGTTTCTTTAAATATGAAGGATTACTTCAAATAAGTACATCTATGCTGAGAAGGCCATTAAAACTTAATAGTAATTCAGGAGACTATTGACACAATTTTTACAAACAGGAGTTTATTAACTCAAGTGGCCATACAATAGGTTTGAATGTGATTTTCAGTAGTGGGGAATCTTACATACTGGATAAGAAATGATTGTTCTTGTTGGGGGACAAATCTATCATCCAGGTAAAGTGTGTGTAGATAATATGTGTCTTTGCAAGATGATTACAATTGACTTATACATTTCTTGGGAAGCTTTTCTATATTGAAAATTGTGTAAGACAAAGGTGTCTGGATTTGATTTATTTAATAAAACCCTCAAACAATGCATCTGGCAGAAGTTTTCAGGCTGTGCAATGTTCTGCATGCTGTTCTGACCACAGAGGAGCTTTCCCATGGTAAACATATGATAGACAAACTTTGAATTATTTATATGGTGTATCTGGCATCCAGGCCTCTTCATCTGACTGAACATATTTCATAATAATAGAACAATAGTATGTGTGGCTCTAGTCCTTGTACCTTTGTCTGTAATTTTAGTTTTTTTCTGGGAATATTTGCTATAAAATTATTTTTTGTTATTATGAAAAAACCATGCGTATGAGAAAAAACAAAATCTTAATGTACAAGAAGAAATTTACTACCATTCCTCAACAGGAACAAATTTCTTGTTTACCTTCTCCAGCTTAAAATTTCCCATTTTTAAAATTCTTTAGAATTCTATTGAAATCCTCATGATACCTACAACTGTAACAAAATTTTGATGGTAATTAATAGAAAGGCTTCCTAAGGTGATTTTCTAGTCTAGAAATACAGACTTTTGTGTATGACCCCAACCAATAGTTGCTTATTTGACATACCTGAAATTTGAAGGCACCAGTGCTTTTAATATTTCTCCAAAAATATTTCGAATGAAAACTTACCACATAGAAAATAGCAATTCTAAAAAACCCACTCTTGACACATCGTCTCACAGCAAAGTTTATTTGGTATTGACAAAAATTTCCTAAGTTTTTCTGGAATTCACTGTTTCTCCTTTTCAAGCTTCTTAGAATGTATTTTTCTATATCTTTCTTATGACACAACTTCTTCTTGTGGTGATGAGTTATTTAATTATAGGCTTTATCTCTTGTGACCAGATGCCATCTAATATATGCCTGTACTCAGTCTTCTACCTAGTCGATGCTCAATTAATACAAGGATCAGGTATTTCTATTATTTCTTAATTTTTCAAACTGAGATCTAGAGGCAACCACTCAAATCACAGGCCATGGAAGTGATGCTTCAGATTAGCAGCACAAAGCTAATGGGGATAAAGAAAGAGACAGACAAATCCATACTGTAATGGTGAAACATTCATCCACTATGCAAGGAGGAGGAATATCAGCAGAATTTGATATTTTACTTTGTAGGTAAGTAAAATTATAAAATTCTGGAAGTATTCTTGGCATCTAAATCTCATGGAACATTTTCTGCTTGTTGAGGTTGATGATAATGATAATAGTGGTGGTTGGGGTGATGCCCACTGTTACCTTTTTGCTTTTCCTCATTGCCATGCTAACTATATGTAAAAAGGACGAAACATGTTCTTAGTACCCTCTTGCAGTTTTTACTATTTATGACTTAAATGTGAAATGGCATTGTAAACTCTAACTTTATAACTGTTATTTGATATTATCATAGTTCATTGAAAGGCAATGATCTTCAAAGACATATGAAAGCTCTCATTTTCTTTTATTCTGTCAGCCCAAACATGCTAGGCTGTGGTCCTGTTTCTGATGTCTTTCCAATTAGGAATTAGGAATAGGAATACTTGGGATATGAAAGCTGGAGGGAAGACAGGGGTTTGAGATGTTGAGCTGTGAGGATCATAGGAAAGTGTGGTGTAGTAGGATGGACACTGGCTTTATAGTCAGGCAGATTTGGGTAAATTACTTTTTTTATCTTTATTTTTTGAGACCGGGTCTCTGTCTGTCGCCCAGGCTGGAGTGCAGTGGCACAGTCATGGCCCACTGCAGGCTTAACCTCTCAGGCTCCAGTGATCCTCCTACCTCAGCCCCTCTAGTATGTGCCGCCACACCCAGCTATTTTGCGTGTGTGTGTTTATTTTTTGTAGAGATGAGGTTTCACCATGTTGCCCAGGGTGGTCTTGAACTCCTGGCTCAATAATCCACCCACATTGACCTCCCAAAGTGTTAGGATTATAGTCGTGAGCCACTGTGCCCAGCCAGGGTGAATTGTTTCGACCCTATAAGGCTCAGTTTCCTGATCTGTAAAGTGATGAGAATAAATCTCTTTCATACAAAAGATTGTGTGCTACATTCCTGGCCTGGTCAAGAAGTATGCAAGCCACAAGTGTTTCCATCTTTCTTCCTTTCTTATATGCTCAGAGTCCTTGATTGGGCTTTTCTGGTAGCGCTTTACTCACCATAAAGACAGGTGAGCCCCTCAAGGGTAGGAATAGTGTCTTGTTCACTTTTCATCTCCAGCGGGCCAGGTCAGTGCTTGGCTGAGAGTGGAGGCTCCATGAGTGATAGTTACACTGAGCTGCATTCAGTTGTGCAAAGAATCCATAATAATATCAGGAATTTGGAGAAGCGTTGAAAAACTTGGAAGGAAGCAGAATCGAGCAATAAAAGCCTGGTCCTGTGCCATCTATCCAAACTTATTTCTTGATAGTTCAGGACTTAGTCAATACTTGTTGAAGGAATGATATTAGCAAGAATATTTGTAAAGGAATCCCACAGGAAAAGCTTGTGGAACTGAAATTAGGTGTCCTAGATGAGTCCTTGGTATGAACTGAACACAATAAATATTCATTGAATCAATGAAAAAAATGATTAAATAAATAGGAGATGTACAACTTGTGGATTGTAGGTAAGTAAAACATTATTTGGAAGGTAACGTATGTAGTGAAAGATGGTAGCTTTTTGTGTTCTGTGTGTGTCTGTATGTGTGTATTTACCACAGTGAGGAAGAGGAGGGTAAAGGAGGGGAGGAAGTGCATTCAGATGAGTCACTGAGGGACTAGGTGATTTATCAGGCTTAACTTCCTTGCATTGCTATTAAACATTAACCTAGATTACTGAAGGAGGTTGGTAGTCTTACAGATAAAGGGAAAGTTATCATCTGAATCACATAGTCAAGATGCAAAGCTATCTGACACTGGTAGTCAGAAGAAGAGATGGCATCTCAGTGTTCTCACTAGTGTATCTTTCTGGTTCAAAGCTGACAGACAATGTTGTTAATCAACATTCACAAAGACTCATTTAAGCACCTCACTTGATTTTTTAAGTGATTAAATGAATGCAGCTTTTATTTTGCACCTGAGATTTCTGAGTCACCCTTAAGTATTTCCAGAATTTTTCCTGCACAATCCTTGAGTTATCAAATCTGACAATTGGAATGGAATGGGCCTCATGAGAGCTGCATTGGAAAGGAGAGGCTGCTGCTTGATTGCCAAGAGAAAGACATTCTGGCCCCTGCTGTTGCTATCAGCAATTCCAGGAACTACAGGAGTCCCAGGCAAAGATGCCTAGCAGCCAACTTCACCACAAACTGTATTAGTCAGTTCTCACATTGCTGTAAATAAATACCTGAGACTGGATAATTTATAAATAAAATATTTAATTGGCTCACAGTTCCACAGGCTGTACAGGAAAAATTATGCTGGCATCTGATTGGCTTCTGGGGAGGCCTCAGAAAACTTACAATCATGGCAGAAGACAAAGGGGGAGCAAGGTGTCAAATATGGCAGGTGCAGCAAGAACAAGAGTGAGGTGGGAGGTGCTAACACTTTTAAACACCCAGATCTCATGAGAACTCACTCACTATAAGGAGATCAGCACCAAGAGGATGGTGCTAAACCATTCATGAGAAACATCTCTGTGATCCAATTACCTCCCACCAGGCCCTACCTCCAACATTGGGGGTTACAATTCAACATGAGCTTTGGGTGGGGACACAGATCCAAACATATCACAAGCCATTGAATCTATCTCAGCCTCATTCTACCCTCACTAATCCCTAGCTCAGCCTAAGCAACTTCATTCTCATGCATGAGCATAATTTATCTAAGGACAAGGAAATTAGAGTATTTCATTACTCTTTCAAGAAGGAAGGTGTTTAGAGAGATGAAGATATTTGCATATTTAGTGGGGTGTTTAATGAGGTATGTGGAGGTTCCAACACAGGTTCAATCATTCACCACCAATCGGTGTGACATGGGGAAATTGCTGCCATGAGCCTCATTTTCTTCATCTGATTGTGACCATGATCTGTTCAGCCAAAGAGTTGTTCTAGAGATCAGTGAAAACAGATGTGAAAGAGCTTTGTAAAATATACCATGCTGCATGAATGCACAAATATGCTTATTTTATAAAGTGCATATCTGAAGGAAAGGAAAAAAGGGAATGGGAAGAAAGAAGTGTCTTGGGCCATATGAAGACTTTAGCTCATTTGGGGAATGGTGGGGTATGCAGTGTTTATAGGCCCCTCCACAGGCCACACAGAATGAGAGAATGAGAGGACAAAGAATGAAGCGCTTATACAAAAGAGCTTTTTTTCTCTCCTCTTCAACCCCCTACTGTCAAACCTTTTGCTCCCTTCTGGCTTGTACACAGGGATGTGTCAGCTGGAATGCTTTTGGAGATCATTAAGTGTAACCCCCAGGCAGTTATCTCACAGTTGTTTAAACATCCCACCATTTATTTTAGCCTATTCACATAAACTGAATAAAGCGGGTCTAATGCTCCAGGGTGTGGATAATGGTGGTAAGAATTCTTATGGGAAAGGAAAGATGAGCGTTTCTGGCACTTGTTTACTTCTGTGTTTGCCAGAGAGAAAATATACAGAAACAATTCCAATCTAAGTGGCACAAAATATCCAAAGTTGTTTTGAAATAAAGACCAGATTTGCAGGAAAAAACTTGCCACTTTGAACAATATCATTATTTTATGCTTCAGCAAATGAAAGATGTTCCAGGAGTCTTTAATGTTGACCAAAATTATATAAAAACATATGAGAATTAACAAATTATGATTTAAGTAGGATTCCCATGCATTTGTGTAATTAGTACAAATACTGTTCCTTTGTCAGAAATATACATGTTAAGTCTGTATCTTAATAACCACCTTTCTGTCTCACTTGAATTCACCAACTATTACTAACATTTTTATGGTTCACATGCTTATCTGTAATTTATTTAGTATTTGCAAATTTCACTGAGAATGTTTAATATCTGAATGACTTACCCAAAATGTGATTTAAAATATGTGGATTTCTAAGATCAAGGAGTTAAGGACATTTAAAAAATCTGCTACACAGTTGTAAAATATCTACAAGAATTGGTATATTTTTATAAATTATGGTGCCACTCTTAACAGGAATGACTATTTAGTGTATTTGGTAGTTATTATGCATACATAGTAGTGCTAATGAAAATACCTCTTGATTAAATGACAATACCTGCTAGAGTGATGTATGCTAGCTGCAGTAACAAACAAGTCTCCAAATGTATAATGGTTCAAGTATTAAAGAATTTAATTTCTCACATAAAGATCAAAACACCACATATTCTCACTCATAGGTGGGAATTGAGCAATGAGAAAACCTGGACACAGGAAGGGGAACATCGCACACCGGGGCCTGTCGTGGGTTGAGGGGAGTGGGGAGGGATAGCATTAGGAGATATACCTAATGTAAATGACGAGTTAATGGGTGCAGCCCACCAACATGGCACATGTATACATATGAAATAAACCTGCACATTGTGCACATGTACCCTAGAACTTAAAGTATAAAACAAAACAAAACAAAAAAACAAAACTTACTGAACAACCGGCTGGGTGTGATGGCTCACACCTGTAATCCCAGCACTTTGGGAGGTCGAGGCGGGCGGATCATGAGGTCAGGAGATTGAGACCATCCTGGCTAACACTGTGAAAACCCATCTCTACTAAAAATAAAAATAAAAATAAAAATAAATTAGCCAGGCGTGGCGGCATGCGCCTGTAGTCCCAGCTACTCGGGAGGCTGAGGCAGTAGAATGGCGTGAACCCGGGAGGCAGAGCTTGCAGTGAGCTGGACCGCGTCACTGCACTCCAGCCTGGGCGACAGAGCGAGACTCTGTCTCAAAAAAAAAACAAAAAAAACAAAAAAAACACAACTCACTGAACAACCAGAATTAGCAAATAAAGTAGAGATGATTTGGATACTTGATGGCAGTTCTGTTTATAAGGAAGCCGTGAATCACCCAGGCCATCTTAAACTATTTGTGACAAGGATCATGCAGGACTTTTGAAAGTGACACGTGTTTTCCAGAAATTGATTTTGAGAAATATAAACTTCTGCCAGAATACCCTGGCGTTCTCTCTGATGTCCAGGAGGAGAAAGGCATTAAGTACAAATTTGAAGTATATAAGAAGAATGATTAATATGAAGGTGTTTTCTGGTTTATTTTAAGTTGTTCCCCCTCTCTCTGAAAAAAGTATGTATTTTTACATTAGAAAGAAAGACTTTTGTTGACTTTAAAAAAAAAAGATCAAAACAGGAAACCTTTTTAAAAATTATTTCAACTTTTATTTGAGATGCAGGGGTACATGTCCAGGTTTGTTGCAGGGGTATATTGAAGCTCTATTGCATGATGCTGAGGTTTGGGGTATGATTGAACCTATCACCCAAGTACTGAGTATAGTACCCAATAGACAGTTTTTCAACCCGTACTCATGTTCCTCCTTCTCCCCTCTGGTAATCCACAGTGTCTATTGTCCCCATCTTTACCATGTGTACACAATGTTTGGCTCCCACTTATACGTGAGAACATGTGGTATTTAGCATTCTGTTCCTGTGTTAATTTGCCTCTGATTTTGGTCTCTAGCTGCCTCCATGTTGCTGGAAAGGACATTTCACTCTTTTTTATGGCTGCATAGGATTCTGTGGTGTGTATATACCACATTTGATTCATCCAATTCACTGTTAATGGGCACTAGATTGATTCCATGTCTTTGCTATTGTGAATAGTGCAGGGATGAACATACACATACATGTATATTTTTGGTAGAATGATTTATTTTTCTTTCTTCATGTACCCAATAATGAGATTGCTGGGTCAAATGGTAGCTCTGTTTTAAATTCTTTGACAAATCTCCAAACTCCTTTCTACAGTCGCTGAAGTCATTTGTATTCCCACCAACAGTGTATAAGCATGCCCTTTTCCCATAGCATTGCCAGAATCTGTCATTTTTTGACTTTTTAATAATAGCCATTCTGACTGGTGTGAGATGGTATCTATCTCACTGTAGTTTAGATTTGCATTTCTCTGATGATTAGTGATGTTGAGCATCTTTTTTTCATATGGTTCTTGGCTGCTTATACAATTTCATCATTGGAGAAGTATCTGTTCATGTCTTTTATCCATTTTTAACGGGATTATTTGTTTTTTTCCTTGTTGATTTGTTTTAGATCCTTATAAATTCCGGATATTAGACCTTTGTCAGATGCACAGTTTGTGAATATTTTCTCCCCGTTTGTAGGTTGTTTGTTTATTCTATTGATCATTTATTTTGCTGTGCAGAAGCTCTTTAATTTAATTAGGTCCCAGTTGTCAATTTTTGTTTGTGTTACAATTGCTTTTGGGGACTTAGCCAAAAATTCTTTGTCAAGGGCAATGTAGAGAAGGGTATCTCCTGTTTTCTTCTAGGATTTTTATAGTTTGAGGTCTTATATTTAAATCTTTAATCTATCTTGGGTTAATTTTCATATATGATGAAAGGCAGGGGTCCAGTTTCAGTCTTCTGCATATGGCTAGTCAGTTATCTGAGCACCATTTACTGAATAGGGAGTCCTTTCCTAATTGCTTGTTTTTTGTCAGCTTAGACAAAGATCAGATGGTTGCAGTGTGGGACTTTATTTCTGGGTTCTCTATTCTGTTCCATTTGTCTAAGTGACTGTTTTTGTGCCAGTACCATACTGTTTTGGTTACTGTAGCTTTATGGTATTGTTTTAAGTCAAGTGCTGTGATGCCTCTAGATTTATTCTCTTTGCTTAGGATTGCTTTGGCTCTTTGGGCTTTTTTTTTGGTTCCATATGAATTTTAGAATAGTTTTTTCTAATTCTGTGAAAAATGACATAGATAGGAATAGCATTAAATTTATGATTTGCTTTGGACAGTATGGCCATTTTAATAATACTGATTTTTTAATCCATAGGCATGGAATATTTTTCCATTTTTTTGTTTCATCTCTGATTTCCTTCAGCAGTATTTTGTAGTTCTCCTTGTAGAGATCTGTCACCCCTATTGTTAACTGTATTCCTAGGTATTTCATTTTTCTTTTTTGTGTGTAGCTATTGTAAATGATGTTGTTCTCTTGGTTTTACTCTTAGCTTAAATGTAATTGGTGTATAGAAATGCTACTGAAATTTACATTGATTTTATGTCTTGAAACTTTTTTGAAGTCATTTGTCAGTTCTAGGCCTTTTGGCAAAGTCTTTAGAGTTTTCTATGTACAGAATCATATCATCAGCAAAGAGAGATAGTTTCATTTCTTCTTTTCCTATTTGGATGCCTTTTATTTCTTTCTATTGCCTTATTGCTCTAGTTAGGACTTCCAGTACTATGTTGAATAGGAGTGGTGAGAGTAGGCATTCTTGTCTTGTTCTACTTCTCAAGGGGAATGCTTCCAGCTTTGGCCCATTCTGTATGATGTTGCCTGTGGGTTTGTCATAGATGGCTCCTATTATTTTGACATAAGTTACTTCAATGCCTACTCTGTTAAGGACTTTTATCATGAAGGGATGTTGGATTTTATTGAAAGCTTTTTCTGTGTCTAATAAGATGATCATAAGGTTTTTGTTTTTAATTATATTTATGTGGTGAATCACATTTATCAATCAGCCTTGCATCCCAAGAATAAAGCCTACTTGTTTGTGGTGTATTATCTTTTTGATGTGCTACTGGGGTTGGGTTTGATAGCATTTTTTTGAGGATTTTTGCATGTATGTTCGCCAAGGTTATTGGTGTGAAGTTTTTCTTTTTTCATTGTGTCTCTGTCAAATTTTTGTATCATGCTGATGCTGGCATCATAGAATGAGTTAGGGAGGAGCCCCTCCTCCTCCTTGAATAGAATTCCTTTTTTGGAATAGTTTCAGTATGATTGGTACCAGTTCTTCTTTGAATGCCTGGTAGAATTTGGCTAGGAATCTATCTGGGCCAGGATTGTTTTTGGTTTATTATTACTAATTCAATTTTGGAACTTGTTATTTGTTTGTTCAAGTTTAAACTTTCTCCCTGATTCAATCTTAGGAGGTTGTATTCTTCTGGGAATTTATCCATATCCTTTAGGTTTCGTAATTTGTGTGCATGGAGTTGTCTATAGTAGCCTCTGAGGGTCCTTTGTATTTATGTGTGATCAGTTGTAATGTCATTTCTGTCATTCCTGATTGTGCTTATTTGGATCTTCTCTGTTTTCTTTGTTGATGTAGCTAGCAGTCTATCAATTTTGTTTATTCTTTTGAAGTACTAACTTTTGGTTTCATTGATCTTTTATATGAATGCATGCATCTCAATTTCATTCACTTCTTTTCTAATTTATTTCTTCTGCTATCTTTGGGGTTAGTTTGTTCTTTTTTTCTAGTTCTTGTAAGTGCAAAGTTAGGTTGTTAATTTGAGATGTTTCTAACTTCTCGATGAAGGTGTTTAGCACTATGAAGTTTCCTCTTAACACTGCTTTGGCTGAATCCCAGAGATTTTGGTAAGTTGTGTTGTGTCCCTATTTTAATTAATTTCAAATAACTTTTTAATTTCTGCCTTAATTTTTATGTTCACCCAGAAATTATTCAGGAGCAAGTTGTTTATTTGCAATGTATTTGTGTAGTTTTGAAAGATCTTCTTGATATTGAATTATATTTTTATTGTGCTGTGGTCCAAGGAAGTGGTTGGTATGATTTTGATTTTTTAAAATCTGTTGAAATTTGCTTTATGACCAAGCATGTGTTTGATCTTAGAATGTGTATTAGTCCATTTTCACACTGCTGTAAAGATACTACCTGAGACTGGGTAATTCATGAAGAAAAAAGGTTTAATTGACACACAGTTCCATATGGCTTGGGGAGCCTCAGGAAACTTAAAATTGTGGCAGAAGATGAAGGAGAAGCAAGTACCTTCATCACAAGGCAGCAGGAGAGAGAGAGAGTTCAGGGGAAACTGCCACTTTTAAACCATCAGATCTCATGAGAACTCCCTCATTATCATGAGAACAGCATGGGAAACCACCCCCATGATCCAATCACTTCCCACCAGGCCCCTCCCTCAACACATGGGGATTACAATTGGAGATGAGATTTGGGTGGGGACACAGAGCCAAGCCACATCATTACACCCCTGGCCCCTCCCAAGTCTCATGTCCTTTTCTCATTTCAAAACCAATTATGCCTTTGTAACAGTCCTGCAAAGTCTAAACTCATTCCAGCATTAACCTGAAAGTCCAAAGTCTCATTTGAGACAAAGCTAGTCCCTTCCGCCTATGAGCCTGTAAAATGAAAATCGAGTTAGTTAACTCCCAAGATACAATGGGGGTGCAGGCATTGGGTAAATGTTTCCACTCCAAAACAAAAGGGCCACAGGCTCCATTCAAGTCCAAAACCTGGCAGGGCACTCATTAAATCTTAAAGCTCCAAAATAATCTCCTATGACTCCAGGTCTCACATCCAGGGAATGCTGATGCAAGGGATGAGCTCCCAAGACCATGGTCAGCTCTGCCCCTGTGACTGCTTTCTTGGGCTGGTGTTGAGTGCCTGCAGCCTTTCCAGATGCTTGGTGCAAGCTGTCAGTGGATCTACCTTTCTCTGATCTGGAGATGGTGGCCCTCTTCTCACAGCTCCAGTAGGCAGTTCCCCAGTGGGGACTCTGCTTGGGGGTTCCAACCCCACATTTCCCTTCTGCACTGCCCTAGTAGAGGTTCTCCTTGAGGGCTCTGCCCCTGCAGCAGACTTCTGCCTGGATCACCAGTCATTTCCATACATCCTCCGATATCAAAGTGGAGGCTCCCAAAGCTCAACTCTTGTGTTTTGTACACCCACAGTCCCAACACCACATGGAAGCCACCAAGCTGTGGGGCTTGCACCCTCTGAAGCAATGGCCTAAGCTGTACCTTGGCTCCTTTGAGGCATGGCTGGAGCTGGAGTGTCTGGGACACAGGACACCAAGTCCTGAAGCTGCACAGAGGAGTGGTGCCCTGGGCCAAGCCCACAGAGCAATTTTTTCCTCCTAGACCTTTGGGCTTGTGTTTGGAGGGGCTGCTGTGAAGGTCTCTGACATGCTCTGGAGACATTTTGCCCATTCTCTTGACTCTTAATATTCAGCACCTAGTTACTTATGCACATTTCTGCAGCTGGCTTGAATTCCTCCCCAGAAAATGGGTTTTTATTTTCTACCACATAGTCGGGCTGCAAATTTTCCAAATCTTTATGCTCTGCTTCCCTTTTAAACATAAGTTCCAATTTCAAGTCATCTCTTTGTGAATGCATATAACTGAATGCTTTCATAATAAGCTAGGTCACCTCTTGAAAACTTTGCTGCTTAGAAATTTCTTTGCCAGATACCCTAAATCTGGTTTGCTGCTTGGAAATTTCTTTGCCAGATACCCTCTCTCAAGTTCAAAATTCCACAGATCTCTAGGGCAGAGGCAAAATTCTGTCAGTCTGTTTGCTAATGCATAACAAGAGTGACCTTTGCTCTACAGTTCCAGTAAGTTCCTCATCTCCATCTGAGACCATCTCAGCCTGGACTTCATTGTCACTATCAGCATTTTGGTCAAAACCATTCAACAGTCTCTAGGAAGTTCCAAACTTTCCCTCATCTTACTGTCTTCTTCTGCGCCATCCAAACTGTTCCAACCTCTTCCTGTTACCCAGTTCTAAAGTTGCTCCCACATTTTCAGGTTATCTTTATAGCAGTGCCCCACTCCTGGTACAAATTTCCTGTATTAGTCTGTTTTCATACTGCTGTGAAGAATACCACCTGAGACTGGGTAATTTGTAAACAAAAGAGGTTTAATTGACTCACAGTTCTGCCTGGATGTGGAGGCCTCAGGAAACTTACAATTGTGGCAGAAGGTGAAGGGGAAGCAGGCACCTTCTTCATGAGGTGACAGGAGACAGAGCATGAGGGAGGAAGTGCCACAGTCTTAAACCATCAGATTTCATGAGAACTCCTTCACTATCATGAGAACAGCATTGGAGAAACCACCCCTATGTTTCAGTCACCTCCTACCAGATGTCTTTCAGGACACGTGGGGATTACAATTTGAGATGAGATTAGGGTGAGAGAAACATACCAGGATGTTTCTTGTATATTCTGTGACTGGTGGGTGGAGTGTTCTGTAGATGTCTATTTGGTCCAATTAGTTGAGTGTTGAATTTAATTCCAGAATTCCTTTGTTAGTTTTCTGCCTCAGTGGTCTGTCTAATACTGTCAGTGGGATGTAGAAGTCTCCCATTATTATTGTATGGCTGTCTAAGCCTTTTCATCAGTCAAGAGGAACTTGTTTTGTGAATCTGGGTGCTCCGATGTCAGGTGCATGTATATTTACAACAGTTAAGTCTTCTTGTTGAATTGGATCTTTTGTGTCATGTAATGCTCTTCTTTATCCTTATTAATTGTTGTCAGTTTAAAGTCTATTTTAGCTGACATAAGAATAGCAATCTCTGCTCCGTTTTTGTTTTCCATTTGCGGGGTAGATCTTTCTCTATTTACATTGAGCCTGTGGGTATCACTACATGTGAGATGAGTATCTTGAAGCCAGAGGATGTTTGGGTCTTGTCTTTTTATTTAGCTTGCCACTCTATGTCTTTTAAGTGGGGCAGGGACATTAAGGGGTAGTATTGATATGTGAAATTTTATTTTGTCATTGTATTGCTAGCTAGTTGTTTTGTAGACTTGATTGTGTAGTTGCTTTATAGTGTTTCTGGGCTATGCATTTAAGTGTGCTTTTGTGGTAGCAGGTGTCGTTCTTTTGTTACCATGTTTAGCACTCTCTTAAGAACCTCTTGTAAGTCTGATTTGGTTGTGATGAATTCCATCAGTGTTTGCTTGTCTGAGAAGGATTTTATTTCTCCTTTGCTTATGAAACTTGGTTTGAAAGGATATGAGATTCTTGATTGGAATTTCTTTTCTTTAAGGATGCTGAAAATAGACCTTCAACCTCTTCTGGCTTTTGTGGTTTCTGCTGAGAGGTCCACTGCTAGCCTGATGGGGTTCCCTTTGTTAGTGACCTGTCACTTCTTTTTTTTTTTTTTTTTTTTTTTTTTGAGACGGAGTCTCGCTCTGTCGCCCAGGCTGGAGTGCAGTGGCGGGATCTTGGCTCACTGCAAGCTCTGCCTCCCAGGTTCACGCCATTCTCCTGCCTCAGCCTCCCAAGTAGCTGGGACTACAGGCGCCCGCCACTACGCCCGGCTAATTTTTTGTATTTTTAGTAGAGACGGGGTTTCACCGTTTTAGCCGGGATGGTCTCGATCTCCTGACCTCGTGATCCGCCCGCCTCGGCCTCCCAAAGTGCTGGGATTACAGGCGTGAGCCACCGCGCCCGGCCGACCTGTCACTTCTTTCTAGCTGCCTGTAAGATTTTTTTCTTTCATGTTGACTTTGGTGAATCTGATGACTATGTGTCTTGGGGACAGTTATCTTGTATAGTATTTAGCAGAGATTCTTTTTATTTCTTGAATTGGCATGTTAGCTGTCTAGCAATATTAGGGGAATTTTTGTGGACTATGTCCTCAAATATATTTTCCAAGTTGATTATTCTCTCTCCTTTTCTCTCATGAGTGTCAATAGTTGTAGGTTTGTTCTTACATAATCTCATATTTCTCAGATGTTTTGTTTATTTTAGAAGTTTTTGATTTATTTTTATGTGAGTTGATTTGAAGAACTGGTCTTTGAGCTCAGATTCTTTCCTCAGCTTGGTCTATTCTGCTGTTAATACTTCCAATTGTATTATGAAATTCTTGTGGTAAATTTTTCAGTTCAGAAATTCAGTTTTGTTCTTTCTTAAAATGGCTGTTTCATCTTTCAGCTCTTGGATCATCTTACTGGATTCCTTGTATTGAGTTTCAACTTTCTCCTGCATCTCAGTGAGCTTCCTTGCCATCCAGATTCTGAATTCTATGTCTATCATATCATTCTGATTAAGAACGACTGCTGGGTGGATACTGGGCTTGTTTGGAGGTAAGGGAACACTTTGCCTTTTTGAATGGCCAGAGTTCTTATGCTAATTCTTTCTCATCTGAGAGGGCTGATGTTCCTTTATCTGTGGTGTAAGTTGAGTATAGTCAATTGGCTTCATTTCTCAGTACTTTCAGAGGGCCAAGTCTCAGTACAGGATCTTTATTTGTGTCTGGATTCTTGCCCTTGGTTTCACAGGGGTATATATTGACAGAATATTTTTGGTGTGGTGGTTTGAGTTGTGATTCATTAGGTGGTCATTGAGAGTAGTGGTGGGAAGAATGGCTTTTACTTAGCCACATGGCTCTTTTGTATTTCCTTGTGTTCACAACCATGCTCTGTAGTGGGGGTTTGAGAGACATGATTCCCTCATCAGGTCTGTTCCTGGGTCTTGGGAAAGCTCATTCTGATCCCTGGAACCGCACCCATGTTTCCTTTATTAGATGTTCCGGGCTGTGGGGCTACTTTGGGTAGAGGCCATGGCAGGGCGATAGCTTACATTCTTTCTGGACTGGACCTATGAATGGAAGCATGCCCTGCTCCTGTGTCGGCCCATGAACCCATGCATTTCACCCTTCTTAGTGCTCTGAGAGTGTGGGCTCCTCCCCTGCTTTAGTTCTCACCACACATCTCCGCTTGAATTGACACTTCCAGCTCAGCGCTGTAGCTTTGGGATACTGGGAACGGCCTCTGGTTCCATCTTCCAGACCCTTGGGATCTAGCTCCAGTTGTGCTGGGGGATCCAAAGTGCTTTCAGGCCACTGGGAAAGTACTCAGGTGGAGCAAAGCACAAAGGCTGGGCAGTGGAGGCTGTGCTCTCAGGTCTGCTCAAAGTATGTTTTCTTACTGTATATTTTGGTCTCTTTCAGTGGGAATGGTGCTTTCTGGCTGCATCTAGTTGGTCATCTTATCCCCTCCCTGCAAATAAGAAATCTTCTTAGATAGGAGGCTCTCTTCTTCTTCTTCTTCTTCTTTTTTTTTTTTTTTTTTAACAGAGTCTTGCTCTGTTGCCCAGGCTGGAGTGCAATGGCATGATGTTGGCTCACTGCAACCTCCACCTCCTGGGTTCAAGCGATTCTCCCTGCCTCAGCCTCCCGAGTAGCTGGGATTACAGGCGCCTGCCACCATGCCTGGCTGTTTTGTATTTTTAGTAGAGATGGGTTTTCGCCATGTTGGCCAGGCTGGTCTCGAACTTTCTGACCTCATATGATCTGCCCACCTCTGCCTCCCAAAGTGCTGGGATTACAGGCATGAGTCACTGTGCCTGGCCAGGAGGCTCTCTTCTAAACTGTGTTTGGGGACCCAGGTTTTTTCCATCTTGGGGCTTACTTAACTTCAACAGTGATTTCTCAAGTTGCTGGGCTCATCTCTGTCAAATCAGTGAAAAGGAGAAAGCATGGAGGATTATGCAGAAAAAGTTTTTATGCACCAGGAACATTCCATTGGCCAGAATTCAGGCAATGTTACTAGGAAGAGGAAGCAGGTTTGATGAAGATCAGGACAGACTCTGCTGTACACTCTTAGAACAGTGCTTAGTACTTTGTTGACTCTCAAGGTATGTTGACTATTATTATTATCATATTGAATGTCAACTTACAACTTTCATGACACCTTATGTATTTTAAGAAATGTGAAGCATACAACATATTTTGGTGAATGTCTGCCATATAGAGAATTAAGATTAATCATCTAGACTTCTCTGTGGAAGAGGAGTTGAAGAGGATGCTCATTGTCTCTTCCTTAGGCTAAAGTCAAGCTTAAGTTAACAGGATTTAAAAAATATATATGTACATTCTGCCCGAGCTGTTTGCTGTGAATAATATATAGATGTGACTGAGTCAATATGAGCTATTAATAGTTAACTGCACAAAGGAAAGGAATAGTAAAATTATTTTCTTTTCTTGAACATAATTTGAGGTAAGTAATCTTCATTCAATACATTCTTTAAAGAATAAAGTGATTCTTAAGATTAGAAGAGCACCTTTAATATCCTTTATTCATCTCCTTCAGACACTGAGAATGAAAATATTACTAAAGTGGAGAGTTTATCTGTCTGTCTACAGATCTATTTGTTCTATTAGTCCATCTAAATTAATCTTACCAGAAAAGGTATGTACTTAGGTACTTTTCTTTCAAAGAACAGCAGTCATTTTAGCAGAGCTGAAGATTTTGCATTGCATCTAGCAGGAGTCAGTAAAGATTTTCTGTAAAATGCCAAGTAGTAAATATTTTAAGCTTTGTTGCTCATACAGTCTCTGTTCCCATGCAGTCTCTGTCACAACTACCCAACTATGCTACTACAGTGTGAAAGCAACTGTAGACAATATGCAGACAAACCTCAAAAAACAAAAAAACAAAAAAGATCATGGCTGTGTTCCAATGAAACTTTATTTATAAACACAGGTACCAGCCTAGATTTGGTCCAAAGGCTGTAGTTTGCCAGCTCCTTGTCTAGAACGTTCAGTACTTTTATATTTTCTAATTTTATATTAGATGTTTATGACATTCATGAAGCTGATTTATCTCCAGAGTTTGAATTTTACTTTTGCTTTGATTTTCGGTGGGAAGAATGAACATGGCCTAAGATAACACTAATTCACTGTCTTTTGTCATCAGCATTAATTAAGCTGTAAGTCATAATTGTGTTAGCATGTTTTGTTAGATTACAGGCCTATAAAGGCTACTGGTTACCCAGAGTAAAATTGCCTCGTTAAAAGCACTGGGACAGAGGCTTTAACAACTGCTGAGGCAGGGTTCATGGGCCTTTTTAAGTTAAACTTAATATTTAATAAACTTTAGTTGCGAATGTGTATTTACTTAATTTTTTTTTCTCATAGATAGATGGAATGTAATTTTCTTCTAAAGCTTTTGCTCTATAAGACTCCAAGTAGCATCAGTCATTTTATTCATTATTTAATGTTTTCAAACTATCTAGGAAGATATTTTTTCCTAAAATGTTTCTGTCAACAAGTAGTGTTAAATCCTCCCCCAAACAAACAAAAAATCCTTTTGAACATGGAAGAAGCAAATAAAAAGATCTAACTAAAAGATGTAGGTGGAGGCAGGTCTATTGTCCACTGAATTAAGATGGTATGATCTGTCACCAGTGGGAACCATGGGATATGGAGTCTTCTTTAGGTAAAGGGATTTTGAATGATGACACCTACAGCATTTGCTTATGCACTGTGTTTTTGAAATAGACTTTAGACTCACTTTGCAGTGGGGATGGGGAGTATCATTGTCTGCCCTTGAATCAGGCCCTTCTGGTAAGTGGAATAGGAGGAAGGACGGGAAAGGGACAGTTGTCTCCTTAGTTGGCTCTGTTGTAGCCCCTGGGCTATTGTTTCCCATGGTTTTTGGACTAACACTGACCAGACCCTAGTGATTCAAGTGTAAAAGGCATGCAAATTCTGGCTCCTCATGATAAACATGTATGTATTCCATTGCCTGTTCCACTCCCCACTTGGCATCTGTTCTGGACAATCCACCCCAGAGCTTCTTGTGCCTAGGATCCTCATCAAGATTTCTGGGACAGCCACTTGACCCATGGCAAACTCACACAGTCTTAATTTTCCAAGTAGCTTGAAGACTTCCGCTTCCAGCCCCTGTCTTAGCCTTGCCATCTCCTTTCAACTGTCCTCTCCTCCTGCTCAAATAAGCACAGTGAGAAAATCCAAAAGATCTCCATGTAAGCAGGCATCTACTGTGAAATGAGATCTTGGTATCTCCTTGTAGGAACCTCTACTTTCTTATAGTCTTTTTCACAATTGTTTGGGAGAGGCACCTTCTTTTTGCTATTGGTAGAAGAAAGAAAATGCCCTTCATCAAGAACTATGAAGACTCCTGAGCAACAGGAAAGTCTCACTCAACACACCACTTCAGTACGTTGGACTTAGTTGATGGTGATGGTGAAGGATAGAAGTGGATAGATTAGAAATATTTAGAAGATAACATTTATAGAACTTGGAGTTTAGATGATATGGATTAAATTTAGGGTGTACAGGAGAATGGTATGAAACAGAAGAACATCAGACTAGTATCGGATTGAGGTATATGCATAATAAATTCAGTTTTTGATATGTTGAATTATAGGTGGCTTGTAGGCATTTTATTGGAAATCTCACACGGCAATTAGTTAAATGGGTCCCAACTTTAGAGGCCAGGTCCTCAAGTAGACATAAATTTGTGAGTCATGTAAATAAAATCTTCTAGTGAGACAGTATAGGATGAAAGGAGGAGATTGTTTAGGATTGATTTTTGAGTGTCCAGGATTCTGACATTTAATTGTTGGGTAGATAGGAATAAACATCCCAAAGGGAATGAGAAGGAGCCACCATAGAAGTAGAAGGAAAGCCAGGGGATAGTATCCAAGGTGGACAAGATGCTTAAGTCTGAGAGAAGTGGTGGGATGAGAGTGGGTTTCTGGAGGATGATCTGTGGTTATTCTATTTATGTTGCTCCTACTGATGTATGAAGACAGTAACCAAATCAAAATGCAAATGGGAATGGACGTGTTATGAAACCCTTTTCTTGTGGATTTATTTGAAATGTTTATGTTGCTAAATAAACATTTATTCCAGCAATTTGCTTTCCATGTGTGATATAAATAGTTCCAAGGAGACTTCATTCATCATAAAGACATACGATAAATATGTCTTATGTGCTATGTATCATAAGGAAAACATTATAAACAGAGGAATTGTCCTATAAAGGAACATAATTTCATTGTTTATAGATATTTTCATCTTTGTGTGTTTGTGTGTGTGTGTGTGTGTTTGTGTATGAGAGTGGTTCTCTTTATGAAGCTAATACTATCATTTGTTCTTTCTTCTATGATTTTCTTGTGGTGTCTTTTTATGTTGTGTGCAGGATTAAGGATCAAATATCAGGAAAATGTTTAAATAACCGCATGAATTGTATGAAGCTTATTATAGCAAGAATGTTAAACAGCGGTTTTCCATTTCTCTTGATAGAAAACAAGAACACAGCTTCACATTAAGCCATAGAGTCTTGGGTAACAACAAAATAGAACTTTTGCCTAAAACAGAATTGTGGGTTCCTAGAATACAGAATAAAACACAGCTTAAGTGAGCTATGATTTGGGAATATTCTGGGGACATGCGCTTAGCTTCCCTGACTGTGGGCATTGTTTTGAGTGGGACTTTCTTTTGTAATGAACAGTTTTTGAGTTCTCTTCAGCTTAGGCATCTTTTTCACCTTGAAGATGGCAAGCTTCCAACGCTTGATACCAAGTGTGTGTTTTAAGTCTTATTTCCCACCACACCCTTATTTCCATTCTCCATTCACTACTCCATAGAGTATTTCAATACTCCCCATAGTAAAACCACAGTCTCCAAATATGGCCTTTGTGTCATTGGGTCAGACCTTTCTCTAAGTCTTTGGAAGATCTAGCTTATATGTTACTTCTGATGTAGACCATTCCAGAGTATCCTAATAAAATGGAACCTCTCCTTCATATTAATTTCTTTGGCCCTTTATGAAATACCACTGATTTAAAACTTATTCATTGATGCACTTATTAATTCATTCATTCAACAAGTATCTATTAAGCATACTATGCGTTAGACTCTGTATTTGTGATAGGTGCTAGGAATAAAGCAGTTATTGCTTTTGTGGAGTCTGCATTCTTGCAGGAGCGGAGTGGTTGGGATTGTATGGTTTAGGGCTAGTATTTTTGGGTTTGCATCCCATGTCACCTTCTAGCTGTGTAACTTTGTTCAAGATTATATATTTTAATGCATTAGTTTCTTCATCTGAAAACGGGAAATAAATTACAAGAACCTGAACCAAATTATTCTGAATTTGGTTGCTGTAGCACACCAGGTCTGTGTCCTCACCTTGCTTTCTAGCTGGAGTAGTCCTTATAACATCTTCCCTTGGGAATAGAACCAGGCTGCTGATGCTGCTACAGACCTGGGAGCTGCATAGTGGCTGCTTCTGGTATAGTTAGAGGGAGGTTGGATTTTTAGACTAATAGTAGTGCTTTTTGACCTCCCTGAATCTCTTGATTTCCTGTAAGTTTGTAGCTTGTCACAAAGCTGCAGCCAGCTCTGTATCCCAGTCCCTATTCTAGTATAAAATATACTAGTATATTTTATATTCTAGTATAACTTTGATGAATAAAATACAATTTTAGATCTACAGAGGAAAAACAGACCCAAATCTAATTAAAATACATTCTCCTTCTTTCCTGACACATTGCTGTCTTCTTGCCCTCCTGATTCCTGGGGATTGTCCACTTTCTACAGGGCTAGTATTATGCTTTTGGCTTAGGCTCTGTTTTCTAGGGAGCTCATACTAAGATACCATGTCATTGGCTTATTGTGAGGGTTAAATATAAATATAAAGTGCTCAGAACAGTGCCTGCCATGGAGTAGATACTTACAGTATTTACTAGCTAGCTACTGTTATTGTGGGAATAGTAAATGAAAGTACAGAGGATGGTCTAAGTTGAGAGAAGAAGGATTATTTAAGAATTTCAAAGAAATGCTATTTAAGCCAAAAACCTTAAGGTTGGGTAGGATTTTGCAGATGTGGGATTTAGGGTGGGACACATTTATGGTGACTATGTCAGGCAAAGGAAACATATTTGAAAGCCTAGGGATAAGAAAGACACCAGGTTTGAGAAATCGAATGCATTAATAAGTAAAATTTCTATCTGTTCTATTCAGTTGTTATTTATATATGAGTTTTGCAGAGACAGTAAGCTTATCAAGATTCCATTTTCTTTTCCATATTTCCTAATCCTCTTGCAGTTTTGGATAATAAAATGTGGAGAAAGTGACATGTGTCACTTCAGAGCTGAGGCAGGTAAGGTCCATATTCTTCCACTGATGCAGTGATCAGAGACCACATCTTCCACATGAATGGCAGACAACATGGTAAAGCTCCCACCACCCAATTCCCCAGGTAGAGCAGAGGTTCCCACTGAACTATGTGTAGTGAGAACAAGAAATAATCCCTTGTTGATTTAAGCCCACCATAATTTTGGGACTGATTTGTTATTGCAGTATTACCTGACTGTATTTGTCCATTCAGAATACTATCACAAGAAAAAACCCCTTAGACTGGGCACCTTAAATACAATAAACATTATCTTTTTACAGTTCCAGAGGCTGGGAAATCAATGACCAAGGTGCCTGTAGATGCAGTGTCTGGTGAGGGCTTGCTCTCCGGTCCACAGATGATGCCTTCTTGCTGTATCCTCACAAGGAAGAACAGGTCTCTTGGGTCTCTTTTAGGTGGGCACTAATCCCATTCATGAGGGCTCTGCCCTTACGACCTAATATCCCCCCAAAGACCCTACCTCCTAATACCATAACCATAGAGGTTAAGATTTCAACATGTGAATTTGGGAGGGATACAAACATTCAGCACTGACTTATCCTAACTAATACAATGATTAATCTTGTAATCTGACTATAATGTTAGCTTCTGGACCAGGAGCATGATTCGGGTGAGGCAGGCAAGAGAGGTGCCTAGGGTGCAAAACTGAGGGAGGCGCTCCTTCTCAGGGCTGTGCTAGTGAGTGCCAGGATGACCAAAGCAGAGTGAGGGAGAGGGAGAGGGTGGGGCATGAGAACTGAGAGGTCACGGCTTCACAGACCATTGAAAGATCTTTGGATTTGTAGTAGAATTATAGTCAGCTCCTTATTTTCTATAAAAAGTGAAGTGTCAAGAAAACCAAGAACCAGAAGAATTCATTAAGACATTGAAACTTGTCTTTCAAATAAATATATTTATTAGACTTGAATATGTAAGAAAAGAATCAAGAAGTTTGTGATTTACTTCTAAGGGTTTTTTAAATGTATAGGTATAGCTATAAAAGGTACACACACACACACATACACACACACACACACACACACACACACAGTGAATTAAAGTAAATTGTGCTCCAAAATGTGGCTTCTTTGAATACAAAATTGTCTTCCACTTTACTTTCTAAAAAATCTTCCCCCAAGATTGATTCCTTCCTTCCTTCCTTCCTTCCTGCCTGCCTCCCTTCCTGCCTGCCTGCCTGCCTGCCTGCCTTCCTTCCTTCCTTCCTTCCTTCCTTCCTTCATTCCTTCCTTCCTTCCTTCCTTCCTTCCTTCCTCTCTCTCTCTTTCTTTCTTCTTCTTCTTCTTCTTCTTCTTTCTTTTTTTTTTTTGATAGAGTCTTGTTCTGTCACCCAGGCTGAAGTGCAGATGCTCAGTCTTGGTTCACTGCAACCTCCACCTCCTGGGTTCAAGTGATTCTCCTGCCTCAGCCTCCCAAATAGCTGGGATTACAGGTACATGCCACCACGCCTGGCTAATTTTTGTATTTTTTATAGAGGCAGGGTTTCGCCAGGCTGGTCCCAAACTCCTGACCTCAGGTGATCTACCTGCCTCTGCTCCCAAAGTGCTGGGATTACAGGCGTGAACCATTGCACCTGGCCAGATTCCATGTTTTCTGTAATAATATAATAGTACCTCACATCTTTTGTTTAATTATTTTTATCCAAGCCTTTCTTGTGAGTTAAGTCCATGGTTACAGAGTCATTTAGAGTTGTGTCTTGAGGGAGGATAAAACATAATATAGCTTAAATTTACAATCTCAAGTAATATTCTCCTGTTAAATTGGACTCATTGGTTACAACTCTCTCTTACTTTTGTTGAGTTTAAAACATGCTATGTGTGTGGTGGGGAGGTAGTGGGTCACACCTACCCTCTGGGTTAGAATCTAAAGGTTAATGTGAGAAAGTATGCCATGCTTTCTTTCCTCAATAATGAGACATCTGAAAATGCCCAGAATGACTCCGGGATATCATATTACAGCATAGAAAGCAAAGGCTGAACTGGCTGTGTGCCATGTGTTTCTTTAAGCTCTAGTTATAAAGAGCACATATTTGAGTCTGAAATAATTGGTTTTATAAAAATTATCCTAAGTAGCAGCAATATTGTATGTCCTTTGCAGACTGACTGTAGCATATTGCTTTTGGGAAAAGTGCATGTTTTTCTAAGAAGCTATTACTTCAATTAAAGTATAATGCATAACTCTCCCAAGTGATAGGACATTTGAAAGATACTGCCAAAAGAGAAACAATGAGATGCATTCAGAGAAGACTATATTGGATGTGCCCAATTCTTAGAAAAATAAATGCAAGAACATCTAATCTCATCACAGTTGGATACATATGTTTTTGCAGACAGAATGTAATTTTCTAAAAATGTCAGCTGTGTATGTCTCATAAATACTGAAAACATATCCTAACATTTGGAAGCAGCCAAGGGAAGCTATGGTGATTTTAATTCAAATTTAAATACATAATTAGTGAGTGAGCGCTCAGCAATGATGGGAATGTACTAGAATGATAGCACCAGTGGTGCGGAGTCAGAGAGATGGATGGAAGGAAAAGCAACAAATGGAGATGGAGGGAGTGGAAGGCACTCAGTAGTCTAAGTAGAAATGCAAATGGAAGCATTGAAGAAGCAGTGGGGGAATGCAGTAAACTCCAGGCCAGGATGGTTCTGTCTCAGTGTCTGAGACCATCACAATCCAATGCAGAATGCTTTGAGGGATGCTAGAACTCATTATTCTATTCTCCCCTTCCCAAATCAGCTCTTCTACTGGCCAAGTCAGGGTATGTCCAAGAGTGTTCCTTGAGAACACTGCTTCTGCTGAATGTCTATGTGTTCCTATTAAAATAAAGGGGGAGTGCAAATAAGTTTGGGATACAAGGAATAAAAGTTAAATGGGTATTTTTAGTTTTGGATTTTGCAGAGCCCTTAATATGTTAATAATGAATTGTGAACCTTAGGAGATGGGATATTGTATGCAGCAGCTCTCAAAATATTCCAAATACAGATCTGGTTTTTCTTTTTCTTGAAATATCTCATAGGACATGTGTTTGTGAAACACATTTGAGAAACGCTGGCTTGGATGCCTGAAAATTGCCTATCAGCTAATTATTCAACTGAGTTAAGATATGAAGATTCCAAAGCTTCTTTAAAATAAATATAAAAATATTTCTGGAGGTCCTACAATGTGAGCCATTATCAGTTAAAAACTTGCCAGCACTGACTCAACAAGTGACAGGTAGCTTGTTACCTGTGAGCCAAAACAGGTCTAGAGATGTGCAAATAGAGTGCATGTGTGTGGGCTTTGACTGGTGAGCACTTAAAGTTAGAGGGGCAGAGCAGACAGCATCTTTATCTTGTCATAAGGCTGTGACCTTACTCCGAGGCTTCCCTTGTAATAGAGTGCATGTGTGTGGGTTTTGTCTGGTGAGCACCTAAGGTTAGAAGGATGCATTTGAGGTCCTCCGTTGGATGCAGGTAGAGTGGAGTAGTTGGAGGTGTTATAGTGCAAGTTCAGGGGAACTTGGCAGCATGCATTTGCTAAGTAGCTGGGCAGAGGCTGAAGGGTACCTAAAAAAAGAGCACAGGGCAGACTCTGACTTTGGGGCTAAAGTCTAAGTATTTAATTTTAAGAAGTATGTACTCCTGAAAATAAATAAATTATTAGCTCCTGCTTAAAAAAATGGTGTTGTTTAAAAGTTATTGCTAAAAATACATGTGAATGTTGTCAAGAATTTCAGAAACTCCAAAGTTTCTGAGTAATGTTTAAAGAATGAGAAAGAAATGAATATTTTTAGTCAAAAAGACACCCCTTAAGAATATCATTTTTATCATAAAATAAGATGTACTTATTGTAAAAAACTTCAAGAATATAAAACATTAAGAATAAAAGAAAAATTACCCATATTATCCATAATCTCAATCCAGAAATACCTGTATATTATCTTCTACTTTCCCTTTGTCTCACTGTATAATTTCTGACTGATTAAATAATGAACATAAATTTTAATTATAATACTATAATTTAATGCAAGGGTTGACAAATCTGACCGGCCACCTGTTTTTGTAAAGCCCATAAGCTAAAAATGGTTTTTACATTTTTAAATTGTTGAAAAAAATTAAAAGAATATTTTATGATATTTGAAAATTACATGAATTTAAATTTCACTGTTCATTAATAAAGTTTTATTGGAATATGGTGATATCCACTTATTTACAATTTTCTGTGGCTGCTTTCACAGGACAATGACAGAATAGTAGTTGTAAAATTGACAGCATAGCCTACAATATTTGCTATTTGGGTCTTTACAGAAAATGTTTGCTAACCCCTGATTTAACCAATCCACAATTTGGGGGCTTTGGGGGTTTTTTCTTCATTTTTTCTTGCCCATTATAAAGAATGTGTTACTATTATATTTATGTGTTCATATATTTATATCTTGCATATAAATATTTGCCTACTTTTGTGATTATTCTATTGGGTATTTTCCTAAAAACAGAATTATTTTGTTAAAGGGTATGAATATTTTAAGGCTTCTGCTGCATAATGCCAAATTTTTTCCAAAAAGCTCAAACTAAGTTATACTCTCACCAGAACCATATGAGAGCTACAAATATTTTCCTTTGGCAAAATAAGCTCCATAGTACCCTGCCTTAAACTATTTTAAGTTCAATAATAAAACAAAGTGTTAATCATGTCCAAACTTGCTAGTAATGGGAATTTTCTGGGGGAATAAGATTCACATGCTTTTTGATTTTTATCTCTTTTTTCAACACAGCACTACATTTATTCAGCTTCTGCTTTTGACACATCCTGTTGTGAGACCTCACAGAACTTGCTTACTCCCCAGACATTGTAAATCAGTGTTTAATGGAGAAATCTTTCTTTATATTATGGGAAATATAAGATTCATCAGAGTCTGTATCTGATTTTGTATAAATTTAAATTTAGAGCTCCTCTGTGCAATGACATGAATTTACTTGTATTTTGTATGATTGATTATGGATAAATTCTAACTGAACCTGCCCATGCTCATTTCTCCTTTAACTGATAAATTTATTGGCCTCTTGAACAATGAAGCATTGTTCAACTAACATTGAACATGTTAGTTTCACTCACATGTGGGACTGCGAAGAGTATAGCAGTGACCATGAAAGGGGCCTCATAACCCCTTTTTAAAAAAGGGGTTTTTAAAATTTTTAAAAAATATTATTTGGCCAGAGAAGGGAGAGAACAGATAATTAGGCTTGAAAATCTTAAGTCTATATTTTACCCTCTTTAATGTGAACTATATTGTATAGAGTACAGCTTTGAATCTCTTCTTATTGGAAGCTTTACTTTCGATACTGCACATAAGTTATGCTGATTTTGAGTATTTGCTTATCAAGTTTTCAACGATCTAATTTGATGCGAATTAATTTTTTTTTCTGTCCATGGGGAACTTTTTTAAAAATTAAGAAACTGTCACAAAACAAATTTTCACTTAGAATGAAAATGCTGGAATTAAGATACATTCTGTTAGGATTTGAAAGGAAAATATATTGTTGTTTATGAGATGAGTATTTTTCATCTCTGTTCACAACCTGTATCCACCAGAAATAAAGGTGTTGCATCAGAAGCCCTATAAGATCATCTTCAGATTAAGTTTTCCAGATTTGTAAAGAACACAGTGAGACTAGCTGGAGCTGAGAAGTGTTATGAGACCATTGAATTTAGTAATTAGTAATTTTAGCCTGGTCTTTAACCTCGGTGTCATCTAGAGAACCTTATTTCTTTGTTCAGCAACTATTTAATGGGCTAACGTCTCAACTAAAAGTATTCAAAATCTTCTTAACTTTTCTTTAGGAAAACATCAGAATAATTCATAGGGAGACTCTAGAAGCATCCTCTTATATCCTTAGACTTCAGCAATCACTGAGAACCTTGGGTGAGAGCCTTTCTTCCAGCTAAGCCAAGCAGACCTCCTAGAATTGTTGTGGTTCAGGTTCAGAAGAACCCTATGGAGCCCATCCTGTGCCGTCCCCTCCTCTCAGACAGCGGCTGCGGTGAGAAGCAGGGCTGGGTCCCTTTTGGACCTTACCAGGTACATTGCGGCTTTCTTGAATTCAGCCCCCAAAGGCTTATCAGACATGAGCTTTTAGAAGCATTGAGGGTGAAGCCACATCTTTCAGATACACAGGTTCCAGAAGATGACTCTGCCACAGCAGAGGGACTGCTCTGTTTTAATAACTTGGCATCCTTGTAAGTATGACACACAGAGAGCCAAGGCATTCATGCCCACCCATTGCTGCTACATAAGGCTTCCTAAGTATGCTTGTAGCCACAGAAAAATGTTGGCAGAGCAGGAAGGAGTTATTTCCCTCCCTGTTCCTTACAACAGTATGTAATGCAGGCAGCTGGCCTAATTTCTGAAGACAAGTTCTAGAGATAGCATCTGATAAAAAAGGCATGCATATCATTAAGAAAAGACTCCCTTCACAGCGCTCTATGCAATTAGACTGGGGCAAAATCCATACAAACACTAAACACACACACACACACACACACACACACACACACACACACCCTCTTAACAACAGTGATCACTCTAGAAGGTTAGGAAAAAAAGATTTTATACCCAGAATTGAAAGAGACAGTTATGAATTTAGAAGACCATTTATTCCATTACCTATGGTTTATAGAACACGAGAAATAAGAAAATGCAGGTTGTAATGTATGATTATGATTATGACTTGACCGACCCCACAGCAATTAGAGCTGGAAAGAGCCATAGACATCATTTCATCCATCATCCTAATTTTTCATATGACATATAATGAAATATCTCTTAAATTTAATTGAAGTGACCTGTATAGTAGAGTATTTGAAATTAAACAGAATTGAAATTTAAGGGAATGAGTGCTGAGTCATTTACCTGAGGAAAATAATGTGAGTTGGATCATAAATGGCTTATCATGACAGAAAAAAAAATCTAGGGATAATTAATGAGAATTTGTGAAACTAAGTAGTACAGGATTCTTTTTCTTTTTTAAAGCAAGCAGCATACTGTGGGATGTCTTCTTCAAGTAGTCTTCACTGATTTTCTTCATGAAAAATTACCCAGAGACCTTTGCAGCACTTGAAGAAATCGAGGACTGCTAAGAGAATAGCTGGAGTAATAAAAATATGACCTTTAAGAAAAGTTAAGGAGCTGGGATTTTTATAGCTTTTAGAAAAACACACCAAATAACTTCAATATTCTCAAATATTTCCCATTTTTTCACATACGCTCATACACATCCAACCAAGGGAGCTTTATAAACAATTATTTTGTTATGTATTGATAAGTTAACTTCAAAATTAATAGAAATTTAATTCTGTTATTGATCCCAGCCTGTTACTAACCACATCTGTAAAGAATCCAAGTACTTACAGAATCCTTGTTGATAAACCTCTATTTTCAAGTTTTAACCATAATTCAAGGGGAAACCAGTACTTACTATGTGCTTTCACTTTAGATACATTTCAATCAAAATAAATTAACTAACAAATAATGTATCTTCCCTCTGCTTTGAGGATGCCTGTATATAAACGATTTCAACACAGAGGCCAACCACCTCTTTGTCCTCCCTCTTAACTGGGTTACCACAAAGAAGCATCTCTCGAAGAGTTTCTGTAAGAAGAAGCCTAATAGGAAATCATCTCTTAGCTAGTTAGAAATAAGGTAGTTTCTTATTTTTACATGTGGTTTAATGTGAGGAAAGTTGAATTGGACTGTCAGCCCTAAGATAAAAATATGAGAAATGTGAGCTAAGCCCTAGGAAATATGATTTCACTCAATGTTCTCTTGGCCAGAAGAATTTGGGACTCTGAAATTGAGGATGATAAAATAGAATAATTATCTCCAAGTAGTCTCTGAGTACACTTCAGTGTATATTTGTGATTTTTTTCATCTTTACCTGTCAATTTGGGGTGTTACATCTGGATCTAAGAACATGCTTTCCGAAGTAAGACTTGCAGGTTACTTAACCAAATTAGAATCAGTCAAATTTCCTTGAGGTTTTGGACTTTTAAGAGAACTTATTAAAATAGTTATTATTGTTGCCAAGCTCTTTTAAGCATTTATATTTAGCATTTAAAGCAAAATATTTGAACAGAATTTAAGATACAAAAGGATTTTATATGGACATTCTGTTTTCTTAAGAGTCTTTCAGTATCTGAATTGCTTTTGCGTGTTCAATTTAGAGCTCTTCTGGTTGAGAGCGACAGAGACTCAATTCAAATGAGCTTAAACAAAAAATGCTCACATAGGGAAAAATACAGAAGTAGGCCTAGTTTCAGTAATGGCTGGATGTAGCTACTCTAATGATGTCAGTAGCTTGTTTTCTGTCTTTCTGGAGTTCTACTTTTCTCTGTGTTGGCTTCATTCTCAGTCAGTGTCTCTCCTAGGAAGATCTAGGCTTACATGGTACTTGGAGTTCACAATCTAAGAAAACAGCTAACTAACTCTCTTTTCTTCCAAAGTCCTGGAGAGACCTCTAACTGGCCCCATTTGGGTCAAAGGTTCATTTGTAAACCAGTCCCATGTGGACACTGGCAGGTTGAATGTCCCAGTGATGTTTTCATACGAACCAAAATCAAGGACTACTACAATCACTCCTGTAAAATCATAGGCCTCTGGGCTGTGATGTTTCTGGAAACAGCAGCCCAAGGTCTATAGTTCAGCAGTGAGCATCTGAAATATTTCCCAATTATTTTCAGGGTAGGGCTATGAATTCATGACCTGTGCAGCACTTAAAGAAATATCAGAGGTTGCTAAGAGAATGATTGTTGTAATGAACATATCACTTTTAAGAGAAGTCTGGAAACTGGGATTGTTCTATTTTCTTAGATAGAATACATAGGTCATATCTGCTTAGATAGAATACAGCTATTGTGTATTAGGCTCTTCGATTTATCCATCAAACTGGAGGTGTTTATAATCCAAGGATATTGTTGTTGAAAGGAGATAGAGGTGGCCCCTGTCATTCGTTCTAAAAAGCCCCAGGGAAATGGTATATCTTTTCTCTCCATGCAGTGGCTGTTTTGTTTCATTTTGTCCACCCAGCATTCATTTTTCCTTTTTATGGTAACAGCATCCTGATTTTCTTTGAGGATATTTTCTTCCCCATTGTGGGCAATTTTAGTAGGGCAGTAGAATTACATGCCCTACTCTCTCCTAATCTAAAGGGTCAATAGGTGACCCAAGCTAAACCAATGGAACTCACTGTCTTTATACATCTAGTAGATTAATATATGAAAAGGAAAATGTAGCATATTTATACCTTTGTTGGTATCCTTTAAAGATGCTAAGTAGTTCCTGATACCTGGTCTCTGCAGCTTTGTCTGATGCCTCTTTTTCAAAACTTAATTTTCCAGCCCTTCTGGGAGCTACTCATATATTTCCAAAGGATTCATTTTTTAAAAAATAAATTACACATAAACAGCTTTTGTGCTTGCAACCAGAGGGCACTAACCGATGTAGAAGTTAGGGCTAGAAGCAGGGTACTGCAAGTTAAGTTACGGAGCTTAACATGCAAAATTACCTAGTCAAAGGAAGATAGAAGGCAGAAAAGACTCCTCCATCCAGGCCTGGAAAGTTGGCCATTATTGTTATGCAATAAGGGAAAAGCTTGTTAAGCTGTAGCTTGTAGTAATTGGGAACTCAGACCACTTGAATCTTTCAGAGATGCAAAAGGAAAATGTGAAGGTATTGAAGTTTCTTGGCTACATCTTGTAATCTTCAGTAGGATCCTAGGAGAAATTGATACATTTAAGCTGAAGCTCATTCTGAAAGAAGAGAAAGAAGAAAGAAGGCCTTTCTAGAGATATTCTGCAACCTGCAAAACAAGATGGCTTAAAGCCTGATACTATGGAGTCTTGGACAGTTAGAAAAGCCAAATTCTCTGTCTCCTGAGGAAGTTAGTGTGATCAAAAGTAGCACAGTGGAAACTACGGAAGGAAATAAGATGGCAGAGTCCTCTGTTACTTCTCACTCCCTTCACAAATATCCTTGATTTAAGTTTTGCATTTACATAGGACTGCTAGAGGAAAAAGTGAGGACATTGTCATATTTTCTTGGGATAACCCTTCCTGCAAACCTAGAGAGAGCATTTGAGAACTGCTTGTCTTTGTGAATGGCCACTGTTTTAGAGTTAGCTATTTATGTCCTGGGTTAAATTTCATTCACTAGACTAGACATTTCATGAGGGAGGACAGGGGCTAGTCCTGTTTATAGGTTTTAGAAAAAGTATGCCAAATAACTTTAATATTCTCAAATATTTCCCATTTTTTCACATACACACTCACACACATCCAATCAAAGAGCTTTATGAACAATGAGCTTTTGCTCATAGCTACATCCCAAAAGTCTAGCCTGGTGCCTGGAATAAATAACATCAATTTATTCAGTATTATATACATTGATGTTTTTCTCCCTTGGACTTGTCACATTAGGTATTCATTCGATAAATATTTGTTTACTGTTCCCATGGGAATATAATGAGAAACAATGTAGATATGACACCTGCTCTTAGTGGTGCTGTGTGACTTAGGTTCACTGTGGTAGATTGATTAAATATAATTTAGTTGAGAATTTGAGACTTAAAATGCCATAATATAGTAGTCATTTAGGCTTATTCTTTTGAAGAAGAGGAAGAATTATTACCTTAGCAGGGAATTGAGGAGCCCTGAAGAATCAGGATAGAGGTATTTCTAAGAGAGCAATATATCAATTACAGCCAATCTTTATGTAACAGCATCTTCTATCTTGATAGCCTGCATTTGGATGAGGCAGAGGTGAGACAGAGGACTGTAAGGGAAATGAAGGGCTTTTTTGATCCCTTGTGTTCTAATTTTGGGGGTCTATGACTTAAATATCTGTTATTGAGGAGGAAGAAACAATATTGTAAATTTGGGCACAATAATGTTCTAAAACAAACATTGGGAAGTTTAACTTGGCAAGTATATTCTTTTTCCTAGTTTGTAAATTTAAACATTTAAAGCCATACAAGTATTTAGTAATTAAATAATATTAATCAGATATAAAAAGATACTCTCTTTACTAAAATGAATAGCTCAAGAAATTTAGACCTTGCTAGAATATATGGGTTTATGGTAACTGCATTAGTTTTCTGTTGTTGCATGACAAATTACCACAAATTTAGCAGCTTAAAACATCACAAATAGTTAATATCACAGTTTCTATGGGCTAGAAGTCTGAGTATGGTGATGCTGGATTGTCTGCTGAGAGTCTCAGTGGGCTGAAATCAAAGTGTTGGCTAGGGCTGAGGCTCTCATCTAGGCTCAGGGTCATCTTCTAGGCTCACTGGTTGTTGACAAAATTCATTTCCTTGTGGTTGTACAACTGAAGTCTCTGTTGTTCCTCAAGCTGTCAGCCTGGGATGGTTCTCAGATCCTAGAGGCTGCTCACTGTTCCTTACCATGTGACCTCCGCAGGCAGTTCATTACATGGATGATAGCTTTCCCCGAGGCCAGCCAAAGCATGCCTCTCTAACTTCCTCTTCTGTGAGGAAACCTCTCTGCTTTAAAGGGTTCAGGTGATCAGATCAAACCCATCCATACAGTCTCTCTTAATGTTAATTCATTTAAAACCTTGGTTATATCTGCAAAATGCCATCACAACAGTTTCCTAGTTTAGGTTAGTTTTTTCTTCTTGTCCTTCTTTTCAATTAAAGGAGTTGTCTTAAAGGAACCCTATGAATATTTCCCTAAGTATGTATGTGCCACATGGCATATTTTGGAAATGGGGATGATGAAATCAAGCAACGATTGTGCAGACATGTTTTAAAAAATTGTGAATTCACTTAGGACAAGAATAGTTCTCTAGAGAGCCATGACAAAATTTAGAGGAATATTTTACAGTTCAGTTAAAACCAGTGCATTTTATTTCTTATTTTTAATAACATCTTTATTGACCTACAATTCATGCATCATAAAATTTACCCACTAAAAGGGTACAAATCAGTGTTTTAAAACTGATATATAATTCACATACTGTAAAATTGACCATTCTAAAGTCAACAATTCAGTAGTTTTTAGTATATTCAAAATCGTCACTATCAGCACGAACTCCAGAGCATTTTTATCACCCCAAAGCAAACCCCATTCCCATTAACACTCACTCCCATTTCTTCCTTCTACCAGCACTTCATGTATTATAGGTATGGATTTACTACGTACTTCAAGTAGTTATGGATTTGCTTATTCTGAACATTTTATATTGACAGAATCATACAATAAGTGTTTTTTTGTGTGTGTGACTGGCTTCTTTTAGCTAACATGCTCAGGTTCAACCATGATTTAGCATGTAGTGTTTCATTCCTTTTTATGTCAGAATAATATTCCATTGTAGCGATATAACACTTTTCTTATCCATTCATCCGCTGATAGACATTTGGGTTGTTACTGCCTTTGGCTTTATGAGTAACATTCCTATGAATATTCATATAGAAGTGTTGATGTGGATATATGTTTTTGATTTTCTTGGCTATCTACTGAAGAATGAATTTGTCAGGTTATAAGTTAACTCTACATTGAACATTTTAGAGAATGGCAAACTGTTTTCCAAAGTGGCTTAATCATTTTTACAAGCCCACTAGGAATATATGAGTGTTCCAATTTCTCCATATCCTCCCTAACACTTATTGTTTTTCTTATTTTAGCCATCCTAGTGGTATAAAGTGTATCTGCTTGTGGTTTTAATTTTCATTTCCCCAATGGCTAATTATGTTTAGCATTCATTCATGTTCTCATTGGCCATTAGTAGATCTTCTTTGGAGAAACGTCTAAATACTTTGTGCATTTTAAAACTGTCTTTTTACTCTTGAGTTGTAAGATTTTTGTATATCTGGACACAAGAATCTAATTGTATAGATGGTATGCAAATATTTTCTTAGTATGTGGGCTGTTTACTTTCTAGATAGTGTGATTTGAAGCACAACATTTTAAATTTTGATGGAGTCTAACTTATTTTTTCTTGAATTGCTTGTGCTTTTGGTGTCATATCTAAGAAGATGTTACCAAATCCAAAGCAATGTTCTCCTATCATATTTTTGTAACAGTAGAATCTAACATGAATGAATAAGGAAATTCAGGAAATGATCATTTGAAGATGTTTGTATCACACCTGAATTAAGTGAGATTTAGTTATTGAAGAAGGCATTTCTTTGTGAACCTGTTCCCACAGGGAGAAATTAATTCACACATTCATTTAGCCAATATTTATTGAGCACCTTGTATATTCCAGGTATTGTTCTAGGCTCAGGGGACACAGCTGGGAACAAGACCAATTTCCTGCCCTCATAGAGCATACCTTGAGTTGGATAGGAAACACACACAAGCAATGAAGATATGAAAACCTTCAGATAGCAATAAGTGATCTGTTGAAACCAAAGTGGGGTTGGGCATTCCATTTGGATGGGATGTACAGGAAGGACTCACTCTCAAAGTGTCTCAAAGTGTCACAAAGAGTGGATAATTTGATGAACAGAAGCAAGCAACTATGATAAGGTCTGGGACAGAGTTTTGGAGGCAGAAGAAATGCCAAGTGAGATGAGAACACACTGGTGTGTATAAGAAAGGGCAAACAGGTCTTGTGTGTGTTGGGGTAGGAGGGGTGCACACGGGTGAGAAAAGAAGAGTTGCAGATAATAGGGAAAGCATATGAATGTTAAATAACTTTCTGGCTGCTCTGTGAAGAATGCACTCAAAGGGGCAGAGCAGACAGCATCTTTATCTTGTCATAAGGCTGTCACCTTATTCCGAGGCTTCCTTTGTAATTGCTAAACCCTTAAAGGTCACTGCCTACTTGACTATTTGAAAGTGAACTTCCCTCAGGTTTTGGAGCAGCTGTTACTTTTGGTTGAAAGCAAGGAACATCAGTCCGCTGCAACGTACCTTGGCGCCCCAGAGGGGGGTTCTTCTTGGGCAAGGGAGGCAGGCCTCCTTCGATCAGTGCAGGCGATGCTCTGGTGTTGCCCAAGTCTTTGCCTCCTTTAGTGCTTGCCCTTTCAACTGAGTTGCCTTTCCTGCTTTCCTGGCAGTCCCTTATTTTGCCTCTCTCCTCGCGCTTCCCTGGTCCTCCTTCACCCTCGTTTTCAATCCTCAATCGTGCATTTTCTGATGCTAGCAGGATTTGAACTGAGTGTTTCCACCAGGGCGACACTAGCAGTTCGCCCTTCAAGATCCAGATCCAAAATCCACCCTCTGGTCTTCGGCCAAGGAAAGGGGGCGGGTGGGGAGCGCGAACCTTATCTCCCGGGCTCCGCCTCCAGGGGGCTGAGAGCGAGTTTCTGAGCCTCTGAGCTCTGCACTGGCCGCTGCAGGGAGAACGGACTCCGGGCGGAGGGCAGCCAATCCGTTTCAGCGCAGGTCTTGCTCGGGTTGGGCTTGCCACTGCCTGGAACATACCTGTCCCCCTGGCGCAACACTCAGCTGGCTGCGACGGCAACCCCGAGCCTGGACACTGCGCCAGGTAAGGAGACACCTCCTACTCCCCTCTCGCTGCCAGAATGACATCTCGGGGGGCCTCAGGGCTGGCTCTCCAGGGGCTGCAATTTGGCATTTTGGGTTTCCTGGGGGTGCAGTCTTCTCCCTGCGCCAAAGCAGTTGGTGAACTGTTCGGTGAATTCCGCGCCCAGCTGGAGGCTGAGATGTCAGGATTTGTCTTGCAAAGTTACTTCATGTTAATGAATCTTGGGAGGTTCTCTGGGTGCAGATTCCTGCCTTGGAGTGTTTGGCTTCTGAGTACGATAACGTGCGTTGATTTACTCCCCTGAGCTCAACCCCACCCTCAGCTTTTAGCTTCTTGGAAGGGTCTCCAGCGTCCACACGTGGCGCTGAGCGCGCAGAGCTGTGGGTCTGGGGCTGTGTTGAGTGGGCCAGAGGTTCTTTACGGCTGCTGCATTATGGACTCACTCCGGGACCTTTAAAAAAATCGATGCTTGAGCAGCACCCCAGACCAATTACTCAGAATCTCTGGGGGTGGGACTTTGAGCATTAACATATTTAAAACTTTTGTCAGGTGATTCCAAAGTGCAGTCGAATATAGAAAGCAGCGAACTACAGCAGTGATTCGCTGTGTGGCATCTGGCCCGCAGCAGCAAGCACCTGGTAACTTTGAGAAATACAAACAAAATCTAGGGCTCTAGCTCCGCCCTAGACCCACTGAACCTAAAACCCTGAGGCTGGTGCCCAGAAACCTGTGTTTTAATGAGCCCTCCAGGTAATGCTAGTGCTTGCTCAAGTTTGAAAACTGTTGGGTTGGACCTTACTTAATCAGAGAAGACACCTGCAAATTTCCCTTCACCAAGGGAGGAGGCAACAGACCACTTTTCAGAAGAACCTTAGTTATTTATTAGTAGAGTTTTGCCCATATTGAAAAAAAAAAAGCATACTGGGGACTTTGAAAGATCTTATAAAGGGGAGACTTAAGCATCATCGAATAATTTTTAAGCAGTAGAATTTGTATACTTGCTTTAGGAGAGAATAGGAATTTTTCCTTTTCTAAAAGTTGAAATGAAGCCAAGGAAGAAATATACATGAGTCTTCCAGCTGTAATAACAGGAATCTTTGACCCCTGATGAAATGTTCCTGGATCATCACTGTCATCAGTGCAGGTTACAGCATTCATATGCGTATTTTGTCTTTTCCTAAAGTAGTTGAGGGTTTAAGGGATTCATGCCAATTCTCTTTAGTGAAAGGGAATTCAGTGTTGCAGGCCTCTGGATTATTGAAGTGGACCATTTTTTTTTTCTTTTTATAGATATCTGAGATTTCAAAATTTTGGCTAAAATAGTTCCAGCTGTTTCTAAGCCATTAGTTCAAAAATAGAATGACTTTGCAAATGGGCTTAAATGGATTAGAAATCTGACACTGGATAAGAAAATCTAGAATAGGCATGACTCCAATCCCAGCACATGCGTGCTGCAATGAACACAGGGCTAACTGTACCAAGACTTCCTGTACAGAGAACATTTATTTTCCAAACTGCTTTTTTTCTGTGCCAATTTGTGACTGAGGTATATAAACTTGTTAAGGGTTAGGTACTAAGCTTGTATTTAGAGAATCTGGGGGAAATTTAGATAGTGGTTAGGAACAGGAACTTTGGTCTGAGGCAGACCTGGGTTCAAGACCTGCTCTTCTGCTTCTCTGTGCTCTTGGATAGTTGCATAGCTTCTCCGAGCCTCATTTTCCTTATCTGTGAAATGTGGGGCGTACTAGTACACTTACCTCATAATTCACATTGTTGTCAGAGTTAAATAATGCTTCTAAAGTGCCTAGCATAGTAAGTTAAATATTTGTTAGCTCAAAATACAAACTCATGTATACACACCATCAAACAACATAATCCTCAACCACCTTAAAAGAAGATCTATGTTGATACATGATTAGATTTTTATTTAAATACCAACTGCACTCTTAGAAGGTGACTATATGGACATCCTCAAATTATCCTTATAATTTGATTACATACTTTATATGGAACTTTCTGGAAAAAGTTTTAGATTAGCTTCAAATCAATAGCCTAGGTTTTTTTAAGTCACTGTGGTGAAGGATTTCACCTTCTGGTAGCCTTTATAATGTATTAACATTCATATTTAAATAGCCGTAAAATCTGGTTCTTCAGAATACTTTTCTTTGTAAAAGAAAATCCAAATGAGAGAGCATCTAAAAGTGAGATGGTGTAGTCTCCAGGAAAGCTAGTTTAGAAGTACTATCTGGTGTTTCTTAGGTTCTTAACAGAGTGAATAAAGGAAACCCTATCCAGTTACATCATGATTTGTTCAAGAAAATATAAGAGGAAGCAAAATGAGGACACAGAGCAAGGACAAGCCTAAACTGGCAAAAAGAGTAGGTGAGGTAATGAGTCCTTTTCTTCCTTAGCTGCAATAATTTCAAAATGCTTCAAGTCACACACACATGCATACAATCAATTCCTTTCACATTATTTGATTGGAACTGATCTCTATTATCCTCTTAGGACCAAGTAGATCTAGTGAAAATATTTATGGTATTAATGCCAAAAAAGATGCCAAATGATTCTGTACTTTGAAATTAATTTCCATTCTCTTTTATTTTAGCGATAAGTTGAATAGTGTATTACTGAGAATGCCTTTTATGACTCATCTGGCATCTTTAAATGCAAGAGGTTGTAACCTGCTAATTACCAATCATATATGACTTCTATAAGACTAAACATAAAGCAAGTTCCGGCATCTAAGCACTTTAGTAAGTCCTCCATTCAAGAAATCAGATCTTCATTAGGATACTTTAAAAATTATAATTTAATGTTATTAAAATGATTAGAATTAGAATTTAATGTTATTAAACTAAATGTAATTCCAATTTATTATAAATAGGGTTTTCTATTTGACTCACTGTGGAAAGAGGAGGAGTAGCTGTGGGGATGAAAAAGAAGGTCAGAGGCATACCTGTTGTTGGGAAAAATGGAGACATATAGGAGCAAGTTCAGATTCTCAGTAATCAAATGCTGTGTTCTGGATAACTTAACTGAAAAGCTAAGAGAGTCTATGATGTTGCAATTCAGAGTGACAGATGGGGCAGCACTGCTTGCAGTGAATGGCCAACTAGGAATGATCAATATTGCAATGCCCCACAGTGACTTCATGACTCTCCTGTCATAGGTATAGGGTCCAGAGCAGATATAATCATAAAGAAGTTGTGCTTGGTTTACATAACCTGGCTCACTTAGAAATGTTCTGATGAGAGTTACCTGGCATTCATTTAGGTTCATTTTCAGGGCCCTCTTTGTTCCATAGTGGATGGTTTTACTATTAAGGTCAGTCTTGAAACTGTTGTGAGTAAGGCCTATCACAGGAAATGGATACGTGTTTTTATTTTGTATTTATTATCTTTGGATTATATTTCTCAGCATGCAATAGTAATTCTTTAGTTTGCTTCATTATTATTCTTGTGAGAAACAAAGTTGAAATGTTTATTTCTGGTACGTGGTCCAGTCTCATAGGAGGAAAATGAACCATGAGTCTAAATTCCCCAACTTTCTGCATAGACTCTTGGTTAAAGACAAGGTACTCTGCAGCCAGACTGCCTAGCCCTGAATCCTGACCTCATTACTTTCTAGTTGTTTAAACTTGGACAAGTTACATAATCACTTTTGCTTCTGTTTCCTCATTGGTAAAATTGGGGAAGTAGAACCTACCTCAGTAGGGCTGTTGTGAGGAGTAAATGAGTTAACATATGTGAAGTTCTTAAAACAGTGCCTGGCTCATAGTAAGTGCTTAATAAGAATTTGCTATTATTTTACTTTGGGCCTTAATGAATGCTTTAAGCTGAAGCT
The DNA here is from genome assembly GCF_000001405.40 of Homo sapiens. Taxonomy (NCBI): domain Eukaryota; kingdom Metazoa; phylum Chordata; class Mammalia; order Primates; family Hominidae; genus Homo; species Homo sapiens. The sequence continues at coordinate 56,243,540 of NC_000006.12, read as the reverse complement.
CTCTTTTCTGTTTTCACCTCTGAAAGTGAGATCCTAAAAGGAAATAGTAATTTAGGTTATTAATTTGGTGTTCCCATGATTTTTCTGTTTTATTTAATGGGATAATTTGTCTCAGAATAAGTGAGGTACTTAAAGTTTCTCAGAAAATAATAAATTTAGAACAACATTTTTGTAAGGTCCCAGTTGATACTACTGTGGCTGGCCAGAGACCACACCTAGGGAATCACTGCTTTAACCCACTGGTTAACCCACTTGACTGGACATTTGAATCACCTGAGAACAGTTTTTTAGACTGTGTTCTGTGTTAGAATGTTTGAAATTTATTGTGAAAAGAGTAAAGTAATCATGTCATTTATAAAGAGAGTCCCTGGAACATATCTACACACTATATTCATGGGATTCTCATGTACTCATAGAATTTTTAGAATGGTTAGGGATATTAGAATTTGCGTAATATAAATGAGGGAACAGGTTTGGAGATGTCATTCTTAGCCAAGGGCTCATGAAGAGTTAGTGGTGGCACTGGATAACAATTCATATTTTTTTAGTACTTTAATCCTACTTAGTACACTTTTCATTCAACTGTCTTGCATTCCAAAAAATCAGATAATGTTGACAAAGAGACGCACAATCCAACTTACAGAATACAACTGGAATACTACAGTTATACCTGTTCCACTTATCACAGTTTAATTTCAGGGACATTTACTTAAAATATTTCTTTAATTAAAGAGCACTGAAAGCAATATGTTTACAATGCCAAGAAAATAAATCTGAAGTTATCAGTTGTGAAAAAGATAATTTTTTCACCTTTGTCACTTCAAAGAATTCAATATAATTTTTTCTCCTTGTTGTTTCTTGGACATTTTGGTTTTTACCAATGAAATACTCAGATAAATCTTTGAAAATTTCAGGAAACATTGACAATTTTCTGAAGTCCAAGCTTAGTGACCTTCTGGGAATCCTGCCAGATGCTTGTGTTTGATTCAGTGCTTAGTTTTTGTTTGGACTTGTCTTGTTTTCATCTAGGTCAATTTAGCCATGATTGCAGTGTTATGCTACCCCTTAACTGTTTGTTTATGTACTCATTGGTGTCGAGAAGAAAAGACTAAGGACCAAGAAAAGAGATTTTTTTAATTCAAAGTAAAATGTTCTAGCGAAGTTTGAGCTTTTTAGAAAGTTCTTTTAAAAAGATTCTTTGGAATTTTAGTCTTTTGCATTAATTACGTAATGGAGTAAATAAAAGCACTCAAAGCTTATTTTTATATTTTTATGAGAACCTTTAAATTCATAGGTGATTCAATGGAAACAACTTATTAAAATATTAAATTAATATACTTTAACATTTTTAGACCTTGTTGTATACGTATTTTGCAACTTTATTAGGAAGAGAGAGTTTGGTTCCACTTATAGGGTATGTATAGGCATGTGTTTTCCAGCAGTACTCAGAAGATGGAATATTAAAGATAAAACAGGGAGGAACATTCCTTGTTAGTGTTCACCCATTCATCAAATAACTATTAAGTGTCTACCAAGTGGTTGGCTATCTTAGGTAAAGGGGATTCAGACAAAAAGTTGCTAAAGTCTGTTTCAGAGAGTCTATTAATAGCCAATCTGCTGTTTCTTTTTTAAAAATGAAAAACTCCCTTCAATTCATTATTGAAAAATATTTTGTAAATACCTTGAACAATGTAGAAGGCAAAATGCTTCTAATTTAAATTTAAAAACCTCAACAAGCATAGCATGATGTATCACTGGATTTCTTAAACCATTTTTGATTGTCGTTTGACATAATACTATTTATTAATCTTTAGAAAGTGTTCAATGTGGTTTGAAGTAATGTCTTGGCAACAAGTGGAGAGAGATTATCCCAGAGAGAAGCATTGTGGAGAAGGTAAATACCCAGGTCCTGAGAATCAGGCTGCTCTCCACCGTTTCCCTATTGATCATCACCTGTTCTCTTTGGCAGTTTGCCTTTGGATCATTTTACAGCTCTTTTACTTTTTTTCTCCCTGTTCAGATTCCTTGTTAGCTAGCAACACTAGGCTGAGTTTTGAAATGAGATAAAGAGAAATATCAACTAGGGATGATATGTGTCTCAGTTAGCCCAGGCTGCTAAAGTAAAATTCCATACAGCAGGTGGCTTAAACAACAGAAATTTATTTCTCATGTTTCTGGAGGCTAGAGAGTCCAAGCTCAAGGTGCCGGCCAATTTGGCTTTTGAAAGGGCTCTATTTCTGGCTTACAGAGAGTGATCTTTTTGTTCTTTTCTCATGATGAAGAGAAAGAAAACAAGCTCTCTGTCTATTTATAAGGGCCTACCAGTCCTGAGGGCACCAGTCTTGTTATCTAATTACCTCCGAAAGGCCTTGCGTTCAAATATCACCATGTTGGGAGTTAAGGCTTGTACACATGATTTTTGGGAGGGCAGCTTTCAGTTCATAGCAACATGATAATTGTTTTAACCAGAGTGGTATAGGAATGGACAGAGCTCCTACTTGGGTGCCTATGGAATGGGGAGGGAGCAGGGTTGAAAAGGGAAAGTAAGATGCAGAGCTCTTAATGGAAGCAGAGGCACTTGGAACCTAATTCAAACTTTTGTATTTTTGTAACGACAGCAAACATGTGAGTGTGAAGTGTGAGCGATAGGTACCTATAATCTAAATTATGTGTCATTTCTACACTACTATTTAGATAATGTTAATATTGACATGTCAAATACTAAATAAAGGCCAAGAAGACCCTGGGCTGGGAAATGGCTTCTCATCCAGCCTGCCACCAACTTACTGAGATGCTGGAAGCTTAGAAAAGCCTGCAGTAAGGAGAGTTAGACAGGTGTGCTTGCAAAGTTCTCTTTCATTTTGCCATTTGTATATTTTTCTTAGTTAAAAGCACCATTATAGGCCATCATGGAACATCTAAAGGGTTGCATCTGAGAGCATCTCTATATAGAGTTTAAGTCAGCATGAAGTCATTGGATCCTTTAGGAAATTGGTCTACTGAGAAATGTAGAGTTTATTTATTCCTAAGATTCCTATTGAGGTATATCTCAGTTCATTTTATGCTGCTATAACAAAATACTTGAGACTGGGTAATTTATAAAGAACAGAAATTTATTTCCTCACAGTTCTGGAGGCTGGAATCTAAGATCAAGGCACTGGCAGTTCTGTTGTCAGGTGGAGGCTGCTTCCAGGGTGGCGCCTCATGGCTGCACCCTCCAGAGGAGAGAAACACTGCATCCTCACATGGTGGAAGACTAAGGGAAAGCCAGCTGAAAGCTGCCTGAAACCTCTTTTATAACAGCTTTGTATTATTCTGTTCTCACACTGCTGATAAAGACATACCTGAGACTGGGTAGTTTATTTAAAAAAAAAAAAAAAAGTTTAATGGACTCACAGTTCCATGTGGCTAGGGAGGCCTTATAATCATGGTGGAAGGCAAATGACACATCTTGCCTGGTGGCAGACAGAGAAAATGAGAGCCAAGCGGAAGGGGTTTCCCCTTACAATACCATCAGATTCCTGAGACTTATTCAACCCCATGAGAACAGTATGGGGGAAATCATCCCCATGATTCAATTATCTCCCACCAGGTCCCTCTCACAACACATTGGAATTATGGGAGCTATGATTCAAGATGAGATTTGGGTGGGACACAGGCAAACCATACCAGGCTTTAATCCCATTCATATTGGAGGAGCCCTTATGGCCTAATCACCTCCTAAAGGCCTCACCGCTTAATACAATCACATTGGCATCATGTAAATTTTGGAGGGGACACATTGAAACCATAGCAACATACTTGAATGTTCACTGAGGATGGTTGTTACTGTGAATGGTGAGTAATAACAGCTTTTTCTTCCAAACAAATTGTAAACTCTTTTTCATGATGACTAAACAAATTTATCTTTGACATCTATGTGGAAATTATATAAAAAATTTTTTTCACTGGTCTTTCCAACACTTGAAAAAAAATTTTAAATTTGAATTATGGCTTTTTGTTGGAAATCATGTTTATATGAGTAATCAAATTATATTTTTGAGCTCTAAATTACATGTTTCCCAAAATGTTAACAGTTGTGTTTGGGTTGTGAGATGGTAGACGTTTTTATGCTTTTCTTTGTTTTCTCATGTGTATTTTTAAATACATGTATTATTTTTATGATGCAAAAATGAATACTTAGATACATGCTTTGTATATGGAAACATTTGGAATTATAATTTCAAATTCCTATACAAGTGAGAGATAATGATTGTTAGAATGTGATTAATTGATGTTCCTATAATTCATAAAGTACATGTTGTGCCAGATGTACTTAGACACTAATTAGAGATGGTAATATCTGGTGAAGATGAAATAATTATTTCTAAAAAGCAGAAAATATTATTACTCCTTGTGAATGCAAAAAAATAGTTACATGCTCTAATACATTGAGGCCATATAGAGTAATAGCTAAGATTATGAGTGTTGTATGGTTGTGGCTCTGACATTTACCACTTGTGTGACTTTGTGCATGGTGCTTGACCTTTTAAAGCTTAATTTGCTATGTGTCAAGTGTGTATTCAGAGGACCTACTTCATAGTATGGTCAGAAGGTTTAAATAAAACAATGCACATAAACCCTTTGGCATAAGGGCTGGCAGATACAAAGTATTCAGATTAGTTCAAATTAGTTATTATCATAAGTAATTTTCTCCTAAGCTTTTTCACACTTACATTTGAATCCCTATGTTTTGGAAAGCTTGTTGCTTCTTTAGGTGAGAATATTCTTCATGTAACTGAGGACCTGGAGCAGAGGCAAATCCAGATTTTAGCCATTATCCACCTAGTACTTGGGAGAGGGAACTGAGAATGCAGGAGAAAGGTATCTGCTGAAGGTGGCAGGGCAGTGGCAGCTCTATCAGAAGCTTTTGAGGTAAAGCTTTGTGGCTGTAGGTGTTGATTCTGGGGTCCATGAGGCTGTCAGTCTTTGCTGTAATGGCACAGTTGTAGTCACTGTGGTGGTTGGGTGAGACTGAGGGTATCCTCAGGTCTCGCTTGTAACTGCAAGTGGTTTGTGGTGAGCTCCTGGATTTAGCAATTGTGGAGGCTTTTTTTTTTTTTTTTTTTTTAAGAAGACTGCCCCGAGTTTCAGCATCCACTGCCTTCTCAGCAGGTGCCTTCATGCTTCTGCAGTCCAGATTTGCTGTAACAGTATAGATATGCATCAATTTATCCATTCAACAAATATTTATTCAGCCTTTTCCATAGAGTAGATGAGGTGCTAGGGATGCAGCCCTAAATATGACATGATTCCTGTCCTGGAGCACTCAGTTTGTTAGTCAGTTTCCCCTTAGATTCTCTGGATGCCATGATTGGTTGTCATATCACAAGGCTCCCAGCCCTAATCAATTGCTGCTTATAGTAGAGTACTTTGAGCAGGTTGTTGATTGTTTCATACCCAGTAATGTGAAGGCTAATAATTGGAATATGTGGTCAGATCTATGTTCTCCTCAAAACTGTGGTGAAGTCTGTGTATGTAATGTACATAAATTTTTACATGGTATTTAGACTAACCACGTAGTCTATTAAGCTAAAAATAAAACAAAAACACCATAATTGAATTGAATGAACTGAGGCTTTATAGAATACAGCTGTGGAGGCACTGGGAGAATCAGAATCAATTACTTTTAGACTATACATCTCAGAATACTGGAAAAAATGTGAATATTTTTGACCTCTGATTCATTCTAAATTAATTAAATGAATGTCCAGTTGCCTCTGTAGAATAGTTAGAGCCATTTATGTATGTGTGTTTCCTTAACTGTGCCTCTAAATATTTTTAATTTTCAGGTAGAGAGTGTAATTTCACATTCGACATTTTTGGCCAGACTTATGACATTATTAAATGCTAAGGTTGACTAATTTAATAAATGTACATTTTAAATTATTCTATGCCACTTTGGATATGGTTGCTAAGTTGAGTTCCAAATCTCCTTTCTAGTAACCTGTCATATTTTTGAGCCTTTGGCCTAAAGAGCCTAAGCGAGATTAGAGAAGCAATTATATTTTTACATTTTCAAACTTGATTTGAACACTAATGACTTAATTTAAAACCTAAATGTGTTTATGCTTTCTACTTTATCTACTCTTTCATTTTATCCCTAAGGATTAGCATTTATCATAAAGTTAACTGAGGAAAACATTTTCCTTTTTAAAAATTTCATTGTTTTTGTATTGCCAATGCTTAGACAGGGCAAACCTGTTTTACTCAAGGGAGTGTCCTCAGGTAATCAGGACAGTATAGAGCTGCAGACTTTTCAAGTTGCAATGAAGACATGTAGCCCTGGTTCTTTAGAGTGCACTACTTTGCTACTGTCTATTACTGTAGACTCTAGAGAATTTTAAAATTTGGCTTTTTTTCCTTTCGAATTTTTCTTTTCCTGGGATTTCTGTTTTCTCAGAGCCATCTATTGATAGGTTCTCACGTAAAAACAGGGAGAAAAAGGCACATTTTGCTCTCATCAAAAGCTGTAAGAATGGATTTCAGTTTTTATAACCATTGTTTTCAATAGGGAGTTGAGAAGTTTTAAATGGAAAAATATAGAAATTTTAAACTATCAAGATGGAGAGGCACCACCAGGAACTCCCAAATAGTCATTACTGTATATTTCATCACTTTCGCAGCAAGGAGGTATTGTCAGCTGTAAAAACATTGAATATATGCCATATGAGAACAAGAGGAGCAATGAGTAGACAAGTTTAATTTCAGTGGCCATTAGGTACTTAGTAGATTGAGGCAAGCCATAGCCAGATTGCTTATGATACAGTTGTGAGATGGACTATTTTAAATACAATTTTTAGAAAGCAAACTAATACTCTGTTTAATTGAGTTCCATATGGTCTAATGCTAGAGGTAAGCACTGTGGAAGATATCATCTGTTTTTGTCATGATTTGCTTCATGGAGGAGATGGGGCTTGACCCAGCCTTTTGAAGCATGCTTCAGTTTGAACAAATGTTTCTGTTTAGACACACTCTAGTTAACACAAGTCATAGGGCTGGCAGTATCCTACAAATTGTTGTTCGTGATATGAGTATTGTTTATCCCAACAATTCTTGATGCCTTAACCCCTCCCTATAGCATACATATTGAGCATAGTTTCCAATACCAAACACCTCCAATGATGGGAAACTTTCTATTTTAGGGAAATCCCCATCTATTGGAAACTTTTTTCTTAAACTGAAAAACTTCTCCCTGGAGTTTCCAGGCTTTAGACCTAGTTGTGTACTCTGGGAGTGACAGAAACAAGCCTTATTTCTTTTTCCATGTTCCCAGCATTTGAAGACAGCTAATATATGCCCCAAGTGGAACATCATATTCTGAAACCACTTCTTTGAGATGGTTTGTGTTTATATCTCCACTCTTGTCAGCCTTCCCTAAACACATTCAGTTTTGATATCTATGGCCATTGGTTGCTTAATAGAAAGGATGTAGCCGTATTCTTTCCTCAATGTAGTTCAAGAGCAAATTAATTCTTGACAGCCAGTTCACATGAATGAATTCAATTTGGTATCAGCTAAGACCATTTAGTCAACTCAGACCTGTTGCTGTTAAGCCACTTTATTCCTAATGAGCATTCTACAATCCAAATTTTGGATCCCAGAAGTTTTGTATTTCTTTTGAATTTTGCCTTGTTGCAGTGGTCTCTTATTTATTCAGTTAAGATTTTTTTTTTGTCCAAAGTCTTCTATTCCATCAGTTAGTCATCTTTCAAGGTATGCTTTGTCTAGAAATTTAATTTGCAAGCCATCATCTCCCTCATTCAAATTATGAATAACCAATTAGACAGGGAAAAGCATAGAACTCTAAAACATACCACCAGAAACCTCCTACCAGGCTGACATCAGGTGTTATTCTTCATTAGGGGGCCATTTAAATAGTCTTATATCCAACTGACATTAATTCATTTTCATTTTTGAACTATCACGAACAGTATTCCCCTGATGTCAGCCTAGTACAGCTATCAAAGAAGTACAGGTTAGTTTTATATGATCTATTTTTGACACTTAGCAAGCACTGCAGAGTGTTCAGTGACTCATTCCTTTTATAAGTTTTGTAAGTGCTCACAAACAGAAGTGAGGCTTAGAATATTAAACAATCAGAAAAGCCAGAACATCAGCCAATTGGAGTGGGTTCAGATCCAGTCAAAACAAATGTGCATACACAATCTGTACAGCAACCTTGCTTTGTACCAGCTGAATATAGGCCTGGTTCACAATTGTTTTTAAACTTCAGGCTTGTGGGTTTACCAGAGGCATATATATGCATTGCTATTCATAGCTATTTCTGTTCCCTTTTGCCTCCCATTTCTTTATTGCATATACAGATTACTTATACCAAGTTTCTGTAAGTTTATGGTGTTTATTACCTAGACCCTGAACATTAATCTATAAGCCACAAATTAAGGTGTGTTTTCAGATAAGCCTTAGAGCTATGAATGGAAATGGCTTATTTAAGGGACTCAATATAACTTGCCTAGTAGGAATGGAAGGTTTAGGTGCGGAGAAGTAGGAAATAAGATGTTTCAGTATGCACGAACTGAAGTCCTTGAGTGGAAGCAATCACTGGAGCAGGGGAAGATGTTGTGTTTTCTGGATGAGGGGCAGTGATCAGTTGGCTAAGAATACATTTGTCAATAGTCTGCCAAAAACCAAAAGGCCAAAAGAAAATGACCAATCAGGAGAAAGGATAGCTTTTAAGAGATGAATATGAGAAAGCATGACAAGAGTGATTAAGAGTGTGTGATTTTTTAAGCAGAGGAAGATAAAGGAGGGAAGTGCGAGAGTATGGGTGAGGGAGCTATTGAATTGGGAAATGAGGAGGTCATTAGTCTTCAGGTGAGCATTTCTGCTGGTGATGGAGATGAAAGTGCAAATTTTTTGTATTTTAGAAAAAAAAATCCTAAATGTGTACTATTAGGGAAAACGTTGCCTTTTGTATTGATTATGAAGCAGTGTTAAAAATGATGTTTAACAGTAAATGTGTCTTTAGAGATAATAGAAAATATAGAAAGTAAATAACTTTATAGAAAATGTTCATGACAAAATATTGAAAGAAAATGGTTACAGTTTCATAACTTATTTCTTAGGAAGTGCATCTTATATAAATATGAAATATTCCTTTTTGATCCTGTTTAATACTTTTGCTTTGAATTCTATTTTTCATACTATATTTATTTTCTTTTATTAGTATTTACCTAGTAAATTATATTTCTGCCCCTTTATATTCAACATTTTCTGTCACTGAGTTTTAGGTGGATTTCTTGTAAACAGCATATACAAAGACTTTAAAAAACACAATTTCAAATTTTTCTGGATTCCAAATAGGCAAATTACCCATTCAACTTTATTATGATTGCTAATATGTTTGGACTTTTTCCTTGAAGTTTACTTATGTTTTCTGTTTTTACCATGCTTTCTTGTCTTTTATTATAATGATTTTTTCTGTTATTTGGAATTGTTTGCTTTATTTTCCTTTTCTACCAGTCATCTCTGGAAGTTATAATCCTATTTATATCATAATTGTTATAATTACATTTCTACGTATTAACTAAAACATATTTTCCTATTAATGGCTGATTGGTATCAATTACCCCCTCATTGTTTTTTAGCTTCACTTTTGTGATGAGAAGTCTCTAGACAAGCTAAATTTATTTCTTTTTAGGCATCCTGCCTCTCCCCCAAACACTTAGGATTTTTTTGCTCTATTCTTTGAATTATAACTTTTCACAAAAATATGAAATAGGTCTTTTTTTTTTGCCTATTCAAGCAGCTTGATATTTGTAATGCTTTTTCAGTTTGAAGAATCAAATGTTAATTTAGCTCTGAAATTTTTTCCTTTACCGTTTCTCTCCTATATTTCTCCATATGTCTCTTTTTAGTTTTTTCTTCTGAATATTCTTCTGAAATATTTTGTAAAATCTGTGTTCTTTTGCATTGTAATCTGGTAGAAGTTTTCAACTTGATTTTCCATCTAGCTATTTCCATCTTCAACTATATCCATTATTAAGTTTTTAATTTTCTAAGATACTAATTGATTTTCTCTTTTTATTCACTAATATTCTTACATATATATTTGAATATATCAATTAGATTTAACTGAGTCCTTTTACTGTTATTAACTGTTTCTATGGCTGTTAATGTATTCATTGAGCTCATGGTTTTTCTTCATGTTGCTGGTTTTTATTGATATTTGTTCACTCTTATTTGTTGCCTATTTTCGTGTTTGCAATTTTGTATTTAAGACTATCTGGAGCTTGCCCCCAATAATTATAAAGTTGGGCAATGTATTAGTGTCTTATTTATTGGATATGGCTGCTTCTTCTCTTGGGTTTTGCTTGTGGGGAAGCTACCTGGGGCCTGTCTTGTCAGTCTAGTCTAAGTGCCCAAACTCATAGATTACTGTGGATACAAATAGAAGGAGTTGCACAGTGTTCAAGAGGCCACTCTTCCTCATTTGTGTAAAGTATATCCTTCTCTGAAAGGCACCTACCTCTGTCAGAGCACTTTTCTTCCCCCTGCTCTGAGAATTCTTTTACTTCCAGCTCTGAGTATTATTGTTCTTCTAATCTTCCCAGCAATATAGGCTATGGAGTTGTAGAGGTATCCCATTCAGTGTTAATCTGACAATATTCAAAAGCACCTGTAATTATAGAAAGGAACAAGAGTCATTTTGATATCTGCTTTATTACTTCTACTATGTAGTGAACATTTTGGACCAAGCAATATGTGGCTCTAGGGATCTTGTTTGCAATTTCTTATGAAAAGCATTTGGATGATGTAGTAAAATAAGAGCATCTCCTTTTGGATAAAGTCTGACATACTGTAATTCTAAGACTGCACTTGGCACATGCTTGAGAAATGTCTGTTTTTCAGGATGAACGAAGTCCAGTGCAGCTGTTTCTGCTTTACACCATTGAATCTGAAAGTCCTTATAACAGAACGTAGCCAACTGACTTTGGAGTGAACAATGAGATAGGAGAGTTTCCCACCTCATGAATCTCCTGCTTTGTAGGAAGCAAACTTGATAACAATACTGTCTTGAGTTTATACAACATAACCCCTTTTAGAGATCTGTTCTGCAAGAATTTTTCAAAATATTTAATGACAGTATCAATGTTTGTAATTCACTTTGTCACACTAGTCTAACATAGCAGAGTTTAAAATATCTTTTTAAACATTGCATATTGTTCTTGTTTTCTAAGATGTGAGGCAAAATATTTACTAATTAGAATGATTTTTAGTTCTCTTGAGTTGCTTTTTCCCAGGATGTTTTCATTTTTTACTCAGTTGGAAGTATAGTATTGTCAATTTTCAGAATGCCAGACATAGATTTATTCAAATATAAGAATAAGACACATTCCAGTGCCCAATTATATGTCTTTCCCAACTCTCCACAATTTAAGGTTATATGTACTAGTTCTCTCTTGCCATCCCACTTGGCAGATAGTCAACATTTGACTGTAGTGTTCATTTGCTAACTTTTTTTGTGTGTGTTGAAAACAATGTCAAATAGTTTAAGAAATCTCATATGTTGGAGTCCTAAACCATATACTGCAAGAAATCAGTTGGATTTTTGAAGTGCTTGTTACTCATTTAAAAGGAAGAACATTTTCATGGGATTATTTTTCATCTTGATAGCTTAGCAATCAAAAAACTTATGAAAAGAGAATGATCTGAATGTTACCGTATATGTCTTTGGAGCTCTTTAAAAGTAATAGAACTAGCGATAGATATTATAATTTTGATCATAAAATGTTAATTATAGAAAAGTCATAACATATTAGATCTAGTGGATCCAGTTTGAATAATGAAACTGAATGACTTTTTTTGCAGCTTAGAAAGCTGATTATTAACCATGTATTTACTAGTATACATAATTGGTAAAATATTTAAGACAATAGAATGGTAGCCAATTGGAAATGGAAGAGATTCTCAAATTTGCTTATCTTCTCAGCCCCTGGTTTTACAGAGGAGATACTGAAGTCTAGCCAGGCTTGTTTTCTTGCTCAAATTCCTGCAATGTCTTAGTGGTCTTGGTTGGGATACAGAGAGTCTAGTTCTCAGTACTATCCTCTTTTACCCACACCTAGCTGAATAACGCCAGGAAAGAACTGAATATTGTGACTCATCACTTTTAAAAAAGTTGCTGTTACCGAACTGAATATAATGCTTCCTTTACTAACAAATGCAGGATGTTTATCATTTTTCCATACCAGAGCTTCCTTTTATATGGTAAGAAATCGCACACCAAGTTATTTTTGAAGATAGTCTTTTTATTTTCCGTTCTTTTAAACATAGTCATGTTTTATTTGGGTCTCCTGAATGTCAGGATGGTATTAATTCACATTGATTGTTTCTTCCTCAGGAAACCTCTTCTGGCATCCTTAGTAAATGGCAGTAGAGTCATCTGGGAGGTAAAAGAAGATTGTACCATGTGAGGTGTGTTTTATTCTTGGCTGGTCAGCAAGCATTTTTCCTGTAGAAACAAAAGGCTGGCTTTTGAACTGGTGGTGCTATGAAGGGTAGGTAGGAAAAAGCATGGCAGTTTATTTGAGGGAAGGGTAGAAAACACTGATTGGAGCTCGTATATTTAAGTAAGCAATTATAAACCTTTCACATGGGTGATAGAAACTAAGAGTTAAGATGAATTTATTTTGGAAATGAAAAATTTGAAACTAAATTGATAAATGACATGTTTCCCATAAACATGTACAGCTAGCGTATTTCAAATTTGTATTTTCTCAGTTGAAAATAAGAAATAAAACATTTAAAATTGTGCAATATTAAGCATGTGGTAAGGAGTTAGATACTCATACAAAAGGTATTTTGCAATTGATTATGGTTTTGAAGTGTGATTTCTTCCCTTAAACATCAAAAAATAATAAGGCTGATAAAAATCATCACCTTATAAAACATGACAATACTTTATGTTAATAACAATACAAACTAAAAAAAATTATATTACAATTCATCCTCATCAAGGATGCCATTTGAATTAATATAAGAAGTATATCTTTTCCTTAAAAAAATAAAATGAGGCTGTACGGAATTAAGAAAAACTTTGGAAACTTGACTTTTTTTATTTTAGGAGAAATAAAATGTAATTATACTCTTAGCACTTGAAGGATGCTAAACATTGAGTTTGCTTTATGATATTTCTTGACTGATTTATCATTGAGAGACCGTACTATTAAAAAAGAGTAAAATGTTGACTGAGTTCTTTGAGATTGATACAAGATTCCCCCAGCCTTTCACAGAGTCATAGGACACTGGACTAGAAAAACCTAGTATGGAAATTGTTATGTTTCCATATATCTGGCTTAGTTGGGACTCCTATAGAAAAATGACTTTCAATTTTTTTTACAGGACCCACAGGAAGAAATAAATTTTACATTGTGACACATCTGTATTTATTCGAAATATGTATACCAAATATATCATAATATTTACCTTTTGTACATGCAATGTGCTCTGACATTTTCTGTTCCCTTCCATTCTATTAAACACTGTTGGTCATAGACCACTGAGTTGATTTCAAGATCAACCAATGGATCGTGATTTGCATTTTAAAAAACACTACCATAAAAATCCCTCCAGTTTTTTGTTGCTGCTGGTGGTGGTGGTGGAGGGGATGAATTTGTACTTATAGGAGATTCTTATTAGTTCTGTTTGTCAAATAAATTTCAGGTACACAGTCAGATTACGTTTTCTGGCCCCATGATACTCATGGCCAACGAGCTGAGTGGAAATTAACATATATTTCTGCACTGGAACATTTATTTTCAGTGTGAGAACCTCCAGAGCTCTTTACCCTTACCTTGGAAAATGACCATACTCCTCAGACTCAATCCTAAAATGAGGAATGTGGAGCAGAGCCACTAGACAGCTCATAGTGGACGTAGAGTATGAGCAAAAAATAAATGTTTGTTGTTATAAGGCACAACAATTTTTGGATATATTTGTTACTCAGCATAATCTAACCTCTTGTGGTTAGTGTACGATAATTCAATTATGTGTTTTGCTGGTGGAGCAGAGTCTCCTTTCGAGATATTAACTTTATCTAAAACATATGTAAGTTTAAAAATATGTTTATTATTTCTGATTTTAAAATAATGCATATTCTGTTGTTTTTGAGACAGGGTCTCTCTCTATTGGCCAGGCTAAAGTGCAGCAGTGCAATTCAAACTCCTGGGCTCAATGGTTCTGTCCTCTCAGGCTCCTGAGTATCCAGGACTACAGGCATGAGCCACCATGCTCAGCTAATTAAAAAAAATTTTTTTTTGTAGAGACAGGGTTTCTCTGTATTGCCCAGGCTGGGCTTGAACTCCTGATCTCAAGCAATTCTCCTGCCTCAGCCTTCTAAAGTGCTGAGATTCCAGGTGTGAGCCATCATACCCAGCCAAAATAATGCATATCCTTTATAGAAAAGTTGGAAAGCATCAAAAAATAAAAATTACATATCCATAATGCTATTATCTGGAAGTAACAATTTTTGACATTTCTATGAAAGAGATATAATATCACATAATTAGCTTACTATATAGTTTTGCATTTTTTTGCATTTGTTCTTTTATTGATATTTTTAAAATTGTCATTAAGTATTCTTGGAACATTTGAATTTTATGCCTCTGTAGTACTCCATCATATGGATGAACCAGCAATTACTTAGTTATTCTTGTACTTTAGTCATTTGTTTTATTCCATACAAGGAGTTTTAATGGACTAAAAATCTCACCCTTGACACTCAAAAGCAAACAGTAAGCCAGACCAGAATCCATGTCCACTCACTCTGCTTAGCGTCAGTTGCATCTCCCCATTACTCAAATCCTGGCACACAGGGGGTCTATATATTCACCTGTCAAGTAAGCATTTTCATCTGTCCATACTTTTTTAGAAAATTAAGCACAAATTTCATGTATGAACCATTTCATGTCCATACATGAAATTTGTGCTTAATTTTCTAAAAACTAAGATGCTTTATATTTCTTCTCCTCTACCCTCTAGCAGGAAAATTTGGTTTATATTTCCTGAATTCTTTCAGGGAAAGACATCACTATCTACAAGACGTTCAAGCCAGAGGCTGGGGTCATTCTCTTTCTCCTGTCCACTGCAATCAAACAGTCATAGGACCTGGCCCGTTTTAACTCCTGAATGCCTCTCAAATCACTTTCTGCTCTCACTGTCCTTCAGGCCCTTACTGCCTCTCATTTGACTGCTGCCATAAACTTTCCATCTTCCTGTACACCATTCTCCCTACTGCTGCCATTGTGAGCTTTCTAAAATGTGAACAAGAATATGTTTCTCTCTGCTAAAAATCCCTCCTGTAGTAAACTTTAAAGACAAAGTCCACTCCTCTTCACTTAATGCAAAAGACCATGTTCCTGCTCTGTTTCCTGAGTACCTGCCCCATCATTCATTTCCTTCACCCCTCACCCCTTTCCCACTCTCCATGGGCGGTTCACTTCATAAATACCTTTTCACTGAGCACATCTTGTTCTTTAGTGATTTTAAGCATTTTCAGGTACTATCTTCCTGTCTTCTTAAGGTCATCTAGCAAATCCCTGGTTTGCCTTTAATTCACAGATGAACTTTACTTCCTCTCAGAGAATGTACCCATTTCCTCTCAGCCAGCCAGGAACTAGGTATTCACTCCACCAAGCTCCCAGTGCCTAGCACATACCTCCATTAAGGTCTCTATTATTGTATTGTAGTTATATATTTGATATCTTTTCACAAAAACCCTATACTTGCTGAGGCTATCACTAGGCTTTCTCATCTGTGTATCCTCAGTGCTTTGTACATTGCCTGAATAATAGTAGATGACTGTGCATATTGTGGAATGAATGGATAAACAGACAAATAGTAGTGGGAAAATATGTATTAAATTTTATCTCTTGATGATTCTTTCTTTTACAATCTAAACAACCAAGCTTCATGTATTTTTCATATCAGAACCAACTGTCAAGACAGGATCTGAAGTTCATTTACTCTGAAGTGTAATAACTGATAAAAATTTATGTCTCCCAAGGGGGTTTTTATTGAACAAGGATGGAATGCTTAATCTAAAGAAAGGAACCTTACTTAGTAGAATTTCCCACAGGCTTAACAAGCGTATGGGATTTGTTTTAATTGGGGATTGGAGGTGGGACTTAGAGGTTTTCTCTTTACTCCAAATAGTCCATAGGCTTTGTCTAGATATGAGACCAGTTTTCTTGCTTGCTGGCTCACAGCATGAACTAGCATGTCATATTACACAGCACATTCATTTTTGTTTCTATTATACAGCATAGATCATATGAACTTCACATCTGGTAAACATTTGTACATTGAATGTGCAGCTGCCAAGAATTGTGGTTTCTTGGTAGCATCCCAGTGACGCTGAGTCAAGGTCACAAAACCAGCATTGCAGAGTTTTCATGATCTGGAACTGTATCCTGCTTTTACTTATTGAGAAAGTTGCTCTCTTAGTTCGTTTGAGGACCTGTCATGGCACCATTTTAAGTTTGGAAAATAACTTGGGCGATTCAAAGTCCATTATACTGTTTGTGGGCTCCCCCTATACGAGCCATCCCACAGAGATGGGAATCTTATCTACTTAAAAAAAATCCAAAGAAAGTATTTCTTAATTCTTCTCAGTGACCTGTTTTCAAAGTTTGATAGTCTCTTCGAAAGTTTCATTGTCATAACAACATAACTCTTCCCTAATTTAGTTTTATCACCTTGCACTGTTTTTTATGGAAGTGAGGAACATTGGATTTTCATATAAACTGCAGTGCTGAAGATACCAGTGCATTGCACCATAAAAGCAAACCAAACAACACCATCACACAAACAATTCAAGATAAATTAAGTTAGGAAAATGGGGTTTCACAGTGTGACTCAAATTAGGCTTGCCAGTTAGCTTTGGCCTCCAAATGGAAGTCTAACATTTTGGTGTGTGGTTTATATTTTCAACATCCTTAGTGAATTCTGTCTTGAAAAGCCAGATACCATTAATATAATGGAGGAACTGGTTTATTTTATATTGATATAATATATAAAGCTTTTAAAAATGTTTCATGATAGTTACCTTTTCCCTCTGGGATTATGAGGAAGAGGGACAAATATCTATCTCTTGAAAGTTACAGTAGAATCATTAGTAGATGTGTTCATATACATTAAATAACGAGGAACATTTTGTAAAAAGTTACTTTGCTCTTCTTTCTAGAAAGGAATGATATAACATTCCTATATTTCCAGGTGAAGAAAGCAAAGTGACTTTTTTTGGTATACACCTGACTGTAAAAGCTACCCTGTAGGTAATTCGGCTATGCCCTACACTTATTTTTCTCCCTGATGTTAAATGAATTAACAATTGGTAACATTCCTAAAATTAGATTTGAAAAGAAAAAGTCAAGATATTTGGATTCTTTAAACAATTCTATGTACTATTTGTACTCTTATTCTTGGGAAGAATATTTGAAATAAGGTGAGAAAAGGACATCATGAAATGCAGGCATAATACTCTTTGTAACTTCCAGAAACATGTACACCACAATGAAGACAGGATGCTCTGTGATTAATCTATTTAAACACTGTATGCTTCCAGGGATCTCCTACCCAGGAAACAAAGCCCACAGGAAGACCATCACATAGGAATGGTAAGACATCTCAGGCACTTGGGTGACTAGCTGTGTCTAATTTTACCTTCTGCCATTCTAGAATTACTCAAACTTAATTTCAAAATACTCTTTTTTGTTCCCGTAATTATTGTGTTTCTTGTCTTTTTAAAGTAATTAAATTTTAAAAAGACTAAAAAAATTAAAGGCCATGAATATGTTTAAAATTTGGAATCCTTTTGTTTTTATGCCAAAGTTCTCATCAGATTATTTTCTGATGTAGATTATTTTTCATTGAGTACCTGAAAATAGCACATCCTTTGGACAGGAACAAGCTGAAAATTTGCCCAAGTGGCAACCTGTAGGCAGCCAAATACCAGGTCTCTGCTGTCAAGTACATTTTTGTTGCCTTCATTCCACTAGCTACCATAGATTCTGTCTGGGCTAGAGTAGAGAACTTAGCTACTTAAGGCTTTCAAGTTTCCTTACTGAGGAGTGAGTAGTAGCCCACTCAAAGTGAAGCTCTAAAAGAGTTCAGAAATTTTGAGTCATTCTATCACTCAGCAGCAGGTGTTGGAATGAATGAAGACCAGTTGACCTAGTGGTTAGTTTCTTGATAGCTTGGGGGGTTTCAAAAAGATTTAAAGAAATGATTGTTGAGTACAGGGGCAGTTGTTTGCTTTAGTAGAAATCTTATTGTAACTTGCATAATGTCAAAGGAAAATGAAATGTTTTAAGGCTTTGTGGGGAAAAATTTAAAATTTGTGGCTTTGGAGGAGTCAGTGGTGTTTAAACTAATTTAGTGGTTAAAGTGATCATTTTTTAGAATTTGAGAAAAGGGCAATCTTTTCTGACTTTTTTTTCCTGGAGGGTCAGAATTTTGTTTTTCTTTCCCTGTTTATTACATTTTAGTTTTATGTTACAATTTACACTGCATGCATGGTATCTTGCTCAACAGCATTGCTGTTCTTTATCACCATGAGTTTGATGATGAGAGGTAGGTGGGAAAAGAGGTTGGTGTGATTTGGTTCACTAGTTGTGATAGGTTAAGTAGTACTTTTTGTTAAATAATGGAGTTTAATTTAACTATAATATTTCAGCATATTTGTCCAAATGAAATCCAGTATGTCATTGTTTTCATTTAATGGCCCATATTGATGTGCTTTTTCCATTAAGGGACTTGGTAAAACAGGGAAATATCAGAGAAAGAACGGCCCATAATGTCGATGTTTTTGTTTTGATTTAGTTACATCTGCTGATTTTTAGAAACCCAATCCTTTTTTGGTATTAAATATGATTTTTAAAAAATTCGTTTATGTCTCCCATATTCCAAAAAGACTGTGAATTATTCAGTAGCATCACTTATTGACATAAGGTATATGGGTTTCAGAATGAGAAGCATTAAAATAGTATTTTTGTTTTAATTACATATAAAATAAAGTACAGACTATGACACACTTTTGCTAAAGAAAATTGTAAGCCTCCACGTTAAGTCATGGAATTCAGCTATACATGGCTATTTGTTCTCTTTGTTTAAGAAGTAATTATTGTCTGTCTACTATTTTTATGTCAAGAACTATGAGCCTGAGATTTTACCCTACTTGCAAGCTAACTAGTCTGGTACAGTTTTATAGGTGTTGGCAGAGAGGAGACTGTTGAGTCAGGGACAAAAGACTTTATTACTCACAGCTTCATGTTTGCATTGGTTGCTTTTTCCCCTAAGCCCCGTGGGGTGATATGGAAGGACCCAGATAGATGCTATGTGCATAGTGGGTGTGTGTCATGGCTGAAGAACTCCAAGCTCAATAAATCCCCAGTCTTATAAAAAGGGTACTAGTAAATCTCTCCAATGTTTATACTGGAAAAAATTACCTTTCTTATTCCAGTCAGGAAACAAATTTGCCCTTATCCCAGGAGAGAGACACTGTCTCCCAAGGCTGTAGGGGATGTATCTCAACATCTTTGGGAAAATAGGTGGAAATAAGATGCACAGAACACTCCATGAGTATCTTCCAATACTTTACAGTTTAAAAAAATAAAATAAAATGTAAAATCTTAATGCATGTATCAATTAATTTACTTCTCATAAGGTGAAAGCCTTTTGGTGACTATCAAGATGAATCATGGCACATTTTGTTACTCTGGCAATAGCTAATGATGTTACACACTTGAGCATCTTTGATTTAAAGGTAGTTTACCATGAATGCATTATGCAAATATCATTCTACATTGCTTACAATTTTTATGTTTTTTTTAAAATTAATATTATCCCCTTACCCAAAACCCCAATGTAATAGCTGTAATTATCATAAGAAACATTTACTGGTGACTGCCAGAAAATTTTAATGTGTTTTGTTTGGCACATTAAACAAATGTGCTAAGCATGTAAAGAAAATTGCATAAACCTAGTACCTAAATTTTTAGAGGAATTTAATATAGTTTTTAAATTTAATGATTCAGTTACTTGGAAAAGCAAATAAATAAGTGTTTCAGTAAGTCATGTTATAGAATGAAGGATATTACTTATGGCATCCAAAGAAAGCCTGAATAAAATATGAAATAAGAAAGTACAGTCTTTCCCTTCATATTAGAGGGACACTTTTACTTTTCAGTGGGAAGACAAAAATAAGCTCAAGACAATAAAGAGGAAAATAATATTAAAAAAATAACATGCTCCTGTCCTCTCATCTACTGATGTTACTGTCAGTCATGATCAGCTTGACTTCAGATGAAAAGACAACAAATACATGAACTGATTATCCCAGAAAGTAATGTTGGAAGAACACGGTTTATCCCAGAAGTGACTGGTAGAGTAACAGCAATAAAAGCTTATCCAGGGATTCCAATTTTTTTTTTTTTGTTCTGAATAGAATGTGGATATCTCTTACTTTAATATAACTTTGTCAGCATTTAATAAAAAAAAAATACTGATTGAGTCACATGATACTCACTGGTATGAGAGCAAAAAATGTAAAAGGATGGTCAAAGTCAAGGACATAGATTAATCCACTCACCCTCCATTGTCAAAGCCACCAAGTAGGCTTCAGTTTTTTGGAAACTGTAAGTACTAATCTGTGTGACTCACTTTGAAATTCTTGCAAACATTCCCTGGGAGTCCCTTTTTTTTAAAGAATAGGAGCTTACACTGAATAAAAAGATATCTGATTGATAACCTCATGAAAATCCTCTAGGCTGAAAGCCACAGAATCTTTGTGTACATGATTTTTTTCTGAACCTTAAATGTAACCAGATGTATTTTCTTTTGATACTCTCCTACTCAACTGATTTAAATGAATGATTTGTCTTCTAATGGGAAATCTGTGTTTCATCATAGAAATGGATTACATGTCTTAAATTTAATTACTCCCTAGAGAAGCAATGCCTCTTTTGTTTTATATTCTTTAAATGTACTAAAGACTTATATAACAATTTTATTATAGGCATGAAATATTAGAGCTTTTTAGATGAATGGATGGAGAAACTTGAAAAATATAACCACCATTATCATGTGAGTGAGTAAAGTATAATAAAAATCCTCATAGACAACATTATTAACCTCCTATTTTACAATTAGTTGCCTGTAAAGCTAAAATAAAATAAAAGGAAAACACTTTCAATTTTTTTTTTTGAGACGGAATTTCACTCTTGTTGCCAAGGCTAGAGTGCAATAGCACGATCTCGGCTCACTGCAACCTCCACCTCCTGGGTTCAAGTGATTCTCCTGCCTCAGCCTCCCGAGTAGTTGGGATTACAGGCATGCACCACCATGCCCGGCTAATTTTTGTATTTTTAGTAGAGATGGGGTTTCACCATGTTGGTCAGGCTGGTCTCGAATTCCTGACCTCAGGTAATCCATCCGCCTCGGCCTCCCAAAGTGCTGGGATTACAGGTGTGAGCCACCATGCCTGGCCAACACTTTCAATTTTAAATGGACTCTATAGTTCATGGCCAAAGAATAAAAAGCAAATATAAGCCATGAAATTGTGTGTGTGTTTAGTAGCTTTCTCGATTTGCTTTTAAATTGTTTTTTGGCAATACTTAATCTATTTCAAAAACATTTTGATTCTGAAATAGAAGCATTACCATGGAAACACTGATAGTAAAAGAATAGAGCTATGTCAAACCTGATACAGAGAAGAATATCCAATAAATTCAAGTCTTTATAATATTTTATTTTTTATTTTTTAAAGAGAGTCTTGTTCTGTCACTCAGTGCAGTGGTGTGGTCATGGCTCACTGCAGCCTGGAACTCCTGGGCTCAAGCAGTTCTCTCACCTCACCTCCTGAGTCACTGGAATTATAGGTGTGTGACACGACAGTCAGCTAACTTTTAAAAATTTTTTATAGAGGCAGGGTCTTGCCATGTCGTCCAGACTGTTTTAAAACTTGTAGGCTCAAGTAATCCTCCTGCTTTGATCTCCCAAAGTGCTGGGATTATAAGCATGAACCACCGTGCCCGACCCTTTTCAATATTTTAAACAAATTGAGCTTTTACCTTAACTGCCTTATTTGGGCAGAGGAATGTGAACATGGTGGCTGATTCCTAGTTTGGAACCTAAGACTTACAAACTTCAAAGTCAGTTTCATTAATTAAGGTCCAATTATCAATCCTTGAGGTAAAGCCTCTATTTATTGACTAAATCAGTGATTTCTAATAGAGGGATTTGGTGCCACAGAGAAATTTGGTCATATCTGGGAACATCTGTGGTTGTCACAGCTGGAGGTGATGCTACCAGCATCTGGTGGGTGGAAGGATGCTGCAAACCTCCTAAAATGCATGAGACAGACTCCACAATAAAGAGTTAATGTGGTTTCAAATGCCAGTAGTTGAGAAACTCTGGACTAATATACATAACAGTACACTTAATGCATGAAGAAGAACTACAAAATATCAATTAACAAGAGGCAGATTTTTCCCTTAAGAATGGAATTGAATTGTGTAGTGGAAAGCAGAGGTCATATGACCTCAAAGGGACTTTGCTAAAACTGTGGGCTCCACCTTTTTGTGACCAGCTTCCTTTAAATATCTCAGAGCCTCTCTGTGCTCTTGTAAAATTGAGGTAATAGTATAGTTTCTACTTCAAAGTCTTGTAGGATTAAATAAAATAATATGTGTAATTGCTTAGTCCATTGCCTGGTTCCTATAGGATCTCAATAAAAGTCAGCTATTTTTCAAAGTATGACAATGAAGAAGAGCCTTGTAGCAATTAGAACTGTCTAAAGATAGAATGGTTTGTTTAGAAGGTAGCAAGTTTCCTCTTCTCGGATAAGTTCAAGTACAGTGCGGACATCTTGTGTCCTTCCGACTCTGTTATGAGTGAATGGCATTCCATCTTTCTTAGTTATACAGAACCATTCTTAAATAAAACATAAAGTTTTCGTAAAACATAAAGGTTTTTCACAAGTCTTTAGCAGTTAAGAAATTTTAGGTGAGAATGACACCAAATAAGCATAGACAACACTGATATTGTTCAGCAATTTTAAACTTCCTTTGTGTTTTAATACCAAATGATGACTAACTTTTTTGCAAACATATTCCCTTTGTTCCTTCTACTAATCAGTGTCAGTTATTTGCTTGGATTCCCCCAGGCTATTTTCTCTGCTTCTGTAGCACCAGAATTCTTTGTACATCTTTTGTGTGGTTATTGCCTGTTACAAGTCCTGGCTGGCCTGCCATTTATCTCTCCATATAACATGACATTAATTGTGCACTCCTTGTATGCCAGTACTGTGCAATGTGCTGTTTATGTATTATGCCATTTGATAAGCAGGCAATAAATGTTAATTCAATGTATAAATATGTTAGGCATAAATGCAATATTGATTGAGCTTCAATGCATTATATACCAATACAGTCTATTATTGAAAATTGAAAAAATAAACACCTTGAGCCCACCCTCTAAAAACTCTTTTTCTGAAGAAACAGGATAATTTGTAGTAAACTTCCTGTATACAGTTAAGTGCCTTGATTGGAAGAATTGTGATTATTATATCTTCATAACACCTCAGTGTTTATCAGGCATTTAATAAATAGAGGTATTCAGTAAATCAGGCACTCAATACATATTTGCTTGAAAAATGAATAAAGTGTAAGTCAGTGGATAGATGGGCAAAAATATTCATTGCAACAAGTCAGCTGCTTGACAAAATGCTATCTTAATTGGGTAATAAAATGAAATGTATCCTGATGATATCACGAATGATAATTGATGTGTATCATCACATCCATCGTCAGGATATAATAATATGCTTCAATTATGCAGTAGATGCTTTATTGCAATTTTTTTGTTAATAACAGTTTTGTAAACCAGATCATGTTTATTTATTTTAAATAATTTGAATTTGCAAAAAGTCGAGACGCTTGAAGAAATGGTAGTTTGTTGGCAAGAGGTCAGGTGAATAAGGCGAATGAAGCAAAAGTTTGTAGCCCAATGCCTTCAACTTTTGAAGTGTTGGTTATATGGTGTGCAGTTGGGCATTGTTGTGGAGAAGAATTGGGCCCTTTCTGTTGATCAATGCTGGCTGCAGGCATTGCAGTTTTCAGTGCATGTCATCAATTTACTGAGCATACTTCTCAGATGTAATGGTTTCGCTGGGATTCAGAAAGCTGTAGTGGTGTAGTGGATTAGACCGACAGCAGACCACCAAACAGTGACCGTGACCTTTTTTTTTTTTTTTTTTTTTTTGGTGCAAGTTTGGCTTTGGGAAGTGCTTTGGAGCTTCTGGGCTTGGCTCAACCACTGAGCTAGCAGTCGCTGGTTGTTTGCATAAAATCCACTTTTCATTGCATGTTACAGTTTGATCGAGAACTGGTTCATTGTTGTTGCATAGAATAGGAGATGACACTTCAAAACGATGATATTTTTGATTTTTGCTCAGCTCATGAGGCACCCACTTATTGAACTTTTTCACTTTTCCAATTTGCTTCAAATGCCGAACGACCATAGAATGGTTGACACTGAGTTCTTCAGCAACTTCTCATGTAGTTATAAGAGGATTAGCTTCAGTGATTGCTCTCAGCTGGTCATTGTCAACTTCTGATGGCTGGCCACTATGCTCCTCATCTTCAAGGCTCTTGTCTCCTTTGCAAAACTTGAACTACCACTGCACTGTACATTCATTAGCAGTTCCTGGGCCAAATGCGTTGTTGGTGTTGCAAGTTGTCTCTGCTGCTTTAAGACCCATTTTCAACTCGAATAAGAAAATCGCTCAAGTTTGCTTTTTGTCTAACATCATTTCCATAGCCTAAAATAAATGTAAAATGAGCAGTAAGTAATAAGACATTAGTAAAAAAAATAAAGCAATAAATGTGCATTTAAATAGTGTATAACATAACCACATTTATTTAAGAATGTATTCCAATATCAAATGGCAAATTTCAACAAGGCAAAAAAACACAATAACATTTGCACCAGCCTATTTCCATCTAAGAGGGAGCTGTTGTCTTATAGATTTATAACAATAACAAGCCATATGGTGATTTTACTATACAGTTAAAGAGCACCTTTTGATTTTAGGAAGTGTTGGGAAATGTACTAAGAACAAAACAATGATATGGCTAACAACTTTCATGAATTCTGTTGTTTTTCTTACTCTTTTTTTTTTTACAAAGCCATATACTTTTATGCTAGGAAATAATGTTAGAGGACAGTTCTGAGTATTGAATATTCATCAAGTGCATTTTCTTTACACTTTGAAAATAAGGTAATTCAGCAAAGTTTGACTATCCCCCTAATATTTTGTACCAAGTTTGTGATCCAGAAACATTTTTAGTGTATTCCTCTTAAAAGAGGGTACTAAATTGTATTTAGACAACTTTATAGTACAGACTAAGCAATCTTCTCATTTAGGGACACAGAATTTTAAGTACTTTGCATAGTGTGTCATAATATGTGAAGCTCTTGAGGTTTCATCATGACATGTCATTCTCATGTGAGACAGATTAGAATTGGCTTGCCATCCCCTTTTACATATGCAACCTCCAGCTCTCAGAGGTGCTTAAGCAATCAGGAGGATCACATACCTGGTGCTTTGCAGTTAGGACTGGAGTTAACTGGAGTTGGAATGGTTTTGCTCTGTGTTGAGAAGTGAGTGAAGTTTTCTTGTTGTTCCTAGGATACTACATGTGGGTGGAAGCCTTCTTCATGTTTAAGCCATGCACTGACTCCTATAGGTTGTTTCCAGAGCAATAACATTATGCCTTTTCCCATTTTAAGAGAGACAGTGTGGTAGATTGGAGAGAACACAGTTTGGGGAGTCAACGCACTGAAGTTCTGATATTGGTCTGTCATTATACTTAATATTGGTTAGAATATTTAACCTTATTGTGCTTCAGATTCTATCTGCTAAACAATGAAATTGGGTTGGAAGGACTTTCTGGTACCTTTCAGTCATTTGGTTTATGTTTTTGAGGAAAATTCTCTTTATTTTTCTATTTATAGGGAGTTTCTTATTGAAATGTATTTAATGTGCAGTCTTCTGAATTTCTGAGAAAATTCATGGTTGACAGTGCTGTGGAGGGTGAGAGCCACATTTGGGATGGAGTTCTGTTCAGACAGGTAGTTATCTGAGATAAAGCATTGACTTAATTGGTGATTTTGTTTCAGATGACCCAGGAGTGGGAACCCACCAAGTGGAGTCCTCCTTATTTATTGGTCCAGTTGTTTAGACAGAGGACACCATTCACTGGAACTAATATAGTGTCCATTTACAGAAATTTTAATTAAAAAGCTAGCAATATACTTTTATTACACTTGAGAGTATTACTCTGCAACACTATTTCTTTTTATTTGGAAACTTAATATATTTTCTAATTAGTACCCAAACTCTACACCTTAAAAGTTTCTTAAAAATATGGATTGGCCATATTTTTATTAGAATTTTAACATTTGAAGAATATGTGCACAACTGAATGTGTTTGCTTAATACAGAAAATACTTGTAGGTTGCTTTGGAACATCTAATCAGGTCTTACCTTCTAAATATATATTCTCATGTTCTTAATTTTCAGAAAGAAATTATTCTGTAATTATCTTGTTATTTTAGAAATAAAAGTGATACTGAGATAGATGATCTCATAAGATTTTTCATTGTTTAAAAATGCAAGCAGGTATGGAAAAATCCAGCTTAGTGCCCATGTGTTAAGAAGTTTTGGCCTGAGTAAAAAGATATGTCAGGAAAGTATAGCTTCAATATTCTACAGGTGGTTAGAGAAAAGAATTGAACTGGAATCTTCTCTTGGTCAGAGGCTGCGAATAATGTTGACCTAGCATTGGCTGTGTACAACTAGTGAGTCTCACATCTGTATGATGTTGACCCTTATCAAGAATTTCTTTTGATGATTCCCATGGGAATTATTTGGTTAACAGAGTAAAAAGAGATGGGGCAGAATTTTCAGCACATTTAAAAGTTATCCTAGTATGAATTGGGCTTTAAAAGACTTCTTTGGTCAAAAAAGGAAAGTTAGGCGTGTGTGAGCAGAAGAGGGATAAATTTTTGCTGTTTGTATATTTGGTTGTATCAACTTTTGGGTCTACTTGGTTCATACTTTCAAAGCTAAAATATGAATTTCCTAAAAATAAATTATCCAAAAATAATAATGTTGGTCCTCTCTGTAGGGTTGGATGTATCTGAGTTGGCTTGGTTGGTTGGAACACGGCCACTAATGCAGCAATAGGTCCCATATCGCAGTGGACAATATAGTGTTCCACATGTGTTCTGTCCACTTTGTCCTAGCCAGTCATTCCACTGATATGTGGCTCCAAGAGAAGCCATCAGAGAAAGTGTAGGTGGATTAGCATAAATCTATCACCATTGTGAAAAAATGAAACTAAATGTCTTACCAGTGACAGGTGAGCCATTAAAATACTTAATTGATTGCCTGTAACATGTAAGGAATTGTGAGGTTAGAGAATTATTGGCTTTAAACTCTGCCCTCAAGGAACTCACAGGCAAGTAGTCAAGCAGTTGGAATATATACACATATACACATGAATATGTAATACCTTACAGGAAAATGACAGATGACTGCTTGCAATTAGCAGATAATGCATTATAAGTATTCAGGAAAAGGAGATTCCTTTCAACCATAACAATCACTTGTTTTTCCACTCGTGCTTTTGCAAATTTTGCTGTTAAAAAATTTAAAGGAAGGGAAGAAAAATATTATTTATTTAGTTCTTACAGTTGGTTAGAGACTGTGGAAAGTGCTTTTATGCCATTTTACTTAGCATTTTACTTAACAACCCTTCAAGGTAGATGGGGTAGATTTATCCTTGCTTTTAGAGAGGAGGATAGTAAGATTCAGAGAGAATTAAGAAACTTGCTTTAGTCACACAGGGAGTGAGAATTTAAGCATGTTTTAACTGAAAACCAGTAGTTTCGACTATGCCATAGTTTCTAGTAGTATGTTCAGGGAAATGCAAAAGTGCTTAGATTTGGGCAAATCTCCAGAAACATTTCCATCTTGATCCATAGTTGCACTGCCAGGTGAGGATTGTGGACCCTTCTGCAAGTAGTGTATGAGTCTGGAGTCAGAAGGGTGTCCAAAGAGAACACAGCTGCAGGATAAGGTTTCCTACATCAGTCTTTGAAAAGCAGATATTTGGGATAATAAAGGATATGGAAGAAGAGAGGTGCTACCCACACTCTCAGAGATATTATTGCAATGGGTTGAAGATTTAGCAGGAGGTGAGAAAATGGACGGAATCAAATGAAGACTTCTGTCTCATCAGGCTTTGCCATGAGGGGACGGAAATAAAAGGACATGCCAATAAAAGAATCAAGGGAAGAACAATACTTTAAGTGTCAAATTTCTCAGTTTTGAAATTGCCTGCCACACGTATATAACATAGGACGTTAAGCATTTGTGAACATTGTTAGGAGATAGTTACTGGATGTGATGAAGAGCTGACCAAGGTTATGTGACTGGACGTTTTAATTTAAAGTTGACTGTTCAGCTATATATTAACCTGCCCTTTGGCTCTTTTTATTTGTTGTGCCTAAAAGCATTGAGTCACATAAAAGAAACTTACATGAAGCAAAGTCAAAGACTGGAGTCAATCCTGGGTTAATAATGAAGTGCTTAAATAAGGGTAAAAACTTTTAATAAATGGAAAACATAAGACAAAAATCTTTTTAAAATCATTAATGTAAAATATAACCATTTTGGTTCTTATTTTTGTTTTGCCTAACAACCATATGCCATGATCAAATGGATTTCTAATTTGCAAAAAATGTTCTAAATGAAAAAAAAAAGGGGGGCCTTGACTGTTTAGGGTAGAATGTTGAGTCTATTTTGGTTATCATGATTCAGTAAAAGCTATTAAACCCACAGACTCTGCTAGTCTGTAATAGAGGAAGTCCTTGTCCCTGTTCTTTCTCCAACATTGGAATCAGAGGATAACCATACTCTAGATTCTATTTATTCTGGCACAACTTAGTTCATTGGATTTGTTTCCAATTTAAATGATATCTTTGCCAGGTGAAGTTGGTAATGATTAAAGGAATTTAAAAATATGTATTCAATTCAGTGAGATGCTTTTCACATATTTAGCTATCATTTAGAAATTCCATTCATGATAGGATGGATAAATATTTTAAGTTGCCAGATTTATTTTTATAGTTGAAATTAGCCCAAATTGCCAACTTAAGTTGGATTGCAACAAACCAGTTCAGGGTTTCCATGGAAACATGATTTCATCCCATCTATGAAAACCATTTTGTGTTTTCTCCTTTATCATGGAACTTGAAATTCTGCAATGTTTTTCCTGTGATTCCTGCTCCAAGAAAAAGAAAACAGGTTTCCAATTATACAAATATTCACATTTAGCTTATTAAAGTTTAACTCCAAGGGACATTTTAATTTAGGGAGATAGACAATGGCTATAGCATAAAATCTTTCCTATTTAGGTACCACTTTGTGTTTTTGTTATTTTTGTTTTTTATTTTTAAATACTTGGGTCACCCTCCAGTCACAATTGTTCTAAGCTATGTTAAATTCATACTTCTAATATCCCTATTATTTGGTGTTTAGCTGATTTAGAAATCTTCAGGAAAGAGCTGTGACATTCTTCATTTTTACTTTCTCCCATGCCTGGCGCAAATAGGTTCTCAGTAAATATTTATTGAATAAATGATGGATCTGACATTTGTGTGCCTTCTGTGGGCTTAGCACTGTTAAGGGCTCTGTAGTACACACACGAAAAATGTATACAATATACTATTTTTTTTTCCGTAAAGGAGTGCTCTACGGAGGGAAAATAATGAAATGTATGTGCTTGATACTTATTATTTAACCTCATATATGCCAGAGTTTTACTATTTTGTTTAATCTTTACAACAATCATTGAAGGGCTAGTGAATTATACTGATGTCTTCAGATGAAGATACTGTGGCTAAGCAAGGCTAGGTAAGTTGCCCATGAGAGTGATTGTTGGGCCAAGGTTTGAATACCAGCCCAGCATTGGCAAGTACACTTGCTAGTTGGAGAGACAAGTCCCTCCACACAAAGCAATTAGTGAGCTAGGAGGTATTATTGGCTCTGAGGAGTTCAGACAAGGAAAGATTATGTAGATGAGGGTAATCATGGATAATGTAAGTGAAAACATCACTACATAATGAGCTCTATACCATATACTAATCAATACTACATATTTGTATTTTATCTATTGAAATAAAATGTCTTGGCTTTTGGACTTGTTTATTAAATGTATACAATTTTTTTTAAATAAGACTATGAAATGGCATACAGATACTTTTGTTGTAGAAACAACCAAAGGAATACGTGCAAATTGATTTATCATAGAGTCACAGAATATCAGACTGGTCAGTCCTCTACTTTTTAATAGAAAAGAAAACTGAGTCTAAGATAGCAGTCACACCTAATTTTTTCTTTCTCTCTTGCTTAAATTCATATGATGGCAGAATCAGGCAAAACTCAGTCTTCCAACATCCAGTCTAATATTCTTTAAGCTGTGTAATGCTTTCATTCTTTCATTTGCAGCATAGGTACCTATTAATGAATAAAAATAATTATAAGAATTTTGAGTATATATCATTCATTTTTTCATGCTCCAATAAACTATTATATAAACATGTTGTGGTGAAAACCATGCATTTCACATCCTTGTGAACATATTCTTAGAGATCATTGAGATGTTAAGTGCTCTATTAAGTGAGGTGAAAATGATGCTCTGTATCAATTCGTTACCTATTTTTCTGTGCCTTTTCCTTGGTTATATTTTGTTTCTTTGCTGACTCCAAGCTATAGTTTTTTCCTAGGTCTTCTCTTGGGTTCCATGTAGTGTTAAGCACTTTTGTTTTTCATGATTAGTTGTTTTCCTTGAAAGGGAAAAGTTTCAAGTTTAGAAAGATAATTATAATCATTCTTAAATGCTAAGTCCTTATCAATACATCATTAGTCTAACACTAGAATTTCTCGTATAAACCTAGAATCCCTCGGAGTAGGAATAGGTATTTTATTGGTAGCAAACCTATGCTATAAAATTTCTTATTAAGTAGTGTATATTCACAGTAAGAATAATATTCTTTTGGTGGGGGGCTGTGTTCCCGATTAGCAATTAACATTAAATAATATGTATCAATGGTGATCTCAGAATAGCAATCACAGAACCAGGATAATTCAAAGTAGAAAAATAATGATCCAAACTTTAAAAATGAACCTAATTAGAGAGTACAAATCAATTATACAAGGCTCCAAGAACCATAATGCATTTCTAGGAAACCCTCTATTGTATTACATATACAATTTGAATATAAGAAATGTTAATGAAGTACTTAGCACTAATCTTGCTTGCCCTTCTTAGAATTAAGAATAATTTAGGAGTGAATGATTTAGGTTAGACCAAATTTCTTAAACTTTCCAGGAAATTTGAGTTGATACCACCTTTTTCTCCAGTGCCTACGTCACAATTTAAAAATCTTTCAAACTCATCAAACTTGGTTAGAAAAATTTGAAAAATAATTACTCAACTCTTCCTTAGAATTGCTGACGTATGCAATGAACAAATATTCATTGGGTTTTGATAAAAGTGGTATAGATTGATGTATTTTATTAATTAGGCTGGCTTAAATTAGTTCAACTGGAAACTAGGGACTGGGAGAAGGGGCAATTAAAAAATAAGTAGTTTGAATTTTTAGAGGCTTACCCAGTGAAATAGCGTTTGTTTAAAAAAAATGGTGACAATCACAGTAATTTAATTATGTGTATCATACATTCGAGTGACATCTTCCTCTCTCCCCCAGTTTGGTAATTCTTCTAGAAACACTGCAAATCAGATGAGTTGTTTTTGCCTTTTGTTTTGCTTTGTTTTGAATTGAGGTAAATAATTCAATATAGGACTTTCCTGCCTGCCACGGCTGTTTACATTACTACCCTGCATGCTCTGTGAGAATAATGCTGCTATTGGCCACACCTAAGAACAGGAAAGAATATTTCTGACATATTTTTTAGTAACTCCAACTATTAAAAAGGTTTAAAGTAAGAGTAAAACAAGACTAACTGGGTTAATTTTTTTCTAACTCATTTTAGAAACAAATTAGAAATAAATAAAAATTTGTATTCAGAATACAAATTCCTTGGTGACTGTGCATTACAAATATTTTCTCCCACTGTGTGGCCTATCCTTTCATTATATATACATATACATATATATGTATATATACATATACATATATATGTATATATACATATATACATATATATGTATATATACATATACACACAAAATTTACACAAATATAGAATTTGCTCTTGCTATATAAAGATTATATATATTTATAAATAAAAGTATATATATAGAATTCTACATAAAGCTTATATATCCAGTTGAATACTTAAGGACTTAAAGGAAACACAACCACCTTGCTACTGTCACACACATACATTTTTTTTAAATGGTGAATATCATCTAATGTCCTGTCCATGTTCAGTTTTCTCTGATTGACTCAAAAATATCTATTTACATTCAATGGTTTAAATTAGGATCTCAACAAAGTCCACAACTGCATGTAATTGATGCCTCTTAAGTTTCCTTACCCTTGTCATACCATTTATTTATTGAATAATTTTAGAATTTCTAGATTTCACTGATTTTGTCCTCTTGGTGTCATATAACACAGTACTGAATTTCTTTTATTTAGGTAGCTATAGAGACTTGAGTAGATTCAAGTTTTACTTTTTATTGGCAAAAGCCATTCACAGAAGAGGGTGATGTGCTCCTCCTATTATATCTTGTTTGGAGGAATATATGTCTTATTCTACTTTAATGATGTTAAGGTAGATCAGTGGGTTCACATGTAGTACAGCCTAATGCATCTGTCATAAATTTTCTCTCTAATCTTCCACCTAACAATATTAGCAGCCACTGGTAGTCCTTGCCTAGATTTATTATTCATTAGGGGTTGAAAAACATGAATTTTGAATACTGTTACTCTAGAATTTATTGTTTCTCCATCATGTTTTATTACCTTGAAATATCATCATGTAGGAAAAGTAGGATAAATGTTTATTCTCTTTATTTGTGCCCATTTATTAGCAGCCTTCAAAGGTGACCCATCGTGTTTTCTTATATTTGTCATTGTAAGCTCATATGTAGTTCAAGCTATTTAAATTATTCTTTTTTTATTATTATACTTTAAGTTTGGGGGTACATGTGCAGAACGTGCAGGTTTGTTACATAGGTTTACACATGCCATGGTGGTTTGCTGCACCCATCAAATCGTCATCTGCGTTAGGTATTCCTCCTAATGCTACCCCTCCCCCAGCCCCCCACCACCCAACAGGCCCCAGTGTGTGATGCCTCCCACCTGAGTCCAGGTGCTCTCATTGTTCAACTCCTACTTATGAGTGAGAACACGTGGTGTTTGGTTTGCTGAGAATGATGGTTTCCAGCTTCATCCATGTCCCTGCAAAGGACATGAACTCCTCCTTCTTTATGGCTGTATAGTATTCCATGGTGTATATGTGCCACATTTTCTTAATCCAGTCTATCATTGATGGACATTTAGGTTGACTCCAAGTCTTTGCTATTGTGAACAGTGCCGCAATAAACATACATGTGAATGAGTCTTTATAGTAGAATGATTTATAATCCTTGGGTATATACCCAGTAATGGGATTGCTGGGTCAAATGGTATTTCTAGTTCTAGATCCTTGAGGAATCGCCACACTGTCTTCCACAATGGTTGAACTAATTTACACTCCCACCAAGTGTAAAAGCGTTCCTGTTTCTCCACATCCTCTCCAGCATCTGTTGTTTCCTGACTTTTTAATGATCGTCATTCTAACTGGCATGAGATGGTATCTCATTGTGGTTTTGATTTACATTTCTCTAAAGACCAGTGATGATGAGCATTTTTCATATGCTTGTTGGTTGCAAAAGCGTTTTCTTTTGAGAAGTGTCTGGTCATATCCTTCGCTCACTTTTTGATGGGGTTGCTTATTTTTTTCTTGTAAATTCATTTATGTTCTTTGTAGATTCTGGATATTAGCCCTTTGTCAGATGAGTAGGTTGCAAAAATTTTCTCCCATTCTCTAGGTTGCCTGTTCACTCTAATGGTAGTTTCTTTTGCTGTGCAGAAGCTCTTTAGTTTAATTAGATCCCATTTGTCAATTTTGGCTTTTGTTGCCTTTGCTTTTGGTGTTTTAGTCATAAAGGCTTTGCCCATGCCTAAGTCCTGAATGGTATTGCCAAGGTTTTATTCTAGGATTTTTATTGTTTTAGGTCTTAGTTTAAGTCTTTAATCCATCTTGGCTTAATTTTTATATAAGATGCCTATGTCCTGAATGGTATTGCCAAGGTTTTATTCTAGGGTTTTTATTGTTTTAGGTCTCAGTTTAAGTCTTTAATCCATCTTGGGTTAATTTTTTTATAAGATGTAAGGAATGGATCCAGTTTCAGCTTTCTGCATATGGCTAGCTAGTTTTCCAAACACCATTTATTAAATAAGGAATCCTTTCCCTGTTGCTTGTTTGTGTCAGGTTTGTCAAAGATAAGATGGTTGTAGATGTGTGGTGTTATTTCTGAGGCCTCTGTTCTGTTCCGTCGGTCTGTATACTTGTTTTGGTACCAGTACCATAATGTTTTGATTACTGTAGCCTTGTAGTATAATTTGAAGTCAGGTAGCATCATGCCTCCAGCTTTGTTCTTTTTACCTAGGATTGTCTTGGCTATGTGGGCTCTTTTTCGGTTTCCATATGAAATTTAACATAGTGTTTTCTAATTCAGTGAAGAAACTCAATGGTAGCTTGGTGGGGATAGCATTGAATCTATAAATTACTTTGGGCAGTATGGTCATTTTCACGATATTGATTCTTCCTATCCATGAGCATGGAATGTTTTTCCATTTGTTGTGTCCTCTTTTATTTCCTTGAGCAGTGGTTTGTAGTTCTCATTGAAGAATCCTTCACATCCCTTGTAAGTTGTATTCATAGGTATTTTATTCTCTTTGTAGCAATTGTGAATGGGAGTTCACACATGATTTGGCTCTCTGTTTGTCTATTATTTGTGTATAGGAATGCTTGTGATTTTTACACATAGATTTTGTATCCTGAGACTGTTGAAGTTGCTTATCAGCTTAAGGAGATTTTGGGCTGAGACAATGGGGTTTTCTAAATATACAATCATGTCATCTTTCCAAATATACAATCATATCATCTATTTGAATACCCTTTATTTTTTTTCTCTTGCCTGATTGCTCTGACCAGAACTTCCAATACTATGTTGATTAGGAGAGGTGAGAGAGGGCATCCTTGTCTTGTGCCAGTTTTCAGAGGGAGTGCTTCCAGTTTTTGCCCATTCAGTATAACATTGGCTGTGGGTTTGTCATAAATAGCTCTTATGATTTTGAGATAACATTCCATCGATACCTAGCTTATGGAGAGTTTTTAGCATGAAGGGCTGTTGAATTTTGTCGAAGGCCTTTTCTGCATCTATTGAGATAATCATGATTTTTGTCATTGGTGCTGTTTACGTGATGGATTATGTTTATTGATTTGCGTATGTTGAATCAGCCTTGCATCTCAGGGATGAACCTGATTTGATTGTGGTGGATAAGGTTTTTGATATGCTGCTGGATTCAGTTTGCCAGTATTTTATTGAGGATTTTTGTGTCAATGTTCATCAGGGATATTTACCTGAAATTTTCTTTTTTTGTTGTGTCTCTGCCAGGTTTTGGTATCAGGATGATGCTGGCCTCATAAAATGAGTTAGGGAGGATTCCCTCTTTTTCTATTGTTGGAATAGTTTCAGAAGGAATGGTATCAGCTCCTCTTTGTACTTCTGGCAGAATTCGGCTGTGAATCCATCTGGTCCTGGACTTTTTTGGTTGGTAGGCTATTAATTTCTGCCTCAATTTCAGAACTTATTATTGGTCTATTCAGGGACTCGACTTCTTCCTGGTTTAGACTTCAGAGGGTGTTAGTGGCCAGGTATTTATCCATTTATTCTACACTTTCTAGTTTATTTGTGTAGAGGTGTTTATAGTATTCTCTGATGGTAGTTTGTATTTCTGTGGGATCAGTGGTGATATCCCCTATATCATATTTTATCGAATCTATGTGATTCTTCTCTCTTTTCTTCTTTATTAGTCTGGTTAGCTGTCTATTTTGTGGATCTTTTCAAAAAACCAGCTCCCGGATTCATGGATTTTTTGAAGGGTTTTTCCTTTCTCTATCTCCTTCAGTTTTGCTGTGATCTTAGTTATTTCTTATCTTCTGCTAGCTTTTGAATTTGTTTGCTGTTGCTTCTCTAGTTCTTTTAATTTTGATGTTAGGGTGTCAATTTTAGATCTTTTCTGCTTCCTCTTGTGGGCATTTAGTGCTATAAATTTCCCTCCACACATTGCTTTAAATGTGTCCCAGAGATTTTGGTATGTTTTGTCTTTGTTGTCATTGGTTTCAAAGAACATCTTTATTTCTGCCTTCATTTTGTTATTTACCCAGTAGTCATTCAGGAGTAGGTTGTTCAGTTTCCAAGTAGTTGTGCAGTTTTGAGTGAGTTTCTTAATCCTGAGTTCCATTTTGATTCCACTTTGGTCTGAGAGACTGTTTGTTATGATTTTCATTCTTTTGCATTTTCTGAGGAGTGTTTTATTTCCAATTATGTGGTCAATTCTAGAATAAGTGTGATGTGGTGCTGATTAGAATATATATATATATATATATATATATATATATATATATATTTATTTATTTATTTATTTTGTTGAATTGGGGTGGAGGGTTCTGTAGATGTCTATTAGGTCCACTTGGTCCAGAGCTGAGTTCAAGACCTGAATATCCTTGTTAATTTTCTGTCTCATTGATCTGTCTAATATTGACAGTGGGATTTTAAAGTCTCCCATTATTATTGTGTGGGAGTCTACATCTCTTGGTAGGTCTCCAATAACTTGCTTTATGAATCTGGGTGCTCCTGTATTAGTTGCATATATATTTAGGGCAGTTAGCCCTTCTTATTGCATTGAGCCCTTTACCATTATGTAATGCCCTTCTTTGTCTCTTTTGATCTTTGTTGATTTAAAGTCTGTTTCATCAAAGACTAGGATTACAACCTCTGCTTTTTTTTTTTTTTTGCTTTCCATTTGCTTGGTAAATATTCCCCCATCCCTTTATTTTGAGCCTATGTGTGTCTTTGCACATTAGTTGGATCTCCTGGATACAGCACACTGATGGGTCTTGACTCTTTATCCAATTTGCCAGTCTGTGTCTTTTAATTGGGGCATTTAGCCCATTTACATTGAAGGTTCATACTGTGATGTGTGAATTTGATCCTGTCATTATAATGCTAGCTGCTTATTTTGCCCGTTAGTTGATGCAGTTTCTTCATAGTGTCAATGGTCTTTACAATTTGGTTTGTTTTTGCAGTGGCTGCTACCAGTTTTTCCTCTCCATGTTTAGTGCTTCCTTCAGGAGCTCTTGTAAGGCAGGCCTGGTGGTGATAAAATCTCTCAGCATTTGCTTGTCTATAAAGGATTTTATTTCTCTTTCACTTGTGAAGCTTAGTTTGGCTGGATATGAAATTCTGCGTTGCAAATTCTTTTCTTTACGAATGTAGAATATTGGTCCCCACTCTCTTCTGGCTTATAGGGTTTCTGCCAAGAGATCTGCTGTGTCTGATGGGCTTCCATTCGTGGGTAACCCAACCTTTCTCTCTGGCTGCCCTTAACATTTTTTCCTTCATTTCAACCTTGGTGAATGTGACGATTATGTGTCCTGGGGTTTCTCTTCTCAAGGAGTATCTTTGTGGTATTCTCTGTATTTCCTGAATTTGAATGTTGGCCTATTTTGCTAGGTTGGGGAAGTTCTCCTGGATAATATCCTGAAGTGTGTTTTCCAACTTGGTTCCATTCTCCCCATCACTTTCAGGTATGCCAATCAAACATAGATTTTGTCTTTACACATATTCCCATATTTCTTGGAGGCTTTATTCATCTCTTTTCACTCTTTTTTCTCTAATCTTGTCTTCTCGCTTTATTTCATTAAGTTGACCTTCAGTCTCTGATATCCTTTCTTCCTCTTGATCGATTTGGCTATTGATACTTGTTTATGCTTCACGAAGTTCTCGTCCTGTGTTTTTCAGCTCCATCAGGTCACTTATGTTCTTCTCTAAACTGGTTATTCTAGTTATCAATTTGTCTAACCTTTTTTCAAGGTTCTTAGCTTCCTTGCTTTGGGTTAGAACATGCTCCTTTAGCTTGAAGGAGTTTGTTATTACCCACCTTCTGAAGCCTACTTCTGTCAATTTGTCAAACTCATTCTCTGTACTGTTTTGTTCCCTTGCTAGCGAGTTGTGATCCTTTGGAGGAGAAGAGGTGTTCTGGTTTTTGGAATTTTCAGCCTTTTTGCACTGGTTTCTCCCCATCTTTGTGGATTTATCTACCTTTGGTCTTTGATGTTGGTGACCTTTGGATGGGATCTCTGAATGGACATCCTTTTTGTTGATGTTGATACTATTCCTTTCCATTTGTTAGTTTTCCTTCTAACAGTCAGGCCCCTCTGCTGCAGGTCTGCTGGAGTTTGCCATAGGTTCATTCATTCCAGATCCTGTTTGCCTGGATATCACCAGTGGACGCTACAGAACAGCAAAAATTGCTGCCTGTTCCTTCCTCTGGAAGTTTCATCCCATAGCAGCATCTGCCAGATGCCAGCCAGAGCTCTCCTGTATGAGGTGTCTGTCAGCCCCTACTGGAGGTATCTCCCAGTCAGGATACACGGGGGTCAGGGACCCACTGTGGAGGCAGTCTGTCCCTTAGCAGAGCTTGTACACTGTGCTGGGAGATTTGCTGCTGTCTTCAGAGCTGTCAAGTAGGGATGTTTACGTATGTTGAAGCTGCACCCACAGCCTCCACTTCCCCCTGGTGCTCTGTCCCAGGGAGATGGGAGTTTTATCTTATCAGACCCTGGCTGGGGTTGCTGCCTTTGTTTTTTCTTTAGAGATACCCTGCCCAGAGAGGAGGAATCTATAGAGGCAGTCTGGCAGCAATGGCCTTGCTGAGCTGTGGTGGGCTCCTCCCAGTTTGAACTTCCCTCTGGCTTTGTTTACACTGTGAGGGTTAAACCACCTACTCAAGTCTCAGCAATGTTGCATGCCCCTCCCCATACCAAGCTCAAGCATCTCAGACTGCTGTCCTAGCAGCAAGAATTTCAAGCCAGTTAATCTTAGCTTGCTGGGCTCCATGGGGGAGCGACCCACGGAGCTAGACCACTTGGCTCCCTGGTTTCCGCCCCCTTTCCAGGGGAGTGAACGATTCTGTCTCGCTGGCGTTCCAGGTGACACTGGGGTATTAAAAAAACAAAAACAAACAAAAAAACTCCACAGCTAGTGGGGTATCTGCCCAAACGGCCACCCAGTTTTGTGCTTGAAACCCAGGGCCCTGGTGGTGTAGGCACCAGAGGGAATCTCCTGGTTTGCTAGTTGTGAAGACCATGGGAAAAGTGCAGTATCTGGGCCAGAGTGCACCGTTCCTCCCATTACAGTCTTTCATGGCTTCCCTTGGCTGGGGGAGGGAGATCCCCTGACCCCTTGCACTTCCCAGCTGAGGTGATGCCCCACCCTGCTTCAGCTCGCCCTCTGTGGGCTGCACCCACTGTCCAACCAGTCCCAGTGAGATGAACTGGGTACCTCAGTTGGAAATGCAGAAATCACCCACCTTCTGTGTTGATCTTGCTGGGAACTGCAGACTGGAGCTGTTCCTATTCGGCCATCTTGCCTGGAAATTAAATAATCAAATGACTTCGTCTTTAGTCAATGGAAGCCTTTCAAATTGGCTCTTGGGTCCCGTTGATCTAATCCCAGTAGATTTTGACAGTTTTCTTGTTTTCAGAATGACAAGATATCTGTCTTATGTCTCACATGCCCCAGATCTGGAATCTGCTATTTTTCCAAAGAGCTTTGGTTCCTTTTAATGGAAAATGATATTTAGAAACTGCAATTGAGGTGCTAGAGTTACTTACTGATGATTTTATTCATATCACTTGATGTCTCAAAGAGTGCTCATTTCCATTCATTTCCTTTCACTGACTCCTCTTTTGTCTATGCCATTTATTTTGATTTACTATCCTGTATTATTTAACCTTGGATATGCTAACACTGTATTTTCTAAGTAGGCAAACCAGGCACATCCAGGACTGGAACTCACATCACTTGACTTGCTATCCAGAATTCTTTTTGGTGTATCATGAATGAATTGGAAGGTTAGATAGTTGGAGAAAAATTTTGACCTGAGTTAGAAATTTTATTAGTCTTAGAAGTTTTATTAGTTTTCCATTTGGAAACCAGTAAAATAAAATATTTTGACAATATTTTATTGTCAAAATTAAAGCTGAGTCAAGAAAAACAAGTAAGAAATTAGGCTAATTAATGTAATGTAAGAGGAATTTAGAGCTAGAGAAAAAGGCTGCATTTATAAGCAGAGTTTAAAATCACCAATGGAATCCTGTGGCCTGTTTTCAGTGCATTTGCTGGCACAGGCAAATAAAATACACTGTACACCATTTCTTGGCTTGTACTGGTCTCATTATATAGACATGTATATTCTTTTGTTGCTTGAATATTTAGAAGTTGCTATGGCCAGATTAGATTTTTAAACTATTCATGCAAACTCCAGACAAGCAAGTTACTGCAGTTCTCTCTTTCATGTGTGGTTTTGACGGATATTATGTAATATAGTGTACAACCCAATCAAGAAATACCTACCCTGCAGTGTGAAAACAGACTCTGAAACTAGCAGTTTAAATTAGATGGGGATGTGATAGTGGTTAAGAGATCACTTAGGTGGATACCACTGTAGACTAAGTGTGAGATGAGGAAGGCATTATCAGTGGGGTCAAATAAGAGGATGATAGAAGAGATGCTGGAAGTAGAAAAAGATCGAATTAAACCAACATTTATTGAGGGTCAGTGATTTGCCAAGTACGATTTGAGGCACTAATCATGCAGTGATGAAAGAGAATGGCAAAGTGGTCCTCCTTATGAGTTATCCATTAAATTTAGGGGAGATAAGGAAGATGGATGTGTGCTCTTGGGTTTTTAGCTTCAAAAATGGCTAGAAGCCAAGCCATTACTGTAGCAATGGGAAATGCTGTGATTTTCCCTTTTTCCTCCAGAAAAACAATACACAGTTTTATTAATTAATTGACACATCTATGATGCCTTTACCCCTGCATTTTTGGTGGTATACTCTTTAGTTACCTTTTCACACTACATTTTTAAAAAATATATCTTTCTTTGGAAAGAGTAAAAACTTCAGTCTTGATCATCTAGATTGAAAGATAGTTTAATCTTTCATCTGTACTATCCTTGATTAGGGTTAATCAAAATCAGTGTTTTAGGGGATTTCCTTTGATTCTGAACTTTTTCAATTGGAAATGGATTATTATTCTGTTCTTATACTTCAAGCCAGGTATTCAAATAATATTAAATAATATTCAGTAACTGAGGGAAGAGTAAACATTTTTATGAAACAAGTTTAAAAATGAATGCTTTAGTTTCTCATTAATTTTTAGTATACTAAAATGTAACAGTTAAATAGTGGGTTGGCTATAAGTCTTTATGCTTCTTATTCAAGCATTTATTGTCATTTTAAAAATTGAAATGTATTTTTGTCTATAATTATGACAATAGCTTCTATTTATTAAGAGCTCACTAATTGTCAGACCCATTTCTTTGTGGTTTCCATACTTTAACTTATTTCTCATAGCTTTATGAGAAATTAATACATATAAAGACACATACAAATGAATTCTTAAATTTTTAAATGCCGCATATCTACAACTATCTGATCTTTGACAAACCTGACAAAAACAAGAAATGGGGAAAGGATTCCCTATTTAATAAATGACGCTGGGAAAACTGGCTAGCCATATGTAGAAAGCTGAAACTGGATCCCTTTCTTACACCTTATGCAAAAATTAATTCAAGATGGATTAAAGACTTAAATGTTAGACCTAAATCCATAAAAACCCTAGAAGAAAACCTAGGCAATACCATTCAGGACATAGGCATGGGCAAGGACTTCGTGTCCAAAACACCAAAAGCAATGGCAACAAAAGCCAAAATTGACAAATGGGATCTAATTAAACTAAAGAGCTTCTGCACAGCAAAAGAAACTACCATCAGAGTGAACAGGCAACCTACAGAATGGGAGAAAATTTTTGCAGCCTACTCATCTGACAAAGGGCTAATATCCAGAATCTACAATGAACTCCAACAAATTTACAAGAAAAAAACAAACAACCCCATCAAAAAGTGGGCAAAGGATATGAACAGACACTTCTCAAAAGAAGACATTTATGCAGCCAACAGACACATGAAAAAATGCTCATCATCACTGGCCATCAGAGAAATGCAAATCAAAACCACAATGAGATACCATCTCACACCAGTGAGAATGGCGATCATTAAAAAGTCAGGAAACAACAGGTGCTGGAGAGGATGTGGAGAAATAGGAACACTTTTACACTGTTGGTGGGACTGTAAACTAGTTCAACCATTGTGGAAGTCAGTGTGGCGATTCCTCAGGCATCTAGAACTAGAAGTACCATTTGACCCAGCCATCCCATTACTGGGTATATACCCAAAGGATTATAAATCATGCTGCTATAAAGACACATGCACCCATATGTTTATTGCAGCACTATTCACAATAGCCAAGACTTGGAACCAAGCCATATGTCCAACAATGATATACTGGATGAAGAAAATGTGGCACATATACACCATGGAATACTATGCAGCCATAAAAAATGATGAGTTCATGTCCTTTGTAGGGACATGAATGAAGCTGGAAACCATCATTCTCAGCAAACTATCACAAGGACAAAAAACCAAACACTGCATGTTCTCACTCATAGGTGGGAATTGAACAATGAGAACACATGGACACAGGAAGGGGAACATCACACTAGGGCCTGTTGTGGGGTGGGGGGAGGGGGGAGGGATAGCATTAGGAGTTATAACTAATGTTAAATGATGAGTTACTGGGTGCAGCACACCAACATGGCACATGTATACATATGTAACCAACCTGCACGTTGTGCACATGTACCCTAAAACTTAAAGTATAATAATTTAAAAAAAGCAGATCATGATGCACCCATGCTTAAAACCCTTTAATAGACACACTTCGCATTTAGGAAAAACAATTCTAAACTGAACATAATGCTTGTGAATCATGCTACTTTACTTTAGTCCCTGTCATTCTTCGTCTTGCTCCCACATGCATGACTCACTGACCTTTCTGTTCCTGGGACAAACCAAACTTACTCCATCAATGGAATGGAAATCTTGTCCCCAGATCTGATCAAGTGTGGCTCCTTCATGTTGCTTAAGTGTCAGCTCAAGTGTTACCTTTTTAGAGAGGCCTTCTTTGACCTCCAAATCTAACAGAGCCCTTCCTCTCCTCCTGGCCTCAAGTGATACATTACTGTTTTCATTATACACTTACCAGTATCTGAAATGATCTCATGTATTTATTTAGTCTCTGGCACAAACTGCATGGAAGCAGATTCCTTATTTAGTTTTGTCACCTCTGAATTCCCAGCACCTAAAAGAGTATCTGCCACATAGTAGGCACTTAATAAATGTTTGTCGTTGAATGAATGTAATGGAAAGGATTCTGGGGTCAGCAAACTTGGTTTTTGAGTCTGTTGCTTTTGAGTACATGCAGGAGGCAAACCATATGACCCAATCAGGCCTTATTCTCTCAACATTCTCAAGATTAAATAAACCAAAGTTTTCTCAAAGCAGTTTTAAAAGTATAAATTTTAATTATCACAATAATCCTTTGATGACAGATAATATGAATCATTGTTTTCATAGTTGAAAAGGAAGATACAGATTACCAAGTTTACCTCTCTTTTTTCTAAGCATTAGAAAACCACTAAGAAGGATGTTCTTTAAGTTATAGTTAGTTAATGGCAGTGTTAACTCTATAATCTGGATTTCTTGGTGTCTATTTAGCCTACTATATATTCCATATTAACAGGTGAGCTCAGTTTAAATTCCTACATTCTGGTAAAAATAATTTCTTCTTTTTCTGTCACCCATTAAGAATTATTTATGTACCATTAAAAGGTTGATTAAAAAAAAAACAGAATTCCATATTTGAGAAGGTAGCATCTATATCAATATTCTTTACAGCCCAATTCACTAGAAGTGAGGCAAGTAACCAAGGACTTTCTGCTGTTGAGGATGTAAGCATCATTTAATGGAGACCCTACAACTGTAATAGTTACCATCACAAGCAGGCTTTAAGCAGTTCTGGATACAGGTTAGACCCAATTCTGCAGGTGAATTGCAGCACTGTACCTCTGTCTCTGTGGTAGCATTTCTCACAAGGTTTTGTGGGAAGAGTGGAGAAGGGAAAGATTCAATGTCTATGTCCAGGATCTCTGACTCCAAATATCATCCTAGTCCTTCTACATCTGTAGAGCCCCTTTCAGTTAATAAAAAAGAAAACTCATGTTTTAATTAGTAATGTCATTCTTGAGGGAAACCATTATTTTCCATCTTAGTTCACTCCTGCCACCATAGTTATTCCAAATTCATATCAAGACAAATTTTAAGCATACATATTCTAAAGCTTTTGGAAAACTAGAATATAGGCAAAGTGTCTAATGACCCATTTAATTTCTTACTGAGAAGGAAGATGAGCTATGATATAGTATTTCCAAATGACATGTGAAAT
Source organism: Homo sapiens (assembly GCF_000001405.40). Lineage (NCBI taxonomy): Eukaryota > Metazoa > Chordata > Mammalia > Primates > Hominidae > Homo > Homo sapiens. The sequence goes on along the minus strand of NC_000006.12, from coordinate 56,198,696 downwards.
AGATCTGAAAGCATGGCCTCCTTACTCTCCCTTTCACTTTTTGTTTCTTAATATAAAATACTTTTTGTTTGCTTAGTATGCCATTCATTGGTCTATGGATTGTGCTGCAGGCCTTGTTGGCCTGTATTCTTTTTTTCTCATTTTAATCATTATTTATGTGAGGTTTAACAATTTTACCCCAGCTTTTTGAGGTAAGACTGACAAATAAAAATTGTATATATTTTAGGTTGACCACATGATGTGATATAAGTATACATTATGAAATGATTACCACAATCAAGCTAACTAGCATATCAATTACCTCACTAGGTATCATTTTTTTCTGTGGTAAGGAAACTTGAGATCTATTCTCTCAGCTAATTTCAAGTATAAAATAAATTATTAACTGTAGTTACTATGCTGTACATTAGGTCTCCAGAATGTATTCATCATATATCTCAAAATTTGCACCCTTTGACCAACATCTCCTCTCTTCCTCCTCCCCAGCCTGGGTTAATCAACATTCTACTCTCTGTTTCTGAGTTTGACTTTTATTTTTTAGATTTCAACATGTGATCATGCAGTATTTGTCTTTCTGCGTATGGCTTATTCACTTAGCTCACTGTCCTCCAGCTTTATCCATGTTGTTGCAAATGGGAGGATTTCCTTTTTTTGTAAGTCTAAATAGTATTCTCTCCTGTGTGAGTGTGTATACGTGTACACACACCCCAGTTTCTTTATTCATTCTTCAGTTGATGAACACTTAGGTTGTTTCCATATCTCGGCTACTGTAAATAATGCTGCATTGAATATGGGACTATAGATACCTCTTTGAGATAGTGATTTTATTTCCTTTGGAAACATCTCCAGTAGTAAAATTACTGGTTCATATAGTAGTTCTATTTTTAATTTTTTTGAGGAACCTCTATACTATTTTTCATAATGGCTGTACCAATTTAAAGTTCCACCAACAGTGTACAAGTGTTCCCTTTTCTCCAATCTTCACCAACGCTTGCTATCTTTTGACTTTTTGATAATAGCCGTGCTAACAGGTGTGAAGTGGTGCTACTTTGATTTGCATTTCCCTGATAACTAGTGATGTAGTGATGTTGAACATCTTATATACCTGTTGACCATTTGTATGTCTTCTTTGGAAAATTGTCTATTTACATCATTTGCCTATCCTTTAATCAGTTTTTTATTTGCTATTGAATTGTGTGGGTTTCTTATGTATTTTAGATACTAATTCTTTATCAGATATATGGTTTGCAGACATTTTCTTCCATTCTGTAGATTACCTTTTTATTTCATCAATTGTTTCCTTTGCTGTGCATAAACTTATTAGTTTGATGTAGTCCCACTTGTTTATTTTTATCTTTGTTGTCTGTGCTTTTGTTGTCAAATACAAAAAGTCATTGCCGAGACCAGTGTTATTAAGCTTTTCCCCTGTGTTTTCTTCTAGGAGTTTTGTGATTTCAGGTCTTTTGTTTGTCTTTAATCCATTTTGAGTTAGTTTTTGTGTATGCTCTAAGGGTCCAATTTCATTCTTTTCCACATGGATATCTAGTTTTCCCAGCATTATTTGTTGAAGAGACTATCCTTTCTTGACATTTTGTGGAAAATTAGTTAACTATATATGCGTGGATTTATTTCTTGGTTCTCTATTCTGTTCCAGTGGTTTGTGCATCTGTTTTTATGCCAGTGCCATATTGTTTTAATTACTATAGCTTTATAATATAACTTGAATCAGGAAGTGTGATGCCTCCAGCTTTGTTCTTCTTGTTCAAGATTGCTTTAGATATTTGGGTTTTTTTGTGGTTCCATACAAATTTTAGGACTTAATTTTTCTATTTTTGTAAAAAATGCCATTGGGATCTTGATAATGATTGAACTAAATCTATAGATCCCTTTGGGTGGTATGGACATTTTAACAATATTAATTCCTCCAATTCATGAACATGGATATCTTTCCATTTATCAGAGTGAAGAATTGTATCTGTGTCTTCTTCAATTTCTTTCATCAATGTTTTAGAGTTTTCAATGTACAGGTATTTCACCTCCTTGGTTAAATTTATTCTTGAGTATTTTATTCCTTTTGATGCTATTGTAAATTATATTCCTTTCTTAATTTGTTTTAGGATAGTTCATTATTAATACATAGAAATGGCAACTGACTTTTATATGTTGATTTTGTATCCCACAAGTTTATTGTATGTACTTCTTTTAATACTTTCTTGGTAGAGTCTTTATGGTCTTCTGTAATAAGATTATGTCACATGCTAATAGAGACAATCTTACTTCTTCCTTTCCAATTTGGATGCCTTCATTTCTTTTTCTTGCCTGATTGGTTTGGCTAGGACTTCCAGTGCTATGTTGTAGAGAAGTAGTGAGACTGGGCACCCTTGTTTCTTCCTGATCTTAGAGGAAAAGCTTTCAGCTTTTAACCATTAGTATAATGTTAGCTGTGGATTTGTCATATATGGCTTTTATTATCTTGAAGTTCATTCATTCCATGCCTAATTTGTTGAGTTTTTTGAATTATGAAATGATGGAGAATTTTGTCAGATGCTTTTGTTTTGGTATGTATTTAGATGATCGTATAATTTTATTCTTTGTTTTTAATGTGGTACATCATGTTTATTGATTTACCTATGTTGGACCATCCTTGCATCTCAGGGATAAATCCCACTAGGTCATGCATATGACACTTTGAATGTACTGTTGAATTTAGTTTACTAGTAGGTTATTGAGAAATTTTACATCCATGTTCATCAGGGCCTGTGATTTTTTTTCTTGTAGTGTTCTTGTCTGGCTTTGTTATTAGGGTAAAGCCAGCCTCATAAAATGAGTTTGAAGTATTTTCTTTTCTTTAATTTTTTGGAAGAGTTTGGGGAGAATTGGCATTAATTCTCCTTTTAAAGTCTAATAGAATTCATCATGAAGCTGTCTGCTCCTGGACCTTTTCTGTTGGGAGGTTTTGTTTACTGATTTAATCTCTTTACTAGTTCTAGGTCTGTTAGGATTTTGTATTTCATCATCATTCAGTTTTGGTAAGTTTTAAGTTTCTAGAAATTTATTTATGTTATGCAGTTTGTTAGCATATAATTTTTATAGTAGTCTCATAATTTTTTGTGTCTCTGAACTATCATTTATAATGGCTCCTCTTTAATTATAATTGTATTTATTCAAGTTGTCTCTCTTTTTTTTCTTAGTATTCTAAGTTAACTAAAATATATATTAAAATACTCACAATTCTGCCCCTCTTTCCCTCCCCCACCACATTTGTTTCAGGAAGACAGAGAGACTGGGGCTCAGATTCTTAAAACCAGGGAGATACTATTCCTGATATTGTAGAAATTTCAACACTATTTTTACTTTTGGGAAAAGAACAACCAAAGACAAAAACTTTTAGCACCTAAATACACAAAGTATGGTCTATGGACCAGCAGAATCAGCATCACTTGGGAGCTTGCTAGAAGTTGTTTTAGTACGTTTTCTGTTGCTTGTAAGAGAATACTCAAAACTGCATAATTTATAAAGAAAAAAATTATTTCTTATGGAGGCTGAGAAATCCAAGGTCAAGAGGCCACATCTGGTGAGGCCTCCATGCTTGTGGGGACTCTCTGCAGAGTCACAAGCCCGCAGAGGGCATCACATGGTGAGGGGACTGAGCATGCTAGCTGAGGTCTCTTTTCCTTTTTTCATAAAGCCACCAGTCCCATTCCTATTCTAGTCCATTAATTTATTAATTTATTAATCCACTAATCTGTGAATGGATTAACCCATTCGAAAAGGCAGAGCCCTCATGACCCAATCACCTTTTAAAAGCCCTGCCTCTCAGTACTGCTGCATTAAGGATTAAGTTTTAACATGAATTTTGAGGGGACAAACATTCAAACTGTAGCCAAAATGAAGACCCTTCATCTACAAACTAAAGCTATGTAATCAGTATCTACATTTTAATAAGATCTCTAAGTGATTTTTATACACCTTAACATTTGAGATATGGGAATGCTAAAGGTCACCTGATTACTCTGAGTATCAAGGCTTTATAATTTTTTCGCTTGTAGAAATTCTGAGTTATACTACCCTATTTTGGGTTGCTAATTTACTTCTCTACCAAGGGAATAGGGACTTTTTTTCTTATTTACCATTTTGCATTGCCCCATACTAGAATTTATAAAACTTTGGTGCATGTTAGCATATGAGGAGATTCATTTATTTATTTTTAAAGAATAATTGGTCTCTTCCCCTACAATCTGAAGCTACTGGATTAGGGTTAGGGCTTCCATATGTTTAACACACTCCCTATTCAACTAAGTGTTAAAACTTGATAAGCCTAACTTCATTTGAAGTGTACATAAACATGTGTATAATGAAATATTTATGAAACACACCAGTTTTAATGATTAAATAACATGGTAATAATATGAATTTAGTATCCTTTTGTATCTTCTATTTTAATGATTGTCAATTTAAATTATAATAACATCAGGGAATTAACTTTGCCCAAAAAATCTGAATGAATTACATATAAATAGAAATACTGAGATATTTTTGGTAGAGGAACTTAATAACTTAATTTTGAGGCTTTTGGGAAGAAAGGTGGTGAAAATTTATTAGGACATGTTGTTACCATAAAACAGCACATCCTGGTGATGACTCACCAAAAATGCCTCTCAGCTGGCCATGGTGGCTCACGCCTGTAATCCCAGCACTTTGGGATCATGAGATCAAGAAATCAAGACCATCCTGGCCAATATGGTGAAACCCAGTCTCTACTAAAAATACAAAAGTTAACTGGGCATGGTGTCGCACGCCTGTAGTCCCAGCTAATCGGGAGGCTGAGGGAGGAGAATCGCTTGAGCCTGGGAGGTGGAGACTGCAGTGAGCTGAGATAGCACCACTGCAGTCCAGCCTGGTGAGAGTGAGACTCCTTCTCAAAAAAAAAAAAAAACAAAAAAACCTCCTTTTGTACCTTTATAACTCTTTATGCAGAGGGGTGGGCCTAATTTGGAAATTGACAGTAATGGACTAGTTTTTTTTCATTGAAGTATAATTTATAGACAATAAATTATACAGATATAACACATCTGGTTTAATTGCCTTAGATGAGTTCATATATCTGAATACTGACTTTGCAAATGTAGCCTATGTCTGTTACCCAGGAAGTTTACTTGTGCCACTTTCAGGCAAAGGTTTCCTGATTTCTAACACCATAGATTAGTTTTGCCTGTTTTGGGGCTTCATACAACTAGAAACATACTGTATGCATTATTTTGTGTCTGGCTTCTGTTATTAAATACAATGTGTTTTAAATTTATTCATGTTGTTTCCTATAACAGTTCATGATTTTTTGATTGCTGATTAGCATTTCTTTTTTTAAATTTTTTAATTTTTATTTTTTATTATACTTTAAGTTCTGGGATATATCAACAGAATGTGCAGTTTTGTTACATAGGTATACAAATGCCAGGGTGATTTGCTGCACCCATCAACCTGTCACCTACATTGGGAATTTCTCCTAATGCTATCCCTAGGCCCCCACCCCCTGACAGGCCCTGGTGTGTGATATTACCCTCCCTGGGTCCATGTGTTCTCATTGTTCAACTCCCACTTATGAGTGAGAACATGCGGTGTTTGATTTTCTGTTCTTGGAATAGTTTGCCGAGAATGGTGATTCCCAGCTTCATCTATGTCCCTGCAAAGGACGTGAACTCATCCTTTTTTATGGCTGCATAGTATTCCATGGTGTATATGTGCCACATTTTCTTAATCCAGTCTATCATTGATGGACATTTGGGTTGGTTGCAAGTCTTTGCCATTGTGAATAGTGCTGCAATAAACATACGTGTGCATATGTACCTACAGTAGAATGATTTATAATCCTGGGATTGCTGGGTCAAATGGTATTTCTAGTTCTAGATCCTTGAGGAATCACCACACTGTCTTCCACAATGGTTGAACTAATTTACACTCCCACCAACAGTGTAAAAGCATTCCTATTTCTCCACATCCTCTCCAGCATCTGTTGTTTCTTGACTTTTTAATGATTGTCATTCTAACTGGCATGAGATGGTATCTCATTGTGGTTTTGATTTGTGTTTCTCTAATGACCAGTAATGATGAGCTTTTTTCATATGCTTGTTGGCTGCATAAATGTCTTCTTTTGAGAAATGTCTGCTCTTATCCTTTGTCGACTTTTTGATGGGGTTGTTTTTTTTTCTTGTAAATTTGTTTAAGTTCTATGTAGATTCTGGATATTAGCCCTTTGTCAGTTGGATAGATGGATAGATTTCAAAAATTATCTCCCATTCTGATGGTAGTTTCTTTTTCTTTGCAGAAGCTCTTTAGTTTAATTAGATCCCATTTGTCAATTTTAGCATTTGTTGCCATTGCTTTTGGTATTGTAGACATGAAGTCTTTGCCCATGCCTATGTCCTGAATGGTATTGCCTAGGTTTTCTTCTGGGATTTTTATGGTTTAAGGTCTTATGTTTAAGTCTTTAATCTATCTTGAGTTGATTTTTGTATACGGTGTAACGAAGGGGTCCAGTTTCACTTTTCTGCATATGGCTAGCTAGTTTTCCCAACACCATTTATTAATAGGGAATCTTTTCCCTGTTGCTTGTTTGTGTCAGGTTTGTCAAAGATAAGATGGTTGTAGATGTGTGGTTTTATTTCTGAGGCCTCTGTTCTGTTCCATTGGTCTATATATCTGTTTTGGTACCCGTACCATGCTGTTTTGGTTACTGTAGCCTCGTAGTATAGTTTGGAGTCAGGTAGCATGATGCCTCCAGCTTTGTTCTTTTTGCTTAGGATTGTCTTGGTTATGTGGGCTCTTTTTTGGTTCTATATGAAGTTTAAAGTAGTTTTTTCCAGTTCCGTGAAGAAAAGCAATGGGCAGTGTGGCCATTTTCATGATACTGATCCTTCCTTTCCATGAGCATGGACTGTTTTCCCATTCGTTTGTGTCCTCTCTTATTTCCTTGAGCAGTGGTTTGTAGTTCTTCTTGAAGAGGTCCTTCCCTTGTAAGTTGTATTCCTAGGTATTTTATTCTCTTTGTAGCAATAGTGAATGGGAGTTCACTCATGATTTGGCTCTCTGGATTTTTTTTTTTTTTTTTGAGATAGAGTCTTGCCCTGTCACCCAGGCTGGAGTGCAGTGGTGTGATCTCAGCTCGCTGCAACCTCTGCTTCCCTGGTTCAAGCATTTCTCCTGCCTCAGCCTCCCCGGTAACTGGGATTACAGGCAACTGCCACCACACCCGACTTTTTTTTTTTTTTTTGTATTTTTAGTAGAGATGGGTTTCACCATGTTGGTCAGTCTGGTCTTGAACTCCTGACCTCGTGATCCGCCCACCTCTGCCTCCCAAAGCGCTGGGATTATTGGCTCTCTGTTTGTCTGTTATTGGTGTATGGGAATACTTGTGCTTTTTGCACATTGATTTTGTATCCTGAGACTTTGCTGAAGTGCTTACCAGCTTAAGAAGATTTTGGGCTGAGACAATGGGTTTTTCTAAATACACAATCTTGTCATCTGCAAACTGAGAAAATTCGACTTCCTCTCTTCCTATTTGAATACCCAGTATTTCTTTCTCTTGCCTGATTGCCCTGGCCAGAAGTTCCAATACTATGTTGAAAAGGAATGGTGAGAGAGGGCATCCTTGTCTTGTGACGGTTTTCAAAGGGAATGCTTCCAGTTTTTGCCTATTCAGTATGATATTGGCTGTGGGTTTGTCATAAATAGCTTTACTATTTTAAGATACGTTCCATTGATACCTAGCTTATGGGGATGCTAATATCATGCTAGGTATTAGCATGAAGGGGTGTTGAATTTTGTTGAAGGCCTTTTCTGCACCTATTGAGATAATCATGTGGTTTTTGACATTGTTGCTGTTTATGTGATGAATCACATTTATTGATTTGTGTATGTTGAACCAGCCTTGCATCCCAGGGATGAACCTGATTTGATTGTTGTGGATAAGTTTTTGATGTGCTGCTGGGTTCGGTTTGCCAGTATTTTATTGAGGATTTTTGCGTCGATGTTCATCAGGGATATTTGCCTGAAATTTTCTTTTTTTGTTGTGTCTCTGCCAGGTTTTGGTATCAGGATGATGCTGGCCTCATAAAATGAGTTAGGGAGGATTCCCTCTTTTTCTATTGTTTGGAATTGTTTCAGAAGGAATGATACCAGCTCCTCTTTTTACCTCTGGCAGAATTTGGCTGTAAATCCATCTGGTCCTGGACTTTTTTGGTTGGTAGGCTATTAATTACTGCCTCAATTTCAGAACTTGTTATTGCTCTATTCGGGGATTCAACTTTTTCCTGGTTTAGACGTGGGAGGGTGTATGTGTCCAGGAATTTATCCATTTATTCTAGATTTTCTAGTTTATTTGCGTAGACATGTTTATAGTAGTCTCTGATGGTAGTTTGTATTTCTGTGAGATCAGTGGTGATATCCCCTATATCATTTTTTATTCCATCTATTTGATTCTTCTCTTTTCTTCTTTATTAGTCTTGCTAGCAGTCTGTCTATTTTGTTGATCTTTTCAAAAAACCAGCTCCTGGATTCATTGATTTTTTGAAGGGTTTTTTGTGTCTCTATTTCCTTCAGTTCTGCTCTGCTCTTAGTTATTTCTTGTCTTCTGCTAGCTTTTGAATTTGTTTCTTCATGGTGTCGATGGTCTTTACAATTGTGTATGTTTTTGCAGTGGTTGCTACCAGTTTTTCCTTGCCATGTTTAGTGCTTCCTTCAGGAGCTCTTGTAAGGCAGACCTGGTGGTGATAAAATCTCTCAGCATTTGCTTGTCTCTAAAGGATTTTATTTCTCCTTAGCTTATGAAGCTTAGTTTGGCTGGATATGAAATTCTGGGTTGAAAATTCTTTTCTTTAAGAATGTTGAATATTGGCCCCCACTCTCTTCTGGCTTTGAGGATTTCTGCTGAGAGATCCACTGTTAGCCTGATGGGCTTCTGTTTATGGGTAACCTGACCTTTCTCTCTGGCTGCCCTTAACATTTTTTTCTTCATTTCAACCTTGGTGAATCTGACGATTATGTGTCTTGGGGTTGCTCTTCTCGAGGAGTATCTTTGTGGTGTTCTCTGTATTTCCTGAATTTGAATGTTGGCCTGTCTTGCTAGGTTGGGGAAGTTCTCCTGGAAAATATCCTGAAGTGTGTTTTCCAGCTTGGTTCCATTCTCCCTGTCACTTTCAGGTACATCAATCAAATATAGATTTGGTCTTTTCACATATTCCCATATTTCTTGGAGGCTTTATTCATTCCTTTTTATTCTTTTTTCTCTAATCTTGTCTTTTCACTTTATTTCATTAAGTTGATCTTCAATTTCTGATATCCTTTCTTCTGCTTGATTGATTCAGCTATTGATACTTGTTTATGCTTCATGAAGTTCTCGTGCTGTGTTTTTCAGCTCCATCAGGTCATTTATATTCTTCTCTAAACTGGTTATTCTAGTTATCAATTCATCTAACCTTTTTTCAAGGTTCTTAGCTTCCTTACATTGGGTTAGAACATGCTCCTTTAGCTTGAAGGAGTTTGTTATTACCCACCTTCTGAAGCCTACTTCTGTCAATTCGTCAAATTCATTCTCTGCGCAGTTTTGTTCCCTTGCTGGAGAAGAGTTGTGATCCTTTGGAGGAGAAGAGGTGTTCTGGTTTTTGGAATTTTCAGCATTTTTGCACTGGTTTCTCCCCATCTTTGTTGATTTATCTGCCTTTGGTCTTTGATGTTGGTGACCTTCAGATGGGGTCCTTGAGTGGACGTACTATTCTTTTCTGTTTGTTAGTTTTCATTCTGACAGTCAGGAAACTGTCTGCAGCAGGTCCACTGGAGTTTGCTGGAGGTCCATTCCACATCCTGTTTGCCTGGGTATCACCAGTGGAGTCTGCAGAACAGCAAAGATTGCTGCCTGTTCTTTCCCCTTTCCAGGGAAGCTTTGTCCCAGAGGGGCACCTGCCAGATGCCAGCCAGAGCTCTTCTCTATGAGGTGTCTGTCGGTCCCTACTGGGGACCCAGGATAAACGGGCGTCAGGGACCCACGTGAGGAGGCAGTCCGACCCTTAGCAGAGCTCGAACGCTGTGCTGGCATGTCCACTGATCTCTTCAGAGCCGTCAGGCAGGGAAATTTAAGTCTGCTGAAGCTGTGCCCACAGCTGCCCTTCCCCCAGGTGCTCTGTCCAGGGAGATGGGAGTTTTATCTATAAGTTCCTGACTGGCGCTGCTGCCTTATTTTCAGAGATTCCCTGCCCAGAGCTGCTGAGTAGTATTTCATTGTATGAATATATCACACAACTTGTATATTGATTGTCCTGTTGATAGCATTTGGGTTATTTTTAGTTTGGAATTATTATGAATAAAACTACTGTAAACATTGCTAAAGTCTTTTGCTGTGGACACACAATTTCATTTCTCTAGGTTACATATCTAGCAGAAAAATCATTGGCCATAGTTTAACCTTATAAGAAACTTTACCTAACAGTTCTCTAAAGTGATTACATCTGTTTTCAATCTCACCAACAATGAATGAATTCCAATTTCTTCACATATACATGTAAACATTGGATATTATGTCTTTTAATTTTAGCTATTTTTGTAGGTGTGAAATCATACCTTACTGTGGTTTTACTGTGCATTTCCCTGATGGCTAGTGATGATGAGTACTATATTATGTGCTTATTGGCCATTTCTGTATCTTCTTTTGTAATATGTCTGTTCAAGACCTTTTACTCATTTAAAAAAATTGTGTTGTTTTTCTTTTTATTATCTATATGTTTTCTGATATGAGTCATTTGTCAGAAATATTTAATGCAAACATTGGCTTGCATTCTTAAATGGTGTCTTTTAAGGAATGGAAATGTTTAATTTTGATGAAATCTCATGTACTTATTTTAAAACTGCTAGTGGTTTCTGTGTCCTGAGAAATATTCATCTTAATCCAAAGTTGTGAAGATACTCTCTTATGTTTTTTCTTTGAAGACTTATAGTTTTAGTTTTTACATCTAGATCTATGTTCCATTTAATTTTCTTATGTGAAATGAGGTAGGAGTCCAGGTTCATTTTATTCCATGTGTTTATTCAGTTGATTCAGCAATGTTTGTTGAAAAGACTTTCCTTTTCTATCCAACTACTTTGACATTTTTGTTGAAAATCAATCGACCATGTAAGTGTGGGTCTGTTACCGAAACTCTATTGTGTTCTGTTCTATGCCTATCTTTATGTCAATATAGTACCATGCTTTCTTGATTTCTGCAGCTTATAGTAAGTTGCTATGGTTTGGATGTTTGCCCCCTCTGAAACTCATGTTGAAACTTAATCTCCAGTGTAAAGGTACTGGGAGGTGGGTCCTTTAAGAGGTGATTGGGTCATGAGGGTTCTGTTCTCACCGTTAGATACATCCTTTTCATGGGTTAGTTTATTAGTGGGTTACCATGGGAGTGGGTTAGTTATCAGGAAAGTAGTTCTGTTATAAAAAGCCAGGTAGGTTCTCTCTCCTGAGCCCCCTCACCATGTGGTACCCTGCACCACATTGAGACTCTGCAGAAAACCCCCACCAGCTGTAAGGTCCTCACCAGATTTCGCCCTTAGACTTTGGACGTTCCAGCCTTCAGAACTATAAAAAATAAATGTATTTTCTTTATAAATTACTCCATCTCAGGTATTGAGTTATAACAACAGAAAGCAGACTGACATAAGTCAGTATCAGTTAATATCAGTTCTCCAACTTTGTTATTAAGAGAGTTCTTTTTCAAGACTGTTCCAATTCAAAATCATTTGCATTTTATATCTGTTTTAGAATATTTGTTAATTTAAAAAATTGGGATTTTGTTGAATCTATAGAACATATGTGGAGGGTGGACATGTTAATAATATTGAGTCTTTTAATTCTGAATATGGATCTCTCCATTTATTTGGTTTCTTTAATTTTGCAATGTTTCAGTACGGGGGTCTTTCCATATTTCATTAGCTTCATTTCCACATTTATAATACTTTTGATACTATTGAAAATGGTATTTTTTTCCCAATAAAGAAACCATTAATCTTGTGTCTTGTGACCTTGCTAAATTCACTTTGTTCTACTATTGTTTTTGTAGATTCCACTTTCTATGTAGATTATCACGTTTTCCATAAAAAATGATGGTTTTATTTTTTCCTTTATAATCTTTACATGTTTTATTTCTCATTTGTGCCCATGGCTGTAGCTAGAACTATCCTTGTACATTTTTGAATAGAAATGGTATGAGAATGTATCCTTAGCTACTTACTGATTTAAGAAGGAAAGAATTTAGTATTTCACAACTCAATGTGATGTTGTATGTCGATTTTTTTATAGACAGCATTCACATTCATAGGTTAAGTCCTACTCTTAGTTTGCTGAAAGTTTTATCATAAATGAGTATTAAATTTTGTTAGGAACTTTTGATGCTCTACCAATAAATTGAGATGTTCATGTGATTTTTTTTCTAGTCTCTTACCAAAGTACATTATATAAGTTGAATTTTGAGTGTTAAACCAATCTTGCATCTCTCTAATAAATCCCACATGGTCATGATATTTTAAATTATATTGCTAGATTTAATTAGCTAGTATTTTGTTTTAGATTTTTATATCCTTGTTCATAAAGAATAATGGAAAATTTACTTGTATGCTAAATCAATGGACTGTAATTTTCTTACTTTGTAATATCTTTGTCTAGGTTTTCTTTTTAATTAGGGTTATGTTGGCCTCATAATAAAAATTGGGGGGAGTTCACTTCTCCTTTATTTTCATTTAATTCCACCAAAACAAATAGTTTTATTTTATTTTTTTCCCTTGACTGTTTTGTAGAAATTGTTGGAAGAAATTACTGGTGAAGCTATCTGGACCAGGAGTTTTCTTTGTGTGAATGTTTTTGATTAATAATTTAACTTCTTTAACAAATAATTGGACCAATTTCAATAAATAGTGTTTTTCAAAGACTTTGTTCAGGCCGGGCGCGGTGGCTCACGCCTGTAATCCCAGCACTTTGGGAGGCCGAGGCGGGTGGATCATGAGGTCAGGAGATCGAGACCATCCTGGCTAACAAGGTGAAACCCCGTCTCTACTAAAAATACAAAAAATTAGCCGGGCGTAGTGGCGGGCGCCTGTAGTCCCAGCTACTCGGGAGGCTGAGGCAGGAGAATGGCGTGAACCCGGGAAGCGGAGCTTGCAGTGAGCTGAGATTGCGCCACTGCAGTCCGCAGTCCGGCCTGGGCGACAGAGCGAGACTCCGTCTCAAAAAAAAAAAAAAAAAAAAGACTGTTCATTTCGCCTGTCCACTTACCCTTTTAATGTTTATACAATCTGTAGTGGTGCTTTCTATTTGAATACTGACTTAGGCAATTATTTATGTTTTCTCTGTTGTTTCTTGGTTATAATTACTAAGGCATATCAATATATTTATTTGTCCAAAGAATTAACTTTTTAATTATTTATTTTTTAATTGTCTTTCAAATTTATATTTCATAGTTTTTTATACCTTTTCTACTTTTCTACTTTTTTTCTACTTTTTTATTGTAGTTTTTCTAGCTTCTTAAGGTGGAAGCTTAGATATTGGTTTCTTTTTTTTAATATATGCTTTTAAAGCTAAAATTTCTCTGTAAGTGCTGCTTTAGCTGTATCACAAAATATTTGATTTAAAAAATTATTCAGTTTGAAATATTTAAAAACTTTTCCTTTGACTTTTTAAAACTCATGGATTATTTAGAAGTATGTTGCTTAATTTCAAAGTATTTTAGGACTTTCACTTCTGAAAATCTATAGGACAACTACAGATCCTACAGATAATAGAAAGATGATAAGTGGACAGGTGAAATAGCCAAAGTCCTAGAAAAATACTATTTATTGAAACTGGTCCAATTATCTATTAATAAGTTACATTTTTAATAAAAAGCATTTCCGCAAAACTTCATATCCAGATGCCATCGCCAATATTTTCTAATTAAATGCCCTTTGGTCAAGGAACATAATCTGTATGGTTTCAATTTTTTGAAATCTGAGACTTGTTTTCTCTCCAGCATATTGTCTTTTTGGTGACTGTTTCATATGCATTACAAAACAATGTGTCTTCTTCTGTTGTTAGTTGGAGTGTTTTGTAAATATTAACTAGGTGAAACTGGTTAATAATAGTGTTGTCCCAACCTTCTGTTCCACTACTAATTTTTTCTGTTCTAATTAAATAATACTGAGGACTGGATATTAAAACTTCACATTATTTTTAATGTGTCTCTGCTTATTTTTTTTCATTTTTTGTTTCATATATTTAGAAGCTTTAATATTAGATGTCTACACATTTAGGATTTTTATCTCTTTCTGATTGAATGCTCAGTTTATTACCAGAAAATTTCTGTCTAAAATTCTTACTGCTGTCCCTCTGTAGGTAATGTATCACTTTTCCTCTGGCCACTTTTAGGAATTTTATATTTTATTTTGATTTTCAGTTGATTGAATATGATGTATGTAGGCATGATTTACTTTGTGTCTCGCTTGGGGTTTGCTGAAGTTCTTTGATCCGAGAATTGTGGCTTTCATTAATTCGGAAAATTTTTGGCCATGTCTTTTCAAATATTTCTTCATTCTCTCCTTTTCACCAGAAAAATTTACTTATATGCTAAATCAAGATCACTTGATATTGTTCCATAAGTTCTAGATGCTCTATTCCTTTTATCATGTTTTTATGCCTTGGGGTTTCATTTTTTGATAATTTCTATTGACTTATCCTCAAGTTTACTTATCTTTTCCTCCAGTGGATGCAGGTAAACCCGTTGCATAAACCATTTTCTGATGTTTGTTTAACTGCAAGCATTTTTCTTTGTATCTTTTTGTATAGTTTTCATCTGCCTTCTGAAATTTCCCACATCTTTGTACGTGTTTTCCATCTTATTCACTAGATCCTTTAATGTATTTATCACTGCCATTTTACAAACACTTTTTGCTACTTCTGATATTTAGATAAACTTTGGATCTGCTTATGGTGTTTTTCTCCTGATCAGGAATAAAAATTTCTTGCTTCTTTTCAAGTCTTGGCCACTGTTTTATATTTGAGGAAGTCTCTGGGTACCTGGAGAGGAAGAGGGACAGACTCTCTCTAGGCTGTTCTATACTGTTGCCAACTTTCTATGGACTACTTATCTACTCCGTATATTTAGTTAAGGCTCACCAGAAGGAACTGCTGAATGAAGGAATGCTTGTTGCGTGGCAGAGACTCCTCAGATTTCCAATCTGTTACACCAGCTTTGAGTGATTTTTTATATGCTGTGGCAAATTCCTTCTCATCAGTATTCCCTTTCTGCCAGAGATTAAAGCAGTTGTGAATCATTTCTATATGACAAAGGGTTAATAACTTCTGGAATTTGGTTCTTTTAGGTTTCTTTAAATTATTTCATTTCTGCTGGGCTTAAAAAGCATATGAATTTGTACTTTATCTGGTATGTACTCATTGTTGTGAATGACAATCTCTTGCAACTTTCTACATTCTAACCAGAAATGAAGTTCTTGGACTTATTTTAGATGGTGTATGAAAACTATGTAACTGAGTCTTTATGAATTAAATAAAACAGGTCTTAATGTTTACAATTACATCTTATTTTAAAAATTAAATTCCATCAGCTGTATCTTAGACATATTTTCACTAAATACTCTTTGAGTGTCCCTTAAATACAAACCCACGTTTAAAAGAAAAATGTTTGCTAATATTCAGATAGTAAAAAGAATGAGATAAGGTTCTACAGGCTACGCCCAAAGGATAAATTTGAGTAAATATTTTGCAAAAAGCTCAAATTTTAGAAAATGTGTATGCTTTTCTGAAGACAATTAAGAATTAAGGTTTATCATGGTCTTTAGCCACTATTCATTGTCCTCCTGCATTAATATATTTAACATTTGGCTGTTTTAAACAGATTTAAGTTAATTCTAATAGTCACAAAATTAGCTGTACTTCAATTGGCTCTTGTTTCAAAATGTAAATGTATAATGGCTAGATGTTGACTTTAATTAATATATTTAACTTGCCTTTTTTTTCCCCCTAGGAATCCTAAAACCAAAATATTAGAACGAAAACAGAAACATGGCTCACTATATTACATTTCTCTGCATGGTTTTGGTGCTGCTTCTTCAGAATTCTGTGTTAGCTGAAGATGGGGAAGTAAGATCAAGTAAGAACTATCAGCATTGTCCTTTTTTGTTATCAACAAATTAATCTGGAAATTAAACTAGGGGAGTTCAAGTAATGGTTTTAAGGATCTCATTCTTACTGTCTTTGATTCTGTAACTCCCTAAAATAAATGAATTGCTATGTTACTCATTAACTGAGAAGAAAAGCTTCCCTCAGAGATAATTTTGAGATGACTCTATGGCAATAGTTTATTCAATTAACACATCAAGCTTTGGAACAAACAGTCTGGTATTGAGTCCATGTTCAGCCACTTTTGAACTGCATGATAGGAAGATAAAGAAAGCCTTCTAGATTGGTTATCAGGACTGAATGAGATAATGCATGTCAAAGGCTTAGCACAGTACATCTCAGTGAATGTTATTATTGCTTGTAGGAAAGCTTGCCTATAGAGATAAAGAGCTATATTAATTATAGTTCTGTTACCCAGACTATCATTTAGAGATAGCACACTTTTTTTTAAAAAAAAGTTTGCTTATGTTCACATTTTAAAACTCATAAGCATCCTACTATAAATTAACTAAGGTCTCTATAAAAGTTAAATGAGATGGTTTGACAATTTGATTCAACTTGGCTTAAAATTTATTAATACAATAATATTTAAAGCTTGCTTAACACTTCTATAGTTTAATTCATGCAATCACTGTATAATGTGGATGCCCTTTCCTTTGTTTTTTTCTTGGGTGGAAAACGGGATTTTAATAAGTTAAGGGGCTTACCTAGCATCATACAGCTTGTGAGGGCAGTAACTAGTATTTGAACCATGTTTTTGCTCTTCAGTCCCATTCCTTTTCTATGATGTCATTCATCTCTCTAAGGAAGAGGTTCTCAGGATGGATATTATGTCTAGGGCTTATAAATGGCATTATTTGCTTGTATGCCCATGCTGTTGACTAACTTTACAGTTATGAAATACATGCTCTGTGGCCCTGTGACAGGGAGAAGGGTAGGAAGGGCCAAGAATAACCCTCTTAGAGTGAAAACCACTGAATCAGGTGGCACACAAACACTAACAGCTTCAGACAACAATGAGTCTCAGTATTTAGGAAGGGCCAACATTGAAAAGCTCTGCCAACAAGCTTTTCTATCCTTTCGTCTCCCTGCAAAAAAAAAACAAAAAACAAAAAACAATAAAAGCATAACCCTTTAATCCTAGTCCATCCAGCTTCCAAGCTTCCAAAAATAACAGAAAAATTGCATTCCCTTGGGTTAGGAAGTTTGCCTCTGGACAGAACTCCATTTCTGCTGTCCCTACTTTGACCTCTGGCAGTGGCCGCCATGGCAGAGGTTGTTGGAATTGTGTCCCTTACACCTTCTGAGGATACTACCACCTGCAGTAGAACACTTTAGGAATAATGTCATAATCACAGACACATTTTTGAGACAAATCCATATTTTGGCAATTCTTTTTATTTTTGGAACTTCTTGACTGCTATAAATTTAGGAGGGGATGGCAACCTAACTGTGGAAGGTCAGGAAAGGTTTTATGATAAAGCCGACAGGCAATCAGGGATCTGAAACAAGAGTATTAGTCAGGTGAAGAGGAAGACATTCTAATAAAAGGGAAGAGCAACTGCAAAGGCCCAGAGTTGGGAGACTGACACAGACTAAAAGATAAACTGGTTCGTTGGGGCAATTCCAATAGTTTGGAATGGCTAACAGAATGCGCAGAAAAGAACAGCTATATTTGTCTTCTTCTCTAACTTCTGTTCTTAAAGCAGCAATAATAGTTATTATTTATAGCCTGTATGATAATGAGATAATTTTATATTCATGCTTTGTTTTACATTTAGCATGTTAGCATTTGTAACAGGGGAAGTCTTTTTCTTTCCACAACTGCTTATAACTTGTTCAAATGTAACTTGCACCAAAGATGGTATTTTTTTTTCCCCAAAAGGACCTTAGGATGTGTTGACCAGATGTGTTTCCTGGTATCTTGAAACAAGAATCTCTATCTCTACTAAGCAAGGAATAGCTTTATACCTTTAACCATAGATTGTTAGTACAAGCTAATGCTCTGACATTATTCACTGAATATGAGACATCAGACCTTTAGAAACTCATCTTGGATATAATGCAAGAGTTGATTCATTGGGTGATCTTGGTTCATTTAACTTTTATCAACTATTAATATATCAAAGATGAAATTTTATTGGTTAGCTAAGTCCTGGAGTTGGTAGAAAATTTGTTTTTAATTTTTTTCTCCCTATTCACTGGCTTATATTTTTGTAATATTTCACGTTAGCATTAAGCTAAACATATTTCACAGACAATTTAAAATAAGCAATGATATTAGTGTATAGCTGAAACTCATATATTTAAAATCTCTCCCTTTTTGCTTTTTATATAAAAGATGTGCTATGATGGTTTTCTTTTGCACTTAGGTTGTCGTACTGCTCCGACAGATTTAGTTTTCATCTTAGATGGCTCTTATAGTGTTGGCCCAGAAAACTTTGAAATAGTGAAAAAGTGGCTTGTCAATATCACAAAAAACTTTGACATAGGGCCGAAGTTTATTCAAGTTGGAGTGGTTCAATATAGTGACTACCCTGTGCTGGAGATTCCTCTCGGAAGCTATGATTCAGGAGAACATTTGACGGCAGCAGTGGAATCCATACTCTACTTAGGAGGAAACACAAAGACAGGGAAGGCCATCCAGTTTGCGCTCGATTACCTTTTTGCCAAGTCCTCACGATTTCTGACTAAGATAGCAGTGGTACTTACGGATGGCAAATCCCAAGATGACGTCAAGGATGCAGCTCAAGCAGCAAGAGATAGTAAGATAACATTATTTGCTATTGGTGTTGGTTCAGAAACAGAAGATGCCGAACTTAGAGCTATTGCCAACAAGCCTTCGTCTACTTATGTGTTTTATGTGGAAGACTATATTGCAATATCCAAAATAAGGGAAGTGATGAAGCAGAAACTTTGTGAAGGTAAGCCTTAAAATGCCTTAATATAATTTGGAAGCAATTAATAATTGTGCTTTTTACATTTTGATATAATTTCTTCATTAACACTGGTGTAAATTGTTATATTTAATGTCAATTATAATGTTACAACATTTATAATGTTATAAATGTTATATTTATACTGTGAGCATAAATTTTTTGTGTTGTATGTATTTAGGATAAATTTTGGTTTTTAGAAATAAGTTACAAATCTATGGAAAATACAATATTTTGTAACATTTATTATTTTTCCTTTCAATTATAACATGTCTATTGTAGAAATTGTAGAAAAAGGCACAAAGAATAAAAATATATATAAATCACACATAATCATATCACCCCGTTAATGAGTTTTTCTGTACTTTACATTCTAGTTTTTTTCCTTTTTTCCCCAGTGTGTTTTAGTTTATCCTTCTGCCTAAATCAAGATACTATTGCATATATAATTTCATACTTTATTTTTGTATGATATACTCTTGTGTATACAATTTTTATACTCTATTCATAGGATAGCAGACAATTTCCTACTGTAATTTATTTTAAATTTTTCCTGTTTTTGTACATTTAGTTTATTTCTAAGTTTTGCTAATATAAATGACAAAAATGAATATTCTTGTACATAATTCTGAGCTAGAATTTCATTATTTCTTCAGAAAAAAGCTTCAAATTACTGACATTTTTAAAGTTGGGGGAAAACGTTAAAATTGCACTTTAAAAAGCTTAACTTCCCTTTCACAGAACATTTGAAAATAACAGTTTATTAATTATGTTTATATCATTTCATAAAATCTAACTTCATGTTCATGATAACTGCATGGTATGGGAAGGTCCCAGTTTTGGTAAATATTAATCCTATTAGGGCATAGATATGCTAATATTCAGATTATTTTAGGGGAGAGTAATTTTTTGTATCTCTTATTTTTAATATTATAGGCATTTAGTGTACCATATTAAAGTAATATTCATATAAAGTGAATATTAGTTTGTCTACAAAAACTCCCAAAGTGGGTGGCTTCACATTTGACAAAAAAATCCTGTGTGTTTATGAGTTAGGAAACAAATTATATCATTAATTCCTCTGTTTTCTTCATATTTGCTTGTGGGATATGGTAGAGAAAAACTTTTTAAATTTTCATATTTAAGAGAATATAGAAAATTAAACGTCTTCTTCCATGAAACTTTAAATAAAGGTACTGTAATAAGTACAAATCACCACCATAGTTCTTCTTTTTATGAATCTCTAGTAGTTAGATTTTGTTGACATTTATCATACTGAACAGGCCAATGGGATTTAAATTTTTAATATGTGGTCATATTAGTTAGAATTCTTTGATTTTGAAGCCAGGTATATTTCATTCTTAAAACAGACTTTTCCTGGAGAAATTTCACTTATCATTCATTTTTATCTTTAAATATAAATGTAACTGATAAAATGTTTGTTCAATATTTGCTTCAGAGACTTTTTCTGTGGATCTGTATTTTGGTAAATGCATTCTATTTTAATGATTCTAACTACACATGAAAGAGTAGATGTGCTTAGAAGAGTTAAACACTCTTTTAGTTAAAATGTATCATCTATAAACACAATCAAAATTGAAATCTTGCCAAATATATTTTCATCCACACTCGAAAAGATATAAATAATTTATGTGTCTAATCAGTTCACATATCTGTTGCACAATAGCCATCTTTTAAAATGTTTTTGAAAATGCACTTATGGAATTTATATGGATGTTTTCTGCACTCGACTTTTTTTTTTTTTTTTTTTTTTGAGGCAGAGTCTCGCTCTGTCACCCAGGCTGGAGTGCAGTGGTGCAATCTCGGCTCACTTCAAGCTCCGCCTCCCGGGTTCATGCCATTCTCCTGCCTCAGCCTCCCGAGTAGCTGGGACTACAGGCGCCCACCACGCCCGGCTAATTTTTTCTATTTTTTAGTAGAGAACGGGTTTCACCGTGTTAGCCAGGATGAATCTCTATCTCCTGACCTCATGATCCGCCCGCCTCAGCCTCCCAAAGTGCTGGGATTACAGGCGTGAGCCACCGCGCCCAGTCTGCACTTGACATTTTATACTGTATTAGAGTATGATTAATGCATTAAACTAAAACATTGCTATATTACAACAGCCACAAACCATGTAATCTGTATTTGAATCATTTGATAAATTCACATGCTTTTTCTTTGACACATACTTAACTTCTATGTTGAAGTGTTAACATGTAGGATGACCATTTCCTAATACTGTTTATTTTTATACTCTGCTGTAGTTGAATCACAACAAAATATTATTGAGTTAAATAATATTTACCACAGTTTATTCCATCTTTATGGACCTATTATTTCTCTGGAAGAGTTGTCTCTAATACTCTCCTTTCTCTGATAGGTGATGATTCCTTTATCTGTGTAAAAGACTTGTGCTGCTGCTGCAGCTACTACTGCTAGTACTACTACTACTACTACTTCTACTACTACCACTTCCTCTTCTACTACTACTTCTTTTTCTACTACTACTTCTACTACTACTTCCTCCTCCTCCTCTTCTTCTTCCTCCTCCTTCTCCCTCCTCCTTCCTCCTCCCTCTTCCTCCCTGCTCCTGCCTCCCTCATTCCTTCCTCCTCCCTCCTCCTCCTTCCTCCTCCCCCTTCCTCCCCCTTCCTCCCCTTTCCTCCCTTTCCTCCCCCTTCCTCCTCTTTCCTCCCCTTTCCTCTCCCTTCATTCTTCTTCTTCATTTTTCTCTTTCCCCCTCATATAAAACACATTAACATGAAACCTAGTCTTCTAACAAATCTTTAAGTGTACAGTATTGTGAATCATAAGCACAATGTTGTACAGCATATCTTTGGAACTTTTTCATCTTGCTTGACTGAAACCTCCCTCCTTCCTTCCCTCCCTCCTTCTCTTCCTTCCTTCCTTTCTTCCTCCTTCCCCCCCTCCCTCTTTTCCTTCCTCTTTCTTTCTTTCTTTTTTTTGGTAATGGCCAGCCTAACATGTATGAGGTAACATTTCATTGTAGTATTGATTTGCATTTCTCTGATGATTAGTGATGTTGGACATTTTTCATATACCTGTGGCCATTTGTGTGTCATTTTTGGAGAAATGTTTATTTAAGTCCTCAATAAAATTCCTTAATCAGTTTTTTTTTTGTTGCTGAGTTAGAGTTTATTATTTATTTTGAATGTTAACCTCTTATCAGATATATGGTTTGCAAATATTTTATCCCACTTCATAGATTGTCTTTTTACAGAGTTTTTTTTCTCCTTTGCTGCACAGAAGCTTTTTAGTTTGCTGTAATCCCAGTTGTCTATTTTTGCTTTTTTTGTTGCCTGTGATTTTGGAATAAATCCAAGAAATCATTACGAGGCTGATGTTATGAAGCTTTTCCTAGTTTTCTTTTAGAAATTTTATAGTTTCAGATCTTATGTTTAAGTCTTTATTTTGAGTTGTTTTTTGTGTATGGTGTAAAATAAGGGTCCAAAGTTATTCTTTTGCATGTGGATATCCGGTTTTCCCAGCACTATTGATTGAAGAGATCCTTTCCCCGTCGGGCAGTCTTACCACCCTTGTCAAAGATAATTTCATTGATGCATGCAAGAGTGTTTTCTGGGCTCTCTATTCTGTTCCATTTGTCTATATGTTTGTTTTTATGCCTTTACCATACTGTTTTGATTACTCTAGCTTTGCAATATATTTTGAAATCAGGAAGTGTGAGGCCTCCAGCTTAGTTTTTGTTTCCCAAGATTGTTTTGACTGTTTGAGGTCTTTTGAGGTTTCATATAAATTTTAGGAATGCTTTTTCTACTTCTATAAAAAACGTTATTGGGATTTTTATAGGGATTGCATTGAATCTGTAGATCAAGTTAGGCAGTATGGACTTTTTAAATAATATTGTCTACCAATCCATGAACACAAGATATATTTCCATTTATTCCTTCTTCAGTTTCTTTTATCAATGTTTTGTAGTTTTCAGTGTACAAGTTTTTGATTCTTTGGTTAAGTTTATTTCTAAGTATTTTATTTTTATGTTTTATAAATGAGATTATTTTCTTAATTTTCTTTTTAAATTGTTGTTACTGAATAGAAACACAACTGATTTTTATATGTTGAATTTGTATTCTCCAAATTTGCTTAATTGGTTTCTTCTAACCATTTTTTTTGGCATGGAGTCTTTTATGTATAATCATTAGGGTTTTCTATGTTTATGATCATGCTATCTGTGAACAGAGATAATTTTATTTCTTTTGTGATTTGAATGCCTTTTATTTCTTTTCTTGCCTAATTCCTCTGGCTAGTACAATGTTGAATAGAAGTGGTGAAATTAGGTATCTTTGTCTTGTTCCTCATCTTAGAGGAAAAGCTTTTAACATTTTATCATTGAGTGTGATGTTAGCTGTGAACTTTTCAAATATGGTCTTTATTATGTTAAAGTAGTTTCCTTCTATTCCTTACTTGTTGAGTGCTTTTATCATAAAATAGTGCTGATTTTTGTCAATTATTTTTCTGCCTCCATTGAGATGATCATGTTATCTTTTCCTTCATTCTGTCAATGACACATTTATTGATTTTATATGTCAAACTCTTTCATCCTGTGGATAATTCCCATTTGGTCATGGTGTATGATGTTTTCGATGTGCTGTTAAATTCAGTTTGTTAGTGTTTTATTGGGGATATTTACATCTATATTCATCAGGGATATTGGCTTGTAGTTTTATTTTATTATGGTATCTTTTTCTGGCTTTGGTATCAGGTTAATGCTGGCCTTATAAAAATAGTTTAGAAGTGTTTACTCCTCTTCAATTTTTTGAAAGATCTTAAGAAAGATATTAATTCTTCTTTAAATGTCTGGTAGAATTCACCACTGAAGCCACCTGGTACTAGGCTTTTATTGTTGGGGTGTTTTGATTACTGATTTAATTTCCTTTAATCTCTAGTTATAGGTATGTTCATATATTCTATTTATTCATGTTTCAGTTTTGGTAGGTTATATGTTCTAGGAATTTATTCATTTCTTCTAGGTTACCAATTTGTTGATATATAGTCGTTCATAGTGGTCACTTAAAATCCTTTTTATTTCTGTGGCATCAATTGTAATATCTCTTCTTTCACTTCCTGTTTTGAGTCTTCTCTGTTTTTACTTAATTTAGTTAAAGGTTTGTCAATTTTGTTGATTTTTCCAAAAAAGCAACTCTTAGCTTTGTTGACTTCTTTCCATTTTCTATTTTATTTATTACTGCTTAAATCTAAATTATTTTTTTCCTCCTGCTAACTTCGGGCTTAGTTTGTCTTTTTTTTCTGTAGGTCCTTGAGGTATAAAGTTGTTTATTTGATTATTTGATATCCTTTTTCTTTTTTAATGTAGGCATTTATTGCTATAAACTTCTCTCTTAGTACTGTTTTCCTGCATCTCATAAATTTTGGATGTTGTGATTTTGTCATCACGTATTTTCTAACTTTGTCTCTGATTTCTTCTTTGACCTGATGGCTATTCAAAAGTGTGCTATTTAATTTTTACATATTTGTGAATTTTTCAATTTTCCTCCTGTTGTTAATTTTTAGTTTTATTCCATTGTGGTTGGAAAATATACTGGTATGATTTCAGCCTTCTTAAATAAGACATGTTTTGTGATTTAACATGTGGTCTGTCCTGGAGAATGTTTCATGTGCAATTGAAGGGAATGTGTATTCTGCTGCTGTTTGGTGGAATATTCTGTATGCATCTGCTAGGTTCATTTGGTCTATAGTATTGTTCAAGTCTTCTATTTCCTTATTGATCTTCTGTTTGAATGTTCTAATCATTATTGAAATCCTCTACTATTATTGTGTTTCTTTCTATTTCTCCCTTCAGTTCTGTATATGTCTGCCTCGTATTTTTGTTATCATGATGTTGGCTGCATATATAATCATAATTATTATATCTTCCTGGTGAGTTGACCCTTTTATCATAGTAGGATATCTTTCTTTGTCTCTTGTTATAGTTTTGTACTGTGTGATATAAGTATAGACATCTCTGATGTCTTTTGGCTACCATTTGCATGGAATATCTTTTTTCATTTTTTCACTTACAGCCTATGTGTGTCCTTAAA
Source organism: Homo sapiens (assembly GCF_000001405.40). Classification (NCBI taxonomy): domain Eukaryota; kingdom Metazoa; phylum Chordata; class Mammalia; order Primates; family Hominidae; genus Homo; species Homo sapiens. The sequence continues at coordinate 56,173,485 of NC_000006.12, read as the reverse complement.
TTTAAAGTGAGTCCTTTTCATTTCTCTTTTCTTTTCCTTTCCCTTTTCCCTTTTCCCCCCTTCCCTTCCCTTTCTTTCCCTTCCTTCCCCTTCCCCTTCTCCTTTCCCTTTCCTTTGTCTCATTCTGTTGCGCAGGCTGGAGTGCAGTGGCATGATCATAGCTCACTGCAGCTTCAACCTCCCAGACTCAGTCAATCCTCCCACCTCAGCCTCCTGAGTAGCTGAGACTACAGGCACATGCCACCATGCATGGCTAATTTTGTTGTTTTTTGTTTGTTTGCTTTTGTTTTTGTTTTTGTAGAGATGGGGTTTTGCCATGTTGCCCAGGCTAGAGTCTTTCATAGATAGTATATAGCTGGATCTGTAGCTCTAAACCATTCAGTCTCTCTATGTACTTTGATTAAGGAGTATACTCACTTACATTTAAGGTAATTACTGATAGGGAAAAATTATTGTTGCCATTTTGGTAATTATTTTCTGTCTTTCCTGTAGCTTTTTGTCCCTCTTTTTTTCTTTTACTGTCTTCCTTTGTGTTTTATTGCTTTTTTTGTAGTGATGTCCTTTATCATTTTATTTATCTTCCGTAGGTATTTTCTTTGAGGTTATCATAGGGGTTACATGAAACATCATGTAATTATAACAACTTATTTTAAGTTGGTATGAAATTAAATTACATATAAATATTCTATATTTTTGCTACCTGTCCTTTGTTACTGATGCCACAAATTGCATCTTTTTATATTTTATATCTGTTAACATATTTTTAAAGTTACAGTTTTTAAAAATGCTTTTGTCTTTTAACTTTTACACCAGAATTAAAAGTCATTTATGCACACTGTTACAGTATTATAATATTGTGTGTCTGTCTATATATTTACTTTTATCTGAAAAATTTATACTATCTTATGCTTTTATGTTGCTGATTAGTATACTTCTGTTTGATCTTGAAGGACTCCTTGAGAATTTCTTATAAGGCAGGTCTGATGGTGATGAACTTTCTCAGCTTGTGTTTATCTAGAAAAGTCTTTATTTCTCCTTCATTTTTGAAGAACAGTTCTGCCAGACATAGCATTCTTGTTTGGCAGGTTTTTTCTTTCCTTTCAGCACTTTGAATATGTCATCCCACTCCTGGCCTGCAATGGTGCTATTGAGAAATCTGCTGATAGTCTTATCAAGGTTCCCTTGTACATAACAAGTCTCTTTTTTCTTGCTGCTTTCAAAATGTGATCTTTGCCTTTAACTTTTGACGATTAGATTACAATGTGTCTCAGTGTGGATTTCTTTGGGTTTAACTTAGCATATATTAGGCTTCTTGAATTCGAGTATCCATATCCTTTCCCAGATTTGGGAAGTTGTTGGCCTCATCTCTTTAAATAAGCTTTTTGTCCCCTTTTCACCCTCTTCTTTTTTTTTTTTCTGGAACTCGCAAAATGCATATATTGGTATGCTTGATGGTGTTGCTTAAATCTCTTAGGCTTTCTTCACTCTTTCTCTTCCTTTTTCTTTTTGTTTCTCTAACTGGATAATTTCAAATGACCAATTATTGAGTTTGCTGATTCTTTTCCCTCTGCTTGTTAAAGTCTGCTATTAATCATCTTTAGTAAATTTTTTCAGTCATTGTATACTTCAGCTAAAGTATATCATACTTATTACCTATATAGCTGACTATGTAATGCTAATGATTATTCTTAAGAAAATATTCTTTATAAGTATGATTAATATATAATTATAGATGAGATAATATGTCCGTCTGAAGAACTTTCATGAATAGATGGGACCCAGGTTAAGTTTTTTCCAGAGAGACAGACTAATGATATTTGAGCTATAGAAATATAAGCTGCTTGAACTGGAAAGAAAATCAAGAACAGAAAATACTTTTTACCCCTTAAATGCTAAGAATGCAAGAAAAGAATTTTAGTGTTCATTTTTGAATTAAATAAATTAAAAGCATTATCCAAAGTTGTATGACTAGTTAATAGGAAATCCTGGATGAGAATGATAAATCCTGTTCCATTGTTTTTCTTTTCCATAGGTGTTATATTGTCTCATATTGCTATTGTCTCAATTTTTTGCTAAAGACAATACATTAACAAATATTTATATTTTTGTTTTACTTTTATCCCTTATTTTTTAGAGAAAAAAGCATATTAAGATCTCACTCTTAAATGTGTAAAATACTTCTACATTTTCTCAGAAAATGTATTCATATACATTTATATACTATACATTTGTATACATATGTAGATTTTATAATTCTAATGATAGAATACTATATTGTCTAGTATTTCTCCCTTGATTTTTCTTTTATTGTTTGAATAGTCCATGATTAACCAACTTTTATTGCTTTTGCTTTATAGAATCTGTCTGTCCAACACGAATTCCAGTGGCAGCTCGTGATGAAAGGGGATTTGATATTCTTTTAGGTTTAGATGTAAATAAAAAGGTTAAGAAAAGAATACAGCTTTCACCAAAAAAGATAAAAGGATATGAAGTAACATCAAAAGTTGATTTATCAGAACTCACAAGGTATGCATTATATGTTGACACAACTTTTTTGGGGGGATATGTCTGTGGACATGTCAAGAATTCTTTAAGCTTACACTTGCTCTTCTTTTTCTAGCAATGTTTTCCCAGAAGGTCTTCCTCCATCATATGTATTTGTGTCTACTCAAAGATTTAAAGTCAAGAAAATTTGGGATTTATGGAGAATATTAACTATTGATGGAAGGCCACAAATAGCAGTTACCTTAAATGGTGTGGACAAAATCTTATTATTTACAACAACCAGCGTAATTAATGGCTCACAAGTGGTTACCTTTGCTAACCCTCAAGTTAAGGTAAAGATGCCTGGGATAATACCATGATTATGATATTCATGGGGAAGCACTATTGGGTTTATGTGTGTTGGGGAAAAGAGGGCTATAATTTTAACATGATTGGAAATATTTTTACTTTAAATTTTAATGTTTCTGTGTTGAAGAAAACTAACAAAGAAAGGAAAATTGTTTCTTGATCAATATGGGGACAAATGCTGAGGGGGAACTGACATATTTTGAGTGCCTACTACTAGGTACCAGGCACATTTAATTATAATAGCCATCCAATAAAGAAACCATTGCTCCCATTTTGCAGACAAACTAATATTCAAGGATGTTAAGTTCTCCCTCAAAATAGAACAGCTAATAAGTGATGACATCAGGAATTAAATTTTGGTCTAGTTGACGTCAAAGTCCATATTGGTCTGTTTTACACTGCCATGTTCTACAGGATATTTACATGAAGACATATCTGTTAGAATATTAAATACCAGATACATAATAGGTATGAAATTTACCTTAATTTAGGAGGACATTTTATTTACCCTAATGGAATACATATTTAATAGAATATACAAACTTGAAAAAGTTTATTTTCAAAATCATGTTTTCAGAATCCAGATGCAATAATAAAAGTAATTAAGTTTTGCTCATTATTATGATAGTCTAAAGCCATATTACACAGTTTAGGAAATATATATGGTAATATATATAAAGTATGCAATTTCTTCATTTAGTAATTATATTACATTTAAAAAATTGTTATTTGCTGTCTTCATTAAAGCCAGTGTGCCAGATTCTGTAAGAAATGACAAATGAATAAGGCATGTTTCTTACCTTCAAAGAGCGTATTTACAATAGGATATTCAAGGCAACTGGTATGAAATAGAAGTACAAAGTGTTAGTGGAGTGTGGATGGGAAAATGTGTTCTAACATAAAATAAGAGGAAATCTGCATAAATGAAATAATTTTTGAACTGGACCTTGAAGGATGTATAGCATTTTGATGGAGATGAATATAAGGGCGCATTAAATAAATGATTCAGTATTGAGTCATCAGGTGTGTAATAAAATGCAGGGTTTTTATTTAGAGAATGCAAAGTGACTCTCCTGTGTTTACAGTATAAGATGCATGGAAGAAAAAGCTATCTAGGTGTAAGCCCAATTTATGAGGGGCCTGGAAAGCCATATAATGTGGTTTGGACTTTATTCAGTGAATGTTTCATCAAAAGGTCTTGACCATAGTGTGTCATGGTCAAGGCAATCTTCTCTACTTCTTTTTCTTCTTCTGTCCATAAATAATACTTTCAACTTTATCCTTAAATTAGGCCAGGTCCTGGGGATACAGAAATTAATAAGATGGAACATCTCCCCTAACAGAACTGTAGGGAGAGAGATTAATCCTAGTGGTGATCTGAAGGATGGCTTGGAAATGAAAGGGTGAGAGATCTAGATAGATTTGAAAATTATTGAAGTAAAACAAGAGTTCCATGAGCCTAAATTATGGTAGTGACAATGCAAATGAAGAAATGAATTTGAGTCAAGTTGAAGAAATATATTGGGTAGAACTCTGCATCTGGTTAGTTACTGCAACTCAAAGAAAGAAACTTATGTTTAGAGGATGCTATTACGTAGGGAAATGGGGTCAAGAAGAAAACTCTGGGGGGTAGTTCAAGTTTATTTTGTTGCATACGTTGTTGGGCTAATTGTGAAACATCCTGAAAAATTATTCTACCTAGTATTAGAATTATAGGACCCACACATAGGAGAGGTACAGGCTGTTAGTGTAGACATGGTAGTTATTATATACCAGTGATAATTGGCCTGGAGGAATGGATGAGTCAAAGAGGGGGTGAAAAATGTCCAGAATAGACCTATGAGTAATGCCCTCATTAAAGGGTAGGTTGAGGGAGAAGAACACTCAGAGACAGAGAGAGAGAATGAGCAACTAGGGAGGAAGAAATGAAAATGATCAAGATTGTTTGAATTCCAGAAGTTGAGTGAGATTATCAAGGAAGATTGATTAGTTATGGGGCCCAAAGTTGCAATGAAATAAATGAGATGAGGCAAGGAGGGAAGCCATTTGGATTCAGAGATTATTAAACTCATTTATGATTTTGAGGTAGTTGCTTTAGTAAGTTGTTTGACAGTTTCTTTGAAATATGTAATAGGAACTCAGATAAAGATTAATGAAAGAATTGGTGGATAGCATATGAGGTCCACCTTGGATCAGGGTGAATTAATGTATAATACAGTCAGTCTGTGTGGGATGAAGTTTCTCAGCAATGGTTAGGAACAAGGGAGTAAGAACAAAGAAAATAAAATATTGTTAGGGGCTTTATTTATGAATCTTCCACACTTTCTTTTTGTAGACGTTGTTTGATGAAGGCTGGCACCAAATTCGTCTCTTAGTAACAGAACAAGATGTGACTTTGTATATTGATGACCAACAAATTGAAAACAAGCCCTTACATCCAGTTTTAGGGATCTTGATCAATGGGCAAACCCAAATTGGAAAATATTCTGGAAAAGAAGAAACTGTTCAGGTAGATAAATAATGATTTACTCTTTGAATTATATAGAATGAAACTTTTGCTGTCCTTTGTAATAGTTTTCACCACATTTAATCATATTTAACATACTTATGAATTCCCTTAAGTTGTTCACCAAAATGTGGTCAGTTCATTAGTGAAATTATGCATATGTATATGTATTAAAATGCAGAATTGGACTTAATCTATTTCATAAGAATATTTAGAAAAATGTTCCCCTGGGTTCAGGATAGAATTCTACATTTCTAGGAAACATTAATTTCATGTTTCCCAAGAGAAACATAGTTTAAGTAATAAATTTGGAAAAGAAAATATAGTTTCATCTGTAAGTGGGGCTATAAAAATGTCTTTGCAGCTGCAAGGATAAAATTAGATTAATTCATGTCAGGGTTCTTCACAAACAAAACTGTTTCTTAAAAATAAAGCAATTGTGGTATGTTCAAATTATACCTACAGAAGTTTTGTTTTGACTTTTTGATACCTCCTTAAACTGGAGTATCTGTATTTGGATGGAGAAATGTGTCTGTAAATGCCATTTCTAGAAAAACCCTTTATTTGAAAAGGTATGTCCCTCCTGCACTGTTTCTATTAAAGGAAGAGTCTGTCATTTTCATATACGTGTTTACACATGTGGTCTCTATGAATTAATGCTACATGTCAAATTGTAGTAAATATTTAAACATTAACAGGTGCTGGGCCTACTAATCACACAACACTCCATGCCAGCAACTAAATAGCGAAGACCAAAGATGGCTTCTTGAGTCCACCCTATACCATCAGGAATGTTGTGGAGATTTAAGATAAACACAGAAAACCTGGGAAAACTTTTAAGTGTCCGACAAAATGCTCTTTAGATTAGCTTTTAATACAGGAGTACTAAAAAAGCCTCACTGAGTTCTGGAAGAAAATCGATTTGCTCTTGGTGCTAGGGAATTTTTCTTTAGTAGTTATGTTGCATCACATCTTTACAGTGTAAAGTATTAAAATTTTGTATTTTCATTGTTTTAGCTAAATGCTGTGATGTAAACCTTACACAATTACTAACCATAGTGGATGTTTCTATGTATCTGAGTTGCTCTTATAAAACAATTAGCTTGTGCCTCAACTTTAATTCTACTGGGTTTATGTTCTTAGTTTGATGTCCAAAAGTTGCGAATCTACTGTGACCCAGAACAGAACAACCGGGAGACAGCATGTGAGATTCCTGGATTTGTAAGTAGGAGGGATTGTTTTTTTCCCAGATGTTGCTTTAGTACTTTCAAAGCAATAAATAAAAAGCAGATACTATCTGAGTATTAATTTAATATGTAGACTTAATTTTATTTTTTAATGTTAGTGGAAGTGAAGTTACATGAAGCAAAACATATTTTGAGGTTATAATTGAAATGAGATTGTTATGTGTCATTGTGCAAGTATGAATGAAAGACCACAAGGGAATGTTTTCTTGTTGTGTTTTGTTTTGTTTTGATTTGGAGTCTCACTCTTGTCGCCCAGGCTGGAGTGCAGTGGCGCAATCTCGGGTCACTGCAACCTCCGCGTCTGGGTTCAAGAAATTCTCCTGCCTCAGCCTCCAGAGTAGCTGGGATTACAGATGCCCGCCACCACACCCAGCTAATGTTTGTATTTTTAGTAGAGACAGGGTTTCACCATGTTGGCCAGGCTGGTCTCGAACTCCTGACCGCAGGTGATTCGCCGGCCTAAGCCCTCTAAAGTGCTGGGATTACAAGCGTGAGCCACCACGCCCTGTCAGTAATGTTTTTCCCCGTCGTCTATGACTATGACTATTCCAGTGCTCAGGTAAAGCAAGATGAGACCTGCTCCAGAAAAATGTAGGATGCTTTGAATGTCAGTGTGTGAAATACATTATTATACTTAATATAATCATGTATAATATAATATAACAATATAATAATGTACATTAAACATGTGGACAGAACACCCCAAACAGCACAGTTCTGAAGAGCAAGAAATAATTATTTTTCCTTTTCACTGACACTTTTTCTCAAAGTGTCAGTGAAATAATGAATAGATACTTTTCTTGTTGTTGATATTTAAGTAAAAATTTATTATAGTTCTAGAATATAAGCAGCGTTTCTATTTATTTAGCTATTTTCATTAATGTGTTAGGAGGAAAAAGATTATGAGCTAAAATATTATAGCATCGCATGGAGTGTGTGTGTGTGTGTGTGTGTGTGTGTGTGTGTGTGTGTAATCAATCCCCTTTCCCCTGGGCAAAATATTGGTGTATTACTGCTAGTGGAAATATGGTAGAATGTTGCACAACTTTTTGACAATGTAAATTCCCAGTGATATTTGAGTCAACCATAGTTTTTAAAATGTGTGTAGTTATGTTGTCATCATCTTCTTTTTTCCCATCAAATGGAATAACGTATGGATCCACATGTTCTAAAACCTTGAAGACACAGAACAGCACATTTAAAAGATCTGTAATCAAACAGAGTTTTCTAGAAAGGATTTATTCTGGGTTTTCTAGATAAATAACTGTTTAAGCACTATAGTTTTAGATATTTATAACTTGAAAGATAAATCTCTTTTAAAAGTGTTAATAAGCTATGGCATTTGAGAATTCATTGTGCATACTTCATTTATTGATGTCTCTGCATTGACATATGATGATTACCATTATCCTTCCATATGATGAAGCACAGCTTTAGATAGCTGATTTTGAATTCTCCCTTCCACTTTATGTTTTAATGTCTCCTTCCTTACTCTCAGATGTGACTTTCTGTGGCCTGTTTGCCTTTTGCACCTTCAATCCAACCTTCTTATTTTTGAACTAATTTTTATTGATTGGAAAGATGATTCTCCTTTTAAAATTGTATGTTATTTAATAAAACACAGACTATTTTAGGAGAAGCTCTCCTAAAGTGCAAGATTTTAATGCATGCAGTTTGTGACTTCCTCAGATGTGTTTCAACATTTTTTTTCTGGTTCTTAAATGATTTCCTAAAATTTCAAGACAGCATATAAATCTCATCTGGAGGTATTTTTTAATCTTGCATGGCTATTATATCAAGCAGCTCTGGTGTTCTAATTTTCTTCTTCTACTCACCTTAAAAAAATATATCCTTTCTGTATTCTCCTATATGAATGGAGTAGTAACATGTATAGATAGGTGACTTTTTAGGATAAATGCAGGGAAATATTTTGGTTTTTGTTGGTTTTCATACTTCATATATCTCTAATCTGGATGGTGAAATATCTGTAAATTAGGCTGATAATTTATAAATTTTATTTAAAACATTTTAAAACACATTTGTTGTTTTTCTTTCAGAATGGAGAGGTAGGCTTGGATACTATTGTTCCCCTTAAGGTAATATTTGTATTGTGGGACCACTTAGCTCTTTTCCAACAACTGTAAGTATGTATATTAGACAAATGGAACCCATTTTTATGTAACTTCAATGTATTTAATATTTATAGATTTTTGTGATTTGGAATTTCCTATTGGGTTGGGTTAGATAAAATTTGAAAGTGAATGTAAGATATTTTTGCCATTTTACACAAATATATAAATGCATAAACATACGTGTGCATGTACTTATATGTCTTTCCATGCTTGTTGTCTGTTTCCATTTTTGTCTTTATAGTGCCTTAATGGTCCCAGTGATGTAGGTTCAACTCCAGCTCCCTGTATTTGTCCTCCGGGAAAACCAGGACTTCAAGGCCCCAAAGTGGGTAACACCTAACTTGCTGTTTTTGTTAAAACACACAAACAAGAGCTGGGTAAACCATACAATTCCTAATCACCATTGATCCTGTTGAGAAATTTCTATCTGATTTCTTATAGAGTTTAAAACCTCAGTTTTAGTCATTTTTTTTCTAGAAAAACAAGTGTATTCTAGCCTAGATTAGGATACCTTTTGAACCCAAAACTGTATCTGTCATCCACATTAAACTGAGACAGTATTATTTGTTTGGTTGTTTTTTTCCCCCAAATACTGCTGCTAGATCCCAAGAACAATACTTCCTTACAATCTGGTAAAAAATGAAGAAAGGGCATTTGTGAAGACATGGTCTGAATTCTTAAATGTCTCAGTTCTTAATTTGTCAAAATAATTTTTGGATGGAAAAAATGAAGTAAGAAATTTCAAATTGATTTTATTATTGTGAGTTTGATATCTAGTTCAAAAATAGAGCCACATACATTTATTTCACTTAATCATGTACTTTTGGGGAGAATATTCTTTTAGTCATTTCCATATTTCTATATATGCGCTTGTTCCAGTTACATTTACATATTGATTTGTATACAAATGTACATATACATTTTTATATGATCGGAGCCATTGTGTGCGTACTACTTTATAACCGGTTGTTTTATACATAATATGTTCTGAATATTTTTCTATGCAATTTAATATTAATGACTAAATTTTTTTTTTTTTTTGAGACGGAGCCTTGCTCTATCGCCAGCTGGAGTGCAGTGGCGCAATCTGGGCTCACTGCAAGCTCCGCCTCCCGGGTTCAAGCGATTTCCCTGCCTCAGCCTCCCGAGTAGCTAGGATTACAGGCGATCACCACTGCGCCCGGCTAATTTTTTGTATTTTAGTAGAGACGGGGTTTCACCGTGTTGGCAAGGATCGTCTCGATCTCTTGACCTCGTGATCCGCCCGCCTCCACCTCCCAAAGTGCTGGGATTACAGGCGTGAGCCACCGCGCCCAGCAAATGGCTAAATTTTTAAGTAAGTTGTGCTTCTTGTGGCATCACTTAGACACAGCCTAAGTAAGACACTAAGAAGTGTAGTGGTTTGTCCATGATATATAAATCTTGTTTACTTAACATTATATTAAAATATCACCTAAATAAAATAATGTGTAACTTGAAAGCAAGTATGTTTCCCTAAGCAAAAAGATAATGTTTATGTGTATTGATCACCTCTTACTTGAAGCGACCATAATCATTTTTGTTAAATATGAATCGTAATGTTCATTTAGACTGAATTTTCTGATTAGCGAATTTTCTGAATTTTCTGCTGGTCCAAGATAATTTAATTCTTTCTATCTTTTATGTATGTTTTTCTATTCATTTTCAGGCCTAACCATTAAAATAAAGAAAGATATGGAATTTAAGAAGTATACATTTGATCTGTCATTCAAAGTAAATCTCTGTCTGGCTTTAAATTTGAATGCCATACATGATAATCAGTGTATTATTGTGAATTATTTTTAGATAGCATTTAGAAGAGTTAATTCAAATCATCTTTAAAGTAACCGTCTATTATTTTAGATGCCTTGACATAAAGGAGAAATACTTATAAAATTCTCCTGGGAGAATATAACCTGGAAGACACCTTGGTGTGTCCTACCAGTAGATTCTTTTAAAAATATATATGTTCATATAATTTATTCACCTTGGAATATTATACATAAAAGTAATTTGACCTGCATGAGATATAATGTAGAAATTAGAGACCCATGCTGTCTGACCTATCAAAGCCTAGAGTGCTTTTCTGACTCTCAGTGAGGTTCAAGCCACCTCTACCATCTCCAGGGTCTCCAAGGGGCTGTTCACTTTTGGGAGGCACCTGAAGCCTCTGCTGTTTTCTGATTGTCATTTGTGGTCCAATAGATGTCTTGTAGTGTCACCTATTTTTACTCATGTACTTTCTACACGAAATTTTTAGCACACCCATTGTCTTATCTGATGAAGCCTCTAATTTTTTAATATTTCCAAGTTTCATGTGTTTCTCATTTTCATTTTCTTTTCTTAGTCATAATCTAGCCCTATTGCCACCTACTACTCTAAGTGAAATTGCAGTTTTCCACCAATCTTCAAGTTGGCGTGCCTTTTTGATCTGCTTTCCATTTTCTTCAGAAAATCTGGCAGGAGGACAGGAACACACACACACTCTTCCATCCATTTAGGACTCTTTATCCTGGAAGTGGTTCCTTACCCAGAACATGGACCTGTATGTAAAAAACAGAATCCCTAGCAACACTCTAAGTTGCACTTCTTTTCTGGCTTTGAAAGTTGATAGGGTTTTAATTAGTTCAACAGAACCTGAATTAAAACAGATGAGACAAGTTTACTTTAGGTTCCACTGAGGCTTATTGGCCATTTTTGTTATATGCTTTCTGGAAAGGTTTGCAGAAGTCCATCAAATCGAGTGACCTGTAAAGAACAGATCTAGCTTTTCTATTAACCAGAAATAGAGTTTTAGGAGATGAGTGCGGGGTCGAGACTGAAACAGAGGAGAAATTTTTGTGTTGATAAATGGGGAAGTGCTGATTCTAAGATAGTTATTTTTTTTAAAGTTCTTTAGATTTCTGGAAAATATGACAACACTGTTGCAAAACCAGGTCAAAATGACAAGGTACACCACACTTAGACTTATCATTGTCATTGTAACTCTTTATCAGGCATCAAAAAATTATCTGTCACTAGACTGTAATCTCCTGGAAGAATGGCTTATTTTTTATCCCTAATGATAAACATAGGGAATGATTAATGAATCCGTTGGAATCATTTGTATATGCAAGCCCTTCTTTTGTTCACAATAAAGGTTAATAAAAAGAAAATTCTCCTTTGGCACTCCAGTCTGGCACAGTGCTTAATAGTAATACTTTTTGTTAAAGGAATTGTGAAATTGTCAAAACAATAAGATCCACCCCTCCCCCCATTTAACCTATATGGAACGCGCTTCTGTTCTGCGAGAAAGATCCAGGTCCACCCCAGCTTGCAGATAACTTCCTTTCAAATGACCCGTGCATGCAAATAACAGCTTCTTCCCCTGCTTCAGTAGCCAGAGGAACAGTTGTGGTAACAAACTCCTACATTTGCTCTAACCTGAAACGTTAGATGTATTAGGTCAGAAGTGGAAAGAAGACATTTTTGTCTTTTTTAGGTTAGGACAATTTTTTAATAACTTCTTTGCTCTGAGATACCATTTTACTATAGCCATATCTCTGTTGATAGCCTTTGTTACACCCTAGTAATTTTGCCAATTAGAGATTCATTGGGACTATCAAGGTACCCTCTGTCTAAACACAAAAGCCTTTGGAAAATTTCAAGGGCCAAGGGCATTTACATTTTTATGTTAAAATTTTTCAGACTGAGTAGAGTCCTCCTAGATTCAGGGAGTGGTACTTGGGTTCTGAGGGAGGAAAGAGGTTGATTTTCGAGAATGGAATAGGTCTTAGGTCAGATGCTCTTGTGGAGACCAGAGGGGTAGCATGAAGGCGTAAGGTTTTTTGAAATGAAGGCTTACAAACGTCGTATTTGGACTTATATGAAGTATTCCAAAGTTTTGCCTTGGATGAACAACTTAAAATATTAGCTTATTTTTATAAACATAACTTTTTCTTACTTTATTTATATTTACATTACTTAAGAGACCATATTCAGAGATGTTTTAGTTTAGTCCATGACATTTCCACTCCTGTCAACAACTTAAAAATCCTGTGGCACAAATTCAAACAAACATAAATAGATACTGCTTTTCAGCTGAGTACATATTTTTGAAAACTCAAAATGTACAATTGTTTCAACTAAATTAGAATAAGGTGGATTGGGAATTTAGTCACAGTTTTATAATAATAAGTCATGTGTCTAATTTAATGTATTGGGGAATTTTTTTTTCCATATTAAATTTTCTAGCATTCTTCAGTCTGGTTCTGATCAGTGTATTATTGTGGACAGGAATGGTAGTGTTTAGGAGCTTGGACCCTGGAGTGGAACTGGTTGGATTTGAATCCCATCTCTATCACTGCTGTGTGACCTCAGGCAACTTACCTAACTTTCCTGGCCCTCAGTTTTCCTACACAGAAAATGGGAATAATAAAAGTATCTGCTTCATAGGATTATTACGAGAATTCGCTAACTCAATATATGCAAATCTGTTGGACCAGTGCTTAGCACATAACAGTCAATAAAGGTTGAGTGTCAGCTTTTATTAACAGTAATAAAATTGGCTTTCTCTCCAGTCAGCTAAATTAATTAGGATTTTACTTTATTCTTCCAGTTTTATAGGAACAATACCAAACCTACCTGAGTTTTTGCGAATAACTTAGTGACAGCAATAATCAAAATAACCAGTAAAATCTAACAGCAATAGCAGAACCTACAAGAAATTATTTTCTTCTTGGGGCTGTTGACCAGTGTCATAAAGACTGTTGACCAGTCTTTATGAAGTCACATTGGATTTATCTTGTGGGTAATTTTTTCATTTGGGAACTTAATTTTGATTAACTGAAAACATTATTATTAAATATCTTTTTTATAATTGTATGCAGCATAAAAAGCACAAGTCCCTTTTCCGTGCCAAATTTTTATTTCAGCCTGATGATGATAGAGATTAAACCCTGTCAAATCCTTTTGATATCTTAGGTTTTGCTGATAATTGATATTCTACAAATGAGTGGGTAAATGACAGATTGTATTTGAAGCATATCAGACAAAAAGTAGTTATTGAATCTCTACTTGATACCCAGCATTGTACCAAAAAAAAAAAAAAAAAAAAGTAAGGCCAGGCATGGTGGCTTACACCTGTAATCCCAACACTTTGGGAGGCAGAGGTGGATGGATCATGAGGTCAGGAGTTCAAGACCAGCCTGGCCAACATGGCGAAACCCTGTCTCTACTAAAATTATAAAAATTAGCTGAGCATGGTGGCGCATGCCTGTAATCCCAGCTGCTTGGGAGGGTGAGGCAGGAGAATCACTTGAACCTGCGGGGTGGAGGTTGTGGTGAGCCAGGATCATGCTATTGCACTCCAGCCTGGGTGACGGAGCAAGACTCCGTCTCAAAAAAAAAAAAAAAATGTAATTCAGACTTTGCTACAGTCTCAATCCAAGTGATAAATGAAGACTAACCAAGGGAAAACTTTGAGAAAACACTAGTTATGAATAAGTGATTTAAGAGCTATCATAGCATTTCAGTAGAAAAAGACACCAGGAAAAAATGGAGTAAGAAAGTTGCAGTGAGGATAATTTTCTCTTATTAACTCTAGAGTGGAAAAAGAGGAAAATTTATTCCAGGGAAAAGAAAAACATGGAATTTCTTGAAAGGCAGCAAGTCCAATCAGCACATGGATAAGGAAGGATGGCAGGGAGGCTGGAGATTAATGTGCACCTTCTCAAAACAAGAGAGAAATTCTAACTCCCTAGAGACACAGAAAGTTGTTTCCTAATGCCCAGCCACCACTGCAAGTCCTTGGATTAGAATTACAAATTACATTTATTCAGCGAGACATTACATGGTTCAGCATTATTTTCCCCCCTTGGATTTACGGCTCTTCTTTCTGTCTTTTAAAAATGACATTTCCCTTCTTCTCAAGCCTTTCCTCAAGCTAAGCCTCTTGGGGGGCAGCTGCTAAGTGAACAGCTCATCCCTGCTTTATTGGTTCCTTATTAGAGTTCACTTAGTTCTTTCCATTTTTTTTCCTGTTGTTTCAGGAACAAATTTCCCTAGCCAGGAGTCTGAAGTAGTATTTCCATGAAATTTGGCTCTGTAATAGTACCCTTAATCACAGGGTAGGTGACTGATTTCTATGTGAATGATTTCTTGATAAAAAATAGTAAAGAGATCAGGCTCAGTAGTTCACAACTGTAATACCACCACTTTGGGAGGTTGAGGAGGGAGGATCACTTGAGCCCAGGAGTTCAAGACCAGTCTGGGCAACATATGAGACCCCACCTCTACAAAAAATATGAAAATTAGCTGGGCATGATGGCTTGTACCTGTAACCCCAGCTACTTGGGAGGCTGAGGTGGAAGGATCACTTGAGCCTGGGAGGTTGAAGCTACAGTGAGCTGTGATCACACCACTGCACTCCAGTCTGGGTGACAAAGCAAGACCCCATCTCAGAAAAAAAAAAAAAAAAAAAAAAGAAAAAAAAAAAAGAAAAAACCCACGAGTGAAGAATTAATAGAAATCATGTGCATCTATATAGGAACACCCTGATACTTACGGCAGTGACTTCATATTTTTCAGCAGGATGCTCCATTTAGACTTCACGAATTCAGAGATAGATACCTATGATATTTTTTAGTATTTTTTAGAATTAAATTATAAAACACCCTCACCTCACAAAAAGTGTTGCTTTCATGTTTTTTTTACATGGATGGTGACCATCTGAATGGTCAGTACTGGCCATTGGGCAACACGCAAGAGTTCCATAGAGTGTGACTGAGCTCATTGCCATGTGGTATTAAACAGTGTTCTTTAAAGATCTTAGGTTTTTGAGGATAAAGTTTTTTTTCTTCATTTAAATATTACATGTATTCAAGAATTATGGGACTTGGAATAGGGTTGTTTGGCCTGGGCCTTGCTCTCATAGTAATATTATGTTAATCTGAGATTGCAAGTATAGACAGTAACACAGCAACACACTTACAGGATTGAAAGAAATGATAGTCATGCAGCTTTAAACTTGAATTCTACATGAGAGATCACATGGTCTACAGACTATTTTTAAAATAAATATGAGTTAAGTTGTATTATAGGACATCGATATCTATATATGTAGAACCTATACGATATAATTAAGTCTATAGGCTGGGTGCAGTGGCTCACCTAGCAGTTTGGAAGGCTGAGGCAGACAGATCACTTGAAGTCAGGAGTTCAAGACCAGACTGGCAAACATGGTGAAACCCCATCTCTACTAAAAATATAAAAATTAGTTGAATATGGTGGCACATGCCTGTAGTCCCAGCAACTCGAGAGGCTGAGACAGGAGAATCTCTTTAACCCAGAAGGTGGAGGTTGCAGTGAGCCGAGATCGCATCACTGCACTGCAGCCTGGGTGACAGAGCAAGACTCCATCTCAAAAAAAAAAAAAAAAAAAAAGTCTTATGAGTCAAATATTGCTATCATGGAGACCATATTTGCTATGTCACTTTACAGTTCGTTCAGAATTCTAAAAATGTATCCTACCATAAATGTGCATATTTTGCATCAGTGGAAAATACTTTACTTGCTATAGTTATACTTGGTGTGGTCACATAAATAAATCATTGAAAGTTCAGTATAATAAAATGCATTATTTATTAAGTAAGCATTTAAAATATGGCTTTTTTTTTTTACTTTTGTTTTTAACATACAAAAAACCTCAAATAATGGAATTGGTTTTGAACTTTTATTGATCCTGACTGCACCAATGTGGCTGGTTGTTTTGTACTCAAAAGTTTGTTTGCTTCCTGCTTAGGGTGACCCTGGACTGCCTGGGAACCCTGGCTACCCTGGACAACCTGGTCAAGATGGTAAGCCTGTGAGTACTGAAAGCTTAGTCATCTCCGGTATATCTGGGATTACAGTGTCAAAGTAAAAGTTTTGCTGAGCAAATCTAAACAGACAAGGAAAGCTTTATTCATGACTGCTGCCATAGGAAGGAGAGACTGAACTCAACTCTGTTGGAACGAAAGGAGCTAGGGTGTGTGAGCACTAGGACAAGTTAATGGAAAAGTAGTAGAGGACTTTAGATGGGAGGTTGATCAGTATAGGCTTAAGCACATTGAGTTATTCCACAGTTTGCAAATGTTTTCCTCTGTGATCAGGCCATCTCCCTTTACTAATTGGTGCTCATCAAAGTTAGGTACACACCCTCCCTCACAGACTGGAAGATAGTGGGGACACTATCTTCCTTGATGATTACATTTCAAAGGGGTGGCTCTCAGGTCCTTGAGAAAGACATTTCTGGGTTATAAAATTGACAAGTAGCTTTTTAGAGTATTTACATTTCAGAGGAGCAGAGAAGGAATTTACAATTTTAAGTCCTCTAAAGCAAATGCTCTAAGGAAAAGGGAGGTCAGGGATCCACAGTCAGGAAGAAAGCTGCCTAAGTTTAGTCAAGTTGAAGAGAATGTTAAGGCCAGCTTGGGAAGAGAGTTAGTGTTCTAGTCAGCTTTTAGTTATCTTACTTCAAAATTGCATACATCTTTGCTGCAAAGAAAATATTGTCCAGTGAGTTCTCAGTATCATGAAGGGCTGGTTTTAGAAATTCTATTGTCTTTTCTCTGCACATCTGTGGAAGCTTTCAAATTAAAAACACTTTTAAAGGTAATGTTATTTTCCTAATAATGTATACACTGGGATATATTTATAGTCTGACTAAAAAATACAATATCCTCTAAGGCTCAAGGAAACTTAGAGATGTAAAGGGAACATAAATCAACTTTAAAGCACTTTAGGCAAATATTTACAGTTAAGTCACTATCAGCATGTTTATAAGAGTAAACACGAAGAATTAGCTTTTGGCTGGGCATGGTGGCTCACGCCTATAATCCCAGCAATTCACAAGGCTTAGGTGGGTGGATCACTTGAGACCAGCAGTTTGAGACCAGCCTGGCCAACTTGGTGAAACCCCATCTCTATTAAAAAAAAGAAATACAAAAATTAGCTGGGTGTGGTGGCACACACCTATAATCCCAGCTACTTAAGAGGCTGAGGCACAAGAATCACTTGAACACGAGAGGCGGAGGCTGCATGAGCTGAGATCATGCCAGCCTGGGTGACAGCACAAAAGTCTGTCTCAAAATAAAATGAAAAGGAATTAGCTTTTGAATGTTTGAATGTCAAATTATAATTGTCACCAAAATGAAGCATTTCCTGAGATTTTCTTTATCATGAGGCATTAATTCTTACCACGAAAGAGTGGGAATGTTTACATTGTGAATCAAAATTGTTCGAGGAATGAAAGAACCATAGATATAATGTGAAATCATCAATACCTTAACCATGAGGATGAAAGAGTTGCTTAAGTTCCTGAGAGAGATTTCCTAAGAAATTAAAAAACAAGAAATAAAACAAACAAACAAAAAAAACCACAACTAGCCAGATTTTGAAGAAGTAGTAATGTGCTGAGGCTTTTTATACTAGGGAAATGTGCTGCATGGGAAGAGGATGGATAAACAGGTAAACCTCTCTAGAGAAAGATTATCCAAAAAGGGAGGTTAATTATCCTTAGCAAACTAACACAGAAAATGAGATATTGCATCTTCTCACTTATCACTGGGAGCTAAATCATGAAAACATATGGACGCATAGAGGAGAACAACACACACTGGAGCTTATTGGAAGGTGGAAGGTGGGAGGGGGGAGAGGGTCAGGAATAATAACTAATGGGTACTAGGCTTAATACCTGGGTGATGAAATTATCTGTGCAACAAATCCCCATGACACAAGTTTACCTATGTAACAAACCTGCACATGTACCCCTGAACTCAAAAAAGAAAAAAGAAAGCAAACTTGGGGAAATTTTTTTTTTCTTAAAAAGTAGGGAGGCTGAAGGGGTAAACAAAAGTGGTAGCCACCTGGAAATGCAGAGAGCTAAGGTGATGTTGTGTGGTTGTTGGGGCAGCATTTTTTCAGCTGACACACAGGGATTCAGAGTGTGAGGGCAATCTACTTAGGGACTTTGAGAAAGACAGTGATTTGATCTGTTTTATGATTTAGAAGGATAAATATAAATGCTATTTGGAGAGTAGATTATATGGGGGCAAGAGTAGAAGAAAGGAGACTATGCAGGAGGTTGTTTCATGATTGTGAGTGGTAAGAGTAGTTTGTACTAGGGTGATACGGTGGGAGAATGGAGAAGTAGTCAGATTCTGGGTTATTCTTAATGGAAAGCTGACTAGAATTGCTAGCAAATTTAGATATAGGATATGAAAGGAAGAGAGGAATCAAAGAAGAATCAAAGGAGTATAGCTTGAGCAACTGGGTGAATTGTGGTGCCATTTACTGTACTGGGCAAGACTGGGGGAGACAGAAGTTTTATAGACATGTCTTAGTCCATTTTCTGTTGCATAACAGAATGCCACAGACTAAGTAATTTATAAAGAAAGGTTTATTTGGCTCATGATTCTGCAGGCTGGGAAGTCCAAGAGCATGACACTAGTATTTGGCAAGGTCTTGGCAGAAATTATCACAAGATGAGAGTGTGAGTGAGAGGTAGTGGAGTGGGAGTGAGCAGGAGAACAAGGGGGTCAGTCATCCTTTTTATCAAGAATTCACTCCCTTGGTAACTAACCCACTCCCACAATAAGTGTCTCCATGACCTAACTACCTCTTAAAGCCCCACATATTATTACTGTTACAATAGTAATTAAATCTCAATGTGAATTTTCAAGGGGGCAAGCATCCAAACCATAGCAGGGGGGAATTGGGACTATATTTTTGGACAGGTTGGAGGTGGCCAGTTGGGACTTATTTTCATGCAGATGTATGCAAAACCATGAGAGTGGATGAGATCACTTAGGAAGTGAATACAAATAAATAGAGAAGAGAAGGTGGCAGGGGACTGACCACAGGGCTCTCTTACAGGTGAAAAAGAGAAAGTGGGTCCAGCCCAGGAATTTGGGAAGGACTTATCGGTGAGATGGGAGGAAAACCAGGGAAGTGTCATCCTATTAGGTGTGTTATTGTTGTCAAGAGATCCAGAAGAATGAAGCCTAGACTAGACCATGGATTTGCTACACAGGAGTATTTGAGGACCTTGATGAGTAGGATTTCAGGGAGGGTAGTACAAACAACAGATTGAAATGAATTAAGCACAGAGAGGGAGATAAGAAAAATGGTGAAAGTGAATGTAGATTTTTTTTTTTTCTGAGAGATATAAAAGGAAGCAGAGACCCAGAGCAGTAGAATTGGGGCAATGTTTTAAAGTCAGGGTTTTTAAAAAATGGGAGATATTGTAGCATGTTTTTATAATGATGAAAATGAGGCAAAAGAAAAAAATGAAAGTTTGGAAGATAGGGGATATTTTCAGGAGGAAAATCCATAGGCAGGTTGGAGGGCGTTGATTCTAGTTAGAAAAGTAGAGCTTGGCCTGGATGGAGAGTGTGGGCAATTAAATCTTTATATGAGACAGAAGTCAAGCTGATAGCACTGAAATAGCTAAGTAGGCTATTTTGGGGGAATTTAATTGAGGGAATTATCATAAGACAGCTTCTATTTGAATGAAATTGAATTGAAGGAATAGACTCCAAACCTAACCTCTCCTCTTTTGTATTTATCTTCGACCCCCATTATATGCCAACATTTGCCTTATAATTTCCCTTATAACCCATTCCTTTCTCACTTTTACTTAAGATGTCATATGACTTTATTGCATTTCCTCACTGCAATTCTTTAATCTCACTGAAGATACTTCCCTGAGGTCCTATGTGAGTTTCGCCCTAATTACACTGGGTGAGCTGAGTTTTATAAATGTGAGCCTCCTTAGCCTGCAGACCCCTTTCCTGGGACCTACTTTTTCTGTGACTGGCAGCTGAAGTGCTGTACTGACTCCAGAGCCAATGCAGTTCACACACTGATGTCATCTGCTCATGCCTAATAATGACACAGAGCTCCCAGATGGCACTGCTAAATTATTTAGGTCTTCTTTTTAGTGATAAAAAAATCCTGGGTAATGTTTGGAAGTGAGTGCTGAGCAGGCCTTCCACAGGCTATCAGCCCTTGGTTTTCTTTGTTTAAAAAAAAAAATCTTCCCATGCATGAAGCACTGGAGGTGAATTATTGTTAGCCTGATATAATACTCATGGATATTACTCTATGACTCTGACTAAGTTATAATAGAATTATTTATTGCCTCATCTCATTTAGTACATGTATGTGTTTTGGTGTCTGTGTGTATGATTTTATATATAGATAACTATGGTAGTATCTGATAGTAGTCTCAAAGAAAAACACAACTGTGGTAGGAAGAATAATGGTCCCTCAAAGATGTCCACATCCTAATCTTTAAGACCTGTAAATGTGTTACTTTACATGCAAAAGGAACTTTGCAGATATCATTAATTTAATGATCTTGAGATGGGAGATTGGCCTGGATTATCTGGGCAGCCAGATATAAACACAAAAGTCTTTATAAAAGGGAGGCAGGAGTGTCAGAGTCAGAGAAAGAGAGTCTGTGATGGAAGCAGAGAGCACAGTGAGGTAATCGTGAGCCCAGGAACAATGGCAGCCTCTAGAAGCTGGAAAAGGGAAGCTCCCCTAGAGCCTCCAGAAAGAATGCAGTCTGGCTGGTACCTTAATTTATCTAAGATTCCTTTCAGACTTCTGACCACTGAAACTGTAAGGTAGTGAATTGGTGTTGTTTTAAGCTGCTGTGTTTGGGGTAATTTGTTATAGCAGCAGTAGGAAACTGATACATCAGCCCAAATCCTGTCTTCCCAAAGGTATGACTTTTTCTTAAATATCCAGCCCCTCCCCGCAGTGTCTCCCTACTTCCCCCATATTTCTTTTCCTCTGTAGGGAATGTGACGTTGGGTGGTCAGGCAGGAAGAACAAGCAAGCCTGGGAGCCAAAACAGCTGAGGGTCATTAGTATGTGTTCAAGGCCAGCACCCAGTGGGAGTGGGTAGGTGTGGGTGGGGCCTCTGGCTGGCTATTGGAGCCATCTGGACCAAGGAAACTTGGAAGGAACAATTTGAAGGGAATTCTGCTTTGTTTGGACTTGTTTCTGTGCAACCCCCCTCAATAAGCTATTTGAATCTCTTTCACACATTATAACCAGGCCAAGCCAACTGAAACTTTAAATAGGAAATTATTCCACTCTGGAGAAATACTAATTTTCATAATTGAAAAGTGCCTTCAACCAAAATTAAAGAGCTATTTCAGATCCTTCCATTTCTTTCTCAGTTCTTTGTCAGTTAAATAACCTCTATTATCACAGTGTCTGAATATATTATTGCTTTACAATTTTAACATTACAAAAGAGGTAGGGGAAATATTTATATATCCTGCCAGGTAATTCAGAGGAGTACAGCTACTGAAGGCATTACAGAGATTTATACATTGATTTGTTAAAGAAGGCCATATGTGGAAATAGCACTAGCTTATGAGTTTATAGAAGTTTATATTTTTACAGTGCTCATTTCTGGTTTCTGTTATCATTAGTTACTCTTTTTTTGTTTGTTTGTTTTGTTTTGTTTGAGACAGAGTCTTGCTCTGTCGTCCAGGCTGGAGTGCAGCCGAGCGATCTCGGCTCACTGCAAGCTCCGCCTCCTGGGTTCATGCCATTCTCCTGCCTCAGCCTCCCGAGTAGCTGGGACTACAGGCACCTGCCACCACGCCCGGTCAATTTTTTTTTGTATTTTTAGTAGAGATGGGGTTTCACCATGTTAGCCAGGATGGTCTTGATCTCCTGACCTCGTGATCCACCCGCCTCGGCCTCCCAAAGAGCTGGGATTACAGGCGTGAGCCACCGCCCCCGGCCGAGTTACTCTTTATGAAGTAAAGTACTTTACTAAAGCAAAAGCCCAAGCTGATCATTAGAGAGATCTGGGGTTGTTTTACTCTTTGCTGAGCATAGGCTGCTTTGCTTTTATGGGCCTCAGTTTCTCTGTTTGGAAAATGAGAAGATGGTTCCAGATGAGGCCTAGGTTCTCTCTAATCTGATATTCTAGGATTCCATGAAGACCATCATATTGGCTAAGAGAGAAGTAGACTAAGCTGTAAAATTCTAGAGATGATTTTCTATGTTAGTGGGCTCAGGAAGTGAGTTGGAAAAACTGATAGCTCACTGCTACCAATAGACAAAAGAGTGGATTGGTCACTGGGTCACAGTTCGTGATTCAGTTCCCCCCACTCTTGTGTGTGTGTGTGTGTGTGTGTGTGTGTGTGTGTGTGTGTGTGTGTGTGTGATGGAGTCTCGCTCTGTCGCCCAGGCTGGAGCGCAGTGGCGCGCTCTCGGCTCACTGCAAGCTCCGCCTCCCAGGTTCACGCCATTCTCCTGCCTCAGCCTCTCCAGTAGCTGGGACTACAAGCGCCCGCCACCACGCCCTGCTAATTTTTTGTATTTTTAGTAGAGATGGGGTTTCACCGTGTTAGCTAGGATGGTCTCGATTTCCTGGCCTCGTGATCCGCCCGCCTCGACCTCCCAAAGAGTGGGATTACAGGCGTGAGCCACCGCACCCAGCCAGTTCCCCCAACTCTTTAATGTGCCACTGAGTGAACTAGAGGTGCAGACAGGGGCAGCCTTCTATGGAGCATTAAACCTCATAGAAATATGAGGTTTAATATGAGGTCATCACAGGTGGGGAATTTCAAAGTTACGTGACTGATGAAACCACAAAAATATGAAGTACTGGTTGGGGGAAGGTTAATAGGAAATCAATTTGGATATGGAGGAAGGAGAAGGAAGGGAAGATGGCATAGAGTTCTTTAGACCATTGTTATGAGTTTGGCTTTCAGTTGGAGTGAGCAATGGAGTAACTGGAGTAGGAGACCGATGTGATTTAACTTATTTTTAAAAGAAATTACTTTGGCTTCTGGGTTGAGAGTAGATTTTAGGAAGATGAGCGCAAACACAGAAGGAGAAGTCAGGAGGCTCTTGTAACAATCCAGGGGTGAGAGGATGGCAGCTAGGGTCAGAGTGATAGTGGTGAGGTAAAGAGAACTGCTTGCATTTGGGGGATATTTTGAAGTTAGAGCTAACAGGACTTGCTGATCTATTGGATATGGGTTTGAGAGAAAGAGAGAAGTCAAAGGAGACTATGGATTCATGGGAGAATGGAGGAGATAGAACTGGGTGAGGAAAATCAGGAGTGTGGTTTTGGCAATGTTTAAATTTATATGTTAGTCATTCAAGTAGAAATTTTAGGTAGGCAGATGGATATAGAAGTCTGACATTTAGGATGAGTTCTCTTCTTGTGAAGTATCTTTTCTTGTCCTTTGCCTATTTTCTATAGGAGTGAGGGTATATTTCATATGGGCCAATAAGATCTTATGCATTAAGAGAATTAATTCTTTGCTATATATGGTGTAAATGTTTCTTCTGACTACTAATCTGGTTTATAATTTTGTTTTTAATTTTTAGAAATGTAAAATTTCCCCAGAATGTAATGTTTTCTTTTTATTAGTTCCAGTGTTATTTTTCTTTAGCATTAGCTACTCGTGTATGTTAATTTATCTTATTATGATCTTTAATGCCTATTAAGTCTTGATTTCACTGGGAATTTATTTTTGCATTTGAGGTAACATGAAGATCCAAAAAGATTTGGAGAACTTAGAAAATGAGCTATTTACAGTGAAATTCAACTGGAATAAATGTATGGGTCTTACTTGTCTTTGAGATGTTATTTAAGCTGATGAAAAAGGGATTAATGTATGTAATAGGGCTGCCTA
Source organism: Homo sapiens (assembly GCF_000001405.40). Taxonomy (NCBI): domain Eukaryota; kingdom Metazoa; phylum Chordata; class Mammalia; order Primates; family Hominidae; genus Homo; species Homo sapiens. The sequence goes on along the minus strand of NC_000006.12, from coordinate 56,149,031 downwards.
AAAGGCTGATGCAATTTTTTGGCATAGTTTGTAAATGCATAACATCTGTATTGAGAGAGATGACAGCCCTGCTTCTGGAGTGTTAGATTTGCTTTAGAACTCTATACTTGAGGCACACGAAGGAACTGGAATTCATTCAGAAGTGTATAACTTGGAGTGGGCCAGAACTCAGAAGACAGCCTGTGAGGGAAGATTCACTGAACTTCAGGTATAATCCAAACAAGAGATGCTACTTTGAAATATTCAAGAATGGTGATAGAGTATAAGAGGACGGGGTGGACAAGCAGCCCTTAGGCTTGCAGAGTACACTTGTTGAGGGTGAGTAATTAAAAAAACAAGTAAGGCCTATGAGATAAGCTTATTTATTATGCTTTCCTTTTTCCAGACCCTTAACTGAACATGGTGCCAGTTGTGGACTCAACAGTTTAAGAGCTGTTGGGAATTTGGGGCTGAATGCCATGAAGATTAAAGAATTGGAAAATGGGATACAGCTGATTAAAGGCCAAAGAAATGGCTATTATTTAGCTTGGAGAAGAGAATTACAAGAGATGGCTTACTTACAAAGTATATGAAATACATTCTAGATAGAACAGTGTCTACCTGAACTCTCACCTCAGTTTGAACTCCTTGGCAAATAGATTTATTTATTTATTTTATGTGTTTCTCTCTCTCTCTCTCTCTCTCTCTCTCTCTGTCTCTTGTCTCACTAATAAGCTAAAATATGAACCATTTACTACAAATGAACTATCCTACCCTTGGGCAGTTTATTGCTTTTTTAGTTATTTAAAACTATGCCTTTATAAGGCTTTCCTAGAGAAAGCTTTAACCTTGGTGAAAAGGCATCGCTGTATGAAATGTGGCTGCCTAAGAGGCTGATATAATTTTTAGCATAGTTAGTAGATATATGACAACTGTATTGAAAGAAATGACAGTCCTGCCTCTTGGAGTGTTGGATTTGGTTTAGGACTCCACACTTGAGAGGCATGCAGGAACTGGAATTCATTCAGAAGAGCATAACTGGGAGCATTTAAAACTCAGAAGACAGCCTATGAGGGAGGGTTTACTGAATTTGCGTATAATCCAAACAAGAGATACTATTTTCAGATATTCAAGAATGATGCTAGAGAAAAAGAGGACAGGGAGGAAAACTAGCTCTCAGGCTTGCGGAGTATCTTGGCAGGGGTTGAATGGTTAGTAAAACAAGTAGGACCCATGAGATGAGCCTGACCAGCTAATTCATTTTTCTTCAACATTCTCCTTCTGTGAAAGTCGTATGTAGATTATTCCATGTTTATCTCACATGTCACTTAAATAGATTACTTAGATATATATTATAGGTAGTATATATAATAATGTGTGTAGACATGTATGTATATATATACACACCAATGTTATTGGTATATTAAATTCTTCAAAGAATTGGTCACTGACGCATCTAACATCTATGATTTTAAAGATAAGTTTGTGCATGTGAATGTAGGCCTGTTTCTACTATTAGAGTTCTCGGTTGGTGATAACTGGTTGAACTCAGTAATTATTGATTTGTTTGCTTATTTATTCTGTTCCTCACTCAGTCATATACCTATATTTGCTGGGTGTTTACTGTATTCCTGGCACTCTTCTAGGCTAAGGATATATAGCAATGAACAAAACAGAAAAAAAAAAAGCAAAAAACAACCCCCCAACCTTGTCATTTTGAAGCTCACATTCTACTGGGGAGAAATAGGTAATAAATGCACACACACAACATCAGATGGTGTTAAGTACTATGGAAAAAATGTAGCAGGACAGCAAGAGAGGAAATGAGGTTAGCTATTGATCGCCTCTCTTTGAGTATGAAAAGCACAATTACTAGAGATTTATGTTGGGAAGTAAGATTTACTAAAGATGGTTTAAGTTACCTTAGAAAGTTGTACATTCTCCTTTTGAAATAAGCTTAGTATAAGTTTAAGTGTAACCTAATTCAGGGAATAAGGCAGTTTACCAAAGTTTAATTAAATTCTGTGAATTTAAGGACCTAGTTCTATCTGCAGAGATTATTTGTCAAAGGTAGGCAATGTTTTTCATTTATGTGCTTAGCTCAAGGGAAATATAGGAAACTGGATGATGTTGCTCTATATTTATCTATCCACTGTTTACCTTTCCTATATGAGAGAGGATTAGATTTAGGCTAAATCTCATTTATAGTTAATGTAGTTTTCTTTAATTTGAAGTAGAAATGTTTTTGAGTCCTTTGTAAGACCCACGAGCTGTGCAGATAACCTCGTCTACCATTCCAATATGTTTTTCAGCTTGCTTCTGCTTATTCTCTCTCTTTTGGCTTTGTGGATATGGTATATCTTTTCCTGATGCATGGCATATTGGAGGAATTCCTCTTAGGCATTGTGCTTTCTTTAGTATTCCCTTGTCTCTTAGAAAAACTCCCAACTGCTTGCCCTTCACCTCCCATAGCAGTGTAGTTCTTTCATAGCACTTAGCTCAGGTGTAATTTTACATATATTAATGGAACTTATTAATGAAGTAATCTAAGCAATCAGTAAAAGCATATAAACCACTTGACTAATAGTTGGGTTAAGTAGCAAACTAGTTTCTATATTAGTTATACATAGAATGACAGAGATTTATTAATTTTCTTGAAATTTAATTGCATAGAGCTATAAAGCCTGCCAACAACAACTAGAAGATTCCACAGTGGACATTAAAAATACACACTTGGTTTTGGTTACCTAGTTACGTTGGCTGTGTACCCAAGACTATCTGTTGGAATTTTGGAAATCTTTGAAGAAAATTATTTAATGGAATAAACTTTAAATCACATTCTTACATTTTTAAAAGGAGGGTGACATCCAAAATTATTTCTTTGGAATTTATTCTTATTTTTAAGTTTAGAGTATTTCAAGGAAACTAATATCTCTACCCTCCTCACTACTTTGCAAAAATGTGTATATTTAGATTGGCAGAATATTTTATGACATGATTAGAATTGAGCACAGAATAGTTGGTGACCCTTGCACATTTGGGGATTTTATTTCCTTAATTTCCATTTCAATGCTATACATATTTCCTGAAGCTTTGTAACTATGAATCATGGAGGAAAATTAAATTGATTCTGTATTCTTTTCTTCAACCCTACAATTTGGCAGTGAGAATATTTTTTTCCCTAAAAAAAAAAAATGACTCATTTATAAAGAAGTTTTCTGTGAACATGGAAAAGACTTAAATACTGTCAGAAATCTTGCAGATGGGGGTAGGGTGGATATTTGGACCTGCTAATAAATGCAAAATGGCAAAATTCATGTTGAACAGTATTAACCACTCAAAGATCATAGGAAAGTTACAGTTCTAAAATGAGACATGAAACGTGTTCTGAAAAATAAGAACTCAATAAGGTATATAAAAAGCTTATTTTTTCCTGTTTTAAGGCATTTTCCTTTCTTTAAGGTTGACCCTGCTATGAGTCAACCAATGTTTTATTTCTTTTTCCTCTTGGAAATTGTTCTGTGTTGTAATATTCCCCTTTTTAACCTTTATTTTCCTGGTTTTTAGTCCAAAATTTGTTTTTCTGAATTTCATTCTATTTCTTCTGGTGTTTTGCCCTAGGATTCCCCCAGCTTGGATGTTGTTTGGTTTTCTTTATTTTGTTACTAACCATGTTTCCTGTAGCTTCTAAAACAGCATTTGAATTTCTTTCTGCAATTAGTACTTTAAGAATGCATCTAATTGTAACCTTAAAAATATACATATCACAACATTCTCAAATTGTGAGAAGCACTTATTATTCCTATATTGTAATTCCTCCAAAGATATAACAAAGAGAGCCATTACAAAATACACTGAGGCCATGTTTGCATGTTTAGCATTAGATCTGTATAATGTTGGAAAAGAGTTAAATCATAAAGATGATGACTGGACCTGCCATTCCCAATGTACTAATGGTGGCTGATAAGGCTGTGGAGTAACATTCTGCAGAAGTATTCTTGTGGTCTTGTACAATAGTCATTGAGTCTGAAGAAAAGAAAGAAACGCACATTTATTGAGTTCCTAACACCTGCCAGAATCTTCACCTGTGACTCCATTTGTTTCTTTTCAAAAGTGAAGTGGATAATAATAACAGTTTATGGTAAGAAACTAAGTCTTTGCTAGGCAAAGTGACTTAGCCAAAATCTCATAGAAAGTAAAAGGAAGGGCAAACATTCAGTGCAAGTTCTTTTCCAATTTCAAATTCATCGTCTTTCCACTTAACTGTGTTGCCTCCCAGGGTTTGGGGATTGATGACTCTGCCTGAGGTCACATTATGAGTCAGAGGTAAGCTGGGAACACAGTTAGGGCATCTCCAAGTTGTTTTAATCTGTTAAAATGAAATGCGTCCTCTATAACAAATACCACATCAACTTCTTCGAAGAGGAGAGACAGCACAGCAGCATTTGATCTTTTATGAAAGATTAATTTTCCTAAAAAAGTAGTAAGGCAGATATGACATTTGGCTTAACTTTTGAAAAACTGTAAAAGAAAAATAATTCATTAAATGTGAACTTTGCAGATGATCAACCATTTTGATCAATAGCCAATTTCCATGGTAACTTTCTTTTGAGGAATTTTATGAACATTCCTTTCCTCTGGGCACTCAGAATTCTAAATAATTTAAAAATAGTCTTGCAAAATGGATTTCTTTGAATCAGTTGAGTCAATCTACAATGATCAGATCTGACCCGCCATAAAGCACTTTCTGATAGAGAATGTTCCCACTGGCTCTATCAACTTACTAGCTATGTAACTTTGGGCAAGTTACTCAACTTCTGTGCCTTAATTTCCTCATCTGAAAAAAAGATAATTTAGAACCTACATTAAAGAGTAGTTGTAAGGAGGAAAGTGAATTCTATATTTGTACATTGCTAGCAGTGACAGAGCTGAGAGTGAATTCTAGGCCTATCTGATTCCAAAGTGGTTGAGGGAAGGAGATTCAGTGATAACTAGAGTAGTAGACATACAGGGCTGAGCAAATTCCATGTAGATTGAATTTCTTCTTACTTTTGAGTAATCCTGAGAACAGGAAACATGAGATTACTAAACGTTTCCATTTTCTACAGAAAGGTGCACAAACATAACATGATTCATTGGAGAAGGAGATTTTTTTTTACACGTTCATGTATAGAGTTGATGACTTTAAATTATTCCAATGTTCTATCAACAGAAGTGTGCCAAAGAATGTGTTCAATGCCAAAAATACAGAAATGAATTAAACCTGGTCTTTGATCTCAAGGGGGCTCATAATCCAGTGACGGAGAGAGTGCTAGTCTAGCGAACAGATGATGGGTTGGAAAAATGCACGTTGTTTTGTCTGGAGTATGGAGAGGTTGATAATCAGACTCATTGTTTCCTGGTGAAGTGCAATGGTTAAGGATTGGGCAAAGACACTCAAGAAAAAAGTTTGAATCTGAGAAGTCATGGAGAAATCATAACAATATATTCTGTGAAGAACTGAATAGAGTATGAAGGAAAGGATGATGGTTGGTGATAAAAAATTGTATAGTCGGCCGGGTGCAGTGGCTCACGCCTGTAATCCTAGCACTTTGGGAGGCCGAGGAGGGTGGATCATGAGGTCAGGATATTGAGACCATCCTGGCTAACATGGTGAAACCCCATCTCTACTAAAAATACAAAAAATTAGCTGGGTGTGGTGGTGGACGCCTGTAGTCCCAACTACAAGGGAGGCTGAGGCAGGAGAATGGCGTGAACCCAGGAGGCAGAGCTTGTAGTGAGCCGAGATTGCACCACTGCACTCCAGTCTGAGTGACAGAGTGAGACTCTGTCTCAAAAAAAAAAAAAAAAAAAGAAAAATTGTATAGTCATTGTCATTCATTCTATAAGTAACTGAGAAGGCAATTTACACAATAGAAAATGTAAATGCATGTAAAAGGAGAAAAACAATAAGACTGATCTTTCAGAGACAACTCATTACTAGAGGTAGCAAAGAATATTAGAAAGGATACTTGAAAATGTGAACAGAAAAACAGGGAATTGTGATGTCTCTAAAATTACAGTTAAAAACATATTGACAGATGAGTGGATGAATATGAAGACCAGTGCAGACACCCATGAATAGCCACATAGAAATGAAGCTTTTAGATTTATGAATGAAGATGTAATTGGAAACATTAATGAGATCTGTGTTAACATAGTTGACAATGAAGACTGGTACCCAAACAGTAAGATCTAAGAAAAATGGAGTCTGAATAAAGAATGTGAGAAAGATGGAACTTGATAGTGGTTATTATGTTTGTAGGTGCCAGGTGGTCCATTAACCTGACAATCAGCCCTAAGAAACCTAGATAAATGTTTAGAGCCTACAAGTTAATTTGGAGACTTTAGCTGCCATGTGCTAAACCAACAATAAATAGTTCAACTCTGTCTAAAAAAATTGTGCTATTTTATCAAAGTTCCAGTTTTTGAGGAGGGATGTCTAAGAAGCAGTGGGGATGAGAGTGACTTCTCTCATCCCCCTCCCCTAAGCAAACAGCCCAGCTTTGGGGGACCATGGAGGATATGTCATAACCACCTTCTTACATTTAACATCAGCAGCTTTCTAAAATGAGTAATTTAAAGATTGAAGAATAATATTAATTAAAGATTAATTTATTCTAGGGACTAACTCAGATGGCCATTAATTAGGTGGTTTACAAATACACATTTGTTTAATCCTCCAATCTCTTGAAGTGTTTCTCTCTTGGATATGTTGAATGTATTTCTGATAAATCCAGTACATTTCTTAAGAAACTGTGAACATTAACTCTCCTCTTAATTTAAGATTTTCTAAATATTTTTATTAATTTACAAATATTTAGGGCCCTATATACTTTTTAAAGGATTTCATAAAGATCAAAGGGTATGAATTCCTTATTAAGCATTTAACACTTTATTATTTTGGATTTGTCTCTAAGTGAAGTTTTAGGCATGAGAAACTTGAGATAAGAGTGAATTCTGAAACGAAGAACTTCTCTTGGTAAATATGATGAAATATTATTTTTTTTCTTTTTAAATTTTTCTTTAGGGATATCAGGGAATTGCAGGGACACCAGGTGTTCCAGGATCTCCAGGAATACAAGTATGTGATCCACTTATATACATTTTATAAATTTTATTTTTAGTGAACTAAAACCGATAATTAACAAAATTTTATTTTCTGGTTAATTTAGGGAGCTCGAGGACTACCAGGTTACAAAGGAGAACCAGGGCGAGATGGTGACAAGGTAAACACACACAAAAATGCAATCAATGGTGTTAGTCCCTCAAAGATAAAGGATGTTAGCTGTGATGGTTTCCATTCAATAGTCTGCGTCTTGGTGAATTCTAAGATTTGTGGGCTCAGAAATTTGTCAGTGGCTATTAGACAATAAAGCTTATAGAAGGCTTTATCACTACATAAAAGAAGTTATCATTGACCACTATCAAATGAAACAGACTTTGGCATTGCCCTATGCCATGTTCTCTCCCTGTGGTTAAGCTCCACAGGGAGTTACCTTCTTAGAGGGGAGTGGGTTATGTGAAAGGAAAGTGTTACCATGTTAACCTCAGATAGTCCAATACCCAAGGGACCATCTCCACAATTGGTATCTATCTGGCACGTGGCCTATTGGCTCAGCCACATTTTTTAGATTCCACATATAAGTGAGATGATATGGTATTTGTCTTTTTGTCCCTGACTTATTTCGCTTAACAAAAATGTCTTCCAGGTTCATTCATGTTGTTGAAAATGACAGGATTTCCTTCTTTTTTATAGCTGAATAGTATTCCATTATGTATATATACCACAATTTCTTTATCCATTCATCCATTGACAGAACTTAGGTTTAGGCCATGTCCTGGCTACTGTGAATAGTGCTGCAATAAAATGGGAGTGCAAATATCTCCCCAACATACTGATTTCATTCTTTAGTTGAGTTTTACACACTAAACATAAAAAGGGGGATTTCATTTGTACATCTTAAAATAATTGAACTAAATTTTTGTGGGAATAAATGTTCCTTACTTTAAAATAAAAGAATAACTATAATTCTACTAGTGGCATCTTATGCTGACTGCTTTATTGTTTTGGGTCATTATGTTGTCTTTTAAATATAGGTCTGTGAATTTTACAATGTCATACATTTTACTGGATAAGATAAATAAGATGTATATTTATGCAAGGTCTCTGTTTTCAGACCAGTTGTGGATTTTATTCAGAGTTGATTGTTTTCTGAAGTTCATTGTTGGGGTTAAACTCTGATTTGACCTAGTCATTGTGGGTCTAAAATCACCATGTACTACCTTCCAAGTTTCCGCTTCACATTCCATGTGGCTTCTGAGAGTTCTTTGCCCAGAGCTAAAATAATTTAGTAAGTTAATTGAAGGTTTTTCCTTGATTATTCCTTTATAACATGGTTACTTGATTTTTGGAAATGAAGGGTTAAAGAACATACCCCTGAGATGACTTTGACTTGTGGCAGTGCAGGATACTTTTCCAGGTATCACGCAGTCGCCTTTGGAAGATTGTTCCACACAATACTGTTCCCCATTAGGACATTTTCCCAGAATAATTTCCATTTTGTGGATTTTCTCCAAAGACTCCTACAGTAGGAATTTCCACTTAAGATAATTGAAATTAGATGTGCTTTCTTTCTGACTTTAACATTTGTTCTTCACATATCACACAATAGAATATACATAGATTTTGCAGGGTGTTTTTTCCTGAATTTGCAAAATCAAAAGGAATACTTACTCAGCAAATAGTCTTCAGTTGGTAACTAATTTTATTACATGCTTTAAAGCTATTCTTTGAAATCTAAAAAATACTTTAAATGCTTTAAAATACTTCCTCAATATTAAAAAACTAATATATTTAAATTGTATGGAGAACTAATTTTTGTTAAAACTTACATTAGGTGATGCTGGTTAATTGATATGTATTTATGAATTTTCAAATTGAGTTTGAAACTTTTCCATGGCAAATTCAATTTTACAGATGTAGGAAGTATGAGTAATTTATTTTTTAACCTATCCAGACTCTGTACAAACTCATTACTTGACTTTTCTGGGCTTAAGAAATAAAATGTCATAATTATATCTAGGGTATTATTGGAAGAATTATAGATTTTATTTTCTTTGTTAGTACATTCAACTTTTAAGTGGTCCCTTCAAAGCCTCACTTTCCCATTGTCCTCAGCATCCAGACCGGAGCACCATGTGATGGGTAAGACTTCCCTACCTGAATAAAGTTCCTTACCTCTGGGCCTCCAACATCGAAAAACTAAGTGGTTTTACAGTGATTTCTGTTATAGAGTCAGTCATAACCAAGGAACTCCAATATATATTTTGAGAGAACAGGGGTAAAAAAGCTAAAAAATGTTAGAGAATACATGTTAAAACAGTATGTTAGTGGTATTACTTCTTTCAGTGTTCCTGAAGACCAAACAAAAATTACCAAAACAGGGAGAGAGTCTACCCATGTGATTTTCTGATAACACCATGCCCAAACACTTGTGTGTGTGTGTGTGTATGTGCACAAGTGTGTGTGCACAAGTGTGCATGTGTGTGAGATTTGGGGGCTTAAAGCAGTTACAGATTATAGATTATAGGCTTAGTTCTGAATTTAGACTGCTTACCTCCCAAATCACACTTGTTAATCTCTTTAAACCTGGTTTTTATCATCTGGAAAGTGGAAGCCATAGTATTACTTACTGCCTAGGCTTTTTGTGAAGATTAAATGAGGACATGCATGTGGTTGGCCTAAATTAAATGCTATAAATTGGTGATGATAGTGATGATGATCATGATTTGTTATTGGGCCACCATTCTGCTGATTACTTAAGGCAAAATTTTTGGAAATATCTTTGAGTGATCCTTTATCCTTCCTCTCTCTGTTGAAGTGCTGCATCTGAAACAATCAGACAGAAATTCCCTAAATGTCTTCCCACTATGTCTACCCTCCTACCCGTATATGTACCTATATTCTGCCTTTCCTCCTCTTATTATGGGCGAAGTGTCCATGTGGAGTCCACAGGCCTCCTCTTGCAGTCTGGATCCCATCTTTTTCCATTACTTTGTGTATTAACTAGCCCTTCTCTTCTGTGTCAATAGTCATTTTCTTTTCTAGTTAAATTTTCCCAATAGCCTAAAGGATGATCCATTTGAAACCACCCAAACCTCCCCACTTCCTCTACCACATATCTTCCTTTAGCTACCAGGCCATTTCCCTGTTTCTCATTGTAGTACAAGTGCTCCAAAAGGTTTGCCTTTATTTCCTGCACATTTTCACTGCCATTTCTCTCTCTGACCCACTCTAGTAGGACTTCCATCCCAACCTTCTGCTGCATATTTAGATCACCAGTCTTCCATCTTTGAAATCCAGTAGTCAGTATTTTTCAATTATTTCTTCTTGTCTTGCTGTATGTCTCTACAGTGTTTGACACTGTTGACTATTCCCTCCTTCTTGGGACAATTTCTTCTCTTGGCTTCTGGGATACCACATGCTCCTAGATTTCTCCTTGCTGCCACTAGTTACCTTTTCATGTTTTCTCGTTGGCTCTTTCTCTTCCTCCTCCACACATTCTCTAAATGTTGGGGTGCCTCCAGGATTCAGCCCTGTCCTCTTCCCCTTCCTCATTAAGAGATTTTATTATTGTAATATTAAGAAGTATAAACATATATGGATATAAATGTATATATAAAATATATATGCATATATTTTATAATTATAGTAATAATTATTGATATGATTACTACTATAGTAAATAATAAGAATATTAAATACAGACATACACATATGCACAACCTCTTTTCTAAAAAATATTTTGCTTCCTCTGAATCTGGAGAAACTTGGAGTTGTTACAATCGGGTTTTCAGAAAACAAATTTCTCTACTTTTTATGGAAGTGGTGTTACTATTAGGTTGGTGCAAAAGTAATTGTGATTTTTGACATTACTTTCAATGGCAAAAACTGCAATTTCCTTTAAAAAAATCCTTTCCTCAGAGGATTTTCTCCCCAAACAGCACTAGCTTTGCCCTCCCTAAATATTCTCTGATATTAGGCATTGTTGAGTGTCCTTTCTGTACACATGGTGCTGACTTATGTGTGCTCAGGTTTTAACTAATTCTGTGGCTGCTTTTGCAATCTGGATTATCTCCTGATCTTTCAACCTTTTTTCTTTTAAAACTATAATATAGTGGATTTAACATCTTAGTTTATTATGAAGAACCATTAATTCCATGTCTTGCCTTATTTATTGGATGTTATTCCTCTTCTGTCCTGGTTTTCTCTTTTTTCTGTTGGTATTATAAGGAAACTTAAAACTTTTATTGAATTTTTTAGAATGCTTTATATTTTGTTGGTTCTAAACTTGATTTTTATCTTCTCTTTGGATGTCTTCTGTTGTATGGTCGTTGAGAAGCTACTGCAGAGACTCAGTAGTAGAAGTTTAGAAATCTATTTCTTTTGTAGGCATGAGTAGTTCAATGGTAATCCCAAACCCCAAATGGAATCCCCATCACTGTGTTAGAGAGAGGAATTATTTTAGTGGATTAAAATAGTTTCCCATAGGTCATTATTGCCTGAGCTTGTGTAAGACTTAGGATTTGTGTTTTTGTTGTTGTTTTTGCTTTTATTTTTTCTGAGAGGAAAAGAAGCCACGGATCTGTACAAAACTTTATGTATTGGGTGCTTTCACGGTTTTTACTGTGGTGTGTACCCTTTTCTATTTTATTCCTGATATGTTTTGCATCAATTTTGTCCATATGCATTCCCCTTTACATTAAATCCTCACAAAAAGTCCTGTGGGATTAGTACAGTAAGTCATACTGTGCTCATTTTAGATTAATTGTGAAGTAAATTATCCTCATTTTACATTTTGGAGAACTGAAAAATGAAGAGCTTAAGTCATTTGTGTCAAGTTACTCAAGGATCTAGGGGGTTGAAATAAAATACCTTGATCCCAATCTGGCTTTCTTTTTCCTGCATTTTTCTGCTTTGGCCAGAGTAGTTTTTCACTGTGTGACTTGTGCTTCTTTTAGTCTACTGCCTGCACTGTGAGAAGAATCCCTGAATGCCTGTCAAGAGCCAAGAAGATAGGCAGGGGAGGGAGAAGATGAATGAGTACCCACGGTCGTGCTGACTGGGCCATAGGAGTGTTCATGGTCTACATTTCTCTCTAGGGAAGAGGGATAGTTCATTGTAGATCATAGGTCATCAAACCTTTAAATTGCAAAATGTATTGCAGTAAAAGACTTTTGGACATGTAGACTCATATATAAAAATTATATATCTGTGCTACTGAGCAAAGTATTATGTGAATTTGAAACACACACACAAAGACATTTTTTAAAATGAATTTTAAAAATAGTAGTTCTCATGTTCTTTTACTAGCCCCAAAAATAATCTTGACCTGACTGAAGACTATGACTCTAGATCGGCTTAAAAGATGGACAGGCTCATCAAAGTTATATTCATCAGCCATGAAAGGTTTGGAAAGCAGCCTGTGGGAAGTGGAATTATCTTACTAGTTTGGATTCTCTTTGACTTTAATCACTTGTAAACTCTGATAGGACCAAGAGTGTGACTCCCCCAAATATTTGTTTTATTGAAATTTTCTTTGAGCACCCAAGAGTGTTGACTGTGTTTTGGGAAATGAAAACATTCTGTATATTCAGCAAATTATTATTAATCACAAGCAAGACAATAGGTAGGCTAGAGTAGCTTATGCTACAGTAACAAGCAAACCCACATGCTTGTGGCTTAAATCAAAGGTTTATTGCTCCTCAAACTACATATTTATCAGCAGCAGTGAGGAGCTTCCCATTGTCTTCACAGGGAGACTCAGATTAACAGATATTTCACCATCTAGATCATGACTAATTATGGTGGCAGGTGCAGAGAGAATCAAACATTGGCTTTTAAATCACTACCATTCATGTTTAATTAACTAGAGCAAATTGTGCAAACCACATGTATTTTAACAGATTAGGTAAGTATGATTTCCCATATGCCAGAGAGTGGAGAGGAATCTGGATATGAGTAAATAGTAGTTGTACCGAGAAAAAAATAGGAATGAGTTAAGGATGAATTGTTTCCTCAAAGAGGTTGGAGTCTGATAAAGGACATAACACAAAGTAACTGTATTTCAAGATAGTCAATGTTAAGTGCCAAAGAAGAAAGTCAAATAAAATTCTCTAGGAGTTTAAAGGAAAGTTAAAAATTGGAAAGGCTTCATGAAAGAAAATATAAAGAAAAGGTTAATCATAGCTATACGATGTAGGGACTGTTTTTATCAAATTTAAGAAATCTCAAAGATTGCCTTGGTTCTTTATTTATTATTATTATTTAGGCATTACCAATAAGACTGTAAGAAACATCTTTGAATATATTTCTCAGTAGTTTTTCATGAGTTTATCAACAGGAAAAGTCCTCGGAAGTGAAATTGATTATTGGATCAAAGGGTTAACTTCATAGTTAAACTTTGATTTAAATTGCTTATTGAGTTCCCAGAAAGTTGATTCTCTTTCAACAAGTATATGAGAATATCTTTCCTCACATTCTTATCAGCACTGTTTTTTTTTTAATTCTAATTTTCACCTGTATAGTTTAGAAATGATACTGGTTTGATTTTCATTGCTTTATTAGTGAGTTGGGTAAGGTATCTTGACATGCGATTTGGGGGCATTGTGTTACTTCTCTGTAATTTGCCGGTTTTCTCATATCTTTTATTTTCCTACTGGGCTGTGATCCTTTTAAAGATTGATTTTTATATGCATTTCATAAGTTGTTGTTTGTATGTGTGAAAATATTTTTTCTGGGTTGTATTATGTGTTTTTACTTGGTTTTTGGAATTTTAGCCATAGAGAAAATTTTCATTTTCATGTAAAATAGTTTTTTCTTCTTTTTTTCTCCTATCTTTGTATATAAATAGAAAGGTTTCACATTCTAGCATGTTGATTATAATTACTGATGATTTTATTTTTGTAATTTTATTATTTTATTTTTTACCTTTAATTTTTGGTTTTTGGAGTAAAGTTAGGTAAGCATTTGTATTAGTGTGTTTCCACTAATACAATAAAGACATACCTGAGACTGGGCAATTTACAAAAGAAAGAGGTTTAATGGACTTAAAGTTCCATGTGACTGGGGAGGCCTCACAATCATGGGAGGGGGCCTCACAATCATGGTGGAAGGCAAGGAGGAGCAAGTCATGTCTTACATGGATGGCAGCAGGCAAAGAGAAAGAGCTTGTGCAGGGAAACTCCCATTTTTAAAACGATCAGATCTCACGAGACTTATTCACTATCATGTGAACAGCACAGGAAAGACCCACCCCATGATTCAATTGCCTCCCGTTGGGTTCCTCCCACAAGTGGGAATTATGGAAGTTACAATTCAATTTGAGATTTGGGTGGGGACATAGCCAAACCGTATCATTCCACTCCTGTTCCCTCCCAAATCTTATGTCTTCACATTTCAAAACCAATCATGCCTTCCCAACAGTACCCCAAAGTCTTAAATCATTTCAGCATTAACTTGAAAGTCCATAGTCCAAAGTCTCATTTGAGACAAGGCAAGTCCTTTCCACTTATGAGCCAGTAAAATCAAAAGCAACTTAATTATTTCCTAGATAAAATAGGGGTACAGGCATTGGATAAATACTCCCATTCCGAATGGGAGAAATTGACCAAAACGAAGGGGGTAAAGGCCCTATGCAAGTCTGAAATCCAGCGGTGCAGTCAAATCTTAAAGCTCCAAAATGCTCTCCTTTTACTCCATGTCTTACATCCAGGTCATGCTGATGCAAGAAGGGGGTTCCCATGGTCTTGGGCAGCTCTGCTTCTGTAGCTTTGCAGGGTACAGCCTCCCTCTCGATTGCTTTCACAGTCTGGCATTGAGTGTCTGTGGTTTTTCCAGGTGCATGGTGCAAGCTATCGGTAGATATACCATTCTGGGGTTTGGAGGACTGTGACCTTCTTCTCACAGCTCTGCTAGGCAGTACCCCAGTAGGGACTCTGGGGGCTCCAACCCCACATTTCCCTTCCTCACTGCCCAAGCAGAGGTTTTCCACCAGGACCCTGCCCCTGCAGCAAATTTCTGCCTGGGCATCCAGGCATTTCCATACATCCTCTGAAGTCTAGGTGGAGGTTCCCAAACCTCAGTTCTTGACTTCTGTGCATCTGCAGTGTCAACACCACATGGAAGCTGCCAAGGCTTGGGGCCTGCACCCTCTGAAGCAATGGCTCATGCTGTACCTTGGTCCCTTTTAGCCATGGCTGGAGTGGCTAGAACGTAGGGTACCAAGTCCCTAGGCTGCACAGAGCAAGGGGGCCCTGGCTCTGGCCCATGAAAACATTTTTTCCTCATAGGCCTCCAGGCCTGTGATGGGAGGGGCTGCCATGAAGACCTCTGACATGCCCTGAAGACATTTTTGCCATTTTGTTGGAGATTAACATTCAGCTGCTTGTTACTTATGCAAATTCCTGCAGCCGGCTTAAATTTCTCCGCAGAAAATGGGATTTTCTTTTCTATCACATTATCAGGCTGCAAATTTTCCAAATTTTATACTCTACTTCATTTATAAAATTGAATGCCTTTAACAGCACCCAAGTTACCTCTTGAATGCCTTGCTCCTTAGAAATTTCTTCTGCCAGATACTCTAAATAATCTCAAAGTTCTACAAATCTTTAGGGCAGGGGAAAAATGCCACCAGTCTCTTTACTAAAACATAACAAGAGTTGCTTTTACTCCAGTTCCCAACAAGTTTCTCATCTCCATCTGAGATCACCTGAACCTGGGTTTCATTGTCCATGTCATTGTCAGCATTTTGGTCAAAGCCATTCAACAAGTCTCTGGGGAGTTCAAAACTTTCTCACATTTTTCTGTGTTCTTCTGAGCCCTCCAAACTGTTCCAACCTCTGCCGGTTACCCAGTTCCAAAGTTGCTTCCACATTTTTGGTTATCTTTTCAGCAGCACCCTACTCTACTGGTACCAATTAATGGATTAGTTCATTTTCACACTGCTGATAAAGACATAGCTGAGACTGGGCAATTTACAAAAGAAAGAGGTTTAATGGACTGACAGTTTCATGTGGCTGGGGAGGCCTCACAATCATGGTGGAGGGCAAGGAGGAGCAAGTCAAGTCTTACATGAATGGCAGCAGGAAAACAGCCAGCTTGTGGAGGGAAACTCGCATTTTTAAAACCATCAGATCTTATGAGACATATTCACTATCATGAGAGCAGCACGTGAAAGACCCGCCCCTATGATTCAATTACCTCCCACTGGGTTCCTCCCATGACAAGTGGGAATTGTGGGAGGTACAATTCAAAATGAGATTTGGGTGGGGACACAGCCAAACCATACCAGCATTCTTATTTTATGAAATCATTTTTCTAAATAAAGAGCCAGTTGCCATAGTATTCATGGAATACCACTTTTTTCTCCATTTATTTCCATTAAATTTCCACTTTCATTTGGGCCTGGTGTTTTGGCTTTACATTCTGTTTCATTGACCTGTCTACATCTTCTCCATTGCAGAATTGTTTTAATTATTGTCACTTCATGATCTGACTTAATATTGGCAGGGCTAATCCTTCCTCATTATTCTTTATAATCAAAATTTCCTGGCTACTTTTGAATACTTATTTTTCCAGATAAAGCTCAGTATCTTTCCTTCAATTTTTTAGAAATTGCTATTCACATTTCAGTTAGGATCCCTTTGCACATATGGATTAGTTTTAGAAGCATTGACATCTCTCCAATTGCTATTCAAGATTATGGCTTATTTTTCTTTTTACTTCAATCTTGAATTTTTTGATATTAGTCCCAAACATTATCCAATTTTATTTTAACCTAAAAATTTTTTATCTCTTTTGTTTTTATTATAAATGGAGCCCTTTAAAAATATATTTTATATTGGTTATATTATATATATAAAAAGCTATTTATTTTTTATATTTTTAAAGCACCAAGTGAATTCATTTCTCTTACTCATTTAGGTTATTAGATCTATTGACATATTAGAGGTATAATCTTAAAAATAATTTTTCTTCCTTTTATTTTTAGCCTTATTTCTATATTTGTCTAAATTTGTTGGTAGTCCAGAAAAAGTATTAAAAATAGTGCAAATACAGGGTAACTTTGTTTTCATGTTAAGTCTCCAACAGGCAGAGTCTCTTTTAGTTCAGGTTGGTGGTTCCTGTGGTATTATATAATAACTCTCTCAACAGCATATAGTATATGTATACGTGTGTGTGTGTATTTGCAATTTTATGTTTTTGACTTTTGATTCCAGCCAATAGCAGCATCCACAATCTTGTTTCAATCACATCTCCTTCTCTACACTTAATAATGGGTGACCTAAATTAATCAGGCATCCACTACACTCTTTGTTTACTTTTCATGCGTCACACTGTCCAGCTTGACAGGATTTATTGAACCTCCCCTTAATGGACTCAGAGATTTTTAAGGATGGTGTTTATAGCCACATCTTTGATTTCATCCCTCCCAGAGGCTGAGTTTTACTGGACTTTTATTTTTTAAAAGCATTCACCATTACATTAGAGATGAGAAAAACAATTGTATCTCCCAATCCCAGTGTTTTTACACTTGGTCTATTTCTTTTAATTACTACTTGCAACCTGGCCAATTATTTTGTGAGCGCATATATTTTTTAAAATAGTACCTTGTCAAATACTTCCAATAACAGTCAATTCATAATATATATTTACATTCTGTTTTCTCAGTTCTTTACCTCTAGCTATAAGTTCATTTGATACATTATTTGCCTTTGCAAGTTATTACAAGCAAGGCTTTTTATCAATTATTTCACCACAATTTTACATAAGACACCATTTTTTCAACCTTCAGTAATTGTTTTTCATTGCTCACTACCTGTCCCCAAAGCCAATGACATATATACATTTTAATATTGTTGTTTTGGCAGCCTCCTATTTCTAATATTCCAACTGTACTAATTAACTTAGGCTAAGCTGCATTATAGTAACAAATGACCCAGTGGCTCAGAGGCCAACACAGGAGCCATTTATCTTTTATGTTACATGCCCATCCTGGATAGGCTTTGGCCCAACTTTATCTCTTCTTTGCTATCCATTGCTGTTAAACCTTATAAATAACTTGATTGAGTATAATGTGTTTGAGCCATACTTTTTTGTGTTCCATATTTTGTACATACTGTTTCAATATTCCCCAACAGTTTTGCTGACAACTTGTTGCTGCTCGCTCTCTCCTTCTTTCTCTCTCTCTCACACTGATTTATGTTAACATGAATACTACACCTTTTTATTATACTTAAAAATCTTCCTTCGGCACATAAGAGTAGCTTTGTCCAGACCTCGTATTTTTTTCTGTCCCAACATGAGTGGATGTTCCTAGTCTTCCTACTTCATCTGAGATCTGTTTGCCATCTCCAATAAAAGAAAGTTTGGATATTATGTCTTTTATAACCTATAGCCAGAGAATGGAAGTCATAGCTTGGACTTTGTTCAGCCTTAATAGGGAATCTCAGCTTACCTCTTTCTTCTATAGTTTTATTAAACATTCATTACCCAGCTAAATTCCATCTTATTAATAGTATATCTTAGTCTAGCTCTACCTTTAACTGGTTATCTCAATGTAGTGTTTTCTAAAGAGTCAACTCAGATTGTTTTCTTAACTCCAGTCCTCTTTCTCTCTCTCAGAACTCTGCCCATTCCTGCTCCAAGCAAAAGGGAAATATATATATATAATATACATGTATATAATTTGAAATTTTAATTTCAAATTTTAAATTATAAATATGTAATTTGAAATTTTATATATATATATATATATATATATATATATATATATATATATATAAAACCCTGTCATGAATGCTCTCAGGGAGGCAGAACCCCTGCTATGCCCTGCTTCAGCTGTGTTCCTCAGTGTTGAGTGAGGAATCTTCAGAACCTGAAGAACACATTCCACCACACCATTGAGCTTAACCAAAAACAAGCAAACAAAAAACACATTCTGGATCTTAGATATAAAATTTCTGAATGACACACACAAACACACACACACACACTTTGAATATATATATTCAAAAGGTAGTTTGGGTTAGGTTCTTGTATTAGGAGTTCATATGGTAGGGGAAAGAATACCCAGTTTTCTTGTGTCATTTGGTCTTCCCCTAAAATTTATTTTTTCTTTTGTCCTCTGTTTGGGTAAATTGTTGAATTTGGGGAATAATTCGTTCTAGGGTGTTATAGGCTTTTATTGGGTCTTTTCTCTCCCTACCTATCTTTCTGTCTGTCTGTCTCTCTCTCTCTCTCTCTCTCTCACACACACACACACACACACACACGCACGCACGTGACAGAGGAAGCAACACACACACACGCACGCACGTGACAGAGGAAGCAATTATTCTTGAGAAAGACATTTAGTATAAGCTAAAAAATATGATTCCTTTTAGACTGGAAACATAGTTATTCTTTGTATTTGTTAGGTGGGTGGCAAAGATCTATAACAAATAGACCAAATGCAGTAGTTTAAATGAGAAAGAAGTTTATTTTTCTCATATAATTGGTTGTCTACAAAGTCATTCAGGCACTTGTGTTTTTCCCTCTTGTTGCTCTAGTCTCTCTGAGTGTTGCTGTCACTTATAAAGTCAAGGTTATATCACCAGTTACTGTATTATCTGCATTCTAGGATACTGGGAAGCTGAATCCTAAAATTAGAAGAGATCTGATTTATATAACAGAGGCCCCCCTTTTGCCAGTACACACACACACTTATATGTACACATGCACACATATGCACAGATACTCCACAGGTTCCGGAAATGATAATATCAATGTTTCTAAAGTGGAGGTGAAAGCAGAGCTAAAAATGCAAACATGACTGAATGTCCATTTAAGAAGAGTTAAATCCCACTATCCCTTCCTCAACTCTGTGTAGCCAAGTGAATCTGTCCTCCACCGTAGCAGAAACACGAAAGTTTATTTTCTGGAGAAGAGAAAGCTGAGGGTCTCTAGCCTGGGGAGAGGAGGGAGAGTTGTACTAAAATTAAAACAATAGGAGTAGGCTGAGCATGGTGGCTCATGCCTGTAATCCTAGCACTTTGGGAGGCCGAGGCAGGTAGATCACCTGAGGTCAGGAGTTTGAGACCACCATGGCCAACAGGGTGAAACCCTGTCTCTACTAAAAATACAAAAATTAGCCAGGCATGGTGGTGGGTACCTGTAATCCCGGCTACTCAGGAGGCTGAGGCAGGAGAATCACCTGAGCCTGGGGGGCAGAGGTTGCAGTGAGCCGCGATCACACCACTTCACTCCAGCCTGGGCGAAAGAGCGAAACTCCATCTCAAAAAACAAAACAGAACAAAAACAATGGGAATTGGTGATAGTTTACTCATGTGGCGACCTCCTTCTCCTCTTTCTCTACGTGGCCTCCAGAATGCGGTCAGCCAGTCCTATAAACTAGAGACATAGAAGATCCTTGTATGGGAAGTCTACTGACATCTAGAACAGCATCCAATGAAATGGCACAGCCAGACCACATTACAGTGAAGTTCAGAGTCATTGAACTCTACCCACGGAGAGATTCTCCTATCACCTTCCATATGAGCTGACAATAAAGAATCACCAAATATCACAGGAACGTTAAAGATCAACAAACAGAAAGTCTTGGAAGAAACTGATACAAGACAGGGAGAGGAAGACTTGAAAAAACCCTGTCATGAATGCTTTCAGGGAGGCAGAACCCCTGCTACACCCTGCTTCAGCTGTGTTCCTCAGTGTTGAGTGAGGAGTCTTCAGAACCTGAAGAACACATTCCATCACACCATTGAGCTTAACCAAAAACAAGCAAACAAAAAACACATTCTGGATCTTAGATTCTGACAGTCCCTGAACAATCTACCCCAATCCCATTTCCAGGGTTTGCCGTCCCCTTTCCTGCCTTTGTCTTCCTAAAGACCTTCCAGCACAATTGTGTGTCCACCCCTATGCTTACAGGTGGCTGAGAGGAGCCTGTTTATGTGACGTATGGATGGGGATGGAGCTTGGAAGTGTAGTCTGGGATGTCCACGTTTATGGGCATGAGTTCTCTATAGATGAAAAGGCCTATAGAGTACCTAGCATAATGGATGATTATAGACCACACCAGTGTATAATAGCATAATACTTCAAGACACTGGAAACAAGAGGAAGATCTGCAAGCTTCTTTGGGAAAAAACTGCACCAGTCCTACCATCCCTACCCTCCCACTCCAGGCTCCAAAAAACACACAAGAAACAAAAGGCTACATACAAATGTTCAGGAATCAGACTTCACACGTCTTATTAGTGACATTGAACTCAAGAACTGAGTGAAGCAGAGCCTTCAAACGTCTGATTTAAAAATTCTAAATTATCATCAATTATATAAATGAATAGAATAAGGACATTTTCAGAGATTTAAGGTATCAGAAAGTAATCTCCCGTGTATTCCTTCTCAGGAAGCCATTGGATATTATATTCCCCTAAACAAGATAATGAACTCAGAAATAAAGAACATCAAATTCATACTGAAATGAGACAGGTCTAGGAGATATTTATTAAAGAAAAATTTTCAATGCAAATGAATACAATCAGAAGTGATTTTGACAGTTGGAAAGATTTTGGAGTTCAATATAACAATCAGTTTATAGGAAACTAAACGATTAAAATGGCCATATTTGACTCCAGGAAAGATAAACATTTGGGCAAGAAAAGGCAAGTAATGAGAATATATTTATAGCTTATCTGCAAGTCTTAACAAAATAAACCCTGACTACTGATTTAACCAAAGCTGTAATTGAGGATTAAGGGGATTTTTGTCTGTTAGAAGTGGAGATGGGGAGGAGGTGTTGGATGCTATGAGAGATTAATCCTCTGCATTCATGGTGGGAAGTCAGTAGATAATGAAGAAAATGGAAAATGTAGCTATAACCAATGGTTTGGTGATTTGAACTCAAAGAGATGTGGAGCTTTGGAATAAAAAGAGTTGCCTTTGGAGGGTTCTATAAGCCTTGAATAAATATATCACTCTTTAAATCATATGAATCAATAACTTTTATAAAAATTATATCAGTCACAGATGATATAATCTTTAATATGTCTACCAGACAAGCTAGGAGTATAATTGATTGCTTGTGTGTAATCTTAATTTGTCTAGATAAAAGTGAATCTGACCCAAATTTTGCCATGAAAGTCATTGGTTCTTTATTTACTATGTCTCCACAATTAAGATTTTGAAGCTAAAGCAGTATCATCCAACATATCCCACTGAACTAAGTACTAAACTTATATCTACTAAATAACAAGTTGTTATGACTTTTCTTCGTCTTTTCTCTTTTGGAGAAAACTTATGGCCTTCATGTTCATAGACACATATGAACAGATACCTTCTATGAGTAATTAGTAAGATAAGCAATTTTTAAAAATTCCACAGAATCCTAGTCTGTGTTTAGACTTTATGCTTAGGGCCTTTCATTACTGAGCTGGATTGGACCTCAGAGGTTAACTGTTTCCTGAGTGTGTTGGGATTAGATCATTTCAATTAATTCATGTGTCTTGCCCCTGTAAAAGCCTAAGACTTTTTCAGAATAGGTGGTGGCTAACTAAGGGTGGAGTCAGGATTGCTAGTGAGATTTTCTTAGCTCCAAAATACTTATCTTCTCTGATTATAAATGAAACCCTGAAAAGTAGGGATAATTTTTCATAGAGATAATTGAATGCTGATATGAAATTAACTGTTTGCAGATAGATTTGAAGTGGATTTTGACAAGGGTGAGGTTGAAGAATAGATGATGATATTGTTTAGGCTGGAATGGTTTTTCTTTGTAATTAATTTCAGTTTTATTTTCAGGGTGATCGTGGACTTCCTGGTTTTCCTGGGCTTCATGGCATGCCAGGATCAAAGGTTGAAGAAATCTGTTTCTTTTAAATATAGCAAAGCCATTTTTTAATTCAAATATAAAGTACTTTTATATTACAAATATGTTATAAATAAATGTTCATATATAATTAGAGATAAAGTAAACAATGGGCTAAGATTAATATTAGTTTATATAAAACTTTACAAAATTCCCTTTAAAGTTTCCAGTTATAAATATATGATTTTATAGTATTTAAAAATTGATGTTATACTGTATACAAGTTTTCTTAAATATAGGCCTTAAACTATAAGCCTTGTTATAGCACTAAATGTTATTTTTTAAATTTTTCTTTATAAAGCCTGGAAATGAGGGCCTTTTAAAGCAAACTTTAAATTATTTTATTTCTATTTTGTTTTGCTTTTGGCATATTAAACTCTTTTGCTTATAATCTGTATTTTTTCTTTATAAGAAAAATATTCATATTTCTTAAATATTCACTATTTATATTTTGTCTTTTAGGGTGAAATGGGTGCCAAAGGAGACAAAGGATCACCTGGATTTTATGGCAAAAAGGGAAGTATAGATCACACAACAAAGTATTCATATTGAACTTTTAATGTAATGGAAACAGAAAACTAGAATTGCAGTTCTAACCCAGCATTAGAACAGTTAGCTCTGTTCACCCTTCTTAGGGGATTAATTCAGAACAATGAAAAAAGAAAAAAAAGAAAAAAAGAGCTGGTGACTGCAGACTGCTATGTATGGTATCCTATAAGATTATGTTGTATTGTTGATCATTCTGAGCTTTTAAAAGATTTACAGGCCGGGCGCGGTGGCTCACGCCTGTAATCCCAGCACTTTGGGAGGCCGAGGGGGGTGGATGATGATGTCAGGAGTTCGAGACCAGCCTGGCCAACATGGTAAAACCCTGTCTCTACTAAAAATACAAAAAGTAGCTGGGCGTGGTGGTGTGAGCCTGTAGTCCCAGCTGCTCAGGAGGCTAAGGCAGGAGAATCACTTGAACCTGGGAGGCGGAGGTTGCAGAGAGCCAAGATCACGCCACTGCACTCCAGCCTGCGTGACAGAGCAAGACTCCGTCTCAAAAAAAAAAAAAAAAAAAAAAAAAAAGATTTACAGATTTACAGTGAGAGATTCCTTAGGAAGCAGTAGCTGCTTAAAAACCGTGTCCACTGAAGGCCGGGCGCGGTGGCTCATGCCTGTAATCCCAGCACTTTGGGAGGCTAAGGTGGGCAGATCACGAAGTCAGGAGATCGAGACCATCCTGGCTAACACGGTGAAACCCCGTCTCTAGTAAAAATACAAAAACAAAATTAGCCAGGAGTGGTAGTGGGCGCCTGTAGTCCCAGCTACTCGGGAGCCTGAGGCAGGAGAATGGCGTGAACCCGGGAGGCGGAGCTTGCAGTGAGCGGAGATTGCACCACTGCACTCCAGCCTGGGCAACAGAGTGAGACTCCGTCTCAAAAACAAACAAACAAACAAACAAACAAAAAACATGTCCACTGAAATTTGATGTTATGGGCCTTTCTAGTTCCTCACACTGAGGGAAGAATATTTAAAATACCCATTGCTTTTTAATTTTGCCAAGATGTTATTTCTATGTTTAGATGCTTGTAATGATAATTCTGCATCTATCAACATTTTTAATGTCTTGATATTGCATCCACTGGGTTGGTAAAATAGTGCTTTGCAGAGTCAACATGAGTTGTAGTTCCATGAGTTTTTACTACATAATGATGTTAACTTAGTAGCTTTTCTATTTAAGTTTTGGTTGGAACTTGAAAACATTATTGTAAAGATTGTGTTTTAAGTGTTTGTTTTCGATACAGGGTGCAAAAGGTGAAAAGGGGAATGCTGGCTTCCCTGGCCTCCCTGGACCTGCTGTGAGTTTGATAGAAAAAAGCTCTTAGTATTTTGCTTTAAATAAAATCTATCTTATAGTATCTGTCTTTAAAGAGAAAAAATTAGTGCAAAAATATATTAAAGCATATGTATTTATTTTTTAGGGAGAACCAGGAAGACATGGAAAGGATGGATTAATGGGTAGTCCCGGTTTCAAGGTATTTATAAAAAAAAAAAAAAGGACAAAACAAAAAGATTTTTGTATCTTGAGAGGAAACATAAGAAAAATGTACCAATATTAAAATTTTTTAACATGTGGCATTGGGATAAAATTCATGAGCTAAAAGGTTTTTTACGTGTAATTTAAAAATGCTACTGAATTTCTTTTGACTTTATTGTGGACTCTTAGGTGTCAGAAGTGAATCATAGGATATTACAAGGTTGAACTTCTTCAATAAACCCTTCAGATTGGTTTATTTGGCAGGTTAGAAACAGAGGTTCTTTTCTGTGTCTCCCAAAGATTGAGGTTTCAGTGGGCTGGGAAACTGTCTTCTTAACCCCGGCTTCTTTATCAGTTGTGTGGTATGGGCATGAGAGCATTAGAGTAAGTGGGGAACTGCAAAGTGTCAATAATTCATTGTCTATGAAAAAACTCAAGGGCACATGCCCTTGGGGTGGTCCATTAGCACCATCATATTCTTAAAGTTAGGAGTTAGCTGATTTGGATACCTAAGGAGAAGATTTGTATAAGCCATCAGAGCTGAAGAGGCCATTTGGTCAATCATTGGACATAGGGATGTTATCTTGTTTTCTAACGGTCAGTTCTTTGAATCCCAAAGTTGCTCAGAAATTCAGTTCAAATTTTCTTGGTCTGTAGGTGTTTTCCAAAGGAAAAATTATTCATTTATTTACTTCAAGTGCTATGAAAGTTTTTCAAATATCCATGATTCTTCGAAGAGTATACTTTGAGGCAACACTTCCTAAGACAGTAGTAACCTGACTATAAAATATGGGAGCCCATTTTAAAGTCATTGGTTCCTTCTTGTTAATTATGCTTCAGTGGTTTCATATTTTCTCACTTATTTAATTGAACAGATTTTATTGATATTTATTAGAAACTAGACATATAGAGGAGAATAAAGCCATCATGGCTTCTACTCTTACACAGTTTATAATCTAGACTATGTGAGAGAACACAGACTTTATCTTTGCCTGCAACCTAAGCATTCATTTTAATTAATATTTTGTCCTCTGTTAGCATAAATCCATATACCCCAAGAAATGGGACTATTCTTTTTGGGAGGCAGGAGAGCTTAGAGAATAGAATGGAGTTGGATTTCCAGCTTGCAATGACTTTCTCTAACTAGCTGTATGTTCTCTGGCAAATATTTTGACAGTTTCTATTTCGAAAATAGAGTAAATGTTACCTATCTAGAATGGTATGAAAGGGACTTGAGTAAGACAAATCACCCAGCACAGTTCCTGGCAAAAAATAAGTGTTAAATAAGGAATTAGTTCTTTTATTCATTTCCTGATTTGAACACAGCTTTAAGATTCCTTTTTAGTCTTAATCTGGGTAGTATGTGCATTCATGTACCTGCAAATGTAAACATCAGTTCACTGTTTTCTAGCAGCTATATTGCTATATAATTGAAATACCATAAAATTCACCCATTTAATGTGTAGAATTCAATAGTTTTTGTGTATTTACAGAGTTATGAAACCTCATTAGAGTCAATTTTTAGAACATTTTCATTATCCCATAAAGAAACACCATGCCCTATTAAAAATACAAAAAAATTAGCTGGGTGTGGTGGTGGACGCCTGTAGTCCCAGCTACTCGGGAGGCTGAGGCAGGAGAATGGCATGATCCCAGGAGGCGGAGCTTGCAGTGAGCCGAGATGGCGCCACTGCACGCCAGCCTGGGCAACACAGCCAGACTCCATCTCAAAGAAAAAAAAAAAAAAGAAACCGCATGCCCATGTAGTGGTCTCTCCCCATTTCTCAACAAGCTACTACCCGTACATTAAACCCTTGGCAACTATTACTCTGTTTTCTGTCTCTGCAGATTTGTGCAGATTTGTGTATTCTGGACATTTCATGTAAATGGAAAGATGTAATATATGGCCTTTTGTTCTTTCAATTACCATGACATTTTTGTGGGTCATTCATGCTTTGGCTTGTATCGGTAGTACTTCATTCCTTTTTAATGCTAATAGTATTTTATTGTAGGAATATATCACTTGGTTCAACATTTTGAGGTCAGTTCACTCTTGATATTTGCCTTCCTTATAGGTTCATACTACCCTTCATATTTGACCTTGGTTATGTCTCCTATTTTCTCATTAGCATGGGTCTCCTAAAAACAATGAAGTTTTTCTGTCTTGTCTGTTTGTAAATTTTTAATGGAAACATTCATGAATTGAAAAAAAAAGCTATTTACTTTTTTTGTTTAAATTACTTTATTTTTAACAACAGTTTTAGGTTTATAGCAAAATTGAATGGAAAGTGCAGCATATTCCCACACATCCCCTGCCACTTCCCAACCCTGTACACAGGCTCTCCCATGATCAACATCTCCACCAGAGTAGTACATTTGTTACAATTGACACATCACTATTACCCAAGGTTCATAGTTTATGTTAGAGTTAATTCTTGGTATTGTACACTTGACAAATATATACATATGTATATATATACATATACATATATATATATACACATATACATATGAATATACATATATATGTATATGTATATATATATACACATATGAATATACATATATATGTATATGTATATATATATACATATGACAAAATAACCTTGTAGTATCACAGAGAATAGTTTCACTCCCTTAAAAATCCTGTGGGCTCTACCTTTTGATCCTTTCTTCTCTTCAACTACTCACAACCATTGATCTTTTTACTCTCTCCAGGGTTTTTCCTTTTTCAGCATATCATATAGTTGGAATGATACATTATGTAGCCTTTTCAGATTGGCTTCTTGCTCTTAAGAATATGCATTTAAAGTTCCCCCATGTCTTTTCATAGTTTGATGGCTACCCTCCCCAGCCTCTGTAACCATCCTTCTACCCTCTATGCCATGAGTTCAGTTATTTTGATTATTAGTTCCTACAAATACATGAGAACATGTGATGTTTGTCTTTCTGTTCCTGGCTTATTTCACTTAGCATAATGATCTCTAGTTTGATCCATGTTGTTGCAAATGACTGGATCTCATTGATTTTTATGGCTGAATAGTACTCCATTGTGTGTATGTGCCACATTTTCTTCATTCATCTGTTGATGGATACTTAGGTGACTTCCAAATCTTAGCCATTGTAAGTGCTGCCAGAAACACAGAAGTGCAGATATCCCTTTAATATGCTGATTTCCTTTCTTCTTTTGGGTACATACCCAGCAGTGGGATTGCTGGATCATATGGTAGCTCCATTTTTAGTTTTTTTTTTTTTTTTTTAAATTGAGACAGAGTTTTGCTCTTGTTGCCCAGGCTGGAGTGCAATGGCATGATCTCAGCTCACTGCAACCTCTGCCTCCTGGGTTCAAGCAATTCTCCTGCCTCAGCTTCCCAAGTAGCAGGGATTACAGGCAACTGCCATGATGCCCGGCTAATTTTTGTATTTTTAGTAGAGACATTTCGGCATGTTGGCAAGGCTGTTCTCGAATTCCTGACCTCAGGCGATCCACCCTCCTTGGCCTCCCAAAAGTTCTGGGATTACAGGCATGAGCCACTGCGCCTAACCCATTTTCAGGTTTTTTGAGGAATCTTCAAACTGTCCTTCACAGTGGTTGTACTAATTTACATTCCCACCAACAGTGTACAAGTGTTCCCTTTTCTCCACATCCTCACCAGCATTTGTTATTGTTTGCCTTTTGGATAAAAGCCATTTTAACTGGAGTAAGATGATATCTCATTTTAGTTTTGATTTGCATTTCTTTGAGTATCAATGATGAACATCTTTTCATATGCCTGTTTGCCATTTGTATGTCTTCTTTTGAGTAATGTCTATTCAAATATTTTGCCCATCTTTTGATAAGATTATTGGATTTTTTTTCTACAGAGTCCTTTGAAATTTTTGTATTTTCTGGTTACTAATCTCTTGTCAGATGGGTAGTTCGCAAATATTTTCTTGAATTTCATGGACTATCTCTTCACTTTGTTGATTGTATACTTTTCTGTGCAGAAGCTTTTCAACATGATTTGTCCATGTTTACTTGGGTTACCTATGGTTGTAAGGTATTGCTCAAGAAATCTTTTCTGAGATCAATGTCCTGGAGATTTCCCCCAATGTTTTTCTGTAGTAGTTTCATAGTTTGAGGTCTTAGATTTAAGTCTTTAGTCAATTTTGATTTGATTTTTGTGTATGCCAGGAGATAGGGGTCTAGTTTCATTGTTCTGCATAGGAACATCCAGTGTTCCTAGCACCATTTCTTGAAGAAACTGTCTTTTCCCTAGTGTATGTTCTCGGAATCTTTGTCAAAAATGAGTTCACTGTAGGTATGTAGATTTGTTTCTGGGTTCTCTGTTCTGTTTCATTGGTCTTTGTATCTGTTTGTATGCCAGTACCATGTTGTTTTGGTTAATATAGGTCTGTACTATAATTTGATGTCGGGTAATGTAATTCCTCCACTTTTATTCCTTATGCTTAGGATAGCTTTGGCCATTCTGGGTCTTTGGTGATTCCATATAAATTATAGGATTGGTTTTTGTATGTTTCTGAAGAATGTCATTGGTATTTTGATAGGAAGTTCATTGAATCTGTAAATTCCTTTGGTATTATGGACATTTAAACAATATTGATTCTTCAAACCCATGAACATGAAATATTTTTTTATTTTTTGGTGTCCTCTTCAATTTCTTTCATTAGTGTTTTATAACTTTCATTGTAGAGATCTTTCAATTCTTAGATATTTAATTTTATTTGTGACTATTGTAAATGGGATTACTTTTTAAATTTCTTTTTCAGATTGTTCACCATTGGCATATAGAGATGCTACTGATTTTTGTATGTTGACTTTGTATCCTGCAACTTTACCAAATTTATCAGTTTAATAGTTTGTTGGTGGAGTCTTTAGGTTTTTCTAAATAAAAGATTATATCATCAGCAAACAAGGATAATTTTACTTCTCCCTTTCCAATTTGGATGCCCTTTATAACTTTCTCTTGTCTGATTTCTCTAGCTAGGACTTCCAGTACTATGTTGAATAAGAGTGGTGACAGTGGACACCCTGTCATGTTTCAGATCTTACAGGAAAGGCTTTTATTTTTTTGTCCCCATTCAGTATGATGCTAGCTGTGGGTTTGTCATAGATGGCCTTTATTATGTTGAGGTATGTTCCTTCTATATCTACTTTTTTGAGGGTTTTTATCATGAAGAGATATTTAATTTTATCAAATGCTTTGTCAGCATCAATTGAAATGATCATATGGTTATCTGTCATTCTGTTTATATGATGTATCATTTTGATTGATTTGCATACATTTAACCATTCTTTTATCCCAGCGATGAATCCCACTTGGTTGTTGTGATGAATGATCTTTCTAATATATTGTTGAATTTGGTTTGTTAGTATTTTGTTGAAGATTTTTGCATCAATATTCATCAGAGATATTGGCCTGTAGTTTTGTTTTGTGGTATGTTTTTGTCTGGTTTGGTGTCAGGGTAATACTGGCCTCATAGAAAGAGTTTGGAAGTATTCCTTCTTCCTCTATTTTTCAGAATAGTTTGAGTAGGATTGGTATTAGTTCTTTAAATGTTGGGTCAAATCCAGCAGTGAAGCCATCAGGTCCCAGGCTTTTCTTTACTGGAAGACTTTTTATGACAGTTTGCATCTTGTTACTTGTTATTGGTCCTTTCAGGTTTTGGATTTCTTCCTGGTTTAATCTCAGTAGGTTGTATGTATCTAGGAGTTTGTCCATTTCATGTATATTTTCCAATTTATTGGCATATAGTTGCTCATAGTAGCCACTAATGATCCTTTGAATTTCTGCAGTATCATTTATAATATCTCCTTTCTCATTTCTGACTGTATTTTATTTGGGTATCCTTTTTTATTTTCTCGGTTACACTGGCTAAAAATTTGTCAATTTTGTTTGTCTTTTCAAAAAAAACAACTTTTTGTTTCATTGATCTTTGTGCTTTTGAATTTCAATTTCATTGATTTCTGCTCTGATCTTTATTATTTCTTTTCTTCTACTAATTTTGGGTTTGGTTTGCCTTGCTTTTCTAATTCTTTAAGATGAATTGTTAGATTGCTTATTTGAAGTTTTTTTCTCTTTTTTGATGTAGATACTTAGAGCTATAAACTTCCATCTTACTACTGTTTTTGCTGTATCCCATAGATTTTGGTATGCTGTGTTTCCATGATTACTTGCTTCAAGAATTTTTTCAATTTTCTTCTTAATTTCTTCATTGACTCACTGGGCATTCAGGAGCATATTGTTTAATTTCCATGTGTTTGTATAGTTTCCAAAATACCTCTTGTTATTGATTTTTAGCTTTATTATATTATCGTCAGAGAAGATGCTTGATATTATTCCATTTTTGGAATGTTTGAAGACTTGTTTTGTGACCTAACCTATGGTCTGTCTTCGAGAATAATCCACATGCTAAGAAAAGAATTTATATTCTGCAGCTCTTGGATAAAATGTTCAGTAAATATCTATTTGATTCGTTTGGTCTGTAGTGCAGATTAAGTCTAATGTTTCTTTGTTGATTTTCTATCTGGAAAATCTGTCCAATGCTGAAAATGGAATGATGAAGTCTCCAGCTATTATTGTATTGGGGTCTATCACTCTCTTTAGCTCTAATAATATTTCCTTGCTATATCTGGATGCTTGGGTGTTAGGTGCATTTAAAATTGTTATATCCTCTGCTGAATTAACCCCTTTATCATTGTATAGAGACCCTTTTCTCTTAGTTTTTGACTTGAAAGCCATTGTGTCTGACATAAATATAGCTAGTCCTGTTCTTTTTTGGTTTCTGTTGGCATGGAGTATCTTTTTCCATCCCTTTATTTTTAGTCTATGTGTGTCTTTATAGGTGAAGTGTGTTTACTGTAGGCAATAGATCAATGGGTATTGTTTTTTCATCCAGTCAGCCAGTCTATGTGTTTTGATTGGAGAGTTCAGTTTGTTTACATTAAATGTTATTATTTATAAGTAAGGACCTACTCCTGTTATGTTGTTATTTGTTTTCTGGTTGTATTTTGGTCTTTCCTTCCTTCTTTCTTTCATTCCTATTGTCCTCTAGTGAAGATGATTTTCTCTGGTGATATAACTTAGTTTCTTGCTTTTTATTTTTTGTGTATTCATTGTATGTATTTATGAGCCTTACAGATATTATTTTATAACCCATTATTTTAAACTGATAACAACTTAATGCTATTTGCATAAACAAACAAACAAGCAAAAAGAAAACTAATAAAAACTTGCCTTAACTTTGTGCCCCTGGTTTTTAACTTTTTATTGTTTCAATTTATATTTTATTGTACTGATTATGTTTTTTAAAGTTGTTATA
Source organism: Homo sapiens (assembly GCF_000001405.40). Lineage (NCBI taxonomy): Eukaryota > Metazoa > Chordata > Mammalia > Primates > Hominidae > Homo > Homo sapiens. Next base: position 56,116,736 of record NC_000006.12, on the reverse strand, counting down.
GTTATTATTTTTGATTGGTTCATTATTTAGTCTTTCTATTTAGGATAAGAGGAATTTACACACCACAGTAACAGTGTATAATATTCCGTGTTTTTCTGTGTGCTTATTATTACCAGTAAGTTTTTTACCTTCAGGTGATTATTTATAGCTCATTAATGTTCTTTTCTTTCTGTTTAAAGTACTGCCTTTAGCATTTCTTGTATGGTAGGTCTGGTATTGATGAAATCACTCATCTATTGTTTGTCTGGGAAAGCCTGTCTTTCTCCTTCATGTTGAAGGATATTTTTGTGGATATACTATACTAGGGTAAAGTTTTTTTTTTTTTTTTTTTTTTTTTTTTACCTTTGGCACTTAAAAAATGTCATGCATCATGCTACTCTCTCCTGGCCTGTAAGCCTTCCACTGAAAAGTCTGCTACCAGACATATTGGAGCTCCATTGTATGTTATTTATTTATTTTTGTCGTTTGCTGCTTCTAGGATCCTTTCTTTATCCTTGACCTTGTAGAGTTTGATTATTAAATGTCTTCAGGTAGTCTTTGGGTTAAATCTGCTTGGTGTTCTATAGCCTTCAAGTACTTGGATATTGATATCTTTCTCTAGGTTTGGGAAGTTCTCTGTTAACCCTTTGAATAAAGTTTCTACCTCCTATCTCTTTCTCTACCTCATCTTTAAGGCCAATAACTCTTAGATTTGCCCTTTGAGACTATTTTCTAGATCCTGTAGGCATACTCTATCATTTATTATTATTTGTCTCCTCTGACTGTTTATTTCCAAAGTCTATCTTCAAGCTCATCAATTACTTCTTCTGCTTGATTCATTCTGCTATTAAAGGACTCTGATACATTGTTCAGTATGCTAATTGCATTTTTCAGCTCCAGAATTTCTGCTTTGTTTCTTTGTAATTATTTCAATTTCTTTGTGAAATTTATCTAATATAATTCTGAATTCCTTCTCTGCATATCTTGAATTTTTTACAGTTTTCTCAACACACCTATTTTGAATTCTTTGTCTTAAAGGTTACATATTTCTATTTCTCTAGAATTGATTCCTGGTGTCTTACTTAGTTGATTTGGTGAGGTCATGTTTTCCTGAATGGTGTTGATGCTAGTAGATGTTCTTCAGTGTCTGGGCATTGAAGAGTTAGGTCTTTATTGTAGTGTTCACTGTCTGGGCTTATTTGTAGTCATCCTTCTTGGGAAGCTTTTCCAGTTATCTGAAAGGACTTGGGTGTTGTGATCTAAGCTGTTTCTGCTTTAGGGTACACCCCAAGCCCAGTAACATTGTGGTTCTTGCAGACTTGTAGAGGTACCAACTTGATTGTCTTGAACAAAGTCTGGGAGAATTCTCTGGATTACCAGGCAGAGATTCTTTTTCTCTTCCCTTACTTTCTCCCAAACATACAGAATCTTTGTCTCTGTTCTTTTTTTTTTTTTTCTTTATTATTATACTTTAAGTTTTAGGGTACATGTGCACATTGTGCAGGTTAGTTACATATGTATACGTGTGCCATGCTGGTGCGCTGCACCCACTAACTCGTCATCTAGCATTAGGTATATCTCCCAATGCTATCCCTCCCCCCACCCCACAACAGTCCCCAGAGTGTGATATTCCCCTTCCTGTGTCCATGTGATCTCATTGTTCAATTCCCACCTATGAGTGAGAATATGCGGTGTTTGGTTTTTTGTTCTTGCGATAGTTTACTGAGAATGATGATTTCCATGACATGAACTCATCATTTTTTATGGCTGCATAGTATTCCATGGTGTATATGTGCCACATTTTCTTAATCCAGTCTATCATTGTTGGACATTTGGGTTGGTTCCAAGTCTTTGCTATTGTGAATAATGCCACAATAAACATACGTGTGCATGTGTCTTTATAGCAGCATGATTTATAGTCCTTTGGGTATATACCCAGTAATGGGATGGCTGGGTCAAATGGTATTTCCAGTTCTAGATCCCTGAGGAATCGCCACACTGACTTCCACAATGGTTGAACTAGTTTACAGTCCCACCAACAGTGTAAAAGTGTTCCTATTTCTCCACATCCTCTCCAGCACCTGTTGTTTCCTGACTTTTTAATGTTTGCCATTCTAACTGGTGTGAGATGGTATCTCATTGTGGTTTTGATTTGCATTTCTCTGATGGCCAGTGATGATGAGCATTTTTTCATGTGTTTTTTGGTTGCATAAATGTCTTCTTTTGAGAAGTGTCTGTTCATGTCCTTCGCCCACTTTTTGATGGGGTTGTTTGTTTTTATCTTGTAAATTTGTTTGAGTTCTAAATGCCCACAAGAGAAAGCAGGAAAGATCCAAAATTGACACCCTAACATCACAATTAAAAGAACTAGAAAAGCAAGAGCAAACACATTGTCTCTGTTCTGATACACCTAAAGCTGGGGATGGAGTGATACAAGCACCCCTGTAACCACCACCACTATGCTCTGGGTCAGATCTGAAGCCAGCACAGCACTGGGTCTCACCCAGTGTCTGCTCTGACCACTCTCTGGCTGCTGCCTATGTTCGTTCAAGGCCCTATGACCCTACAATCAGCAGGTGGCAAAGCCAGCCAGGCCTATGTCTTTCCCTTCAGGATGGTGAGGTCCACCAACCCCCAAATGGGTCCAGAAGTTCCATCTTGGAGTTAGGGACTAGAGTCAAAAGCCTTAGATGTCTACCTGGTATACTGTTGTGTTGCAGCAGAGCTGGCACTTAAACCACAAGACGCAGTCCTTCTCACTTTTTTCTCTCCTTTCAAAGGCAGAGGAGCCTCACCTCATATCCACCACCACCCCTAGCCATGAGGAGTACTGCCAGATGACCACTGACGTTTCTTTGAGCCCCAAGGTCTCATAAGTCAGCTTATGGTGAATGCTGCCTGGCCTGGGACTCACTCTTTAGGGCAGTGGGATCCCCTGTGGCCCAAGGCAGGTCCAGAAATGCTGTCTAAGAGTCGAGTCCTGGAATTGGAGACCTCAAGACTCTGCTTGGTGCTCTACTTCCCCGTGGCAGTGTTGGTACCTAAGGTGTAATACAGAGTTTCCTTTAATTTTCCCTTTGCTTGTCTCAAGCAGAAGGAGTTTTACCCCATAGCCACCACAGCTTAAGGCTGAGTCTCACATGAAGCCAACAAGTCTCAGAGGTTCACCAAGGCCCTTGGTGTAGTACGTAGGTATCGCTGCTAGTTATTCAGGGCCCAAGGGCTCTTCAGTTAACAGGTGATGAATGCTGGCAGGACTGCATCCTTTCCTTCAAGGCAGTGGGTTTACTTCTGGCCCAGGGTGTGTCTAGAAATGTCAGAAATGTCTAGAAATGAGCTAAGGCCTGGAAAGGGGGCCTCTTGACTCTGGCCAGTACCCTATCCTGCTGTGGCTGAGCTGGTATTCAAGATACAAGACAAAGTCCTCTTCACTCTTTCCTCTCCTCTCCTCAAGGATTATAGAAGGAAGGGGTCTCTTTTGGATCCATGAGCTTTGCAGTCTGGGGTTAGGAGAAGGATGCTGTCAACACTCTCTTGGCTGCCCCAATGTGGGTCTCAGTATGTTGTGTGCCTCCCCAGTCTACTGTCTGTGGGCCTAGTTCAGCACTAGGATTCTTTTATGAGTTGCAGACATTATGGCCTAGGCTCCCTTTCAAGTTTACTTGGAGACTGAAGCGCTTTGGCCCTTGGTGGTGAGGTTTACAGGCACTCAAGTTCAGACCACTGGGATGGGTAATTCTCCTTTGGCTGGGGCTGGTTTAAATGCTTCCTCTGGGCCTAGCGCCGTGACTCATGCCTGTAATCCCAGCACTTTGGGAGGGCAAGGCGGGCAGATCACCTGAGGTCAGGAGTTTGAGACCAGCCTGACCAACATGGAGAAACCCCATCTCTACTAAAAATACAAAATTAGCGGGGCATGGTGGTGCATGCCTCTAATCCCAGCTACTTGGGAGGCTGAGGCAGGAGAATCGGTTGAACCTGGGAGGCGGAGGTTGCAGTGAGCCGGAATCACGCCATTGCACTCCAGCCTGGCTAACAAGAGCGAAACTCCGTCTCAAAAAAAAAAAAAAGAAAAAAGAAAAGAAAAAAAAACTTCTTCTGTGGGCAGGCATCAGTTGAGTTTGGTCTGGTTTTCCTTTCTGCTTTAACAGGAGAGCACTGGTTTCAGTGGTTCACAATTGTTGTGTTCTCCCTTCATTAGCACCCAGAAATGCTTTCCACTCCATGCTGCCTCTGCTGGGGAAGGGGGAGGGGTGGCATCGGTAATTCAGGATTGTTTTTTCTCTCTCTTCAGTGCCTCTTTCAGCAATATGGAGTTAAAACCAGGTACTGTGAGTGCTCACCTGATTTTTGGTTCTTTGAAAGTGTTTTTTCTTTGTAGATAATTGTTAACTTGGTGTTCTTGCTGGGAGGGGGTGACAATCGGTGGAGCTTTCTACTCCATCTTGCTTGCCTCCCTCCTGATTTATTTTGAATTAATTTATATGTATGGTATGAGATAAAAATCAGGTCTCATTTTTTTCCCATAGGGAGATTCAGTTATTCTAGCACCATTTATTGAAGACTTTCATTTCCCTTTGAATTACATTAGAACTTTTGCCAAATATGAATTGATCAATATGTGGGAAACTATTTTTAGATTCTCAATTCCATTCCACTAATTTATACCCATATTCTTTCCTCAACAACGCAGTCTTAATTATTATAGCTTTAAAATAAACCTTGAAATTGTGTGGTGTAAATCCTCTAATTTTTTTTTTTTAGAAATCATAATGATATTATAGATTTACATAAATTCCATATTATTTTTAGTATCAGTTTTAAAATTTTTACCAAGAGAGCCTGTGGGATGTGTTAAAGTTTTTTCTTTTTCTTTTTTTTTTGAGACAGAGTCTCACCCTTGACACCCAGGCTGAAGTGCAATGGCACGATCTTGGCTTACTGCAACCTCTGCCTTCCAGGTTCAAGCCATTCTCCTGCCTTAGCCTCCTGAGTAGCTGGGATTACAGGCACCTGCCACCATGCATGGCTGATTTTTTTTTTTTTTTGTATTTTTAGTAGAGATGGGATTTCACCATGTTGGCCAGGCTGGTCTCAAACTACTGACCTCAGGTGATTCACCCACCTCAGATTCCCAAAGTGCTGGGATTACAGGCATGAGCCACCATGCCTGGCCAAAGTTTTTAGTGTGGAATAATTGTAGATTGCAGAAAAGTTGCAAATATAGTAGAGAATTCCTCATACCCTTTATCCAACTTCTGTTGAAGTTAACATTTTATATTACTATGGTATATTTGTCAAAACTAAGAAACCAATATTGGCACATTACTGTCAACTGGACTCCATACTTTATTTGGGTTTCATTAGTTTTTCTACTAATGTAATTTTTCTGTGCCAGGATCCAGTCCAGGATACCACATTACATTTATTTGTCATGCCTTCCTATTTCCCACTGATCTGTGATAGCTTATGAGTCATTTCTTGTCTGTCATGACTTTGATGGTTTTGAAGAGTATTGACCAGGTATTTTGTAGAATATCACTCAGTTTGAGTTTGTTTCATGCTTTCCTCATGATTAGATTCAGATTATAGTTTTTTTTTTTTTTGGAAAAGGATAACAGAGGGTTCAAGTGTCCTTTTTATCAAATCAGAATGTACATGCTACCCAGATGAAAATTCATTGGTGATATTAATGATGATCACCTGTTTTATAGTATTTACAAGCTTTCTTACTACTTTTTCATCCCATATTCTGTTCTTTGGAAGCAAGTCACCAAATTCAAGCCCTACTCAAGGTGGGGTGTAGACTTAAGCTCCAAATCTTAGAGGGAAGAGCATCTTCATGTCTCTAAATTTATTTGGGGAGAGTTGCCATCTTAACAATATTGAATTTTTCAATCCATGAACATGGTATATTGTTTCACTTATGTGAGTTTTCTTTATTTTATCTCAGCAAAGTTTCATAGTTTTCAGATCTTGTAAGTCTTCTGTTAAGTTCATATCTAAGTATTTTATTGTATTTCTTCATACTCATAAATAGACTTTGAAAAATTTTTCAGTTTGTTGCTAGCATATGGAAATATTGTTAGTTTTGGTATATTGATTGTATATCCTACAGTCTTATTAAATTCACTTATTAGTTCCTGCAACTTTTTTTGTTGATTTCTCAGGTTTTTCTACATAGATGATTATATTGACTACAAATAAAGACAGTTTTCTTCTTCTATACTAATTTATATGAAATTTATTTATTTTAATAGTTTTATTCACTAAACAAGCCCTCAATACAATAACAAATAGAAGGGATAAAAGCACATATTTTTGCCTTGCTTCTGACCTTAGGTAGAAACCATCAGTCTTTTAACATTGAATGTTAGTTGTTGGTTTTACATAAAAGCCCTGCATCAGGATGAGAAAATTCCCTTTTATTCCCAGTCTATTGAGAGTTTTCTTTTAAAATATCATGATTAGATGTTGAATTTTGCAAAAAAAAAAAAAAAAAGCTTTTTCTGCCTTCACTGACTTGATTATATAATTTTCCTCTCATATTTTCTTAATATACAACATTGATTTTTGTATGTTACACTAATTTTGCATTATTGGGATAAACCACAATTGGTTATCTTATAATATTCTTTTTATACATTACTGGATTCAATTTGCAAATGTTTTATTTCATATTATTTGTGTCTATGTTCATGGATGATTTTGATCAGCAGTTTTCTTTTTCGTGATATTTTTGTCCAGCTTTAATATCAAAACAATACTGGCTTTTCTTTTCTAAAAGCATTTGTGTAGTGTTAGTGTCATTTCTTCTTTATATGTTTGGTAGAATTCACCAGTGAAACCCTCTGGGCCTGAGCTTTGCAGGTGTGTTGTGTGTCTAAGGAACATTTTAATTAATAATACACCTATTTAGATTTTATCTTTCTTCTTGAGCAACCTTCAGCAATTTGTACCTTTCAGTGAATTTGTCCATATCATTTAACTTGCAAATTTCTTGGCATATTTTGTTTACAATATTGCCTTATTCTTGTCCTTTTAATGTCTGTAGGTTTTTAGTAATGTCCTTTATTTCATTCCTGATATTATTTTGTAATGATAATTTCTTATTGATACTTTACAATTGAAATCAAGCACTGCAGAATATTTCCTACTCTTCCCCTCTGTCATTTGAGCCTGGTTCTTTTTGTTCTTGGATAACTTTCTCTTATTTTTTTCCATGGGAATTTGTCTGTTTAAGCATTCTTTCTCTCATAGGGTCAATAATAATAAGCTTCACTCTCCTAGGGAACTATTATTTCATCTATATTTTTCAAGTGACTTGTATAAAATTGTGCAAGTTCCTCTCATGATTTTTAAAAAGTTTTCTCTGTTTTAATGATTATTCTCCCTTGGTCATCATTTCTTACTTTGAATACATATGCTTTCACTCTCTACTTTTCTTTTTTTTACTTTTATATGTTTCTGGTTTCCCTCCTGTGTTGGATTTTTTCAAAGATCCAACATTGTAATTTGATTTTTGACTTCATTAAATTTTTGTTTTTTACTTTTATCCTATTTTATTTCTTTATTCTTTTTTCCTACATTTTTTCTAGCTTTTGCAATTGAGAATTGAATTCATTTACATTCGTTTTTTGTTATTTTTTATCTAAGTAGTTAAACTGAATATTTTTCTCATCTTTGTTTGAGTTGTATCCCCTTGATTCTGATATGCAATGTTTTCATTAACTTTTTTTAAAATAAATTTTGTAATTCTAGTTTTTCTCTGTTTCCTAAAAGTTGTTTAAAGAGTTAAAAGTCTTTTTAGGGTGAAAATCCTTTTATTTAGATTTTGTTGCTAATTTCTGATATTATTGTGCTGTATCAGAGAATGTTTGTATAATTTCTTCTTTATAAGTTTTAGTGAATTTTTTCTTTGACTTATTGTATGTTTAATTTTCAGGAATGTTCCCTGTGCATATGAGAAGGTAAATCTCTATTTTCAGAGTGTAAAACTCAATATACATTCATAAGAACTACCTTATTGAATATCTTATTTAGATCTTCTATAACTTAATTCTTTGTTTGTTTGGCCTGTCTTGAACAGAGAGTGGTATATTAGTGTCCTATTATTCGTGCATTTTTGTCTATTTTTTCTTTCACCTTCTGTTTCATGAATGTAGTTTCTACGTTATTCATTGTATAGATATTTTTAACTCCTACATCTTCATTTTGAATTGTGGCTTTAGCATTATAAAATATATTTTTTGTTTCCTTTAATAATTTTTCACTTGAATTTTACCTTCTCCAGTATCAGGATTACACGTTTTCTTTTTATTTTTATTTGCTTGCTGCACCTTCGCCCATCCTTCTATTGTCTAGCTTTAGCTTTTTGAGTCACTTTGTTTTAGTTGTGTCTCTTGTATCAAGTGTAGAGTTGGTCTTTGCTTCTTAAAGCAATCTGAATTTTTTTATTTTAATAGATTAAGTCTATTTTCACCCATTGTCTGATAGGTTTGGTCTTATCTCTGTCAAAATACTCACGTTGTAATTTTGTTATTATGTAAATTATGCTATACTGACTATATTTCTTTCTCAATGTGTTTTTGTTGACTTTTCCTATTCTGCTTTTAATTTCTTTGGGATTTAGGAAAATTTATATTTTTATTTTAGTGGTCTTTATACTACGTTTACTATTCCTTGTAAATATCCGTTTCAGAATTCTGTTATTCTCCCTTTACATACCTTGAGCATCAACTCTTTGTTGTGTTAAATTTAAATTATACCCTATTATCTATGTGGAAATTAATGAATTCTATTTTCTCCTTTTCTTTAATCTTTTCTTCTTGTTTATTTCTACCTTATCAGATTATATAATATTTATAAAATACTTTTTACACTTTATCTTTGTTTCAGATCTGCAATTAAATATACTCAGTGTTTGTCACCAGCACCTTTACCAATATTCCACGGTCACATTTGGGTTTAATAAAGGTTTTCCTCCTTTGGAAGGGCTTGTGAATACAGTATTCTGAATTCTTGATATTTTAGTATGTTTTTCTACACTTTTATTATTTGAATGACAGCTTGGCTACCTATAAAACCCTTGTCTCACCACTTTTCACTGTTTTTTTTCTGAATTTCTTAGAAATATTGCTTACACTGCCAACATGTGTGTTGCTGATGCCAATCTAATTGTCTTTCCTTTGTGACTCTTTTTCCTATGAAGATGAGAGTTTAAAACAAAAACAATTTTGCATTTAAAGTCTAATAGCATATGTTTCAGAATTTAAAATCCCAGTTACTCCAAAAAGCTTTAGAAAGGAAGATTCAGGGATTTTTTTTTTTCTGGAATGTTCTTTTGAATTATAGTTTTAAATATAAATTCTGTTACTTTTTTTTGGTTTGTATCTCAAGGACTCCAATTACAGATATATTGAAATTTATTTGTCTTCTATCGTTTCTGAGCCTTTAATGTGTTTCAAAAGTCTATTTTTATTGGCTATGCTTGTTTTCTCCTCATTGACGTTTATAATTTTAAGTGAAATCTATTCTCCCTTGGTTTCTAGTAATTTAATCATCGTTCTCATCTGAGATGATTTTGTCTTTTTGATTCCTGAATAAATTCTTATTTCATATCTTCCTTTTATACATTTTTATTCTGAATTTTTTAACTAATAAAAATACTTGGCCGGGCGCGGTGGCTCACGCCTGTAATCCCAGCACTTTCGGAGGCCGAGGTGGGTGGATCATGAGGTTAGGAGATCGAGACCCTCCTGGCTAACACGGTGAAACCCCGTCTCTACTAAAAATACAAAAAAATTAGCCGGGCGTGGTGGCGGGCGCCTGTAGTCCCAGCTACTGAGGAGGCTGAGGCAGGAGAATGGCGTGAACCCGGGAGGCGGAGCTTGCAGTGAGCCGAGATGGCGCCACTGCACTCCAGCCTGGGCGACAGAGCGAAACTCTGTCTCAAAAAAAAAAACTTGTATAATGTTTGTTAATCCAGGTTACAGTATTTTGTTTCAGTTTTCTTTATGTTTATTTTTGTGTGAGGAAAATATGAAAAGTTTTTATTATTTTTTTCTTTTTGTTCTCTGTTTTGGATATTATCTGCCAATTCTTTTCAAATTTGAACTATCCTGTATATATTTTGACCTGTAATAATAAACAGGGTTGTACATGTTTGGATAGCTTGCTGGTCTTCTTAGTTGTAGATTCTCTCTTCTTTTATGTATAATGAAGTTAGAAGTTTCTTTAGTTAATGAGTGCTGGGTAGGACTTGGTGTGTTTTCTGCTGGGGATGTGGAGGAGTGAGAAACATAATGTGTTGATTTTAGATTCTTGTGGCACATTCACGGGAAGAAGTTGAGTAAGCAGTTATACACAGATAAGAAGCTCCATCTTATTTAGAGAAGGGGAAAGAATGGGATATAGAACAGAGTTGTAAGGAATTATCTTAGATTGAATGAAGGACTCCTGTTTACTGTAATAAAATAAAAGGAATGGATGGGTGCAAATGCAGGTAAGTGTGTTGGTTTGGTGGCAGAATGTTTGTATCCTGTTTTTTCTTAGAATGTTGGCAGAAGGAGAAAAAAGCTTTTGTTGATTGGAGAATATTTTATATAGCAGAAACTTTCTATATACATGAAAAATGTGGCAGAGAAGAGATAAAGGAAATATAGAAGTTGCATTGAAGTCCAGTTGAAGCTGGAAGTTATAATCTGTATGATTATTATAGTATTTTTCCTCCGTAGCCATACTTTGAACGTAAGCATAGGCTGAGGCTATTTTCAGTTTGGTTTACTCAACACTGGAATTTGCATAAACCAGTATGGTGGATGCAGAGTGAGGTAAAGGACAAGAATTTTAGTTAGAAAGTGGTTGAAATAATTAAATGTGGTATTTAAGCTGGATATGCAAAGAACCAAAGACAGAAAAGGAGAGATTATAACAAAAGGCGTAACTCATTGGATATTTCCAAGAGCTTGGCTCTTTTTACAGCACTGTACATGTATTTTCTCATTAATCTCATAAATCATTATCAGTTGTAAGTGGAAAAAATTTATCCTTTCACAGATGAGGAAACAAAGAACTAGAGTAAATAACTTGTCCAAGGTGACATGGCCATAACAACAACCAATGAAAATTCTGCTCACCAACTGGTTGGAAATCATGTTATACCCAAATATTCTCTCCTAGTTATAGAAAATAATGATGAAACTATTGACCCTACTGTTTTTAATGATATCTTAACTAGAATAAAGAAGGATTGGCTTTATGTTTAAAAATACTCATTTTGCCAAAATTATAATGACAAACTATAGCAGTTCAAGTATTGAAATAACATATATTATTTGAAAATAATATAGCCAAAAATACATCGTGAATAAAGGATTGTTAAAACCTCAACTTTTTGGTGGCAGTGGATCTCCCTTTCTGTGCCAAGAGTTGCATAAGGCATTTTCACAAAGGCTCTTATTTTATTTTCCTAAAAAACAAATCTATGAAGTTTGGAGTATTAATGGCATTTTATGCATAACATCAGGTTCAAAGAGAGGACGGGATTTAGTTAAACATGCACAGCTAGTTCCATGGCAGAGTGAGGGTTCCAGGTCTAGTTCGTATGCTCACTGATGTGCATGATACCTTCCAAATGTCCTGTCTGTTTACTTGGTCAGCTAGGAGAAGCTTCCTCAGTCTTACATCTTTAATACATCCGCAGGCATGCTAGTGATTTGTTTACAAATGAAGAATAAACTATGCCATAAGATCAAAGTCAAAATAAAGTGTTTCCTTAACAAAGCAAGGATCTTCCTCAAAATTAAACTATATTTTCATGATCAGTAAACCATACCTTCCACCTGATTTTGAGGATTGCTATAAGCAAACTAAATTACTTTCCATCCTTTTATTTTTTTGGGGTAAATACCAAAGACCACAGCATGAAAGGAAATACACATGGAATGCAAGTTTCACATGCCTGGTTTTAGTTAAATTTCCTTTTTTTTAAAGAACTGTCTTGTTGTGGAATAAATCATTTTTGACGTTAGCTGTAGAAATTAGATTGAGAAATAATGTTAAGCATGACATTTTCTCAATTATGTTATATCAAGAAGGGAGTTAATAACAGAATAGAAAAACAATAAATCGGATATGAGACCATGTTTTATACTTTTTCAAATGCCAAACAAACTGACCTGCACCAGGTTATCCAGGTCATAAAAGTAATCAAGTGATCAGGTTAAGTTCTGGTAACAATATTAAATTTCACAGGCTGGTTGTATCTTGCATTTGATTATTTCAAGGAAAATGCCAAGTAGAAATTATCCTTTCATTTCTTGATGAAACATTATTAAAATCCATTATTAAAAAATGAAGAGAGTGTTCTTAGGTAAAGATGACTGGCCATTATCTTGTAATAACTAACTGCATAATTGTCCAACAGTAAATGCTAGCGCTTTATCCACAAATGTTTTTCCCATTTCCTTTATCCCTTTGAAATAGAACATTGAAGAATAAAGAGTCTGTTCCTCCTTCCTTGATATACTCCAATGATTGTAAAGAAGGGTACTTGTAGTTTTATATTATGTTTGGCACTAGTCTAAGTATTGTAGGTGATTAAAAAAACTCCTATAAATTATGTTTTCTACCTTTAAAAGAATGTGCAAGTCAAGCAAATAACACATATAAACAAGACACCTGCTGAACAACTTAGCATAATAAAATTCAGTGCTAAGTGAAAAGCTATATAATGTTATACTAGTTCATAGAAGAGAGGGATTCATAAGTGCAGAAAGAGTCTGTAAGTCTGTTTTGAGATCTGGGCTAGAGTAGTGTTTCTCAAAGTGTTGTCCAAGACTAGCAGTCTCAGCACCTTCTGTAAACTTATTAGAAATGCAGATTCCAGGGGTTGCCCCAGACCTACCATATCAGGAACTCTGGGTTGGGGTCCACAATCTGCAGTTTAACAAACCTTCCGGGTGATTCAGATGAAGTTAAATTTTGAGAATCACTGCTATAGATAATAAAGAATGTGATATTTTATTCAGTTAATATGTTAAGTGTCTAATATAAAGTAAGAAGAACATAATAAGTTAAATCCTCAAATAATTGTGGAACTTCATTATTGATGAACCTTGCTGATGGCTACTTACGTTTTTAAAACTCCTGATAATTAAAATAAAATGATATTAGGTCAATGGACAGATAGAAAAAAGTAGAGATTTTATAAATCAAAGTAGTCATGATTTTATAAATCAAAGTAGTCATCTAATCATGTATTTTGCCATTACTTTTAATGGCAAAAACTGCAATTACTTTTGCACCAACCTAATAATTTCAAATTAATTGTTTCTACTATTTGGCAAGTGCCTTACCCTCTTTATTTTAAATACAGAAAATTTAACCACAGATTGTTTTATAAGTCACATATGACAGTACCTGGAAGTAGGAGAAGTTAAATGATCTAATGACTTATAGCAGGGCTGGTTCTCAAATGGCTGCATTAGAATCACCTGGAAGAATTATTAACACAGATTGCTGGCCCCCACCCAGAGATTCTGGCTTAATATGCTGCAGTATGGCCTGAAATTTTATATTCTGAAGAAGTTCCCATGTTAAATGAAGAAGTTGATCTTGCCTGGTCTGAGGACCATATTTGAGAACTACTAATAGGAGAGATTCCTTCTGACTATTGATATGAGTGTTAAGTTCAGATAAAATATTGCATTATTTCTTCATAGTATTAGGATCTAACATATCCCTTGTCTTGAATTTTTCAGGCTTTTTAAACTAGCTTTCAAACTAAGTGGATCCAACATTTTTTCCTCCAATATTTTTATATGCTTTTCTGTAGAGCTATTGGATTAGCAGTAACTTCTCTCCCTCTAATTTGGTTAATTTTCAGGAAAGCATTAATCTTTGCTCCTTCTATTCTCAACTAGTGTTTATAAATAAAACTGGTATAGATGAAATATTTGGCTTTAGTTGGCATTTCACAGTTCTAATAAAATGCAGGAATTCATACAAGTGGGAGAACTGTTGTTTATGTAATGTGATATGGTTGAATTTTTTTCTAAGTACTGATTATGTTTGCCAAATTTTAGAGGTGCTTCTGTGCTTTATTTTCTATAATTTTGGGAAATTCATTAGAATATGAAATTATGGATGACAGTGTTATAATATGCTTCAGTGCATTGCATTCTTAGACTCTTTCTCCCTTAAACTTATTTCAACTCAGGTATTTGAGACATTTACGGGAAAAAATGCTTTTATTTTACCTCCTATCTTGCTTTCATCTAGGATAAAATGTTCTTTCTGGTATGAAACAAGTGTGGCAAATTGCTTGCAGAGAACTTTGCTTGTTGTGATGCAGCATTTTGCTGGACAGAAACAAATGCATGGCTCATAATGACTGTTAGATTTCAAAAAGTCTGGGGTGTGTACATGTGTGTATATGTGTCAACAGGCTCTTCCTTGCTATCCTTTATTTTGCTCAGATAGTTTAATAGTTGTACTAATCTGCAGATATTATACATTTTAGGATTATATTCAGCTAATATTTATTGTTTTAGTAGAAGAAGTGTCAGATACATTTGTATTCACTAGCAATTGATTCATTTAGGAAAAAAATTTAGCTTCCAAAACGTAGATGTAAAATAAGATGCTTAACCTGAGCATAGTAATGTAAAGGTATATATCACTAAAAGCAATTATAATTTAACAGCTACCTAAAATATGCATTATAGATGTTTATTTTAAATACGTATATACTAAAGTGCCAGATAATTTCAACTAATAACCTATAAATAACTCCATTCCTAATGAAAGTTTTGTTTTTACTTTAAAATGTAACTCTTTGAAGGCAAGGTCAAATTAGGTCCAACATAGTGATCAATTTTAAAATAAAAATGAAAAAGTATATATGAATAGGACTGATATAGAATATTGGTCACATTTACCTTGGAAGTAAGATGGTCTATTCTCATAAGAATGACTATACAGTACCACAGTTATTTAATAACTTAATTATCTGCCATTATGTACACATTTTTGTTGTTTATATAGTCACTTTATGAATTTCTGAAAAAGTTATTTGATGTCAGGAAAAGTTAATATCAGTAGTCCAGAAGTAATTTTAATTTTTCTGTTTGTATTTAATGTTCTTTAATATGTAATGTTATATATTGTTATTTTGGTAAGCAGACCTCAAAACTGAATTCTCTATTTCTTTTTGTCAAATCATTAAAAGGGAGAAGCAGGATCCCCTGGTGCTCCGGGGCAGGATGGAACACGGGGAGAGCCTGTGAGTACCTTCTCATTTCAGTTCTAAAAGATGAAGTTCTTTTCCTGTTACGAAATCCTTTTTGGTTATTTAAATTCTTCTCTCAGATGCCCTATTATTTGTTCAGTGACTTCCAGATTTTAGATGTTGTAGAAGCTGCTTGTGAAACACCATAAAATATTGAAATGTTGAATCCTCTTTTAGAAACCAGGAAGAATTTTGCAAACAGTGTGAGTCACAAACCACAAGCACTCATGCCCAAAGAAATGCATGGTTAACACAAACATCATGGTCTGTTGCTGAGCCTTCAGTCGATGTCACTTTACCACTCATCTATTGTTTCATAGTATACTCTTTGGGATCTTGTGTTCAATAAAAATCAGGGGTAGAGAAACATGACTAAGAAAGTACTGAATCTGAATCCTAGATATCTACATTTTTAGCACATGTCCCAGGTGATTCTGAACTTCAGGTGAGTTTTAAAAATATAGTTTGCCCCCACATTTTATTCCTACAACTCGTGGCCAACATTTAAATACCAGCAGATCTTATTTTATTCATCAAAGGTACCTACCCTCAAGAAATTTGAAATTTGCCTTGTGCGGAGCTAGGTTAAGAACTGAAGTAATAGCTGAGGTGTATTTGTATCACATTTATCACAAAGTGTTCAGTTGAGATTTCAGAATTTAAATATTGTACATAAGAGGGAGAGAGGTATCACCAAAGCTTCTTAAATAGGGTAGAGGGATTAAACTACTCTGAAAGTTACTTAATAAAATTTTCGTTGAATTTCATCTTGTGTATGATTATGTACTGGGCCAAGTTCTATATAATGCTATTACCTTCCAGAAGCTTATAATTTAATTTGGAAGACTGAAAAAAATGATGCAAATAATTACCAACTCTTTATATTATGTGCCAAATATGAATCTCATATGGAGTCAGAAAGCCAGGGTTTGGAGATGACTACTGCTACATTTCAGCAGTATGAGCTTGGAGAAGTCACTTCACATCCCTGAATATTTTTCTCTAAGTGTGAATAGTGTAGATGCTTATAGTGCTTACTTCATAGGGTTGTTGTGAAGCTTACGTAGGAAATTTTTAAAAATTGTAAAAACATTGCACAAATGCATGGGGCTATTCTAAGTGCTGAAAGAGTATAGGAAGGTAATCCTGTTATTGAGGTGCTTGAAAAAATTTTACCAAGGGTTTGTGCCAGATTTGTTCATGAAAGGATGACTGGGAATCAAAGGAAGACAGGAAAGAGAGAACTCATCTGAATGAAGACACATATGTGAGATGGTTAAAGGTGTGCCCAGGAAATAATGAAATGATCTTAATGAGGTCCTGAATCTGCAGAGAAGGGTCTCTGTTGCGTGTTAGAAAGTAAAGGTAGAAACTTGGCTAGGGCCATAAAATGGAGAACCTTGACTGCAAGTTTGAAAAGTAAACCTTATTCATTTGTCATTGAAGTTTTGTGAGAAAAAAAGAGAACATAGTAAAAAGAACTGTTTTAGAGGCAGTGTATGAGCTCCTGGTGTGTGTGGAATGATTGGAAAGGAGAAGAAACTGGAAACAGGGTGCTAGTTAGCAGGCTCTTTTGACAGACCAGGCATGAAGTAGAAGGCCTCGACTAGGGTATTAATAAGCATGGAGTGGGTTCAATAGGGTAGCATGAGCTCAACATATGTGAGCCATAATTGCTGTTATTTAAGAAAAATTATGAGACTTGGTAACTGGATATAAGACTGGGTGTGATTATTTGTTTATGTTATTGTTTCAGAATATAAAGTAGGTGTGTGTGTGTATGTGGGTGTGCGTGTATGAGGGAAAGAGCATAAGAAACACAAAGAGAGGTGAGAGAAGGAAAGGTTAATGGGAAGAAAAGAAGGAAAAAGAGGAAGAGGGAAATAAGAGATAATAGACATGAGAGCTTGGATATAATTTAGGATGTGAAGGCTGGGTGCAGTGGCTCACGCTTGTAATCCCAGCACTTTGGGAGGCCGAGGCGGCTGGATCACGAGGCCAGGAGATCGAGACCATCCTGGCTAACACGGTGAAACCCCGTCTCTACTAAAAATACAAAAAATTAGCCAGGCGTGGTGGCGGGCGCCTGTAGTCCCAGCTACTCGGAGAGGGGCTGAGGCCGGAGAATGGTGTGAAACCGGGAGGCGGAGCTTGCAGTGAGCCGAGATGGCGCCACTGCACTCCAGCCTGGGCGACAGAGCTAAACTCCCTCTAAAAAAAAAAAAAAAAAAAAAAAAAAAATTTAGTTTGTGACTGTGTTCTAAATGTTTGTGAGTTAGTTATTTGGAATCTGTAATTCATTCTCCCGTAGAAACAATGTTAGAAAGGGCAGACTGACCGGCAAGTCTGTGTAGACCATAATTCAATGTGAGGAGCACGTATTTACGTTGAACATGATACTATTGAAATATCTTCATAAAACCTAAAAAGATAAAAGAAATATTAAACATAGGCCGGGTGCAGTGGCTCACGCCTGTAATCCCAGCACTTTGGGAGGCCGAGGCGGGCGGATCATGAGGGCAGGAGATTGAGACCATCCTGGCTAACACGGTGAAACCCCGTCTCTACTAAAAATACAAAAAATTAGCAGGGCGTGGTGGCACGTGCCTGTAGTCCCAGCTACTCGGGAGGCTGAGGCAGGAGAATCGCTTGAACCTGGGAGGTGGGGGTTGCGGTGAGCCAAGATCGCGCTACTGCACTCCAGCCTGGGCGACAGAGCAAGACCCCGTCTCAAAATATATATATATTTATATATATTTATATATATATTTATATATTTATATATATTTATATATATATTTATATATATTTATATATTTATATATATTTATATATATATTTATATATATTTATATATATTTATATATATATTTATATATTTATATATATTTATATATATTTATATATTTATATATATTTATATATTTATATATATATTTATATATTTATATATATATTTATATATATCTATATATTTATATATGTATATTTATATATATCTATATATTTATATATATATATATATTTATATATATTTATATATTTATATATTTATATATATTTATATATATATTTATATATTTATATATATTTATATATATTCATATATATATTTATATATTTACATATGTGTTTATATATTTATATATATTTATATATTTACATATGTATTTATATATTTATATATATTTATATATTTATATATGTATTTATATATTTATATATATTTATATATTTATATATGTATTTATATATTTATATATATTTATATATTTATATATTTATTTATATATCTATTTATATATATTTATATCTATTTATATATCTATTTATATATATATTTATATATATTTATATATATTTATATATTTATATATATTTATATTTATATATATTTATATATTTATATATATTTATATATATTTATATATTTACATATATATTTATATATATTTATATATTTATATATTTACATATATATTTATATATATTTATATATTTATATATATTTTTATATTTATATATATTTTTATATATTTATATATTTATATATATTTATATATTTATATATTTATATATATTTATATATTTATAGATATTTTTATATATTTATATATATTTATATATTTATATATATTTATATGTATTTATATATATTTATATAGATTTATATATATATTTTTATATATTTATATATATTTATATATATATAAAAAATATAAAATGAGGAGTGCTTAGAAGATGCTTTCCTTTCCCATGGCTGCTTGTTTCTCAGTTTTATCGCCAAGCAGACACTGATTTGGGTTTGTTTTTGCCCTGCCTGCTCCCACTTTATTCAAGACTTATTCCTGTCTAGAGTTGTTGCACTAGAATAATTTACCATTCCAGGGAGTGTGGCCCTTTAGATTTTAACCATTTCCTTCTTTTCTTTTTTTTCTTTCCTCCCAATATTCCTTCCACCCCTGTAATGTTTAGCTTCAGTGGTGAGGGAAACACAGTGACTGCCTCATGGAGGCTTACAGCCTAGTTGGGGAGATAGATGGTAAAAGGATAAGCAAGCAAAAACTAAATTACCAAGTTCAAAAAGATAGACAAACAAGGTGCTGAGGCAAAGAATAATGTGAATGGGGTAGTAGACGTTATTGAGATGAATTTTTTCTCCTAAATCTAGTGGGTAAAAAACTGGGAGTTACTGAGTGAGACTCTCCCACTCCAGCCCAATGGATTGGGGAACACAGGAGAGGTTCCTTTACTTCTTTTCTTCCATTCCCCTCTCTTTCTTGATGAATAGCAAAGAGGAAGCCAAGTTTCCTATGCCAGGAAATGCATCCTGTTAGGAAAGCAATTCATAGGTTAAGTGTCTCAAATTTGCTGATGTCTGGAAACAATTCTTCTGGTCTGTATTTTCTTCCAAATAAGAACAGATAGCGTAACAAGCTATTTTTTTTTTAACAATTAATGAAAACTTGGTTTTTATTATGCTGTGCAAATGGATTCTTATCATTTGTGGAAAAGCTTTGAAAATAGAAAAAAAATCCATAAAGTTTATATATTTTGTGACACAAAGAAATAAACATTCTTCCATTGTGTGGAAATAATGGTTTTAAGTAGTTGTAATAAATGACTTGGCTCTACTATAAAGGGCATATTCACTTTATTCTATAATGTGGCAGCCAAGAAAATTAATGGAGTTTCACATGGAAGGACAGAAGCTCTTGGAAAAATGCTTTAAAGCTAATTAAACACAGCTTATGTCAGTTTAATGGTGATTCATCCCTGTAAGCAGATTGATACATATGAACACTAACTCCCAGAATTAAAATTAATGGCTAGCACTATAATTTATTAGGAAATGATTATATTGCTTCAAAATACAAGTACATTCACATGTCAGTACTTTGAATTTGAAAGCTAGTATTTGTCAATCCTAAAAGTAATTTACTTTCTAAGTAGTAAATTATACCTAATTAACTTCAATTCAGGAAACTGTAAACTCAGGTCTAACACCAGATAGATTTATTATAACTTGTTTCAACCATGAATTGCTATGTTTAAAGATTATATTCTTTCAATTATTCAGCAGTATTTACTGAGTGTCTACTTTGTGCCAGACATTGTACTAATTGAGGAGAATATGAAGATTAATTAATCATGGCCTGGCCATCAAGGAGTCAAATGAGCCAATAGATGGCAACACAGTATGAATGGTATGAACATAGGTATGGGGGGAGCCTGAAAGGCTGTGGAAGATGTGTATAACCTTACATGAGGCTGTAGGCATTGTCGAAAGGTATGCATTGTTTAAAAAAAAAAAATGCAGGCCAGACATGGTGGCCCATGCCTGTAATCCCAGCATTTTGGGAGGCCAAGGCAGGTGGATTACTTGAGGTCAGGAGTTTGAGACCAGCCTGGCAAACATGGTGAAATCCCATCTCTACTAAAAATAAAAAAATCAGCCAGGCGTGGTGGTGGGCGCCTGTAATCCCACCTACTCGGGAGGCTGTGGCAGGAGAATTGCTTGAACCTGGAAGGTGGAGACTGCAGTGAGCCAAGATCATGCCACTGCACTCCAGCCTGGGTGACAGAGTGAGACTCTGTCTCAAAAGAAACAAAAACAAAAAAACCAATATTATGAGATATAATTCACATACAGTTCACCTATTTAAAATGCATAGGGATGGCTTCTTAAAAACACAACTCTCTTGGCCAAATTCTGGATGATAAATATGAGTGTGCTAGTTGTTTGGCCTGGCAAGGCAGGAGTGTGTAGCATGCATGTTCCAAAATATAGAGGCAGAAGAAAGCATACTCTGAGAAGAACTGACAGTAGTTGAGGCTGCCATGCGGTACATGAAAGGGAAGTGACAGAAACAGTAGGTGAGCTTTTAGGGATAGATAGAGGCCAAACCAGGAAGGGCTTTAGGTGTCTGTGCTGTTTGCACTTAATTCTGAGAGTAATGGGAGCCCTACTTCCCTACTTAAAACTTTTGACTGGAAGCAGTTAGTGAGCTCTGTCACCTCTAGTAACAACTAAAGTGAGAGTGGTCAGAGTTGGGAGGGGGAGAGTGGGACGGATTTGAAATGAACTAAACAGGTACTAGCAGGGCTTGAGGATCCATTAGATGCGGGTAAGATAAGAGATGACTCTTCAAAAGTCTTACTGCATGGATGGATACAGAGGAACACCACACAGTAAACAGGGAATAGAACACAAAGAACCAGTTTTGGCTAGTGCAAGTGATCCTAAAGTATGTTTAAATGGAACATATCTAAATAATAACAAAGGCATTTAAAGAGAAGGTCTATATTTTGGGATAATTAGAAAATAATAGGCTTGTAAAAATAGAAATTAATAAAATTTCAATAAAAAGTTGTGGGTCAGATCCAAGGAAATTTTAGATGAATTTCTGTAAATACTAGTGGTAGTAGGTTAAAAAATGCCTCCCCCTCAGAAATATCAGATCTTAACTTCTGAAACCTGTAAATATGGTTTTATTTGGATAAAAAGGTCTTTGTAGAAATGATTAAGTTAAAGATCTTCTGATGGGGAGATTATCTGGGATTTTCTGGTGGGCATGAACCAGTCAGTTGAAAGTTCAGAGCAACACTGAAGTTTCCTAGAGAAAGAAGAAATTCTCTCCATGGATTACAGCGTCAGCTCCTGTGTGAGAGTTTCCAACTTACACCTCCTAATTGCCTGTCTCATGGATTGGTATTTGCCTAGCCAGTCCCCACTCTTGCATAAACCAATACTTTGCAACAAATCTCTGCCATGTATATGTGTGTATACATACATTCATATATCTCAGCTGGTTCTGTTTCTCTGCTGGAACCCTGACTGATGCAGATTTTGTTTCCGGGAGTAAGTACCTAAGTACCTAAAATGTAGAGTGGCTTGGGAACTGGGTAATGTATAGAGGCTGTAAGAATTTTGAGACACATGGTAGAAGTAGTCTATATTGCCTTGAACAGACTACTGGTAGACATATGAATGTTAAAGATTGATAGTGAGGGCTCAGTGAAGAAGTGGAAGTCATGTGGAGAAAGCCTTTCTCATCTTAGAAAATATGTATAGCATCATCAACACACTGTTGCTAGATGAATGGACATTAAAGACACTGTTGATAAAGGAGGAAAGAGGAACATGCTGTAGGAAACTGGAAGAATAGTGACACCTTGTCATAAAGTGGCAGAAAATTTAGCTAAATGATGTCCTGCAGTTGTGTGGAAAGTAAGACTTCTAAGTGATGAACTTGTATATTTAGCTGACGAGATTGCCAAGCAAAGTGCTGAAGATAGAGCATGATTTTTTTTTTCTTACTGCTTATAGTAAAGTGTGAGGAGAAAAAGATATTTGAGGAAAGAACTGTTAAGCAAAAAGGAGCCAGCACTTGGTGATTTGGGAAATATCCTGCTTATATAGATTACAAAAGATGTTAAAATTAGCAGATTCACTGTTACGCAAGCATGCTGGAAAAAAGGTTAAGGTTGTGGCTAGACAAAGTTTGCTAGTGCAAAAGAGATTAGGTACAGGACTCATGAATCCATTCAACCAGCCCAGTGGAAGCCACATATAAAGATATGAGACTATCCAGGAAAAACCTGGGGAGGAGCCTCTTGTCTAATTGTGTAAATCCTCATTATATATACAGGAAACTTACAAGGTTTTGATAATGTTATATCAGCAGAAACTCTGCCAGTTTGGAATGAAAGGTACAGAGACAAGACAAAGTGAGGGAAGGCTGTTGGACGCTCAAAATTTTTATAGGTAGGAAGCAGGCTGATAAAACTACTCAACTTCAATTATGTACTATCTTTCAAGTAAAAAAGAATAGTGGTTCCAAGGCTGGCAGGGCCTCAAGCCCAGAGGGGTATTCCTAGGTCATGAAATCTGATGGAATTTTTTCTGCTGGATTCAACATTGCAGAGGGTCAGCGACCTTTTCTTCTTTTTGAATGGGTATGTTGATAACTTATCCTTTGCCTGTCTTAACATCGTAATCGGGAAATAGATAACTTGCTCTGTAGTCTATAGGTTCACAGATGGAAAGGGATATTGTCCTAGGATGGATCATACCCATACCTGATTTAGATAACAAGATTTAGGACTTCAGAGCGATTTATTAATTTAGATAAGAATTTGAAATTCACTGTAAATTGTTGAGACTTTTGTGGACATTGGATTGGGGTGGATGTATACTGTATGTGGGATGAATGTGAATCTTTGAAGGCCAGAGGGTAGACTGTGTCAGGCTGAAAATTACCCTTCCCCGAGACATCAGCTCTTAATCCCCAGAATCTGTAAATATTACCTTATTTGAAAAAAAGGTCTTTTGTAGATATGAATGAGTATCTTGTCATAGGGAGATTATCTTGGCTTATCCCAGTGGACCCTAAATGTCACACTAGTGTCCTTGTAAGAGAGAGGCAGAGGAAAATTTCACATAGGGAAGAGGAGGGAGTAATGAGACCATGGTGGCTAAGATTGGAGTGATGTATCCACAAGCCAAAGAATGCTGGCACTGACCAAAAATTGAGAAAGGCAAGTAATGGAATCTTCCCTTGAGCTTCTGGGGGACACACAGCCCTGAAAAGACTTTGACTTCAGACTTGTGCATTCCAGAACTGTGAGGGAATAAAATTCTGTTGTGTAAACCAAGTTTGTGGTAATTTGTTACAGTAGCTATTGGAAACTAGTACACTAGGCTTTTCATTTAGTCTAATTCTTAATCATTTTATGTAATGAACCTATATAAAAATGTATGTGAGTATGTATTGGTGTATATTGCAAACTGTTGGTAGCATATGTGTTGATCAAAAATATTTGGGCTTCAGCAAGTCAATAAACAAGTCTGTTTCAATGACAATTTGAAAGCAAGACTCTTCAGTCAATATTTTCTATACTATCAATTTTGTTAAATTATCATGTATTTTTAAAAACTTAATTTGTCTATTTCTCATTTTCCTACATTTTTCATTGTTGTATTTAGTAACTTTTAGCCCATATTTCTTCTCTGTGTTATCATATTGTAAATTTGAAGCAATTAAATGGATGATACTTAATGTGCTATATATAATAGTTAAACAATATATAAATATGTATGCGTAAAAAAGGATCTGCATGGATACAAATCGTATGGTTTAATTATGTTTCAATTACTTCGCTTATTTTTCCCCAGTTGGGTTTTTGTTGTCTGTTATGTTGCATTTTTCTTGCCTTTATTTTATGTTCTCCCATGAGCATAAACATAATAAACATAAACATATGTTCTCCCATGAGCATAAACAAAAATAATTATTGTTTTTGTACTATAACAACAATTGAGGCCTAGATTTTGAGTGCTTTTTAGTGTTTTTTTTTCTTTTAAAAGATGCCAACTTTGCTAGACTACATTTTGGTTTTTATTCTAAGAATAAAGGACAAGATTGCTTCAAAGAATCCTTAATATTTTGGAAATTTCTTTTCCTAACTTAATATTTTGGAATTTTCTTTTCCTAAAATCACTCTGATTTTATCTTGGGCAGCTAGGTGGATGGTGAGGACAGAGCAACATGAGGGCAACAGTAGAATAAATTTACCAGTAGTTGAAAAAACCGTAACAGAAAATACTCATTTTCAACTGAATTCAATGTTAGACCAAGTTATCATGTTGACGAGTTAGTCTTCTTTGGTCAATTCTTGCCAACCAAATTATCTGCAGAATAGTTTCCACTGCTGCTTTGTCATAGCTATTTTTGTCCTGGTGCTCAATCCTGATGGCATGTTGTATTTGGTGTTAACATTTTCATCAGGCAATCTAAATCATTTGCTTTCTAGTTCTCTGCTCACCAGCTAGCCCCATTGTGTACAGGGAGCCTTATGGCTCACAGTGAAAATTTGTAGGCAGGGACTGGGTTCTACTGTGAGCTGAGATCCCTGGAGCTCCATGAAAAGGAGAAAAAGAATGCCGTGTTTCCTGGATCTATGGAGGTGAGTGCATATTTCTTAATGAAGGATGGCCTTAGCAGTTTTATTTTGGAAATGTTTGCTGTCTCATTTTTCCAGGAATAAAGACATGGGGATCACTGTAGTGTAGTTGAAACACTGGCTCATAGAGGCTTTTATTGTTTCCTTTCCTCATGCCTTTCAAATTCTTGCTTAACCACATGTTATGCTTGTCTTTATGATGTAATGTTTACTGCTGAGCCAGTCCAAGTTACCATGTACTTAAGAGACAAGTAGATCTTTTGTTTAATCACCTTTTCTGCAGCGTGATTATTTGGCATATCAGTTTTATGCATATATGCAGAAGACATGCATAAAATTATTGGGGAACATTAATGATGAATTGCTGTGATAATTTCCCATGTGGAATTACCAATCTACTTTGTGATGCTAGTAAAGTGGAGGTATCTTTATTTGCCTGCTTGACTATATTTTTTATTTAGATTGAAAAGAAAGAGGAGAAAAACCCACTAGTTCTATTATTGTTTTTACTTGATTTGCAATTGTATGGTAAGATGTTTCAGTCTTTTGTACAGATTTGTAATACTTTTTCTCACCCCTTTTTCAGGCTCCAGGAGTGGTACATACCAAGTATGTGCCGAGTAAACCAACTTTAACTTGAAACTCATATATCTGCTATTACAAATTTCACACAGCAGTTCTTAGTGTGAAGGCAACCCACATGTAACAATTTGGATAGTACAATTTGAAAATTCAATTGTATTTATTATTGTAATAATGTAATTATGTATATAATTATTATAAAACAATATTACTACATAAAACTATTATAATAATTTATTGTCATAGTAATTATGTTTTAAAATCTAATTGAGAATAACTCTTATAATGCATTTTGAAATAGGCTTTATCTAAAATAATGTAAATGCTCAGTTTATCTGTAGGATTGACTAAATTTGTAAGCAATATCTGTAACTTTTTGGTCTTCTACAATATGACAGTTGGCAATGTAGTGACTGTGAAAATATTGTGTCATTAATTTTGACCTCACACACAAATGTTGGCTCATTATCTGTACAAATTAGTTAATAAAGTCCCACCAGGTTTAATCACAGATCTGTTTTATTCTTTCCTATCATAAATGACATAAATATCATTGACATAGCAAAACTGGACTACCATCAAACAATAACATAAAGTAACATTGTTGATTTTAAATTTAGAAGCTCTGTGTCTACGGCACTGATCATTTTTTTGTGTTGTTCTAAGAAATCTTTTTTTCTTCGATGGAGTCTTGCTCTGTTGCCAGGCTGGAGTGCAGTGGCACGATCTTGACTCACTGCAACCTCTGCCTCCTGGGTTCAAGCAATTCTCCTGCCTCAGCCTCCTGAGTAGCTGAGACTACAGGCGCGTGCCACCATGCCCAGCTAATTTTTGTATTTTAGTAGAGACAGGGTTTCACCATTTTGGCCAGGATGGTCTTGATCTCTTGACATCATGATCCGCCCTCCTCAGCCTCCCAAAGTGCTGGGATTACAGGCGTGAGCCACTGCGCCCAGCCAGAAGTCCTTTAAATTATTGTTATTGTAAGAACCACTGATAAGCATTAACGTATTTTATTTGATTTTTTCTCTTTTCTATCCATTTCTTTATAATTTGAAAGAGGCTTTATTGAGCCCTGAAATTTCAAGAGGAATAAATGCAATTGCAAATATGAGATGATGTATGATTAATTCTTAGAATGGATAACATATCCTCTAAGTAAATAGAATCTCATTATTGTTTATGTAGGCTCAGTAGTCTCACTGGTATGGGGACTGATTATATTCATCTCTGATTTGAAGAGAATGGATGAGAGGAAACTTACCATGTATACAGGATATCAAGTCTAACTTTTATGGGTTGATGTCATGTAAACAGACTTTGACTTTAACAATATGGATTTGAATTTTTTGGGTCCACTTATATGTGGATTTTTTTCAATACATATAGTGAAAAATTTTTTTGGAACGTTTTGACAGTTTTAAAAACTTGTAGATGAACCATGTTGCATAGAAATATTTTTTTAAAATAAAAAGTTATGCCATGAGTGCAAAAAATATATATAGATGTTAGTCTGTATTATTTACTATAATAAAAATTTAAAATTGATCACAACTTACATACACAAACATTTACAGAACATACATAGTGCCATTTGCAGTTGAGATAAATGTATACAAATGTAAAGATGCAATATTAAATCATAACTGCCTAAAATTAACTGTAGTGCATATTGTATTACTGTAATAATTTCATAGCCACCTCCTGTTGCTATTTTGGTGAGCTCAACTGTTGCAGGTATCAGCTTAAAATGCCATGTGATGCTAATCATCTCCATGGGAGCAGTTTGTCTTTCCAATAAATTGTGTATTACAGTAAAAAGTGATCTCAGCCGAGTGTGGTGGTTCAAGCCTGTAACCCCAGCATTTTGGGAGTTAAGGGGGGCGGACCACTTGACCAAGCCCAGGAGTTTGAGACTAGCCTGGGTAGCATCGCAAAACCCCATCTCTACAAAACATACAAAAAATTAGCCAGATGTGGTGATGTGTGCCTAGTGCCAGCTACTCAGGAGGCTGAGGTGGGGGGATCACCTGAGCCTGGGAGGTCGAGGCCCCATTCAGCAGAGATCACTCCACTGTACTCCAGCCTGGGTGGTAGAGTGAGTGAGACACTATCTCAAAGAAAAAGATCTCTTGTGGTTTTTTGCGTATTTTTCATTGTTTAGTGCAATACTGTAAACTCTGAATAACATCATGAAACACATAGGAAGTGCCACTAGTGATTTTGGAAGTGCTCCCAAAAAGCAGAAAAAAAGTTGTGACATTATAAGAAAAGGTTTTATTGCTTGATATGTACCATAGATTGAGGTCTGCTGCTGCAATTGCCCACCATTTTGAGATAATACAGTGTAAGGACCATTGTAAAAAAAAGAAAAGGAAATTTGTGAAACTGTTGCTGCAGCTATGCTGGCAGGTGCAAAAACTTTGTACTTTTTGCAAAATTCCTTTTTGTCTCATATTGAAAATTCAGCTTTTATGTGAATGCAGGATTGCTATAAGAAAGGCATACTAATAGACACAAATATGATTTTTAAAGAGCAAAATTATTTTTTTTTGAGATGGAGTCTCACTCTGTTGCCCAGGCTGGAGTGCAGTGGCGCAATCTCAGCTCACTGCAACCTCCACCTCCCGGGGTCAAGCAATTCTCCTGCTTCAGCCTCCTCAGTAGCTGAGATTATAGGCATGTGCCACCATGCCCAGCTAATTTTTGTATTTTTAGTAGAGACGGGGTTTCACCATGTTGGCCAGGCTGGTCTTGAAGTCCTGACCTCAGGTGATCCACCCACCTCGGCCTCCCAAAGTGCTAGGATTACAGGTGTGAGCCACTGTGCCCGGCCTAAAAAGCAAAATTATTATATGATAAATTAAAGCAAAACAAAGATGAAGAATTTATCAATTCTCCAGCTTTTTCAAACAAAAGCTGGAGAATTTAATGTCAGCAAAGGATGGTTTGATAATTTTAAAAACAGGTTTGGCTTAAAAATTGTCAAACACAGGAGAAGCAGCTTCTGCCAACAAAGCAGCAGCACAAGCATTTCCAGATGCCACTAAGAATCTCATTGAGGAGAAATGGATATCTTCCTGAACAAATTTTTAATGCAGATAGAATTGTCCTACTCTGGAAGAAAGAAATGCCACAAAGGACATTTATTAGTAAGGAAGAGAAACAAGCCCCAGGATTTAAGTCAGGAAAGGATAGGCTAACTGTACTGTTTTGTACAAATGCAGTTGGGTTTATAATCAGGACTTCCCTTATCTTTAGAGCTGTTAACTCCCAAGCCTTGAAGGGAAACTATAAACACCAGCTGGCAGTCTTTTGGTTGTATAACAAGAAAGCCTGGATGACAGAATGCTTTTTCTGGATTGGTTCCATCAATGCTTTGTCCCTGAAATCAGGAAGTACATTGCTAGTAAGGGACTGCATTTTAAAGTTCTTTTGATATTAGACAATGTCTCCAGCCACCCAGAACCCCATGAGTTCAATACTGAAGACATCTGAATGGTCTACTTGCCCCCTAAGACAATGTATCTAATTCAGCCTCTAGATTGTATAATAAGGAGGACCTTTAAAGCTTATTACACATGGTATTGTATGGAAAGGTTGTCAATGCTATAGAAGAGAACCCCAGCAGAGAGAATGTCATGAAAGTCTGGAAGAATTACACCACTGACGATGCTGTCATTGTTACAGAAAAAGCCATGAAGCCTGAAACATAAAATTCTACTGGAGAAAACTGTGTCTAAATGTTGTACATGATCTTATGACACAACCAATCAGGGAAATCACAAAAGAGATTGTGGATATGGCAAAACAAAACAAAACAAAACAAAACAAAACAAAACAAAACAAAACAAAAGGTGAAGGGACAAGGGTCCCAAGATATGGATCGTGGAGAGATTCAAGAGGTAACAGACACCAAATCAGAGGAATTAACAGAAGACAACTTGATGGTGATGAGTGGCTCCAAACCAGTGCCAGACTATGGGAAGAAGACAGAGAAGAAGCAATGCCAGAAAACAAATTGACATTAGACAAGCTGGCAGAATGGTTCGGATTATTTAAGACTGCTTTTGACTTCTTTTACGGCATGGACACTTCTATGATATGGGTACTGACACTGAAGCAAATAGTGGAAGAAGGATTGCTGCCTTATAGGAACCTTTCTAGATAAATGAAAAGCAAAAAATCGGGCAGAAATTACAGTGTGCTTTCACAAAATTACACCCAGTGCGCCTGCCTTTCCTGCTTCCCCTTTTACCCCTTCCACATCTGTCTCTGTCACCCCTTGAGACAGCAAGACCAACCCCTCCTCTTCTTCTTCCTCAGCCTACTTAACATGAAGATGATGAGGGTGAAGACCTTTATGATGATCCACTTCCACTTAATGAATAGTAGATATATTTTCTCTTCCATATTATCTTAATAACATTTGCTTTTCTCTAGTTTCTTTATTGTAATAATATAGTATACAATACATATAACATCCAAAACACGTATTAATTGACTGTTTATGTTATTGGTAATGCTTTCAGCCAAAACTAGGCTATTAATAGTTACATTTTGGGGGAGTCAAAATTTAACCGTGGATTTTCAACTGTGCAATGGTTTGGCACCACTAACCCCTGTGTAGTTCAAGGGTCAACTGTATATAAAAATCGTGTGGTGGGTTAAAACTCCTAAAATCCATTAAAGATAAGCACATTTAATCATGACAGGCAGAGTGTTAAGAATTTTGTTCAAAGGTTATAGCTTGGTGGAAAAATAATGTATATGTAATGGTTTTTAAGCAGAGGCATAAAATGGATTATTTTAAAATTTAATTAGTAGATAATCGTAAATTTAAAACCCCTGATGACAATCCAAGCTTAATACCTATAATACAGATAGTTTTCAGGAGAGTCTCACTTATATATAAATAATTTAGATATTTTTATATATAATATAAAATATATGAGACTATATGTAAATGAGAATCTTGAAAATTATCTGTATTATGAATATAAATATATTTATATATAAATAAATGATACTCTCTTGGAAATGATCTGTATATCTCTTGAAAAAAATATATAAAGAACACTATTTCTCAAGCTCTGATCCACAGAGTACCTCAAAATTACTAGAAATGCCTATTAAAATTCAGTTTTCTAGGGGCCATTCTGCTCCTGATAAATCAAAATTTGGGGTCAAAGCCCAAGAAACTAGATTTTTAATGGCAACTGCATGTGAGTCTGATGTAAAGTTTAATAACTACTGATATAGAGACTTTGAAACAAGTAGATCAAAAAGAGGAATATGAACACAGTAGGAAGACAAAAGTTACCTACTGGAGGAGAACAATCAGTTTTAGTGATATTGGTACAAGAAAAGAATTCTGACATTTTAATATTTTTCAGACCATACATGCTTTAATATGTATTTGTCTGGTTAAATAAGCTTTGATGTTGTCATAAATGATAATATGAAATTATATTTCCAAATGGGTTCGGTTTCCTTTGCTTATTTATAATATTTTGTGTTTTGTTTATTGACAAAAATAACAAGAACAAATCTATTTTGTAAAACAAAAATACATCTATATGCAATTGAAGAGGACTAAACTTGCTTATATGAGAGAGGTAAATCCTTACAAAGATAGAAATTAGATAACTTAAATTTATTAGTTTTATTATACCTTCAATTTTAATGAAATTTTTAGGTTATTATTTTTTCCAGATTTAAAAAATTTTATGTAATAGACAAAAGTAACAATCTGTAATTATAGATCTAATATATTACCATTTTTTGTTTTAGAAAAGTTCTATGACTGTGGGAAAATGGGGGAAATGGTGCCTGGGAAAGCTGATTTTGCCAAATGTCGAATTCCTAGCTCTCCTGTGAAAGAAAGTGCTCCTTAAACACAGCATTATCTTTCCCTGAGCAATATGAATGCCTTTGTCCAACACAGTGTACTTAGCAATATGTGAAAATTATCTGCAAGAATAACTCCCAAGGCATGAAAACTTAGCAAATGTGTTACACAGGGAGATCATAGCAGGGAGGTGTATTAAGATCTCCCCAGTATTGATTTCTGAGTCTGCAGTATAATTCTTTCCAGTTGTTCTAGTTCTCTTACCAAATGATAGCCGCAACCTTTAATATCTTTACTTTTTTATTTTGAAAGACCAACGTTTAACAGTAATTTCTTGAATGATTTAAATGTGAGGAAAATAACTCTTAGACATTTTTTGAGAACTTTTTAAGACAAGAAATTTGTGTGGGCCAACTTTTCATTTGTTTATTATTATGTATTGTATATTTGACTACATTTTATTAGTTTTATCTAATCCTTTTGTTCATTATTTATCACTTCTTACATATATTTATTTACTTAGTTTATCTTAAGTACTCAAAAAGTATAGAAGTTGTGTTGTAAATTTGAGTCTGCTTTCACTTACCCAAATTCCATTCCCATTCCCAGCAGTAACAATTGTTACTCATTTAATGAGATTATGTCTGGACTTTTTCTTTACAAATACATAAGAACATACACAATTTTTTTAAACAACAAATTGGATCCACTGAAACTTTTATTTAACTTTGTAATATGAACATTTACCATATAAGGTTATAAGACAATATAAAATCTATCTCATTTCATTTATAGCATAGCTATAAAGCAATCTAATCTCTCTTATTAATGTTTTTTATATATATATATTTTTTCTGCATACTTAGGCAATATTTTCCCCAAGGGATATATCCCTATAAGTGTGACTACTGGTTTAAAATATAAATTATGGTTTATTCCTGAATTTAAGTAGAAATGTCTAGTGTTTCACCAAATCTGATGTTTAAAATGGGTTTCTGATTGATTCAGACTTTGGTTTCAAATATTAGTTCTATTCCTAGATTATTGGGAGTTTTCACAAATATTGCATGATAAATTTTTAATAATGAATCTTTTGAGATGATTTTGTGTGTTTTTCTTCTAAATTGTTAATATGGGAATGTTATTAGTATAGTATATTATACGGATATATTTCTTTATATTGGACATTTCTTGCATGCTGAGACAAACCCTACTTAGCCATGCTCTACTTTTGTTCTGACACATGGCTATATTTATCTTACTAGCCTTATAGTAAGTCCATTTGCATTTATTTTAACAAATTACATCAGCTTGTAGATTTCTTTTTTAGGTATTATTATTGACTTAGTATTAGTAGCTTCATAATTTGAATTTAGATGATCATCCTTTTAATGCCTTGGAGGAATTTAAATTACATAGAAACTATCTGGTCCTCAGATATTAGATAATATTTCTGTGGTAGGCAAAATATGACAACTCCCTCCTCTCCCCAAAGATAGCCATAATTTAATCCCTGGAACCTGGTACTTTCCACAGCAAAGAGATTTTGTAGATGTGATTAAGGTTAATGTCCTTGAGATGGAAATTTTATTCCAGATTATCTAAGGAGGCCCAATCTGATCATGAGTAATTGAAAGTGGAAAAATACAGAGCAGGAATGGGGCAAAAAGATGTGACTGAAGAAGGACCTGACCCATATGAAGATAGAGAAAATGAAGGATAGATTCCTTGGGGCTGTAAACCAAGGAATGTAGTTGCCCCTGGAAGCTGGAAATGGACCTCAAGTTTACAGCCAGTAAGAAAATGGCTACCTTGGTCCTACAGCTGCAAGAAACAGAATTCTGCCAATAACCTGAATGCACAGGAAGCAGATTCTTTCCGAGAGACTCCAGAAAGGGGTGCAGCATTGCTGATTCTTGGAATTTAGCCCTGTGAGACCCATGCTGGACTTCTGACCCACAGAACTGTAAGATAATAAATGTGTGTTGTTTTAATTGCACTAAATATGTGGTCATTGGTTATGAATCAATAGAAAACATATTTAATTTTTTTTACTTTAATCAATGCTTGTCAATTGTTTCATTATTTTTATAAGAAAATGGGATTTATATTATATAAACATAAAATTCACAATGGGCTGTGTTATGCAATAACTAGTATAGAGATTTAGATGGAATAGCATACACATTTCAAAAATATGAGGTTATAAATAAGATATAGAAGATATTAGATTAGATACAATTTTAAATACCTAGTTATTTTTATCGTATAAATTAAGTTTAAAAATTCACTTATTAGTGTGTTTTCTTTATCAAACTAATTTCATTTTTTATTTGGTGGGGATGGTTAATGGTGCTTTAAAATATTTTGGTATGATTACCTCTATTATATATAAAATTCAAAAAAAATAGTAGAATTTTCCGGTTTCTCTGGAAAAGATTTAACTTCTATTTTAACTTCTATTCAACACCAAGTTAAAGTTTCTAAAGTTAAAAAGGGTCTTTGAAAAATTCACTTTTAGTTTTCTTCTTAATGAGAAATTGACCATAATTTGTTTTGAGTTATGTAGTAACAAAAAATGTACCCCAAAAATGTGGTAGGTACTTTTCAGGCTTTCAGAGGATCAGAGCCCATTTTAGAACAACTCTGGTATTATTTTGGAAATTTCTCTTTCAAAATGGAATTGATTTTAAGTTTTACATATGTCTATACATACATGCTTGTTTGTTTGTTTGTTTGTTTTAACACATCCATGTATTTCATATGCATTTCACTTACTGATATAAAGGGGTAGGTGGTTTTCCTGGACCTTTGGGCTCTGGTGGCTACATGACTTTCCCACCATGTGACAGGGGTCCCAGATCTCTTAATCCTTTCCCTTCCTCTCCAGATAGTCTTCGTCCTTGTCTGAGTTTTCGGGTTTGTTATTTTAATTTGCTAAGAATTTGAGATTTTGTCTTGTCCTGGAAAAGGATGCTTTTGCAACGTAACATTGTTCAGACTATTTTATTTGTTTATAAAAATGTAGAAATGCCTTTAGGTGTGGAAAAGAAATGCCAGTTACTGCAGTAGCCTTGAAAATGGCCTCCAAATGGCTTTTCCTTCCTATGATATCTTTGTTCTCTTTTTTTGTAGCCTATAAGGTGAAACTTGTGACACTTTCTGCTTTATTATAAACATGAGTAGCCTATATTTATTGGCTAAAGTATTTTCTACTTAAATTGTTTATCTTTGGGTAATTTGGGTCCTGTCCCAAGTGGGCCCTTGTCTACAGGCCAGGGTGAATAAGTTCATCCAACGTTCTTAGATTTTTTTTCCTTAAAGATTAATTACAGCATAATATGGGAATAGAAAACTGTTCATTTCCTTATCAAGGGTTTATTGCAAGTACTTGTATATTGGTTTCTTTTAGGTCTGGCAACTGCGAGTGTAAGTTACTTCTCCCTATAGTTACCTTACCACAGAATAATCTGTTGTAAATCATTCATAATGGCCTGCCAGTTACTGTGGAAAAAAAATAATTGAAAAACATTGCAGGGTTCAACTACAAATATATTTAATACTCTTGGTCATCTTTTTATGAACAAATAGTGATGAATTATTTAAAATATTTAAAAAGCAAAAGTCATGATAGTATTACTCTGTAATCAAGATCAGCCAAACATGAAAAGGAAAGGTATTGAATGGGGGGCAATGCCGACTTGTTGGCGTCCCCGAGTGGGGGACTTTAGATTGCTAGCATCATCCTACATATAATGGACATTTTTGGAAATGCAAGTAGGGAAAGGCAAGGTAGAAAGCCAATAAGAAAAAAAAAAAGAAAAAAGAAAAAGCCTTACAATGGAGAAAGAGGACAAAACGTAGAGACATGGAAAAAAGTTGACTTCAAGTATTTCACAACTTTCAAAGGTCAGGGAGGAGCTGTGAAGAGACAGTTATAAAAATTTGTTCATTGTCATGCCAGCACTGAGCTAAATATTTGTGAAAGCTAATTGATAGAATGTACCAACTCTATGAGATAGGTTTTATTATTTTCCCGACAAAGAAAACTGGGATTCAGAGATTTTACAGTTTAAATAACTGGCCTGGAGTGGATCTGCTATTAGGACATGGGCTGGCTGACTCCAGCATCTATTTTTTAGCTGCTTCCTATGGCTTCTACTATGCTCTTTACTGATAATCAGATTGGAATCTTTTTAGTTAATGAGAATGATACTTTCAACATGTGAATTTTTTCTTCATTGAATCTTTAAGAATGAATAAATCACTTCTTGATATAATGAAGAAAACATGTAATATACTTCTGATATTTTGATAACTGGATATTAAATATCTCTACCATTGTGTAGAAAGGTAGATAATTTGACATAAAAATACCATTAATAGTTTAGATCTTTTTTAGTGAATTGAAAATATTGCATTACTTAAAAGCAAATTTGATCTAAGATGGTCCAATTTCATAGATAAGTAAATACATTCATTACATATGGGGAGTATACTGTGATATTTTGTCTTTTCTAAGTAATATTGTCATAGACACATTCCCTTCATTACAAAGTATTCTCTAGGAAATAGAAGTCAAACCCTTTATTCTAAAGTATGTATTTCTATTCTTAACAACTTGTTTGTTGTACAGCAGTGGTTTAAATGGTTACAGAGAAGCTTCTAGAACAATTTTTTGTGTCAACATTCTTTAACCACAACATTA
This sequence comes from Homo sapiens, assembly GCF_000001405.40. Taxonomy (NCBI): domain Eukaryota; kingdom Metazoa; phylum Chordata; class Mammalia; order Primates; family Hominidae; genus Homo; species Homo sapiens. Next base: position 56,080,358 of record NC_000006.12, on the reverse strand, counting down.
TGCAGGATTTTCTGGTTGACTTTCTGCTCTTCCTCAAACCCAAACTGAAATCACAGAAGTAGAGGAAATATGTCCACTTACTCTTACTTCTTTCTGTCTTTACTTGGACATTGTCACAGTTGCCTGAACCCAAAACCACAGCGAAACAGAAAATAGTCTCCTTGGAAACACATTTGCTCTATAAAATAATTGTCACTAAATACTTTGCGATCAACAAACTGTTAACTTTCAAATGCTTTTGGATAATATTACTGCTAACTTAAAATTAGCAAAGTTTAGTCAATTTCAATACACATATTGGGAGCCCAGGAAAATATTAACTTGGAGAATTTTATTAACTAATATAGCTCTGAATGATTTCAGTTTCCCTGGTTAACCTCTCCCTCAATAAGCTGGTATTCTGTGCATGCTTGTGGTATTATATTAGTTTTGCCAAGAATTCCTTAGATAAATCAGGCCTATGTTTTGTTTTTGATATCCTGTAGTTTTTATATATTTTTACTTGGTATTTGTAAAAGAAGTAATAATTCTTAGCATAATTGGACATAGAAGATCCATTAGGACTTCATGGACATACATATCTATGAAATGTATGTAAATTTTTGGCCAGTTTGAGAGGATGAACAAAAAGAAAAGGAATTTTTTTATAGTCTGGAATCTCCCCCAAATAATCTTAATAGCAGATATATTGAAATAATGTAAGATTTGTGGCTATGTTCTACTACAGACCAAGCTCAGTATTAGAGTGTCTCAGATAAAAGAGTGTCAGATCAAATCCAAGGAGTAAACTGTGGGGAAATGGGCTCTCAAGGGCTTTGAGGAGGTGGAAGCCAAGGTGCTGTTCGTGGAAACCTGGGTATAACTGTTTTCTCCAGGGAAAGGATGTGAACTTGCTAACACTGGGATTGTCTTCAGGATATCTGTAACTAATTCTGCTAACATCACAGACTGTGTAAGGGCACAGGGACTTGAATAGTGATAAAAACTTTAAATAATTAAAGACTAGTAAGAAATTCAGCTTCTCAGGTCTGACACTGTCATCGGTAATCACATGTGCCCGTTAGGGACTCTGGGAGCCAAGGTTATTACATTGACAGAACTGTACCAGTTTTCCAGCATAGAACAATGTATAGCCACCTTCCTTCTGAGAAGAATTTACACACGTATTTTAGTTAAATTCAGAACTTGATCTCAACTTTTAGTGAATTTTCACACGTGTGTGGGTATTTGAATGGGAGGAGGTCACAGGGTGGTTTCACACCAAATTACGGTTCATTCAAATGGAGGCCCTTATTTTGAATAATGTTTATCTTAATTCATTGCATTGAGAATATACATTTTCTGCCTAAGAAGGTACAATTCATTTTATATTCATAACTCAGTGATTTTACTTTTACTTTATGTTTTAGAGTGCTTATTAGGTGTACTGTGATTGTGTTTTATATTGTTACTTCAAGGTATTTTTATTGTTTTCATATTATTCTCTACTTACGTTTATAAAGGCCTGTCTTTGCAACTAGATTGTGAGTCCCTTGTTGATAGTCATTGCTCACATACCACTTTTGTTCTCTGCAAATGGTATAGTGAAGTGGCAAACTGAATTGAGCTGAATAGAATCAAACTGAATTCCAATGTATGATTTGAGTTCAGATTTTAAAACTAGAACTATGTGTTTATGTCTTGCCCTATAATTGCGATTAGCACATTGATCAATAAAGGTTGTATTTATAAACTCAGGGTGTGAAAATAAAGATAATGGCAGATTCTCCCTGCAATAGAAGAAGACACTTGATCTCATTGTCAATGGCAGCTCTAGCACCTGCTGTGATTTACTGAAGAGTACTGCTTTCCTTTGGAAGGCCTGCTAGTGCAGAGGGTTTGCAAAGTCATACAGATGTGACCCAATTTTCTTGTCTTTCAGTGTCAATACATTTGTATAAATATAAATGTTGTTAACTGTTTCAGCTCAAATGTCACCAAAATAGGTGCTAAGAAAATGGAATAAAAAGCAAAAATTGATTAGTACAATCACTGTTTTGCATGATAAATGATCATGTTGGGTAAATGCATCAAAAGGCAGACAATAGAACTCTTCTGCAAGCAATAAATGTGCTAAATTTATTCTTAACTTGATAGAATTAACATTAATTTTTTCTGAATGTTGCTACAGACATGTGCATATGAGTTCAGCCACGTGAAAGAGTGACCTGTACTTCTTTATGTCTCTTCACAAACTGTGGTCTTCATATTCTTCATGATTGCATCAGTAAGGGAGTTATTAAGAGAAAAGATTGCCATTTTTTATATGAATATTTAGGTTCTTGGGTATTTCAAGGCTCAGGTGGGAGGCAATCATTTAATTAAATTAATTTTTAACTAAGGTGGTGACACTGAGGGCTTGTGGAACTGTTGCGCTAAATCAGAACTTATATCATTTAACAGATTTTCTTGCATGATTCATTAGAATACAAGAATGTGTTCAAATGAAACATCATTTTAATTTTATCACTCATGTGTTGGGGTGCAAGAACTGAGATGAATTTCCTCATAGTTTCTTTTTCAAAAAGCCTTTATTTAAAGCTCTAAATATCAGTAATATTCATATAATGCTATATCTCCTAAGTTGTCTTTTCCATATTGGATTATTACAAATAGCAATATTATAATATGTATACATTTGAAAATATGTTATTTACCAGTTAAAATTCCAATTGTGACTGTTTCTTCTTTAATGATAAAGTCTTCAATTTTTTATAAGTTAAAAATCTATTTTATTTGTTTTTAGGGAATCCCAGGATTTCCTGGAAACCGAGGATTAATGGGCCAAAAGGTAAGTATTCATGAGAGTTAGCTTTGGGCCTGGATCTGCTCATTTAATGCATTGTTGTCTACAATAAAATACAGTTTTACATTTGTGGTAACAGTTAATTTTTCAAATATTATATAATTTTAGAAGACGTTGTTTTGGCTTTACAAATTTGTATATATTGTTTTGTGGTTGTTTTATATAGATAATATTAATTTAGATTTACATTATATGCTTCCTCCTTTACTTTGTTACTTTTCAACTTTGTTCTCTAACATAATTATGGCATAATTTACTTCTTTATAGTTAATTTACTTAACTATATTTTTGAATGTCTTTTTAGTACAGATAGCTTGGTAATAAACTTTCAGTTTTTATTTAATTACAAACTTCTTTATTTTGCTCTTGTTTTGAAGGACAGTTTTGTAGACTATACAACTCAAGGTTGACAATTATTTTCTCTTAGTAAATTGAAGATTTTCTTCTATGGTTTTTTTGGCTTTCATTGTTAACTTTGAAAAATCTGCTGTCATTCTAATTATCATTCTTTTGTAAGTGATCTGTTTCTTTCTTTTGGAACCTTTTAAGGTATTTTATTTGTTTTTAGTGTTCTTCAAATTCACTACAATATGTCTAGATATGGATATCTCTTTATTCATCTTGCTGGGAATTCAGTTTGCTTCTTTGCTCTGTGGAATTATTTCCAGTAGTTCTGGAAAGAATCACCATTATCTCCATATGACCTCTGCTCCATTCTCTGTTTCTGGAATTCTGGTTAGACATTTTATTTTATTTCTTCTAATTTTATGCTCTACATCTCTTTTTAGCATTACCTACCATATTTCCATATTTTTGGTTGTCTTACATTCTGGTTAAATGTTTTAGATATACCTTATAGTTTACTTATTCTTTATTGTGTCTAATCTGTTAGAATGATCAATTGATTTTTTTTAAAAATGATAAACACTCATAATTTTCACTTTCAGAGTTTATAATTTTTTAAACCACAACTTTTTGTTCTTGAAGTCTCTTGTTATATTTTCAGTACTAATAGTCTTTCATGATTCTGTTTTTTTAATTTAAAAAAATCTCATATCTAATTCTAAATTCTGTTTCTAACAATTCTAATATCTGCAGTTAATTATTTATTACTTATTATTCTCATTCCTGTATCTTGCTGTCTCTTGTTTCTATATTGTTTATCATGAGCTCATTGCTTCATCTTAATTTAGAGGGTGTCCTGTCAGCCTAACTAGGAAATGAAGACCTGCCTTTTGCTGGTAGCCATGGATACCATTTCAGCCCCATTTGAAAGTGCTGAGTCATCATAGGTATTGAAGATTCCTGCTTCCTTTCCATGGCTGGCCAGCATTCAGTTTCCCAAGAGCTGAAGATCCACCCTCAGATACTTCCACTTTTCTTGGCTTCTACAGTTCTGTCTCTGGCATGGTTTCTGTATAGTTCAAATTCTCATAATTATAGCCCCAACTCAAAGTATATTTCATTAAAATGAGAGATCTTTGAATACCTCTCCTACTTCTTGGAAGACCAGCACTCTCTCACAGAGGATGTTCCTTCTAGGATTTTTGTTCTGGACTTAGAGGACCTAGTCAGCCGCATCCCTGGAAGTTGAAGTCTAATGCTGTTATTTTTTTAGTCTATTTTTCTTTATTAATTTATGTTCACTATCATATTTCTTAAACTCTATGATAAATAGAAAAATTTTTCACCTGATTTTTATTTCTGTTGTTTACCAACTCCATCTAAGCTACTAGGTCTTCCTTTGAAAGAATGGCAAATGTTACTACAAATGTCATAATAAAAATATTGAGAGTAAATCCTCAGACTCTATGCCAAGGTCTTTAAGGCCTTGCTCCTTCCTTACTGTAGTGGAAGAGAAAGCAGAAAAAGGTGAACTGATTGATATTCAATTGTCATTCCATTGTGCTTTGGCAGAAGCTTTCTTGAAATAAATTGATAATTTACAATTTATAATGTTTTTAATGTTTGATTTTTTTAGGGAGAAATTGGGCCTCCAGGACAGCAAGGAAAAAAAGGAGCCCCAGGGATGCCTGTATGTTGATGTCATTATCATCATACATCAAAGTGTTTGCAGTGTTGCTACTACCTACTAGGAGTTCATATTCGAGAGTTCATAAAAATGTAGGGGATACAGCAATAAAATATTTGAGGTCCATGAATTCCATTCTGTTGTATGAAACATATTATGTCTATGTGCATTTTTCTAAAAGAGTAAAGATTTCTTCAGTTTCTCAAAAAGTTGGCCACCCAAAAAAACATCAGGGACCCTAACTGTAGATAAATTAGAAAACATGTATTCTAGCTATTAATTTAAAAATACTAAGTACCATTAAGTCTAAATCTCAGTGATTTTTTTATTTTAAATTAAATTTACAAACATATTACACTAATGGGAAAGAATATGTATAGAAGACATAGTATGGGAAGCTCCTAAAACAGAGTAAATTATTTCAGAATTTTCAAGAGTGAAGATGGCATATGAAACTGATTCAAAATTATGAAAATTCATGTGTGCAAGAATCCCCCCCCAAATTTTAACTTTATTGCTAGAAGTGATGTTGATTTTAATATATGAATCAAATTGTCTGTTATAGGTTCATATTGAGATTATATTTTCTAATGATATAATTTTTTAATCCCTTTTCCTTTGTAAAGTGTGTTAAATATGTATAATAGTATTTAAAGTAGAATCTAAATTAAATCAAGTCCTAATTGAAAGAGTAGTTATCATTTTTTATTTTGAATGTTATGATTAAAGATACGGCCATTTTGTACCCTGAAGAAAGATTATCCAGAGAGTTTATTAGAATGTAACTCTTTTAAAATATTGTTCAAGATAATAGAATTCTAAGTAATGTTAATCAGGATAACATCTATGAAGACACCTAATTTTAGCCATCCTAACAAAAGAAAAAGTGTAGAAAAAAAATTTTCCTTTATATTTTTCTTTTACTAGCTCTCCATTTTCTCTATTTGTAGTTTTTGTAAGCAATAGAATCATAAGCGCTCTGCTAGCCTTCATGCTATCTTGCATAGTTTGATTTTTTACTTTTATTATCCTCTATGGATGTATGGTGGAGTAATTTTCTAAATATTGTATTATATTTTCAGATCTGTATTATAATTTAGTGAATTAATTATGAGAATGTGTAACTTGGAAATTGATTTAATATTTTTTAATAATCTTCTCTAAGTTACTCTTGAAATTCCTTTTTAAAATTGTAGGGTTTAATGGGAAGCAATGGCTCACCAGGCCAGCCTGGAACACCGGGATCTAAGGTAAATATGATAAAATAAACAAGACTGGGAACTTTGTATAATCACAGTGGCCATTTATAACTTTGATGAAAATTTTACTACTACCTTGATTGTATTTTAAATGTGGTTTTTATTCTATGAAAAAAAATCACTTGTAAGAATTAAATCTGGAAAGGCTCAGCCTAAGAAACAGGCTAAAGTAAAGCTCATCCTGTTATGTTGGAAAGGGTCCAGAATCTCCTGCTGCTCAGCCCCCTTCTCCCTTTTTGGTGTCTTGGTGTCTAGTATTGAGGAATACTAGAGCTCTATAGAGCTCAGTGCCAAAACCACCAGTCTAGAGCATTCATAGTTATGAATAAGAATATCTCTTACAATATCAGTTTTCTAGTCTTCTTTTTGGTATTTTTATTTAGTGGAATGTATATAGAGTGCCTTGTAAATTATACTAGTTCTGTGAGTAAGAGCATATTATCTTTACTTTTAGATTTTAAATAAGTAAGGCAAGCTTAACAAATATATTTAGGATATGAGGTTAGTTATTCTCAAGGTAGAACTGAAACTCTTTGAATGTCATTATTTGACCATTTCCTAGCTATATATAATCCTGTGGTACGATAACTATTTTGTTTTCTTGGTTAACCAGAGGATCAGACAAAACACTCAGAAAACTGTTCCCAACTATTTTGCAAATAGATTCTAGGACAGCCTTCTAAAAGGAAGTGATGGAATTGCTATTTTAGAAGCAGTCAACCTTTGACTAAGCATTGCCTCAGGGGAATAGACCCTGGCATATGAGTAGATGACCTACTCTATTTTACTTTTAATTTCTAAAGTATTTAGAAAAGAGAGAGAAAAAAAAGACATGGGAGCCCAATAATGAGAAAAGGTAGCTGCTCTTCCATCAGTGGTAGACCCTTGTGGATCCTTGGTGTATTGTGGGCTCCAGCAGCTATAGGTACACACAGAGTTGTGTGTGACTGACTTGCTGGAATGACTGAACTTGCTAAGCAGGTCTCCACAGTTTCTCAAGGTCATTTTGTAAGAAAATACCCCTTATTAAGTGGTGCACAATGGGCTCTCTCAATGTCTTTTGGATTCTCTAATTCTTAAGAATGCAGCCTAAAATTTCATCAGCTTTTTTTTTTTTTATTAGATACACCACACTGTTGACTCACACTGTGTTGAAGGTCAATTGTATCTGTTGGACTTTCCGTAAAAGGTTTTAGAACAATGTGTGCTGTCTACCACTTAAGCAGATTCTGCTGATTTGGCTGGGTAGGCCAGTGAGGATTTCCAGTATCACAGTTTGTTTATTTTTACATGAATTACTCTAAAGTTGGTTTTCTGCATCTTGTGCTTGTACAATTATTTTGTTAAAAATAGATCTAAGAAGTTAAAATTACACATATTAAAAATACACATAATCTTTTCAATAAAATATTTTAATTTTTTTCTTGCTGTATATTAGGTGTTGGAAACTTTTTCTGAAAAGGGACAGAAAGTAAATATTTCAGGCTTAGAGAGCCATACAAGTCTCTGTTGTAACTACTCAATTTTATCATTATAGTGCAAAATTGGCCACAGGCAATACCTAATCAAATGGGTATGGGGTGTGGCTATGTTCTGGTTAAACTTTAAGAACTTGCATTGGGCTGGATTTAACCCATGGATCATAGTGTACTGACCTCTATATTCGTTTCTTTCTGCTAGTTTTGTCAGCTTATGTTTGTGGCTTGTGCTGTCAATATCACTGATAGAAGTTCTAGGGTGAGACAAAAACGTATTCAGTAGGGCAGAGATAAGGCTGAAACTGAGGCAGATCTTTAGAAAACCTCTAATTTATATTATAATACTTAAAAATAGCTGCAGAAACATTTATAAGCCTATTTAACTATACTATGTTTTGGTTTTAAAAAAATCTGCCCTTTACTCGGTATGTATCCAAAGGAATATAAATCATTCTGTTACAAAGATACAAGCACACGTATGTTCATTGCAGCACTATTCACAATAGAAAAGACATGGAATGAACTCAAATGCCCATCAGTGATAGACTGCAAAAAGAACCATGGAATATTATGCAGCCATAAAAAACAACGAGGTCATGTCCTTTGCCAGGGATATGGATACAGCTGGAAGTCATTATCCTCAGCAATCTAATGCAGGAACAGAAAACCAAACATCACACGTTCTCACTTATAAGTGGGAGCTGAACAATCAGAACACATGGACACAGGGAGAGGAACAACACACACTGGGGCCTGTTAGTAGGGGAGGGAGGTTGGGAGTGGAAGAGCATCATAAAAAATAGCTAATGCATGCTGGGCTTAATACCTAGGTGATGGGTTGATAGGTGCAGCAAACCACCGTGGCACATGTTTACCTATGTAACAAACCTGCACATCCTGCACATATAACCCAGAACTTAAAAAGATAATAATTATCTAAATAATATTAAAATATATTAGCTTTATCGAGTCAGATAACTTTCAACAAATCTCATGTCTGTGAATTTCAGTTTAATAACTTATAAAATTAGAAATTTTAAGGAATCATTCTGTGGTTCAATAACACTGTTATGTGCTAAATGCTTTAATTAAATCTAATGTGATCTTCACATGTTTCTTACCATGAGCAGCCTACAAAACTTTTTTAAAAGCTGAAAATGGCATTGGTTTGCCTCACTGATTAGTAAACCCAAGTTGGTTGTGGGTAATTATTGTGTTCCCCTTCTAGGTGTCACACCAACCTGCTTAATTATGGGCTTTTGCCAGACATTGGGTTGTGATATCAGGTATCAAAGTATTTGAAAACCAGAACTACATTTGACAATCTCTCCTTATTAGCCAGAAGACTTGTTTTCTCTTTCTCTATCCACTTTTCCTTTTCTGTATTACATTCTTTGCCCTGTCAACTCAGCCTTGTACTCCAAGTTTCCATCTGTTAGAAAGAACTGCACTGGAATCCTGAAAAAGCACAAACTAAACATTTTCTGATTCACACTTCTTCAAAAAAAGCCATTGTGCATTTGAAGCTACTTTTCTTTCCTTCAGTTGCATACTGAAGATGAGTCCTACTGAGAAAGTGAGACAGGATAATGATGAGGATCTCAGCCCGGAGGATGCTGTTAAAGTACATGTCTCCCACCTGTGCAATGTGGTGGCTGGACTTATTAGTGCTGGCCACTAAAGATTTGACTCTCCTCCCTTATACTTGAAGCTACCAGCTTTAACACAGGTTTTTAGAGAGGCTTATGAATATGTGGAACCCCTTCCTTGCCTAAAAGATTTTTTCATTTTTCTTAATACATAGGTCTAATGTACAGAGTCTATCAAACAATCGGAAAGTTAAAAATGTAAAAGTTATTTTACATATATTCCCTTAAGTGTCTATATCAGATATATTATGACAGAATTGTTTTTAAAAAACTCCAATGTTTTTGATGTGTTGACAGGGAAGCAAAGGTGAACCTGGAATTCAAGGGATGCCTGGGGCTTCTGGGCTCAAGGTAATTTTGATGCATTTGAAAATATTTTCAAAGAAATTATAATGTAAATTCCCCTCATTATTTAAGAAAATTAACATTTTATATCTCTGAAGAGATACATGAAGTTAAGGATTACCTTTATCATGAAATTAAGGTACCTGAAATGAAATTGTCAATACAGTTTCATTTCTGTTTTTTAGATACTTTGTCATTGGATAATAAAGATATAAACTTTGGCTTAATTTTTTGAAAAATTGTAAAATTGTAGGCAAACATGAACTTACTTTCTGGTCCAGAGAATAGATTTCCCTTAAACAGCTGAAAACAGGAGCATGTAGTTCTCATGAATGATACTGTTCTTTGTTTGCTTATGGGAGTTTCATCTTTGATATAGAACTCACAATAGCCTTTACCAGTTTCCTCCAAACCACATGGGTTGATGTTTATTTCAATGGGATTTTTAATACACTTCCAACCTTCAAAAATCTAGAGAATGATTTGATGGCTAGGAAGTAAGTACAGTAAGCAAAGAGAATAAAGCCTCCTTTTCTTTTAAAAAAGAGAGTGATCTTTAGTTGATGTTACAGAGTTTTGGACTAACGGTAAAACACAAAACGAAACAGAACCATGAAGCATGTTCAGGATTATGTTGCATCTCTTACAAATATATCCTAAATATGTCAATGCATTATTAACACGTGCTTGCAAATAATTTATTTAAGACTTTAAAACAAAAAACTTTATTTCAGAAAGGACAATTCCTATAGGATGATGGAGAGTGGAGAACTGGAATTAAGATAACTCATGTAATACACCCTGTACTGAAAAATAGCTCAAGAATTTATTTCTAACAAAATAATATTCCACATATGTAAATAAATACATATAAATAATTAAATTTAACTACCAGGATGTTCATTCCAATATTTTTTATAAAAACAAAAATTGTGAAAACTGTAATGTTTAACAATAAGAATTTTATTAAATAAAATACAGTTGATAAATATGGATACTCTTCCATAATTAAAACTTATGTTATGAAAAATATGATAGCATAAGAACTTTATAATATTAATATATTTAGAGATTAAAAGATAAAATTATGCATGTATATGAGCACATTTTATTAACTATATATGTGTGTTTATGAATTAGAGTTAGAGAAAAAATACATAACAAAATAAAAATATTGGGTTATAAGATTTTTAATAATTTTTATTATTTCTATTATTTTGTAACAAGAAAATAAGCTTTTTTTAAAGTAGCAATTTGAGAAAAAGCAGTTTCAAGGAGAATAAGTGTTAGTAAATAGGTAAACAAAAAAGAGATACTTGTGTTTATTATTTTTACAACTTTATTATTTCGTTTATTATTGAAATTATAAAGTATCATAAAAATAACAAATATTTACAGAATTTTAAAATATGAAATGCTGTGAGAATTTTTCAACTGGAAAAGATAGAGAAAAATACAAGAAATTTTACTGGGATTCTAGTAAACATTTTATTCTTTACTATTTCTGTAGTAGTAACTGTCAATACATTTTTTTAACCATTCATTTTAAAATTGAGATATGTAGAGATAAAAACAGTGGTGCTTTTCATAAGCAGTAGATCTGTGATCTTTCTGGAATTTCTGTGTTACATAGGGAGAACCAGGAGCAACGGGTTCCCCAGGAGAACCAGGATACATGGGTTTACCCGGGATTCAAGGAAAAAAGGTATGCATTGGTTAGGAGATACAGTTCGCTTTTAACCAGTTACTTGCAAACAAGTTTTTCTTTTGTGAAATTCTTAAAGTAGGACTTGTTATTAATATATTTTTAATGATAAAGTACCCTATATATTCGATGTATGTATAATATGTTCAGCCCCATGCTAATAGCTGTGGCATCTTTTATATACCCACATGGGTATTGTCTCCTAGATGAAGACCTTAGAAAAGACATGCAGATCAGAAAATATGAATGTACAATTAAGTAATATCCTGTAAATTCAGGTTTTTTTCACAAACCAGGGGAGCTAAGAATTTTTTGAGGAAAATTGTCCAATGTCAGGCATTCCTATCAAAATGCAAATACCCCTCTTGCCAAAACCGGATCAAATTCTGGAAGGATAAAACTTGTGTCCAAAATGTTTGACCATGAAGTTCCTATCTATGAAACAATTATGTTACATAGAAGTTTATTTAAAATTAATTTAAGGAGTTTAAAAATGCAAGTCAAATATACTAATTTAAAATATTTTGGCAAGGAAAGACAGTAAAACTAGGTTCTCTCTCTCTCATTTTGGTCAAGTAAGGGAAACTTGACTTGTATGTATATAAATAATATATGCTTTTATTTGTTTGGAGGTTTTGAGCAACAATTGATGCCTGTGTGCCTGAGAAGTCCATGCTACTGCAAATACAAATGTTTCAGGTTAAAAGTAAATCTATCGGTTTTTATTCTGGAAAAGACACAAACTCTTATGTCTCCATCTTCATGTCCCTTGCTATTTATTTTTCAACATCTTATTTTCTATCCCTCATGTGTTGTCTACATGGTGCCTAGATCATACACAGTATGATCCTTGGGCTTTTTGTTCTGATGATCAGTAGGCAGCACTAGCTGAGACAGAAGTGTCCCCACATAACAGCCATCAAGTGTTAGACTCTTAGTAAATGTTAAGTAAATCTACTACGAATATATGTTTGGGATGAAGAGAATTTTCTTGTTCAGAACTTGTTGCCATTTAAAAGAAAATCTGTATTTTTTTGTTGAAATGCAAAACTGTACTCTATGTTTAGATAGTACGGTGAAGTATTAATAGAAAGGAAATTTGGAAACCGTGTCCAAGTTTAGCTTTGGGCAGGTGCTTAACTGGCTGTTTCATTATCTATAAAAACAAGGGCATTGTATAAGTTGGTTTCTAATTTCCCTTCTAGCTGATAATCTATAAAACTTATTTTTATGGAATATAATTTTTCTTCCAAAAGCTCACTTTTGAAATATATGTTTTCTAAAATAGCACTTAAATGTTATGCTTTACTTTATCATTGTTTCCTATAAACTTGTGGCTACTAATAGCTTAATGGAAGATTTTCAGTTTGATTTCATAAAACAACATTTGTCAAAATAAGTCCTCTCTTGTTAGTTTGTCTAACCTAAAACTGTGAACCATGTAGAAGTTTTCTCCTTTCTGGGAAATTAAAGATTGTGGTGAAATTTCTTTCAAATGTAGGAGCATACAAAAGTGTTCTTTTACAATATCATTTTGACATAATGTGGTTCTGCTCCCTTCCCAAGTATTGTGTTAGGAGTCAACTTCTGTGTATACAGGCACTTGTGGAGTTTGCACGAGATGTTGTTTTTCTTCAGCAGAGAAAAATATATGTTTATTTGAAACTGTACAGAATATGCTAGATTATGATACAGATCAAACTGCCTTTTTGTAGGGGGACAAAGGAAATCAAGGTGAAAAAGGTATTCAGGTATGTTGTTTGCTTTTTTTTAGTAGGCTGAGCAATAAAATCAGAGCTTTTAAAAAGTTCTTATTTTACTTTTAAATTCCTTTCTGTTTCAACATTAATATAAAGTTGTTAAATCCTATTTTCTCCTTTTGCTATTGAGCTTTTCAGACAAGACCAAATTTGACTTTAAAATTCCTCACCACTTTGCTGTTGCAGAAAACTTAGAAACAAAATGATTCAACAAAATAAAGACATAAATTTTATTATATACTTCTAATATGTATTTATATACATATATACATATATATATATACCACATACACACACACACACACACATATATATATATATACACACACACAGTGTGTTTCCAAAAATGACTTGAAATTGTTTTATGGCAAAAGTTTGATAAAAAACCTTTAACCCTAAATATAAAACATATTCAAATCAATATGTGAAAGGAAAATTAAACCAGAAAATTATAACAGGCTAGGGAAATCTAGGGTGATTTAGAAAGATATTTAGTTTTGGGTGTCTTAGCAGCAAAGGCAAAGAGGAGACCTATTTTACTACTTCAGGAGACAAGGATAGTTTCACCTCAATTAAAGTGTCTATGGAATGGGTTTTTTCATTCACTGAAGACTGACTTTTGAATAAGATGCCACTAGCTGAGTCAATGAAATAGTTATCTGGGATAAATTATATCTGATGTTCTTTCAACCTTTTAAGTTTTAGAAATATAAAACTTTTCCAACCATAAATTACCAATCAAGTGTTCAGACAGTATTTTAATGATGTTTTTAAGTTTGTAAGTCTCAGTGATAGTGTCTGAGCTTTGCTATGCAGAATAAGCTGAAAATATAAAGAAAAATACTCTGGACATTTCCACAAATGTAGAATTCTGAATGCTGTAGAATTTCTGGAATCGTAACAGAAAATTTCAAATTGAAATAGTCATAGGCAAAACTTGCTATATCCACAATTATAACAGTTCCTATTAATGAACTTATTCTTCATAACATACATAAGATGTTTTAGAGTGGTATGACAAAATTCAGTTGTTTTTTAGACAATTTTTATCGAAAATCTTCAAGTACTATGATATAGGATTCCTTTAAGTTAAGATTGAAGTTGGGAGTGAGGTAAATGTTAAGTAAATGTCTGTGAGCTCTAGACCCATATATTCTAATTTCCTTCTTGGTACTGCATTTAGATGACTCATGGGAACCTCAGGTTCAGTATGTCCAAAACTGAACTTGTCATCTTTCCCCATAAACCGCTTCGTACTCACAGATTTCCTGTCATGATAATCGATGCTAAATATCTCTTGAACTTGACACCTTCTACCTCTCCTGACTGTACTAGTTATTTCTTGTCAGGGGTCCTGGGCTACTGCAATATCTTCCTAACTGGTCTCCTTGAGTCCAGTCTACTTCCTTCTTCCACACTTTTACTTGCATAAAATAGCTAAGCTATATATCTGCTTAGGAGTCCTTTAATCGTGCCCCACACATGTTAAGATAAAGCCTGTGCCATCAAATGCCTTCTGGGCTGACTGAATCTTTTTTAGTGTTATCTCTTGCCACTCCACCCATTCTTATCCAATCCTGCTCTGCTGCTATAGCCAAAAGAAACTACCTGCCTTTCACCTGTGTCTTCTCTCCCTGATACACCCTCCTATCCTTTCTCCAATTGGCTACCTCTTACTCACCCCTCAAGGCTGCACAAAGGATGAGTCACATTCCCTACCCTTTCTGTCAGATGCCCCTTCCTAAGTTCCAATAATATCCAACCCAGATGTTTAATTATACATTGTAGACTTATCAGCAGTATTTTCATCATTCTAGATTTAATTGCTTATCTCTCTTACCACACAGTGAGTGACTTGAAGGCCACAATGATATCTTTGTTTCAGTGTCCCTAAGTGCCAGCAAATAGGTGCTGCTCAAAAAATGTTAGCAATTCACTTAATTAAATTGATGAATTCATTACTAGGCAAGGGTGATGTAAAATTGTAGTCACTAGATCTTTCATCGATTACCTTATCTAGGTGTATGTCTTCCTAGAAACTGCTAATTATTTTGCGCAATAAATATAAGGATGAAGTAGTGCTTCAGAGTCTAGCATAATGTCCCATGAATGGTAGATACCCAAAAATACTTATTGAATAGATAAATGTGTTTATACCTTTATTAATTTTTCTGTTATTTATGCTGCTTTAAAGCTCTTCATTTAAATGGCTTTTTTTTTACTAAAATGTGACAGTATATTTTAATTTTTAAAAATAAAATTTTAAAGAGATCTTCTTGTCCTCACATGTCCATAGTCAACAATGAACATAATTGCCACTGAAATTAATAAAATGTCCATATACATTGACTTTTTAAACTATTTTCCCACTATTAATATGGACTTAGAAGAACATCCTCATTGTCTAGAATTATTTACATGTTTCACCCAAATCAGTAATTTGTTCCTTATCTCTGTCCACTTTAACTATAAGATTAGGATGACTTTTCTTCTTCTTTTTCGCTGAGTAACTGATTTTCCCATCTCTCACATAATTTATATATTTGTATCGCTGCTTTTGTTACGTTTCTTCTGGAACTCAAGGTAATACATAGTTTGTATTGCATATGTGATTGCATCGTAAGTGTGCAAACTAATCAATAATGTTTTTTTTTATTTTAAAGGGTCAAAAGGGAGAAAATGGAAGACAGGGAATTCCAGGGCAACAGGTATTTTTTGGTTTTCTTCTGATAAAAAATGAAATAACAAGTCACATAACTGGACAATGCTGAGAGAGGATTACTTGCAAATAAAAATGGGTGGGGAGAAGGACAATATAGTATGCATTCTAAGCATATAAGGTTGAACATGTAGGTAGTGTGGTGATAATGAGTTTCTTTCATTATTTGTTTTGTGTTTTCACTTTCCCATACTGATAACACTGGTGGCTCTGAATTTTGTTTTTTAATGCGTCCAAGCAAATGACTGCAGGTAGAAAATTCCACCCATTTCTTGGGGGTAGTTATTGGCCAGAGACAGCCAGTCACACAATGGCAGCTTGTTCATCCCTGCTGGTTTGTCTTGCTTTTCTTCTTGAAAATCAGTTGGGGCCACATGTGGTGGAGAAATGTACTTGTTTCCCTTTAGTTTGTTCAGAGAGACAATTTACTGCTCTGGAGATATATTAAAATGCTATCCTGAGAGACAGTGTTGTAGAACAGACACACAGTAAGATGGCTTTGCTTCTTTCTTGACTAAACTGTTCTCATTAGGTGATGTTTCAGTGAGATTGCCATGTGACTGTAAGTTCAGTCAGAGCCAAAGTGGACGGACAAAGGCATAAAGGAGATTGGTACTTAGATAGCATGTTTGCTGCTGTGTTGCTTGTAGCTGCAGAATGCTGGACATGGTTCCAACTTGATCATGTCTGAAAGGGCAAGCTGGATATGTGAGTCCTCCCATGGGGTGGACCTCTTTCTCTGAGGGTGAGTGGGAGAAAGATTCTGCAATTACACCAACTCTGGAGAGAGTGGGATAAAACTGGGTAGTGATGTCTCCAAGGACAGGGGTCTCTGTGTTCCTTACTTGGAGGAGTCTGAGAGACCATTGGGAAGAGTGTAAGCATAGGGCCCCAAGGTTATCTGCAACGTGGGATGGAAGGGGAGTGCCAGATGTTAAGAAGAATTGAGAATTTAGAAGCTAACAATAAAAGTAAAAGTAAAAGTAACCAAGAGGAGGAATGATTGGAATTGCCTGAGTACAATTATGTTCAATAAAATGTCTTTCAGTTTTCATGATCCTCCACTTGACTCAGACCCACTTGATGACACAAACAACTCCATCCTATTCCCCAACCTGGCAACACAGATCAACTCTCTGAGTTTCCTTAAGTCAATCACAAAACATCTATAAACTGCTATTCCCATAGGACCTTCTTCCCTTCATTTAACCTCTACAGCCCAGACCTTTTATCAAAAAATGTTACTTACAATAACTCTCAGAAAAGAAGGATATTTCCTTTAGAATTTGAACTCACAACTTAGCTAGCTCACTGGCTTATGGATCACACTTTCTCTAAGTTTCCACTAACTTTTTCACTTCTCAAGGAAAAGAGTGTGTGTGCTCTCCTAAGGCAGGATTTGGGTTCCCTAGAAAGCTTCTGCCCTAGATTGGTTGGAAGCTACATTTCTCACCACCAGGAGCTTAGCCTACATGGAGTACCCAGGGCCAGAGCAGCTGTTGCTTTTCAGCAGCTGAATAGTCATCCCAAACTCTTCATGTAAACACAGTCTTAGTTACCTGTCACTCTACCAAGCACAACACATGTGTATTTTTTGGCCCTCGTTTTGTGAATGGAGTCAAAGTGAATATTTCTCTCAGAGAATCATCTTAATGTGTTCTCAGATGACAGCTCTTTTTAGTTTTAGCTCTAATTCAATTCCCATATTGAGAACTTAACTGTTTTGTCTCTCTTATGTTGGTCCTAGTTGTTGGATTATATCTTGTAAGGATCACTCCCGCATTTCTTCAGAAACAAAATTCAAGTATGACCATACAAAGTTTGTTTTACTTACTAAAAGATTCATATATAAAAACTAAATATTTGGTGTTTTATGATGATTTTTATTTAATTCTTTTCTTTGTCTAATTTGGATAGCCATGTTTGAGGAGCCTGAAAATTAATCAACAGATATACCCCAACTCAGACTTCATTGTGTGCAACATTATACATTAAATTTCATATTAAATTGCAGAACACTGATTTTTTATTTTAAAGTTGAATAATGAAAACCTACCTGTTATTAAAGTTTTATCTTTTTTCCTGAGTGAATATTAGGAGATTTTTGAGCCCAGGTGTACAATGAATTTCAAAAATGGAAAATGTTAATACCTTTCCTGAGAGTTTTTTTCCTCTATAATACACCACTGAAATAAATATGGAAAAGAGGAGTGGGAGAGACTTTAATGGAGCCATCCAGATGTAGCTAGTAATTATAGTTGAATGAGCTTCATGCATGGGCTCCCCAGTGTTTATATCACTGTGAAAAAATACCATCTTTTAGATGACATTGCTTCTCTGGTCTCTTAATTACTGGCAGTGAATGGTTTAAGCACAGGACAGCTGGGAGTTTTCTGTCTTACTAGTCACTTTTAATGGTATCTTTGCTTTAACCCATCCTTTGTCAATAGCAACCAATCAAAATTTAATTTTAAGAACATAAACTTGGGAAAATACACTAGTCATCTTAATCACTGAATACAAGAAAAAATATACCTAATATTTAATCTGATTTGAGTTTTTATTATTATTAAAATAGTACTATATTTTAAATTCAGTAGAATCCCATTCTTACCCACATGATTCAACCTGCAGCATTTGAAAATATTCATATCTAAGAAGGAAACAGTTAAGCAAATTAAAATTTTTATATTATTCAGTCAACATATTTCCTAGTCATTAGCCTTCTCTAAAAGGCAAAAAGGGTCTGTAATTCTGTCACTAATGCTATCAATATTTTCCAAATTGAAATTTTAAATTTAATTAAGTATGTGGTAAAAGGTGGATGCCACATTACAGTACTGTAGCTTGCACATTTATTATATTTTTTCTATTAATTTTCAAAGGGAATTCAAGGCCATCATGGTGCAAAAGGAGAGGTATGTTTCTTCATATATTATGCTCTCTTGCTCTCTTTCTTCGGTCCTTTTTGCTTGGGTTTCAATACTATATAAATCTAGCTTTTGAGTAAAAACCAGAAAACGAAATGTTTTTCATCTTCTTCAGTAGAAGTTCCCAATTAATTGTTTTCAGAATATGTACATTTATACTGAATTTGATATGAAATGTGAATTGTCAATATTATTGGTTTTTCTTCCAGACTTGGAGCTGAATTTTTTCTCCATATTTTTGAATAAAGAATATTGTACATTTCTGTATCTGTCGGACCCACTAAAATGCAAGCTCCTTGTGAATAGGACTGTGTTATGCCCATTGTTTTATCTCTGGCAGTATGCGTATTACCTATACAATATACTCAATCAGTTGTGGATACTTGTAGGTCTGGCTGGTTGGATGGATGGATAAATGACAGTTTAATATGACATGAAATTTCCCTTCTGGTCAATGACAATATTTCCGGCTATTCCTTACATACCTTACATATTTACATATGTATACATGCATATTCACATCCTTAACGAGCTTCATGATGCAATTATACCTCCTGAAATATTTAAATAGAACTTGTAAAGATTTCTTTTGCTTTTAGAGAGGTGAAAAGGGAGAACCTGGTGTCCGAGGTGCCATTGGATCAAAAGGAGAATCTGGGGTGGATGGCTTGATGGGGCCCGCAGGTCCTAAGGGGCAACCTGGGGATCCAGGTCCTCAGGGACCCCCAGGTTTGGATGGGAAGCCCGTATGTATTCTGCTTCTTTCACAGTTATTACATTTTCATTGATTTTTGCTCATGTTCTTTATGTGCATGTTATAACCCCTAACACTTTGATGCAGGGAAGAGAGTTTTCAGAACAATTTATTCGACAAGTTTGCACAGATGTAATAAGAGGTAGGTATCAAATATAGCATTTTAATAACTTTTCTCAAATTACAAAAGTAATACAAATTCTTAGGACATATTGTAGAGGATATAAGTGAGGTGAAGAAGAAAACAGATAACATTTATAAGCCTCATCTACTTTTCTTCAATGAGTATTTTTATAAAGATTTATCATATATACTCTTTTATAATCTTTTTAATAAAGACATTTATTATTTTGCCATTATTTGAATTTTCTTTTGTAGCATATTTTTTGATAATTTAGTTCATAAATATGAATATAGTCCACCAATTTCTTTTGGGGGCACTTTCACTTTTTCCCCTATTTTAAGCAATTGCTCTAATAAAATTACCGCACAGAGCAATGAATATTTCCATAGTCAAATTCCTAGAAGTGAAATTATTGGCCAAGAAATATGCACATATTCAATGTTCGTAGTTTTTTCTCTGTAAACTGAAAAAAATTAAAAATATAATTAACACCAACTCACCATTTAAACATAAGGGATGGGGTTTCTTTGTTTTTGAAAGCCCAGCTACCAGTCTTACTTCAGAGTGGAAGAATTAGAAATTGTGATCATTGCCTGTCCCAACATGGCTCCCCGGGTATTCCTGGGCCACCTGGTCCGATAGGCCCAGAGGGTCCCAGAGGATTACCTGGTTTGCCAGGAAGAGATGGTGTTCCTGGATTAGTGGGTGTCCCTGGACGTCCAGGTGTCAGAGGATTAAAAGGTATGCAGTTAGTTTCAACAAGAAAATGAATTTTAAAAAGTCTTTTTTTAAAAATTCATACCCTATATCCATTTAATAGTCGAGTTAACTTTTTTCATGATAAAAAAATCTGTAAATGCTCGTCTTTAAATAATTTGCCAACTGAATTAAAGAGAAATTATTTTCTTAATGCAATATTCTCAAAAAGAGAAGTCAAATTTATGAACACATAAACTTACAAATTAGAAAATGTTGCCAATGTACTGAGAAATTTTGCTTGAGTCTAGAAAAGTTTTTAAATAGAAAATCACAGATGCCATTTCCTTTATTTTGACTTTGGTAACTTTCTGCACTGTTACCTTATTCATTTTTTTTTCTATTATAGGAAAAAATAAGTTTTGTGATAAAACTTCCTAATAGCCCAGAATTTCTCCTTGCCTTTGAATGTTTATGTGAAATGTTGATTGATAATTCTTTCCTTTTTGTTTAATAGTATATAAGCAATTTAGATGTTTCATAAAGTAATTTTAAAAAACTATGATTAACACAAAGGGCTAATAATTCCAAACCATTTTCTTTTCTAAATATTTGATTCCCATTAAGTCTTGGATCTAAACCACTGATCATTTTAGAAATTATTGCTTCAAAACTTGTTTTCCATTAGTAAGAAAAAATAGATGGCAAGCTGGTTTTTAAAAGACATTTTTCTTTCATGTGTATATTAACAGCTTTGAATGAAACAATCTAGAAGGCAGTGATTTTAAGTAAACTTACTCAGATGTTTGACACCCTGCAGGCCTACCAGGAAGAAATGGGGAAAAAGGGAGCCAAGGGTTTGGGTATCCTGGAGAACAAGGTCCTCCTGGTCCCCCAGGTGAGAATTGCTACCTGCTCATAAGTGTTACTGCTCATTTTGCTTTAAGAAAAGTCATCATAGATCTATGTGAAATAAATTGAAACTGAGACATCTGTTTTCTTTTTTGAGTGATTCACATTTAACACACTGAAGTCTAACTTCTGGAATATTTTTTCATATATTATCCTCAATTTATGAATCCTTCAATATTATCTCTTGCTTATCATTTAGATAGTTTAATATCTATTCCTTAGAAGAGTTCTAGAATCATTTTAGTCACCCCTGCTTATCTGGTGTATAACACTGTTTAGTCTTTATGACTCTCAGGGAAGCAGAGAAATGCTGAAGCGGTTAAGTAATCTCTGCTAGCTGTGCAGTTTAACTCTGCCATGTCTCAGTTTCCTCATTGGTAAAATGGTGATGATAATGTTATCTCCATCATGACGTTATTGGGAGATTAAATACTTTCTATATGTAGTGCTTTCAGAACAGTGCAAGACAATCACAGTTATGTTTTCAATAAATGTATGCTATGATTAGATGTTATTAATAGGCTTTGGAGTTGATCAAATGACTTAATACTATTTATGTAAAATACTTTGAACAACACTTACAATTGCAGTTAAGTGGTAAATAGATGTTTATTAGTAGTAGTAGCAGGGAGTAGAGGAGTAAGAAGTGGCCCAAACCACTGTGCTCCTTCCCAAAATCTGAATATTTTTTGTTATTTTGAATCAACTTTAAAAGGCCAGTATGGTAAGCTAGCTTTTGTTTCCTTGAGCATGCTAATTGAACTAATCAGGCTATGTTTGACAAATTAGGGCTTTAATACCTATGAGTATTGATGATATTGATGACTATAATACTAAAGTAATAAGAATAATGCATTTAGATATGGAAACTAAAAATATGTATAATAGAAACAGTTTTTTGTTGCAAATACGGCACAAAAATGACTCAGCTTTGGCTTACGTAGGTATCACCTGTTAATTTATAATAATATTGGTAAAAGATAGGCTGAAAGGAAGAAATAAGATTGGACAATACACAAAATGGAATATTATAATGTTAGCTAAATGTTTTAATCAGTAGCATGGTTACTATGTTAATATGCTTAGCCTAGTTTTCAAAAATTACTGATAACTTTAACTTTTGGATGGTTCTTTTCAAAGCAGAAGACATGTAGAATTATCAAGAAAATGCCTCTACTATATAATTAGTGCAAATATATAAAATATTCAAGGTTTTTTTTTTCAGTTTAAGTTTCTTGCAGAATTGGCTATTTCATTATAAAAAACTAAAGTCCTCTGTTTACGTCTTGCCAATGTCCCATCTTAGGTCCAGAGGGCCCTCCTGGAATAAGCAAAGAAGGTCCTCCAGGAGACCCAGGTCTCCCTGGCAAAGATGGAGACCATGGAAAACCTGGAATCCAAGGGCAACCAGGCCCCCCAGGCATCTGCGACCCATCACTATGTTTTAGTGTAATTGCCAGAAGAGATCCGTTCAGAAAAGGACCAAACTATTAGTGTCTGATGCCTCATTCAGCAGCCTAGGCATGGTGCTTTTTCTGTGGTCTTTTGCATCTCAGGAAGATAACCAACAGTAATCCCTTGAAAAGAAACTTAAGTACCTCGGTGTTTTTATTTTTTTTTTCTTATGGAAAAAAATATAAAAGATCACATATACTGATTTTAAAGGCTCCTCAGTCATTTGGAGCCCTTGGATTAGCAGCATTAATTAAATCTCAAGGGTTTCTTGTAAAGTCCATTTATGTTAATCAAAGTTGAATATAAAAATCCACCATTGCCTGTTAGCCAGTCAGTTTTAGTCACTGTGAAATATTTCACATTCAGCCTCCATGCAGTAGAGATTTGAGTTTAATTTCATGTCCATGTGACTTTCATGTTTCCTATCTCATAGCTCATGCTACTACATAAGCCAAAACATGTATCTCATCATTGGAAGTAAGATCAGGGCTGATATTCACCTGGGATAGACAGTATTGGTGAACTACTCATTTACTACAGTGTCTCAGCCTTGATAAGGGGCAGTGGATTGCCTGTTGTTCGGTGTTGTGAATAGCACCTCTGAATAAGATTAGAGTGTTTCTTAATTCATTTCAAACTCTAAAATTAGATTAATGGTGGTGCTAAGAAAGAGTATTAATTACTTTGGGAATGGTCAAAATTAACATTAAAAACATTTTAGACAAAAAGTTTCATTGTACATTCAAAGAAAATGTAAGTTTGGAAGTACTAAAAGACTATTTTATACTTGTTGATTAATCGGAATGTTTGTTGTATGCCTTCATTTTCCATTTCACTTATATGTGTATGTCCATATATGTTAATTTTCATTGTAGCAAAGCTAATGGAAATAAAGCTAATGCTCTAGTTGAAAGAAAAGGAAAACTCCTGAAATCCTAGAATGTCTTGTTATTTTTAGCTGACTGTAAAATATTATGAACAGTCTTTGTGTATTGTGCTTAATGCTTTTGTAAGAAACAGAATTTGAAATATTTCATCCTTGTCATGCTCAAAATTTTGTTACATGCTTGTTATTCAGAGTATAATAAAGTTTTGTACAGGCCTGATTACAATGTCTTTTTTTATACCTAATTTTAACTGATTGTTGAGTATGGTATGTATATTGCATGGTCATTTATTCAATGGATATAATTTATGAAATCATTCAGCCTATTCTTAAAAAATGTGTTCACCTGAAATAAGAAATTACAAATTGAATTGGTGTGCTACACACCTGAACAGTTGAAACACTTGCTTCCTAGCACAGTCATGGCTGTTGCCCAGTGTTTAACTTTATTGTCGTGCAAATTCTATTATTTTGATGAGGACTTTGGAGGGGACTAAAATTTATGATGTTTAGTGGCTGAATGAGCATAAGGCTTGTTCTGGTGTTTTATCTCCAGTAAAGGCCCAGGTATCTGCTTAAGCCAACAAACCTATCACCCCTGCTTTAATTATGACATTTGCTTCTAAGAGCTGGTAAAGAATCAGAATAAAGCCATTTGGTATCATTGATTTATTCATCCAACAGTACTCACCACATGGATAGGTTCGGTGCCTGGGATACAATGGCAATATAGTTAGAATTTGGCCTGAGGGAACACATGTATAACGAGACACAGGTAAGTGTACAGGTGATTCCAATATATTAATTCTAAGAATGGAGAAAATGCAATTGAAATGTAAAAGATGATGTTATGGACTGCATTGTATGCCCCCGATTCATATATGGAAGCCCTTACCCCCAATGTGACTATATTTGAATATAGGGCTTTCAGGAGGTAACCAAGATAAATGAGGTCATAAGGGTGGAGTCCTAATCCCATAGAATTGGTGGCTTTATAAGAAGAGGAAGAGGTTGCTCTCCCCTACTACCCTCCCTCCCTTCATCTGCTTCATCTACCTCATGGCCTTCTAGCTCTCACATCCAGGGAAGACTATGTGAGTACATTGTGAAAGGTGACTCTCTGCAACCTGGAAAAGGGACCTCACCAGAACCCGACTATACTGGCACCCTAATTTCGAACTTCCAGCCTTCAGAACTGTATGAACAAAAATTTCTGTTGCTTAAGCCAGCAAGTCAATGATATTTTGTTATGGCATTCCAAGCAGAGTAGTGCAGATTATAGTAGGCTAGGAGGTATTGGCATAACTAAGTCATGTAAAGATAATGAAAATGAGCAAAGGGTGGAGGGTTAGAAAAAGCATGAAGAATTCCAAGAACAACAAAATCTATGGAATGTAAACTATATTTACTTTCAGTATTTCTGCTTTAAAATTTGGCATCTCAGGATGAAATATTTCCATAATTTAGCATGGCATACATTGTGTCATAGTTTTGCCTTGGAGAAATTTAAGACTAACTCATAACACGCTGATTTTCAAGAATGAATAGGTGAATAATCTTGCTCTGCAAGTACATTTTTGCAACATAACTATGTTACGTGCTCAGCACCATGTTACGTGAAAGGCCTTTTAGTGTGGTTGCTGAGAGCATGGCTTCTGTCCTGAGATTTCCTGCATCAAAATTCCTACGTTTTGTTTCTAGCTGCGAGGCTTCAGAAAATTTATTTACATCTTTGTACTTAAATTCTTTCATATGATAAGTTGAGGATATTAATAATACTTACTTCATAGTATTAAAAAGATTAAATGAGAGAAAACAAAAGAAATTCATCAGTGAAATAAAGTCATACAATTTACTAGAACTAGACAGAAAATATGGGGTTACCAAATCTTTTTTTTTTTCTTTTTTTTGAGACAGTTTCGCTCTTGTTGCCCAGGCTGGAGTGCAATAGCATGGTCTCGGCTCACTGCAACCTCTGCTTCCCAGGTTCAAGTGACTTTCCTGCCTCAGCCTCTGGAGTAGCTGGGATTACAGGGATGTGCCAACATGCCTGGCTGATTTTGTTTTTTTAGTAGAGACGGGTTTCTCCCTGTTGGTTAGGCTGGTCTTGAACTCCTGACCTCAGGTGATCTGCCCGCCTCGGCCTGCCAAAGTGCTGGGATTACAGATGTGAGCCATCATGCCCAGCCTTTTTTTTTTTTTTTTCTTTGAGATAGAATCTTGCTCTGTCACCCAGGCTGGAGTGCAGTGGCACAATCTCGGCTCACTGCAACCTCCGCTTCCCAGGTTTAAGTGATTCTCCTGCCTCAGGCTCCCGAGTAGCTGAGATTACAGACACCCAACACCATGCCCAGCTGATTTTTGTATTTTTAGTAGAGACAGGGTTTCACCATGTTGGCCTCAAGTGTTGGTCTCAAACTCCTGGCCTCAAGTGATCTGCCTGCCCCAGCCTCCCAAAGTGTTGGGATTATAGGCGTAAGCTGCCACGCCCAGCCAAGGTTACCAAATCTTGAGAGTGAAAAAATTTTAAAAGTACTAAAATCATTTTATATGTGTGTAACTGATACTGAATAAAGCTGATCTGACTCATTGGCATTCATCCTGAATGTCAATTCAGAATGAAACTCTCAGTCTTAAGGGTAAAAATCATTCTCAGTAAAGGCTGTCTTTGCATAATTTCAACGATTTTCCTCTAAAATGTAAAGTAGGGTCAATTTAGAAAAAAAAAAAAACCTTTAGGATTTATAGTCTTGTGGTACTATACTTTGTCTCTGGTGCTTAGAACTTTGCTAGGTGCTTGATTTAATTTTTGTCATGAAGAGATTTTCAACTGAAATTGAGCTGGGAGAACTCAATTGAGAACTCGTCCTTCGGTCCCCAGTAGAGGGCAGCCACACACACACACACACACACACACACACACACACACACACACACACACACACACTATGATAATCTCTTCTTCATTATATTAATCTTGTAAGTCTTATAAGTTATAACTATATATCTTTAGCCTGAACATTTTCTCATTTTTAAAAGTATGGCTAGATTTATTTTCTTACAACTTAATTATTCCAAAGAAGAAAAAAATTGTTCTCATAAGTTGAATACCTAAATCACAATTAAGCCGTTTATATTTTGATGTGTTGCCTATCTGCTTTACCTTTGCATAGTTCCATTTGTTAAAGTCCTCAGCTAGGAGGTTTGGTTAATTCTTCTGATTGATAACGTTATCGCCAAAGGCAAGGTTCAAAGCTCACTCCTGGTAGTCCTAAATTATAGATCTGGCCTATTGGCTGTGCCTCACCTTGGGGAGGCAGAAACTTGCTCTTATCATTATCTACAGATTGCAATTAATAGTCAAAGGACATGTCACCATAATCCAGGCACAATAGGTTGTATGAAATAACACAAAAGGTTAGCACCTCTGTGCCTAAAGCACTGAGAGCCTCGTCTTTGAGGACTGGGAAACAGAATGGGGAACACAGAGGGATGCCTCAGATTCAGATTCACTTCTGTAGTTTTAAGGCGAAAGACCAGAAATCAACTCATAGTTTAAATTTAGCTGCAAAGATTTATCTTTGGAATATCTTAACCAAAGTTTTATTTTGCCCCTAATAACACATTTGAAATAAGGAACATAAATGATAACCCACTGTGTTATTCCTGGGTTATGCCTTCTCAAAAGTAGGTTTTCACAGAGAAATTTTACAGATTCCAAAATTCTCATATTAGTATCTGTTTTAGCTTACTTTAAGTTCAGGGGTGCCTGTACAGGTTTGCTACATAGGTAAACTTGTGTCATGGGGGTTTGTCATACAGATTATTTCATCACCCAGGTATTAAGTCTAGTACCCATTAGTTATTTTTCCTGATCTTCTCCCTCCTCCCAACCTCCACCCTCCACCTTCCAGTAGGCCCCAGTGTGTATCGTTCCCCTCCATGTGTCTATGTGTTCTCATTATTAGGCTCCCGCTTATAAGTGAGAACATACAGTATTTGGTTTTCTGTTCCTGGGTTAGTTTGCTAAGTTTAATGGCCTCCAGCTCCATCCATCCCTGCAAAGAACATGATTTCGCTGGTGAGGTTGTGAAGAAAAACGAATGCTTATACACCGTTGGTAAGAATGTAAATTAGTTCAGTGTGGAAGACAGTATGATGATTTCTCAAAGACCTAAAACCAAAAATACTGCTAGACCTAGCAATCCCGTTACTGGGTATATACCCAAAGAAATATAAACCGTTCTATTTTAAAGTTGCACGCACACATTATGTTCATTACAGCACTATTCACAATAACAAATACATGGGATCAACCTAAATGCACATCAATGATAGACTGGATGAAGAAAATGTGGTACATATACACCATGGAATACTATGCAGCCATATTGATATCTTAACTAAAAATGACAACCTGAAATAGCTGACTGTAGGATCATTTTGAAGAAGGTAAGAACTGACATGCAGTGCAAGTGTTTTCCCATTGCATCCCCTGTTCAGTTGCTACTTCAAAATAATATTTAAAAATCAAATTTAGAAAGTGTCTATAGCTGTGATTGACATTCAAAGAATCATTAATTATGAGATACCTTATTTTGGGGAAACAAAGGTAACAAGAATCCTGTGGCATGTGATCTTGGATAAACTTGATAACTTCTCTGAATTTGTTTTTTTTAGTAAAGCAAGGGTTTAAATGTACACTGGCTGTACATTAGAAGCACCTAGGGAGCTTTAAAAGAATACCCTTGCTTGTGCCCCACCCAGAGGTTCTAGTGTAATTGGATTGGCTTCCAGGTGGGTTAACAGTTTGTATAAAGGCCTTGAGCCTGAGAACGTAGCTCAATGGGAGGGAAAGTAATTCTACATTTTGGGATTTCAGGAAACTGATGGTGGACAGAGGTAAAAGATAAGTGTAGAGATGCTGGGAGTAGGAGAAGGGATGAAGAGGGAAGGAAGAGATATCAAATATCTTGCAAAATTTTAAGGAGGAAGTAGCATGAAGAGATTTGCATTTGAAATAGATCACTCTGGTCGCAGAAAAAATACAGTAGTCCCCCCTTATTTGAGTGGGTTATGTTTCAAGACCCCCGGGGGTGCCTGAAACCACAGACAGCACTAAATCCTATATACACTGTTGTTTTCCTGTAAGTACATACCTATGATAAAATTTAATTTATAAATTAGTCACAGTAAGAGATTAACAACAATAGCCTATAATAAAATAGAACACTTATAACAATATACTCTAATAAAAGTTATGTGACTGTGGTCTCTCTCTTACAAACACACACACACATAATATTTTATTGCATGTAAAATTTTCCATCCAAGGCTGGTGGTAGGCAACTGAAACTTTGACAATTGAAACTGCATGTAAGGGGGTGACTACTGCTGATGAAACCAAGCAAGAATGCAAGGGGAGAAGCTAATTAAAAGTCATTTCAGTGGCACTGAGGATGATGGTGAAAATAAGAGGAGTATGAGACAGAAGCAGAGGGTTTACAAAAAAAAAAAGACCATCAATTTATTAGTTCTACTATAATCATGGTGAACTTCCAGAATGTACACACAGCCCCCCCAGTGACTTGAGGAAGTTGGAGGCTTACCATTAAATAGTGTGAAATAAATGCCTGAACAAAATGTTTTAGGCTTTGGATCTTGTTGTCGGACATAGAATAAGCTTGTTTGCAGGGATAAAGGCCTCATCTTAGGGGCCTCTCTTGAAATGTTGGCAGGGTCAGAGTGACGACTCTGGTCTGAAATGTGAATGCAGAAATATTCCTTTCAACTTCAACTGGGACAAAATGCACCAGTCTGTTTTTTTCTCTACCTCTGATAGTGACCAGAAGTCTCCACCCGCAAGTCTTATTCACAACAAGGTTTTACTGATTACAACAGTGAAATTTATCTGTTTCTCTCTGATGCTTAAGGATTCAGGAGAATATTATCTTGCTGGTGCTGGGATCCTTTTGGAACATCTAATTGTTAAAGTGCAGTGGCATATGTCAAAACCACAGGTGTCAGAATGTGATGAATGAGCTTTGTTTTTATGAAGTGACACTACAGTAAAATGAACTATATTTTATGAGGAAATGAAAGTATATGTAATGGGTGTCATTTTGGATGGAAATTCTCTGTTAATCCAATTAGCTGTTTAAGATAAAAGGATACACTTTAGTCTCCCCAGATCATGTGCAGTTCCTCTAAATTCTAGGAAGAAACACCAGAGCCCTTCAACCAGAATCAGTAAGTAGAAGCTTTTAGAGACATATCCTAGCAATTGTTTAGTGGTTGCTTGGAAGAATGCAATATCTAATTTAGATGTGATTTTCCTTGCCTTAAGGATGAAGCAGTGAGATTAAAGGAGTTGTGGAGTAGAGGAGTAAATGAGGATCTCTGTGTGTGGGTTGGATTTAGAGGAAAATCTGTTTGAAACTGATTTTTCCATCTGTGACCTCTCCCAGGGATTTTGGAGCAACAAACTTGAATTTGTAACTTTAATAATGCTTTTATTTATCTTGGAATTGACTGTATAAAGTATGTGCATTTTATTCATTTTAGATATTAAAGAACCTCACGTGCAGATTTTTCATGGTTACATAGGAATTAAAGAGAACAGCAAGGATTCAAATCTAAGTCTTGTCTCCAAAGATAGGGTCGACTTCTTTCATACTGTCTTCTCCTATGAGAACTGAAAACGAAGTGATATAAGCCCCTTGTATCCCTGGTTTAATTTAAGCGGTTTTCACCTGCTTCTCCTCATGGTGAATTTAGTGATTAAAAAAATTCTTAAAAAAGCTCTGAGCTCACCTTAAGGATTATTAAAAAGGGGAGAAACTTGTGCAACAGTGTCCAACTCATTTGTCAGTCATTTGTGGTCACTCTATAAGGCTCTTACTGGGAATGTCTTTGTCTGGCAATAGCTAAAACAAAAATATTTCTAGATCCAGAGATTAAGAAATACACTTAATAACTCATCCTAAATGAGAAGTCAAGAAGTGATAGAAACTAAGAAAATCAGAAGTATTAGATGTAATTACAGAAATGCTGTCAGAAATGTATTGTCTTAAGGTTCATTAAACTTTGGAATTAGAAAGAATTCACTGGACAATTGAGCTTTGAGGATTTCTCAGTGCTTTGAAAAAGGAAAGGACTGTTTCCTTCACAATTGAGGGGCAAAAAGGAGAGGGGGAAGCTTGTTTGGTATGAAGTGGCTCACTGGAAAGAGAACATCCTCAAGTTTAACTTGGAGAGGCTTAACCCTAGTCAATAAATAGACTTCAGATAGTATTTAGAAAGGAATGAGTGGGAACATAGAAGAGTAGTGATTGGTGTTTGTATGGTTTTCATGGAGAAAAACCATGGAGAGTACATTTTCATGACAGCAGTGAACTTACATGTATTCAAAGATGAATTTCCTTATGCTTACATAATGAAAGACTGAAATACAGTCGTATTTCCCCATGTTTTATTTCTATAATTATGAGTCCAGGGAAACAAAGGGCCTAGTTAAAAAAAAAAATTGAGAGAATAGTGGAGAGTAAGGAGCAGGGTGTAATGGCTGAAGATGGCTTTTATCACAGATCTTGGGAGTTAACTTTTCATTTTTAGATGCAAAGTTTTAAGGTTAATTAATATTTTGTTTCTACCAAAGAGTAATGTGGAAGAAACAGAAAATATTTGGTTAAAGATGGTGGTCGCTGTGGATAAAAAGAAAGAATGTTAAGAACCAAGCAAACATTTTCTAAAATTTTTCTTTAAAAGTTTAGAAACATCTAAAATTATTTCCCATTTACCTGAAGGAGGATTATCAGGATGCCTGTAATCCTAGGATGGTGCTGAGTTCTTTTGATAATAACATATTTAATTCCACTTAAGACAACCTACTTTTCAGCTTCTCTAAATTTAAGTGAAAGCAGCTATTCTGGCTTTCCTTTAACTGACAAGGACTCTCTCACACCTTGTGCAGACTTGGGAAGTGGGGAAGATCTCATTATAGGAATAAGTGGCACCCACGTAGGAAAAAGAGGGAAAAAGAGAGCTAGCGCTGACTAGTTTTACCCCACACCATCCCATGATTCTCTTGTTCATTTTAAGGCGAACTAGTAAAATTTTAGAGGCATAAGCTCACATAGGAAATGATCGCTATCTCCAATAACACCCAGAGAGTAAAAGAGATGAATGTTATTGCCTGTCCCCATGAAATGTTAATGGGCCCTTGCAGGTTTTAAGAGTCCTAAGAGCCTGGAGGAAAGACATTAGTGCTGAGCTCCCTAAAGGAGAAAGTTACATTAGGAAGCCACAGCAGAGACACTCACAACAGCTATTGATTCAGTGATTTCAAAAACATTCCACCCTGAGTCTTCACAGCTTCCTTAGGAGTAGGTAATGTTTTCATTTCATAAAGGAAAACACTGAGCTTCACGCTAATAAGCAGTGACAAATCTAGAATGCAAACTCAGATCTGCCAGGCTCCAAAGCTCCTGTTTTCAGTTTTACTATAACTAAAGCATGTTCTCTCTATTGTTCCTGTTTCAATACAATACTTAGTTGGCAATTGGAGGCCAATTAATTATTCCATCACTGTGTTGGGCAGAATTTTTCACTGCACTGAATTTTTTCTACCTTTTGGAATGTTATTTGCAGGTTTCATTCCGAGTGACTATTCCAGGTCCTTTTTTGGACCTCTCCCAAGTGTTCTTACTAATATCCTATATAAGGCCCCATGATAACATTTTTTGTTTTTAATCCTATATTGCAATTGTTCTTTGTAATTGCAATTGTCCCTATGAGACAGTGAGCTTGTTAAAGGCAAACCTCATGCAGTGTTTAAAAATATGTTCTGAAGTACACCTTTTGCCAAAGTTGATTTGAAATTCTTTTTGAACCATATTTATTAGTATAAAGATCACATAAAGGAGAATTATGATGTGGCCTGTAGTGCTAGGATTTGGGTGAATTAATAGAGTAAAATTCTTAGATGAGTAGCTGGAACATAATAAGTACCTGATAATTGTTAGTTATTATTATTACAACTTTCTGATGATTGGCTTATTTTATTAGGTTCCCCCAGTAATGTGAAGAACACAAAATGGGAACCAGAAGTTCTTTAATATCCCAGGTTTGGGACAGACCTTTTAACATTTCCTACCTGTGCGGCCTTGAAATTTGTTGCGATAAGCCTCAGTATTTGAAAGGGAGTCGCTGTGATAAACCAAATTAGTTGTGATAAGCCTCATCTTTGAAAGGGAATAGCAATAATATTTCAGGATTGTTTCCAAATATGATAATTAAAAATACATAACAATTGTTCAACACACAGTAGGCTGTTGTTATATGATTACCAGTGGAGACAGCAGTTTTACATTGGCCTCTATATTGTCCTTTGTGGCTAATTGCATACATATTGAAACAAATTTGAGCCACACAGACAATTATCAGGTCTCCTCTCTTCGATCCTAAACGTCTCTCTAGTCCTCTGTATAACAGAATTAATGCAGTCTCTTCACAGAATGTCCTACCATCAGTTAACTGTGAATGTGTAAAACAGAATTCGATATTTTCACCCTTGCTACTTAAATGCTGTTGTCACTGTTGGTGGCACCAGTATTACCCTGGGTTAGCCAGGGAACTGCTTTCTTTTTTTTTTTTTTTTTTTTTTTTTTTTTGAGATGGAGTTTCACTCTCGTTTCCCAGGCTGGAGTGCAGTGGCGTGATCTTGGCTCAACGCAACCTCCACCTCCCAGATTCAAGTGATTCTCCTGCCTCAGCCTCCCGAGTAGCTGGAATTGCAGATGTGCACCACCACACCCAGTGTATTTGTAAAATACAAATTTGTATTTGTAAAAATACAAAAAAAAAATTTGTGTTTTTAGTAGAGACGGGTTTTCACCATGCTGGCCAGGCTGGTCTCAAACTCCTGACCTCAGGGGATCCACTCGCCTCAGGCTCCCAAAGTTCTGGGATTACAGGCATGAGCCACCGTGCCCAGCCCACTGCTTTCTTTATACAGTGACCGAACAGGCTGCCGCCGTCTAGCTGTGGCTTCTGTGGTCACTGTTGGCAGGGCAACAACTTGTTGCTCTGTTCCTCTGCTTCCTGAAATATGTGATAACTTTTTTTCCTGAATAAATCTATTCAACTTGATTAGGATTGTTTAGAATCAAGCCTCACCGTTGCTGAGAATTGCAGCTAACTGAGAATTTTTAGGACATTTTGGGGTACACTTTGTAAGTTACTACTCCTATTTCATGTACTCACTCATTAACTCATTAAATAACTCCATAGAGAAAAATAAAAGTATTTGCTTTCTTCTGTGATTTCGGAAAAAAAAAAGATTTGTATTATTTCAATGAAACTTACTACATCTATGTAGAAAGGATGTGTTCAAACTTTTTTCCATTTTAAAATTTGCGCAAAACAATAAGCAATGTGGTGTCCCTTTTGTTAACACTGCAAAACCCTATATTGCTTTATAGGAAATGGGAAAATAAGGCTTTAAATTTTAAGCACTTGGGCTAATTTATGCCCTAAAAACACTGAACATTAGATAGAAAATTAGTCAGTTTGGGGAAAAAGTGGGGAAGTGGGAAACAGGAAAAAAAGACACATATGTTGCTAGGGAAAATTATAATTCACAGTTTCATTTTTTTCTGATGTTCCAGTAATTTAATATTGGTGCTCTAAAGATATGGCCATGTTATCTAATTGTCAGTGGAATAATGTGATTTTCTGGCACCAAATTCTGTATTCCACAAGAGTAACTGCTAATAAAATTAAAAGAGTTTGTTCAATATTAGAGATTCTGGTCTTTTGGCATGGAAATTAAAGAAAAGCATTCAACCACATAACTTTTTATGCCTAGTATTTATCTAATTTCTACATTGGAAATTGGCAAAGAAACATTCTTTCCCAAATATGTATTTATATGAAAATCTGTCTAAATGCCTATGTAATGAAATTTGTACATGATGTTACTCAGAGGAAAGAAAATTCTGAGGACAAAAATAATTGCAATGGTTTTGTAGTTTTGATTACACAAAAAACACTTCAAATAAAAATAGACAAATCCAAATAAATCAAATAATTATTCCACCTCCTCATTTTACAATTTTGAAAGAGACTGAAATTGACCTATATTCTATTTTTTCTGCGTCTTGCCTTTCTCTTTTTTCTCCTTTCATTCTTTTTGCTTATAAAAAGCTTCAAATAGAAACTGAAACTTAATTTTGTTTACTGTGTATATTTAATAAATATAATCAGTAACTTAAAAATAAATTTTATTGAAGTATAAAGTTTACATACAATAAAATGCATCCATTTTTAAGTCTGTATTTTGATGGGGTTTGACAAACATACGCACCCATGAAACCATCACCACAATTAAGATATAGAACATTTCCATCACCCTTAAAAAGTTTCCTTGTGCCTTTCCCCAGGTAATTTATCCCTCCTCCAGGTCCAGGCAATCCCTGCTCTGCTTTCTATCACATAGATGATAATTTTCTTTTCTAGAGTTACATAAAAATGGAATCATCCTTTATGTAATCTTTTGTTTCTTGGCATCCTTCATTCATTATAATGTTTTTGAGATTCATCTATGATGTGGTATCAATAGTTTATTCCTGTTTTGTTACTTGGTAGTATTCCTTTGTATGACTGTATTTTTGATTATTTATTCACCTGTTTATGGACAACTGGGTTATGTCCAGTGTGGGGCTACTCTGAATAACACTGTTATGAACATTCATTTACAAGTCTTTGTGTGGAAATATGTTTTTATTCTTCTTAAGTGGAGTTATTGGGATATATTGTAAGTATATTCTAAACTTTGTCAGCAACTGTATTTTCTGGATACAAGTCCTTTGTTACATATTGCAAATTTTTTTTCGTGTCTGTGGCTTGCATTTTTATTTTCTTAATGTAGTCCATCAAAGAGTAGAAGTTATAAGATTTTTATAAAGTACAATTTTATCAATTTTTCTTTTATAATTTGTACTTTTTTATGTTCTATTTAAGAAATCTTTACCTATCCAGAGATTGCAAATATTACTTACTTTGTTTTCTGCTAGAATAGCACTGTCCAATGGAAGCTTATCCAGTGGAATTTTGATTGGGATTGTAATAAATATATTGGTCATTTTAAGGAGAATTGACATTTTAAAAATATTTAGTCTTTCCTTCCCTGAGCATATCTCTTTATTTACTTATCTCTCCATTTTATTTTTCTCAGAAACGTTTTATAATTTTCATTGTATAGGTTTGTGCACATTATTTAACAAAATTTATCTGTAAATCATGTTTGTGGATGCCATTATAAATGCCATGTTTTAGACATCGTTTTCCATTTGTTCTTTGCTAGTTTATCAAAATACTGTTGATCTTTTGTATATTGACTTTTATCCTTGGACCTTGCTAATAAATGCACTTGTTATTACTAGTTCAAGTAGCTTTTTGTAGAATTTCAAAGAATCAGATAGATATTAGTTATATAAATTTTCTACATTTCCCCCATTTTCTCTTTCATTACTTTCAGCTCTTACATTTATTGCTTTACTCTCTGACTTACTTTGGATTTAATTTGCTCTTTTATTCTAGCTGCTTAAGGTAGATATTGTTTAATTGAATTTCTTTAGATCTTTCTTATTTTAAGAAATAAGAAAATCAATTTTACTGTAAGCATCATTTTAGTGAAATTTTAAAATCTTGATATACTGCTTTTTTATTTTCATGAAGCTCAAAATATTTTCTAATTCCTCTTGTGATTCCTTCTTTGACAGATGGTGCCTTAGTCAGTTTCCTGTTGCTTATAACAGAATATGTGAAACTGGGAAATTTATAAAGAAAAAGAATTTATTTCTCATAGTGGAGGCTGGAAAGTCCAAGGTTGAGGGGCACGTCTGGTGAGGGCATTCTTTCTGGTGGGACCTGTGCACAGACCCGAGGCGGTACAGGGTATCACATGGCAAGAGGGCTGAGAGTGCTAACGTGGTTGCTCAGGTTTTTATTTTTCTCCCTATGAAGCCACCAGTACTCCCATGTAGCCCATTAATTCATTAACTTGTTAATTCTTTAGTCCATGAATAGATTAATCCATTCATGAGAGCAGAGCCTTCATCATCCAGTCACCTCTTAAAGTCCCCACCTTTCAAAGCTGCCACATTGGGCATTAAGTTCCCAATACATGATATTTGAGGGACACATACCAACCATAACAGATGGTTATTTAAAACTGTGATATTTGATTTTCACATATTTGGATATGTTTTAGATGTCCTTGTGTTATTGATTTCTAATTTAATTTTGTTGTCAGAAAACAAACTCTATCAATTCTTTTAAATTTAATGAGACATTTTATGAAGCAGAAAATGGTCTGCCTTGGAAATACATCATTTGCACTTGAAAATAATGGGTATTCTGCTGTCATCAGATTGAGAGTTCTATAAATAAAGCCATATTGGCTAATAGTATTGTTCATACTTTCTCCATTCTTAATAATCTTGTATCTACTTGTTCTCTCAGTTCCTGAGACAGGAGTATACAGATCTCCTGTAATTGTGGATTTGTGTTTCCTTTTAATTCTGTCAGTTTTTTGCTTCCTGCATTTTTTAGCTCTCTTACAGTATGCACACACATTTAGGAATGTTATGTCTTCTTGATGAATTGACCTATTTTCATTATAAATGCCCCCTTTTTATCCCTGATAAAGTCCTTCTTCTGGAGTATACTATCTGACATTAATATAGACACCTCAGCATTCTTTTGAAAAGCGTTTGCATAGTAATAGTTTTTTTCATCCTTTGACTTTATCTTATCTGTATCTTTATATCCAGAATATATTTCTTGTAGGCAGTCATTGGATCTTTCTTTTAATCCAGTCTGGTAATTTCTGTTTTTACTTGGAGTATTTAGATCAGGAGTCAGGAAACCTTTTCTGCAAAGAGCCAGATAGTAAACAGCTTAAGCCTTGCAGGCCATATGGTCTCTCCTTGAATCTACTCAGCTTTAACATTGTAGTGTGAAAGCAGTCATAGGCAATGGGTAAACAAACAAGGATGGCTGTGTTCCAACAAAACATTATTTACAAAAACACTTGGCAGGCTGGATTTGTCCCATAGGTTGAAGCTTACCAACCAGGGTTGGACCACTTAAATTAATTAATTTTTAATATGGTTAGGTGTATAGCTATCATCTTTCTATTTTTTTGTTTCATCTGGTCTTTATTTCTTTTTCCCCTTACTTGTGCCTTCTGATGTGATGAGTATATTTTAGTATTCCTTTTTATCACCATTATTGGATTATTAGCTACACTTATGCATTTTATTTTTGTAGCAGTATCTCTAGGGTTTGTAGCATACATTTTTTAATTTAATATAGTCTACATTAAAATAATATTATGCCATTTACAATATAATGAGTATACTTTCTTTTCCCTGCTCATCCTACATGCTATTGACATACATTTTGCTTCTACCTGTTCTATAAATCCCACAGTACATTTTTATTATTTTTGCTTTATATGGTCAATATTATTTTAAATAACCTAAAAATGAGAAAGAGTATTTACCCTTCTATTTGCTACTTCTGGAACTCTTCATTCTGTTGCATAGATTCAAATTTCCAACTGCTATCATTTTCTTTCTCTCAGGAGAGCTTCCTTTAACATTTGTGGTAGTGCAGGTCTGCTGGTGATACTATTTTGGCTTGCATATTTATGGAAAGAAGTCCGCAGTTATTTCTATCTTTGATCTTTTGTTTATAAGGTGTCTCTTTTCTGACAGCTTTCAAGAGCATGCCTTTATCAATCGTTTCAAGAAATTTTATTATGCTGCTTGTTAGTCTACACCCATGTGTGAGTGCATGCATTTTATGTTTATCTTCCACGGGATTTGTAGAGATTCTTGGATTTGTGATTTTATAGTTTTCATTAAATTTGGATGATTTTTCACCTTTACTTCTTCAATTATCTCTCCCTTGTTGACTCCAATTTGGCATATGTTAGACCAAGTAATCTTGTTCTGCTAATCATGATGCTCAGCATTTTTTTTTCCTCCCTCTATGCTTCACTTTGGATAGATCCTATTATTAAGTTTTCAAGTTTACTGTTTTTTTTTCTGAAATGTCTAATCCACTGGTATTTCCATCTAATAAATTTTTATTTCAATATTGTATTTTTCTGTATTTTTCATCTCTAGGAATTGTATTTTTTATATCCTTTCTTTTGATCTGCTTTAGATACATGCTTCCCTTTATATAGTTGAACATAGTCACAACATCTATTTTAATATGCTTGAATAGTAAACTCATAACCTATGTCATTTCTGTTTCATTGCTTTATTGAGCGACTCTCTTGTTTCTCAGAGACGCAAAGGGGTTCAGAATGAGGGGGGTCATTCTCCCTGACTTTTGCAGAACCCTCAATGCCTTAGCATATTTGTGACTGGGTTTGTTAATGGTATTGTGAGACTTTAGCCTTGGCACAGACATTGGTGTGCTCATGATGTCACACTCAGAAATGGGAATGACCAGAACTGATCAAGTAGATTTGTGGACATCAGATAGTTTGTGCCCCAAGGGAACATGAGCAAAAGTGGAAGAATATATGAATGCCAGATATCGTCTATAACTGGCAGGCTAATTATGACTCCTATGAGCATTACCAGAAACATTTGTAATATGTGAAAAGTTCTGAAAATATAGGAAGAGGCAAAAACACAAACTTTGGTTTCTTGGCATTGCAACTTTGTATCCACAGATAAGTATTTGGAACATGTACAATTTTTAAGAAGGAATGTGGCAGACACTCTTGATTTCCTCCCCCAAAGACATTCTATTTCATTCCTTTCTAAGACAGCTGCTAGTTTGTTCAGGCAGCAATGCATTTAAGCCAAAAGGAGAAATGTTTTGGATGAGAAGTAGATCACTGCAGTCCTAATCCATTTTGCTATCTCTGAAAAACTCCTGGGAGTCTCTGATCAAAATTTTCTGCTCTGAAAAGAATGCAGCACGGGGGAACTCTTCTTGCTCCTTCCTTTTCTTTCTGCTATAATTTTGTCATATGGGGCTACAATGCCTGGATCTGCTGTTTTACGTACACTAGGGGAAAGTGTTTCTGACACATTGAGGATGGAAGTTTAGGAAGATAGAACCGTAAACATATTATTGAGCTACTAAACCATCTCTAGGACTTTCTACCGCTAAACTTCTTGTTAACTCAATGGCAGATGTCCTTTTAAAAGGTTTTAAGCCACTGTTAGTTTATATTACTTATATTCAAATGTGGGCTAAATGATACTGATACAACTTGTGGGAAGGAGTTTCAAGACTTATCATGAGTCATCTTTCTGATGAAACTTCCACTGCTATAACCTTGTTTCTAAATCAGTGGGTAAATTATGCATACAGAAAATTGGCTCTACAATATACAGTCTAACTGCAGCTGAGAAAAATGTATTTTCAAGTTTCGCTTGCTGTTAGGTATAATGATACTAGTTTACCATTTCCCAAAGAGTATTCCATGAAATGCTAATTTTAAACAAGGCATATCATATGAACTATATTAGAGAAATGGAAGGAAAACCAAAGCATGTTTTTGAACAGCAGATCTTAGAGGCATGAATATGCCCATATACATTGAGAAACTCTAAAACAAAGATAGATGTATATTTCCAAAACTTACTTGAGTGGTGAATCTTTTATTCTTAAAGATTTTACTAGTGTAATATTCTTCAGAAACAGTAGTGTTCTTGAGGAACACTAATTAATGCAACTTTTGTATATTTCTTTTTTTGTTAAGACAAAGAAAAGCCTATGTTCTATATCATCTTTACCTCATGAATAATGTATTTGTTCATCCTGTATACCCACCTTTTAAAAAAATGATGATATTCTTTTTTATTTAAAATAGGGAAAAAACTCAAACTCATGTATAGTAATTTGATTTTGGAAGCATAAAAAGTAGGTATTAGAAAAAAATCCAGTAGCAAGCTTACATACAGTTTAAAGATATTATTGAATATTTGGCAAACACAGTTGTTATTAAATGAAACTTATAGCAAAGCAACAATAAAAAAGCAATTAAAATATTGTTTAAATGACTAAACAAATACATTCATAAGAAAGAGAAAGGTGCTCACAATGCATAGGGCTACTGCCATCTTAAATAAACAAATATGTGTTCAAGAGATTGTGTAAGGATGATGAGAACTTTCCTTACATATATAAAAATGTGAAATCTGATACTAAACCTCAGTATGTCTCTTTGATGATCATGTTTGTAAAATGGGCAGTTAGAATTAAGAAAGAAAAAAGAGACTCAATTTATCCTTTGTGTCTGATTTTTTGAAAGATATGAAGGAAAACTCTGAAATTTTCTTATGCAATGAACCCTGGATTTGTTGTAAAAGCAGGTGCCAGCCCCCTACCAAATTAGCCAGTCTTGGCATATGAACATTTAAATGTCCTCCTTTAAATTTGCATTCTATGCCAGCTCAGCTTCTAATTCAGCTTCCCTGAATCACAGCCTAGCTATACTCCGATAGTATCTGTGTCTACTTCCAGCAAAGCTTAGCTTCTGTGGTTTTAAGCTGGATGAAAGCAAATACAGTACCATGTTACATAGCAAGTTATAAACTTATAGGATTCATTATCCCACATGATGGTGCATAAACAAAATTGGAGAGAAAGCTTTGAGGGACTTTAAGTTCAGAATAAGTTGTGTATTTAGTCCGTTCTCACAATGCTATGAAGAAATACCTAACACTAGGTAATTTATAAAGAAAAGAGGTTTAATTGGCTCATGGTTCTGCAGTCTGTACCTGAAGCATGGTGACGTCAGCTTCTGGGGAGGCCTCCGGGAACTTAGAGTCATGGTGGAAGGTGAAGTGGGAGTGAGCCATCGCATATGGGGGAAGCAGGAGCAAGAAATAGAGAGGGGAGGTGCTACACGCTTTTAAATAACCAGGTCTTGTGAGAACTCACTCACCATATAGTACCAAGGCGGGATGGTGCTAAATCCTTCATGAGAACTCCACCCCCATAATCCAGTTCCCTCCTATCAAGCCCTACCTCCAATACTGGGGATTGCAATTCAACATGAGATTTGGGTGGGGACACAAATCCAAACCATATCAAGTTGTAAAGAGATACTACAATATTCAGATACAATCATCTCCCATAGTGTCCTTGAGGACCACTTCTGAGACAACTGTAGAAAAGCCAACTGTTTCCTGACAACTATTAAAAAAGTAGAGGAGTAGACAAATAAATGAGGGAGTAGGGAGAGGTGGAGAGAGAGAAAGAGAGAGAGAGAAAGAGAAAGAGAATTAATATGTTGATCATGAGAAAAAGGGGAAGAGAGTAACATATATACAAGAGTACTTTCAAAAGTTGAGTGAAGTCCCATACTCTTTGCGGACTTCTGTAGAGAGTACAGGAGTTGGCTGAACTTTGAAATGAGGACAATGGGTGTCTCTAATGTTGCTGTAAGCACCACAACACTGTATTTCAATCTGTGTGTGGAGAGAGTGGTGAAATCCTCTTGGAGGTGGCTATGACTGGAAAGAATGACCTTAACCCATTGTAGAAGGCCACAGCTCCCTCAATGTTTATAGCCACCAAACACATCATGTATTGAAAACACATCATGTAGAACTTTAGATACAATTGTTTGAGTTTGAAATTAAGTGTGTATGTCTATAGCTTTTGCAAAGAAAGGAAGGAAAGGAAAATAAGAAGTAGGTTATAAAACACTTGTATTTCTTAAAACAGCCTGTTAAAGCAATGGTATGCTTGGAAGAAAAATGTTATTGGTATCATTACAGAAATCTCAGTTTAGAAAGTTCACAAATTTGTGAACTAAATAAGCAACTATTTTTATCTCATTTTACAGAAGGATGCAGAGGCATAGAATCATTGACTTTCCTAATGTTAAGTACCCAGTTAGTAGTAGAAAATATGCTGTAAATTTTATCTCCTAATTCCCAGTGCAATATATTTTCTTGTCCTCTACTGCCTCACTCTGCTCATATCAAAATAGCTCTTAAAAATTCTAGTGAAATCTATGAAGTCACTGGAGTTCAACTTAAGATTAATAAACAACGTAGTTTTGCTAGCCTTTGAACAGGTACAGCACATATTACAGACCCTGCATTTGAACAATAAGAATTTAACATATTTATTTTAATAGACTGGTATGCCTGTTGAATTCTTGAAGTAAACATTTTTTCCAATTGTGAACTTCATTATATAATTTTTTAAAATATCAGGATTAGAGCACAGTTGATTTTTTTAATTGATATATTTTAGACAATGTAGCACATTTGTATGAACTTTGAAGCTGTTCACTCAGGGGATTACAAGTATTTTTTTTTACTTGGATTTTCAAGATATGAGAGTCTTGGCACAGCTTCTTCAGCTCTGTCTTCCAATAAACAGTCTGAATAACCATGACATTGAAGGAAGATCATATTTGGAACTAATTTTACTTTAGCTACTGCTTTTCAGAACATGCATTTCCAATTCCTCTGAAATGTATATAATTCCTCTGGTCTTTGAAACAAAATTAAAAGATACTATAAATAGACTTGAAGGTTAGAATAAAAAGTAAAAAGTTAATTCTTTATCACTTAAAAAAAAAAACCTTGTTTGGACCTTTATTCAAACATACCAGCTGTAACAAGATATTTTTGGGACAGCTGGCAAATCTGAATATGAGCTGATGTTGTAAGGTACGGTTAATTTGTTAAATTTGATGACAGCATGATGTGTGTGTTTCAGAAAATTACAGATTTAAAGGTGTAGACTGAAGTATTTATGATAATAAGATTGTAACAATATTAATAATTATTAATGTTTGGATGATAGATGAGGAAGTCTTTATATTATTATTTCTAACTTTGTGTATGTTTGAAAATATCTAAATACAAAACTTTAAAAAAATAAAAAGCAATGAATGGGGGTGGCAGATGGGATGTGTAAAAGATGTTGTAAGACTAAATAGGGATATTAGAGATGGCTTCACTAAAAAGATGACTTTACAGCAAAGATTTGAAGTACATATAAGAGAGAGCTATGTGGATCTCTGTGGAAGAACATTCCAAGCAAAAGTAGAAGCTAATGCAGTGCTGTGAGGTGTAAGTATAACTGCCCTGTTCAAAAGATACGAAGACTGACCACTGGGAAGAATAAGAAATAGGTAAAATAGTGGTAAAATAGTAGGAGGCAGTCAGAGAGTTAACATGGATGG
Source organism: Homo sapiens (assembly GCF_000001405.40). Taxonomy (NCBI): domain Eukaryota; kingdom Metazoa; phylum Chordata; class Mammalia; order Primates; family Hominidae; genus Homo; species Homo sapiens. Next base: position 56,036,561 of record NC_000006.12, on the reverse strand, counting down.
GTAGGGAGGAGAGGGAATGCATTCAGAACCATATCTGACAATAAATTTATATCCAAAATACATAAAGAATAGCATACCTCCAAGCCAGAAAGAGAAACAGGCAACCCAATAGAAAAATGGGCAAAATACTTGAAAAAGTACTTCATAGAAATAAGATGAATGGCCAGTAACAACATGAAACTGTGCTCTAGTTCATTAGATACTAGAGAAATACAAATTAAAACTACAATGCTATACCCCTACATTTCACAGAAAGGTTAAAATTTTAAAGGCAAGCAATACTGGGTATTAGAGAAGAAACAGAATTAGTGTGTAAGCTGGTACAAACTGCAGTATCTACTAAAATTAAAAATATGCGTATCTTATAAGCCCGCAAGTAATATCTAGGTATATAGCCAAAAGAAAAGCATGTATGTCAATGATAGACTGGATAAAGAAAAGGTGGTACATACACACCATGGAAAACTATGTAGCCATAAAAAGGAATGAGATTATGTCCTTTGCAGGGACATGGATGGAATTGGAAGCTGTTATCCTCAGCAAACTAATGCAAGAACAGAAAACGAAACACCACACATACCGACCTGTCCACTGATTATTTGTGCACTTTCCTATATTTCCTATACTACTTCTACGAACAATTAAAAAAAAATCCTATGGGAGCATCTTTACTTCCATCTCCTGAGGTACCAGTACCATATCTAGCACCCAGACTGTGCTGCCCAGCCTGCGTGCAGCTTAATAGATGGTTAGTTTTCAAAAGGAAAGAGTAGAAGACTTGCTTTGTCAACCTACAGCTATTACCTCTGCATTTCAAGATACAGAAAGGTAGATAGTGAGTTCAATGACTTGTGGGAAGGAGAAATCTATTCCAAAGAAACTGAGGAAAACAGTTAATAAGAAATGAAAATATGACGAAACCCAGCTTCCCCTCAGCTTCATAGATGTTAGTAATATACCTTGATGTGTCTTACACAGCAGAACATTTTTGTATAATTTTATAATGTCAACTAAAAACATTGGCATTGTTTTGGAACAAACAGTTTAAAGAGAAAGAAATAGAATATTTTAAGTATAGACATTATGAGCTGTTTAAAAGCCAAAAGTTATAATATCTTTTCAAACTGAAAATGAAGATGTCACTGAAACATGCTGCAGGTTTTAATTTCCAATAAAGTAAATATTGATAGCTATAACCCATATAAACAAAATGCTCCTTGGGGTCTTCAATAAATTTATTTTATTTTGTTTTTATTTATTTAGTTTTTAGTTTTTTTTTTTTTTTCTAACTTTTATTTTAGGTTCAGGGGGAACATATGCAGGTTTGTTATGTGGGTAGTTTGCATGTCATGGGGGTTTCATGTACAGATCATTTTGTCACCCAGGTAATGAGCATAGTACCTGATAATAGTTTTTTTAAAACAGTAAAGTGTTCTTGGGACTAAAATTCAAGGAAGCCACTGTGGATTATCCCCAGACTTGAAGGGTCCATGCTTATTGTTGTGCCATTGTTGTGAAATTCCACCCTCCCATTCAAATGTTTCCATGATTTAAGAACCCAGTTTTCAGTGACTTGAATAGGTTTGACCCTCAGGAGGAAAGTTGGCTTATTTCCTTCTTGGCATTGTGGAGGTTTTGTTTATTTTGTTTATTATTGTCATTTCTTTTTAAAACATTTTAAATCTATTTATTTATTTATTTAGAGATTAGGTTATAAGACTGGGTAGTTTTTGTGTTTTGGGTAGAGACACGGTTTTGCCCTGTTGCCAGGTTAGTCTTGAACTCCTGGGCTCAAGCAATCCACCTGCCTTGGCCTCCCAAAGTGCTGGAATTATAGGCGTGAACCGCCTTGACGGAATATTATTTCTTTTTAAACTTTTTATCATTTTACTATTTTTTGTTTCTCTCTTCATTTTTTATTTATTATTTTCTCTTTCTTTTCTGTTTTCTTTTTTTCCCTTTTTCTCATTTTAAAATTTTGAACTTTTTGTCTAGCATTGTGAGTTTTTTTTTTTAAATTATACTTTAAGTTCTAGGGTACATGTGCACAACATGCAGGTTTGTTACATATGTATACATGTGCCATGTTGCTGTGCTGCACCCATTAACTCATCATTTGCATTAGGTATATCTTTCTTTTTTTTTTTTTTTAGAACGGAGTCTTGCTCTGTCCCAGGCTGGAGTGCAGTGGCGTGATCTCAGCTCACTGCAACCTCTGCCTCCCGGGTTCAAGCGATTCTCCTGCCTCAGCCTCCTGAGTAGCTGGGACTACAGGCATGCGCCACCACACTCAGCTAATTTTTGTATTTTTAGTAGAGACAGGGTTTCACCATGTTGGCCAGGATGGTCTCGATCTTCTTACCTCATGATCCATGTGCCTTGGCCTCCCAAAGTGCTAGGAGGCATTGGGTTTTGATTCCATTATAAAGATTGGTTAGTCAGGTGGACTTTGGAAGTGACTTTCTTTTGAGGTGATTTGGACCAAGTTTCTCACCCACTTTTCTCAATCTTAAGCTAATCCTGGGACAGCTTAACTCTAAGCCAGGAGTAAGGCCAATATGCTGCAAAACCTCTTTGCCAGCCAGCTCTGCCAAGGAAGAGACCCATATTGGCAGCTACCAGTTTCTCAAGACCATAGCCAAGGTCTTGAGACCATGGCTAAGGTCTTTCAATTACTTTTTTCCTACTCAGGATGTGCTGGACCCAGGAAAAAAGTAATTGAAATAAAAAGTTCATTGACCAGACTAAACAGAAAGAAAGAAGGAATTTCTAGAGGTAAGTTGTACATACAGGGAGTATAAAGATCTTGAGCTTCTCCTGGAGCCTGAGAAGATAATATAGGAGATCAGCAAGATGCAGGAAGAAAACAGCTGCCAGTGCAAGCTGAATCAGAAATACATGCAGCTGTGCATGCATGGTGCGCTGTGCCAAGAGGATTTTATGCAGTGGAGGATAAACAGCAGTGACTACGCTAGTGTATTTCACTTGAGGCCCTTCTCCTTTCCTGTCTTTCTCCCTCTTTTCTCCTATGTTTGTCCAGGAGGCAAGACAGTTCTTTAGGACAAAACATTTCATCTAGTTATTGTCAGAGAAGTGGGTCTCCAATTTTCTCAGAAGAAAGGGGCACTGGTATGAAAAACATCTTAATGACATCACAGTAGCTGCCTTCTACGACTGCACAGTTGCTCTCCATTGAAGAAACTTTGGCTTACAGAAGTAAGGGATGAAGATGACATCAGTCCTCTGATGATGAATTCTGATTTTACATTTGAATTCAAAATGTAAAACCACAATACACAAGGATCTTGAGTAGCCATTGTGCATCTAAATGCTTCTAGTATGCTCCGCTCATAACAAATGATTTACCATCCTTTTCCTCTTAAAAAATACTCTTGGGGATTTTGATTTCCAGTCTGGCTTATAAGAAGCTTACAAGTCACCACTCTATTCTAACAATAAGTAAAAAGCCAAGCAAAGTGAAAAATCAGCAACTGTTTTTAGATCCACAGAGAAAGGAGGTAACAGGGCAAACCACTGCTCCCCAGACTGAAGAAACTGACAGGGGAATACAGAGAATCACAACTTACTTGAGAACCTGCTAATAGAAACCTCTGTGGGAATCAGTGCCAGGAGAAACTTGGACTATTATAACTGATGAATTGCTGGAGGCTCAGTGTTGACAAGTCTGAGAGATAAGAACTCTAAGGGGACCGTGTCATTAAAAGACCTCCACACTTTTGTGATTTTGATCACCTGAGGCTCTGTAAGGTTCTCACAGTGAATATCAGAGAAAAAACCTCTTGTGCTTCCAGCAGAGGGAGGGGCAATGGAACCATTTAAAAACCACCATACATTCTGTCCTTCTTAACAAAATCTGCTTGAAAAAAAGCAAGTATTTAACTGGGACCTAATTTTCTGGGATTTTATTAGAGCCTAACTGACCTGGGAAATGAAAATATCCAACTCCAGCTCTAGCCATCCAGTTCTACCTAAAGGGGTGAGGAGTGGGGGACTGACAGACACTTGTGAAGTCCACAGTCCAGGGGAACATGCTCACTAAAAGACTAGGACCTAATCATAGGACTACAGAAAATGTCGCCTTCACTGACACCTTACCAGCCCATTACTAAAGGCCTACTGACACTAGTTCCTTTTACCCAGTAGTATACCATGTTTGACTATTAAGAGCATTATAAGCCACACTAAAATTCAGACAACGCAATTTGAAGAGACAAAGCAAGCAGCAGAATTGGACTCAGATATGACAGTTATGTTGTAATTATCACATCAAAATTTTTAAAACAATTATAATTAAGATACTAAGGGAGCTAATGAATAAGGTAGGTCGCATACAGGAAGACATGGATAATGTAGGCAGAGAGATGAAGTTCTAAGAAAGAGCTAAAAAGAAGTAACAAAGATATTTTAAAAACACTGTAACAGACTAAGGAATGCCTTGGATGAGCTTATTACTAGACTGGTCATGGCTGAGAAAAGAAAAGAATCTCTGACTTTGAGTATATTTTAATAAAAATCTCTAAAAATAAACAGCAAAGAGAAAAAAGAGTGAAAAAACACAATAAAATTTCAAAGTTGTGTGACAACTCCAAAGTTAACACAGGCATAATTGGAATACCAAGGGAAAAGAAAAGGAGAAAGAGGAAATATGTAAAGCAACATTAATAGAAAATTTTTACAAATTAATGTCAGAAACCAAACCATAGATCCACAAAGCTCAGAGAACACCAAGCAGGATAAATACAAAATAGCAACATCAAAAACAAAACCCAAACTACACCAAGGAATATCATTTTCAAACTAGAAAATGTCAAATATAAAGAAGTAGTCTTGAAAGAAGCCAGAGGTGGAATAAAACAACACCTTACCTATACAGAGCAAAGATAAAAATTACATTTGACATCTCAGAAAGCATACAAGTAAGAAGAGAGTGGAGTGAAATATTTAAATTGTTGAGAGAAACAAACACCAAATTAGAATTTTTCACCCTGAGAAATTATCTTTCAAAATGAAGAAGTCAAAGATTTTCTCAAACAAAAATTGAGGGAACTTATTGTTGGTAGACCTGCTTTGTAATTATGTTAAAATAAGTTCTTTAGAGAAAATAAAGGTCATGTAGGTCAAAGACTTAGATCTACACAAAGAAAATAACAACAGAGAAGGAAGAGGTGGAGGTAAAAATAAAAACGTTTATTTTTCTTATTCTGAATTGATCTAACAGATAACACTTTGTTCAAAATAATAATAGCAATAATGTATTTGACTACACTTATGTATAGTATATTTTCTTATCTATTTTTAATGTATAAATAAAATAAGTGACAGGAACAGCAATAATACAAAGGAAAAAAAGGGAGGAATTAGGATCATTTTGTTAATGTTAGGTACCCACGGTACTTGTGAAGTGATATAGTGTTATTTGAACATGGACTTGGATTAGTTACTAAATATATAATGCAAACTTTGGGGCAATTCAATCATTAAAAAATGCTCAGTGGAAACCACAAAGGCTTAAAGAATAGAAGAGAAAAACAGGAACAAAGACCAAGTGCAATAAATAGAAAACAATAACATATATGGTAGATATTAATCCAATCATTTTTTGTTTTGTTTTGTTTTGGTTTTTGAGACAGTCTCACTCGCTCTGTCACCCAGGCTGGAGTGCAGTGGCACGATCTCGGTTCACTGCAACCTCCGCCTCCCAGGTTCACACCATCCTCCTGCCTCAGCCTCCCGAGCAGCTGGGACTACAGGTGCCCACCACCACGCCCCACTAATTTTTTTTGTATTTTTAGTAGAGACAGGGTTTCACCGTATTAGCCATGATGGTCTCGATCTCCTGACCTTGTGTTCCACCTGCCTTGGCCTCCCAAAGTGTTGGGATTACAGGCGTGAGCCACCGCGCCTGGCCTAATTCAATCATTTTAAAAAAGTAATTGGATTTTAAATTAAAAGACACAAAAAATCAAAGTGGATTAAAAAAAAGACCCAAATATATGTTGTCTACTAGAAACCAACTTTAAATATAAACACACATATAGATTGAAAGTAGATGGATAGAAAAAAGACATACCATGTGTATTAGTCCATCCTCATGCTGCTAATAAAGACATACCTGAGACTGGGTAATTTATAAAGGAAAGAGGTTTAAAGGACTCACTGTTCAGCACGGCAGGGGAGGCCTCAGGAAACTAATGATCATGGTGGAAGGGGAAGCAAACATGTCCTTCTTCACACAACAGCAGCAAGGAGAAGTGCAGCTTTTGTAGGAGAGCAAGCCCTTTTTGTCCTTGGATTGATTTTTAACTCCTTTTGCCATTTTTGATAGTTTCTACTCAAGGGTACATTGTTGTAAAACAGGGAATTGTTCTCATGAAATGGAGTAGGGAGCAGCTACAGAAGGATAACTTTTTTTCTTTTTTTCTTATCATGTTCCCTTATGCCATGAGTTAAGGGCCACCAAAGTGCAATGAGATGCCATATGGCAACAATTTCTTTATTGAGAAATAATTTGTCCCAGCCAACCTAGCAGTTTGCCATTCCTTTTCTCTTTCCTTTTTAAAGTGGAGAATGGGCCAGTCTGAAATATGGAATCATATCTATATCCAAAGGCATACAAAATGATAAAGCTCTGTTACCAGGATAATTTGCTTTTGAATATGTTCATAACATCAGTTTTCCTACTCAAAGACATGAGTTTTCCATTTCTCTTCTACTAGATTTTCCTGGGTGAGCGTTTCACCCTTAAAATTTGGCTAAGTTTTCTGTTCTCATAAAAGATACAAACTTAGCAAACTCCTATTGCTCAGGTTTTTTAAAAAGATATTTAAAGTTCTTTATAATTTTTATAAACTGTTATCACTGTCCCATTTCACCTCCTGGTCTGCACCATGCTTCTCATAAATGATGTGTCTTTCTGCACCATAGTTCTTTCTATATTATGACATATTTGCTAAGAAAGCATTTTGTTGTTGTTAAATGTTTCATTAGGCAGCAACTGAAATAGAGCTGCTTAAATGCAAGCTTATTTTGCACTCAGTGGGGAAACCTTTGGGGTAAATATTTCTGGCACGGGGCTTGTTTAAATCCCAGTTGTGCTATAGGAACTTGCACTGGATAGAGGCTGCCAGTCAGACTAAAAAGGCACAATTGCAGTAGGCATCATCAAGTCAACATCTTGTCATGAAAGTTAGAGATATTCATTCTTATGTGTGAAATTTTAATTAGAAAAATCTTCAGGCTGAACATCATTTATAGATCAGGAGTTCTCCCATTTTTATTACTCTTCTCAATGGAAGATGATAAAGACATGTAAATGGTGTTCTGACTGGAGCACTTATTGGAAAAGATGTAACCTTATTTTGGCTTTCCTGGTACTTAAGACTACATCATATTACATGTAAATGGCCCTTCTTCTCTAGGGTCAAAAGTCATAATAATTAGTCATCACTAATGCTTGATAAAGTGAAAGAGAAAAGAACTAAGCATCAGGAAACTTGAGTTATGGCCCTAGTTTTCCAACTTTCTGACTTCAGACAAGTGAACTTAATACGGGCTTAATACTGGTTGTGAAGATTAAATAAAAATAAATAAAACTACATCTAGGGTTTACTAAATGGAAATAAATGGACTTTTGGCTCAAGACCATGTCACAGTGGGCCTATCAGGTGAAAACTTAGCCTCCTACTATTTACCTCCTGTTTAAGAATTATTGTTAGATTAGATATACTCAGCACATTTCCAAAATGACATGAAGAAAATGGAAGAAGAGTCAAGCAGTAGACACTGCAATACTAATTCCCTGCCAAAATGTAAGAAGTACTACAACTCCAGGGAACTATAGAGACTCATTCCACTATCAAAAACTGTAAGATGAAGATGTGGCTATTTTTATTACAGGCTCATTTAGCTTACCTGTTTTACTTGGGTCTTGGAGAATAAAGGTTATGTATGTAGGCTTAGTAAATTGGTAACTCCATTGTAGATGTAGTCTCTGAGATGGTTGGGATCTGTGTTCCTGCCCAAATGTCATGCCAAATTGTAATCCCCAATATTGAAGGTGGATCCTGGTGGGAGGTGATTGAATCATGGAGATAGTTTCTAAGGGTTTAGCACCATCCCTCTAGTCTCGTGACAGTCCAGCTGTCTCGTGATAGGGTTCTCACGAGATCTGTTTGTTTAAAAGTATGTGGCACCTCCACACCACCTCCCCTTCCTTCTGCTCCAGCCATGTGAAGATGCCTGCTCCAGCTTTGCCTTCTGCCATGAGTGAAAGCTGCCTGAAGCTTCCCCAGCCATGATTCCTGTACAGCCTGTGGAATTGTGAGCCAAAACTCTTTTCTTTATAAATTACCCAGTCTCAGGCATTTATTTATAGCAACATAAGACCAGACTAACACAGTCTTTACCAGATCAAATTAACACGCCCTTCATAGTTGATTGATCTGAAAAATGCTATTCTCACCACTCCCATCCCCACCCCTCATTTCAATAACTAGTTCTGAAAGAGTTGCTTCCACCCAGCAGAGACAGCAGTACACTTTCAGGGTCAACAGGAATAGCTTCAATAGATACAACATTGCTCCAGTTTCTTAACCCTGATTTCAGGAGGGCACTAAAACTAGAGATGCCAAGGGTGATCAACGAGTCCTTGATAATGGAATTGCAGATTGAACTATACTGTAATCTAGTCTTATATTTTATGTTGTATAGCATCCAGATTAATATAATCTACCAGGTTTGGGTAGTATAGTCACTGGCACTTATCCAGATTAGTCTGTGTGAAGAACTTCTCTAGGTTTAAATATATTCGACTGGGGTGGAAGAGGAGCATTTGGGCTTCCAGAAACCTTGACATAAGTTTCAATCAGATTTTTCACCTGCAATTATTTTCTTTTTTAGGGGAACATGGACATTTATACCAACATACCAACATTTATTAAAGGACAATTGTCCTGATCCCTTTGCCATATTCTGATTGCACTAACTTTTTTCTATAGTAGGATAAGAATGTCTTACTTAGATAAGTAAACCTTATTTTACTTATGTCTGTGTCTACTCTCACCGATAGTCTGAAATGACTGTAAATCTTTTCTAATATGAAGGCTTTCCAGCTCAACATGGATGTTCCTTCATAAGAGCTCACCAGGTTACTGACACTGCTAAGTACCTAGGTTTTCAGTGGTAGTACCCAATGCTGACACCACCTCCCTCCCCACTTCCCATTTCCTGACCTATCAAACTACAGTTTCATACTCTGGAGGATTGGCAGCCAGTTGATAACATATTAATATGATGGGCACTTTCTATCGTGGACAGGAAAGCCCTTTGCTCTTACTGGAATACACACGTGGATTTAGATATGCCTTTTCTGACTACCATGCTTCTGAAAGTCCTTCCATCAGATACATCCATGCAGGTCTTAGATTTAGAAGTGAGCAATGTGAGAATGTGAGGAGATAGCCACATTTGGAAGATGTGATTTGTTATGGTTGATGTCACAGGGGACTGCCAAGATTCCCTCTTCAAGGTTAAGGCACTCATCTTGCAGTTGCCATGAGTGTTGCTGCTGATAGCAATCAGCTTAGTCTGTCTCTGAGTCTTGTTCTTGGAGGGCAGCCAAAGAAAACCTGTCTCTGTCCCCTCTCCAGACAGCTCATATCTAATGACTGGTAAATTTGGGGGGCCAACCTCTTGGTCTAAATTGGGGATAACTCTGAATGTTCAAAGCTCCCTAAGGGCTTAACTATGGCCTCTGGTACAGTTTTCTCTCTCTACCCAATGTTACTGCCTTCACTCTCTTACAGGTGTTGTTCCTGAGAGTGTTTTCTGATAAACTCCTTGCACAGAAATCTCTACCTCAGAGCCGGTTTCCCCAGTAATCTGACATAAGCATCTGGCTACTAGAGAGGTGACGTATAGTGCTTTTAGGGAGAAGCAGTGTGAGAATTTCTAGCATCTGGTCCCAGACATTGTTGGGATTGTTTTATTCATCTTTATTAGTTTTATTCTGAATGTGCACCTGAAGTTTTCTGGATCAGAGATTTATTTATTTATTTATTTATTTATTTATTTATTTATTACCTTACAATAAATAAGCATGTGATTCTCCCTTACTTTAGTCCTTACCTCTGGGGTGATATGATGAAAGCCAGGTGGAAAAATCTTGTATATGAGTAGCTAAATAGTTTCTCAGTGAGAAAAATGAATTCTCTTCTTCCATACAGGAGGAAGAGACAGCTGTTTCCCCCTTCCCTCCAGAAAGGGGGAAAAACCTTTGCCCTGCAGAGATGGAGTGCAAAGGATCCTGAGTACTCACTCTCACCTTCTGGAATGCACATACATCTTTACAGGGGCTGCATAAGCCTTGCATATCTCTCTGGTTTTTTGTAAGCTATGGATTTCTCCAAGGTCCTGGGACTCATTTTCTCTTAAAATGTAAACTACCCAGAGTTAGCTAAATCTCTCTGGACTTCTCTCACTATCTACTCCACTGTAAATTAACTTCCCAAGCCTGGCTCTTATCCCAAGATGCTGAGTTTTCAGGAAATATATTCAGAAAGCCCAGACAGTGCAGAAACAAAAATATTTCCTCTACATCCCACAGCTTCATGGTTGCTGATTAGAAGCATGAGTGTTTTTATTAGATAAGATTTTGTGATGTGTTGGACTGTATATTTTCAGACTCTAACTTTCTTAGGATCTTAGAGAGTCTATGAACTACATAATATTCTATGATAAATTACTTTTGTAGTTAAAGTAGCCAAAGTAGATTCTTTTGTGTTTGCAACTAAGATTCCAAGCAGATAAAGATAACATTTGAATAATATTCTAAAACATGCAAATAAAGCTACACATTATATATTGGAAAATACATATTCAGTAAAACTATGAAAACGTGTGGTAATAATAAACATCGAATTCAAGATTACTTGATGGTAACTTTGGAAGTTGAGGGAAGGGAAAATTTGGACTAATATAGAGTATGCAAGAGATATAGCCATGTTGGTAATGTTTTATTATAAGTGAAGGGTACAGGGATAGTCACTGTTTTTTCATTTATATCTATACATCTAACTTAAACATACACACACACACACACACACACACTTTATAATAATTTAAAAATATCTGCAGAAAATCTTTTAGTATAAAAGCTACTACAACAAAGAAGCTCCCAAATATTTTGACTTAAAGAAAAAATTAATTTATTCTTCCCTCACATAACAATCCTTAGATAAACCATATTGTTGAGAAATCTCAGATCCGCACAGTGATTCAGGGACCCAGGTCTCTTTTACCTTATTATTCTGTCTTCCCCCAGGGCATTGTCCTCATCTGTATGCTAAAAACTGGGTCACAGGTATGTGCATTCCAGTGCACAGGACAGGAGAAAAAATAATAAATACCAGTATTAAAACAAAACAAAGACAAGGAAATGGCTCACATCATCTCTATTTACATTGCAGTGGAGAGAACTCTATGTACATGGCCAGACTGGGCTGCGAAAGAGTCTGGGAAGTGTCTTCCCAGCTAGACTATGTGCCCAACGACAATATTTTGTCGTGGAAGAAAGCGAAAGTGGATTTTGATGAAAACTAGCAGTTTCTTCCAAAGGGATTTTATGAAAGCTGTATTCAAAAATGATTTAATAAGATATAAAAAATCTGCGTACAACTTTCTTCTCTGCTCACAAATCTACTAACATTATCAGTCACCTTTTAATTTCACTTCAGAGGTAAAATTCTGTATCTTAGAGTCAGAATAACTCTGGAGAAAATACCTTGTCTATCTATCTCATGGAGGGATCAAGGACTTCATGTGAGTAACAACCTACTTAAGACTTCAGAGGAAAATAACTAACTTTCATAACCCTCCTCACTCCATCTCTTGCCACTATTTATCAACACTGCATATGAGGAATGTGATGATCTTCCTCAAATTAGGAAAAGGTTACCTTGGCAGCAGTGTTTCTAAATTATTCCCTCCAACTAACTAATCCTGATTCCTGTCCACGCTTAAATTTTTAGCCCTGGTTTTCTGAAGCAGAATTTCAGCTGCTCAATTAATTAGTTTGTATATTCAGCACAAATTTTCTCTGAATATTTTTTATTTTTGAATATTATTATTTCATTTTGGAATAAAACAATTGTTAGGTAGAAAAATATGTTTTTTTAAAAAAATATTCTACTCTTTTCAGCTATAAAAGTACCAGATAAAAGGAGGTTTAAGTGACAGGCATTCCCCTCTCATTCCACTATCAGGGCTTCAGTAGGTTTGGGACTTTAGTTGGAGTCATAATTTTAGTTTTGGGTTAACACAGATCACTAGATAACATGAATTCAGGTGTTAAAAACAAACCAAAAAGAAAACTTCAGATGAATTAAATGTAACAGTGTTTAATTGAGCAAAGAACAGTTCAAGAATTGGCAGTCCTTAGAACTAGAAGAGGCTCAGAGAGCTCCACTCAGCAATGTGGGAAGGCGGCTTTTATGGATGGAGAATAGAGGTGAGGTACAGAAACAGTCTGATTGGTTACCGCTTGATTGGTGACAGCTAGGCATTTGCCTTGTTTGAACATGATCCAATCAATAGGAAACCCGTGATTGACTAAAGCTTGGCTGCTTGATTGGCTGAGACTCAGCTATTTGTTACAAAAGTAACCTCCTAAAGTAGGCTTTAGATTAGTTTACATACTAAGGTTGCAATTCCCTCTGAAAGGACTGAAACTACAGAGGCATCCTCAGGCCACATGTAGCTGAATGTAACACAGTTTTGGTTTAAAACACTCTCCATTAAGATGCCTTGCCTTGCTATAATCACTATAGTTTTTCTTTCCTATTGTATGTTGATATCCCTTCCTTTAATAGACTACATCCTTTTTCTCCTTTGCAAGATTGGATATAAACAAAAAATTGATAGATTTGGATTTTAAAAAATGATTTATTAAGTGCCTTCAAATTATTACACATGGTATATAATCCTTATTAGTGAAGGGAATAGACTGTATGTCTTCTTAGACAGACCTTGTAACTGTGTTTGATGTTTTATGTTAATGTCATGAGACTTCTTTATGGAATTATTTTAGCTACTAGTGTGAAAACAAGAAACAATGATTTCTTCTTGAAACACTTTGACATTTTGTTTTAGTAAAACCATGTGTGGCGTATAATTGTAATGTTATCCAGTAAACACAGCTCTTAACAAGCTTTCAAATCAGATTTTATGACAATTAATCCCGAATTATTTCTTTTCATTAAATTTTTCTGAAAAAACTGCCAAGATGAGTTATATATTCACAATGTGTATATGTTATCAAAAATCTTAAGTACTTATTCCTAAAATGCATGAGTGCAATTTGCACACATTTATAATTATAGAACTGATATTTTATCTAAATTATTTGCATAACAGTGAAAATTACGGCATAATAAATATTAAAAGGCTGAACTGGAATACAAGAGACAAAGATCTAGACTAGGGTTAACAAATAGCTTCAACTCAAGTATGAATTCCAAATAACAAGGCCTATCTGGAACACTTTGTTGAGAATGAGTTTCGGGCCACATCTATGTTCAGCAAGAAAAACACTGATTAGCAATTTTTGCCATGGATAGGTATGGAAAGCAGTGTGTACTGGGTAGAGGGAGGAAGTGGTGAATGTGTGGCATCCCTGTCCTAAGCCACATTGCCCACAACTAACCAGCTGTGTGATTTTTTCCAAGTCCTTTTTTCAGCTTTGTTATTTGTAAAACAACAGGGTTGGACTTTATCATATCTAAGATTGTTAGACTCTATAAATATTTTATGTAAATCTCATAACTTCTGTGGTATCTAGATAGCCAATTATTCATATTTTTCCAAAGCACAATTATTTCATTAAAAATGAAATTATTTCTCCTATTTTCAAAATTCTTTCTATAATTTTAGTCTTTTTCAGAATATACTAACAGATACATTAACAGACAACACGTAAAGTAACGGCTGCTGAACCAGAAAAATATGACAAACAAAACGGAATGCCCTTAAGACAGGATATTGGGCCAAGTTCTATCATAAATCTACACATGAGACTTTCAGTAAGACATTCTCTCCAAAATGACGGGGGAAATTTAGATCTTGATGGTTATATCTGTGTCCAACTTGAGGGATAAAAAAAGAAAGGGATTGAAATAATTCAGAGTTCTGGCCATTGTTCTTTGTTATGCTTTTGGTAGACTTTGTAAATAGTCTGAATTAGACTCCAAGAAGAAAGACCACACAGAAAACCAATCTTTCATCTCATTCCAGCTTTACAAGTCAGTTTCTCCATTTCTTTTGATAATGAATACACATTTAAGAGAAGGAAAGTGGCTATTCAAATTTCCATGGTCTCACCATTCAGCAAAGAATGCCATGCTAATTAGATTACCGTCTCTCTGTTCAGGGTAACTGCTGCCTCCTGACGCCCTGGATAGACACTGAAGTTTTGAGTATCATTTAGTGCCTAACTATGAACCAAAAATACTGCTTCTTTTAACTAGAAAGGAAACTTTCAGGTTCTCTATTAGATTGTTGGTGATTTTTGTGTATTAGTAACTGCATTGATAGATGATTCAGGATTCATGAAAAGTCATAGTAAATTATAATCCAGGTTTATCCCCCTGTATTATGTCAAAAAGTAGATTTCTAAATATTTTATCGGAGTTTTTCTTGGATCCAATATCTCTTTTAACTTGGCTTAATTACAATATTCATGTAACTTGGTCTCCAGGAACTTAAAAGGCTTACTGTGTCTGTCTTCCATCCCTATTCCTTAGTGCTGCCCTATTCTGTAGAAGAATCAAGTGGCAGCACCATAGATAATGGTGTTTTCTCACTTTTGTTTTCTTTTTTCTTATTGTGAGTTCTTTGTAGAGTCATAAAAGTGCTAGGATTACAGGCATGAGCCTCTGTGCTCAGCCAGAACTGGCATATTCCTTGAGTTAGAGAAATTTAATTAGGGGGCATAAATTTCTGCAATCATTATCTTATACCTGAATTATGGTTGAAATGATTTTATGGATAGATTCTATGTTTTTCTTTTTATTTTGTCTAAATCTGTAGAAGATTTTTTTTGAAATTCACCTACATTGCCAGTGGCAGAAATGTTACTTTCTAAATTATACCTTCAGAAATAGAAGTTCTTCAGCCTTTTTTTTCTGGAGTGACCCTAGTGATGTGACTTACTTCTACCCTATTATCTCTCTCTTTCAAGCATTAAATTCTTGGAAGCCAGGTTCTTAATGTCCCAGTTCAGGTCAGAAGACTACCTATGAATTAATTAATAATATGGTCAGGGTGTCTGGTCTCTTAGCCCAAAAATGATTTCAGAACACTCACATCTGTATGTTAAAGAGATTCCCAGAAAAGAATGAGTTCTTATGAATTGATCTTCACCCCTTCCATACTAGTTATCCATTGCTATATAATATATTAGTGCAAATGTAGTGGCTTAAAACAACATACATTTATTACATTACACTTTGGTTAGGTCAAGAGTCTGGGTATGACTTCACTGGATCTTCTGCTTCAGGGTTTTTTATGATGCATTCAAGGTTTTGGCCAGGGCTAGGGTCTCATCTGAAGGCTCTACTGGGGAAAGATCTTCCAACTGGATAAATTGGCCAGAATTCAGTTTTTCAAGGGTTGATAGATTGAAAATATCATTTCCTAGCTGGCTGTTGGCTATATTTTATCATGTGGATCTCTCCAACATTGCACCCTGCTTCATCAAAGCATACAAGCAAAGAAAGCAACAGAGAGAGTCAGCTAGGAAGATGAAAGTTACAATATTATTTAAACTAATCATGGAAATGATATTTTATCACATTTGACACTTTTATTGCTTAGAACAAGTCATGGTTTCTGTCTACACTCAAAGAGAGAAGATGACACAAGAGAATGAATACCAAGAGGCAAGGATCATTGAAGAGTGATATCTGCCACATTCCCCACAAGCATTGTTAATCAACCATAAAGGCCTTTATAAATTAGCTTGACAAGTACTAAATATCAGGCATTAGTTAGATGCTTAGGGATCAAATAAATAGACAAGATTCCTTCCCTTGCCCTTATAAAATTATAGCCTAGCACATAAGATTTTAACATAAATTTAATATAGAAATATATTCCTCTATTTAAAACCTTTCAACTGCTTTGTGTTGCTCTGAAATTAAAATAAAATTTCTTATCATGGCTAAGCAGGGTCTGTGTTATCTTATACCTGCCTACTTTGACATTTTCATCTTGTGTTTTCCCCAATGTTCTACTATGCTCAACCCATATTAGCTTCTCATATCCCAGGATATGTGTATGTTTGAAAACATTTTTTTAAGTTTTCAAGTGAAGTGATGCAATCGAATTCCTACCATTAAGACCTCAGTCACCCAAAGAATGCCTAGCTTTAAACAATATAATTTCATACTGTAACCTCTTAGATAAACTAGTCATCAAAATATACCCTTTGGTAATAAACTGCATTGAATTGCTTTCTAAGGTTGTTAGTTACATTGGTTGATTGTTGAAGGCAACCATCCAAAGATGAATGTTTTGATTTAAAGAAGCAACTCAACTAGCCCTCAAAATGTTTGGAACACTGTGGAAGTGTTGAAATTATTCTTACAGGTCACATATGCCAATAATATTTTGTTTGTTTGTTTTGTTTTTCCTGCATCACCTAATGTATTCTTACTGAGAAACCCAGAAGAAATTCTCTCTGTTCCAAGAAAACTTCTATTTAGTCATTGTTTTTACCTCATCTTACAGATATCGAATTGTAAAACTGATCAGAATCCTGTTTCTTTGTCAAAAGACCCCTTTGAAGTCACAGCTACAACTCAAACTTACATAATCTGACTCCAAAGTCCATGGTCTTTCTTTCCTTTGGAGTTTACGTATTTTCCCCTAAGTCCTTGTTTCTTCTTTAGAGTTCACCCAAATTAATAAGAAATGCCTGCATTAGAAAACCTCCTTTTCGTTTTTAGTTTAGAGTCCATCAAACTACAACCATGATCTATTTAAGATTCTGGAAGATTTGGAGTTACCTGTATTAGTTCCCTTGCACATTTTCTCCACTTGTTACTTTGATATAAAAAAATCTGACCCAAGAATTATGAATGAATAAAAAGATAGAAGAAAATTCTCTTCATTTCCCCCCTTCTTTCTTTTCTCTTGCACTTCTTACTTTTCTTCGATTTCTCCCTTCACCATCCACCCTATATATGATATTTTTGTCATACCTATGCTTAAGGTAGAATACATAAACTTTGAACAACAACAATAATAACAACAACAACAAAAAACAAACACACAGAAACCAGAAATTCTCAGGTTCCATGATAAAGTCTGTAGAGTTGGCAAATTATACATACGCTTGTGGCCTTCCTTACTTTTCCACATAACTGACTATGTTACTTGAGAATATTTTATTGGTGTTGCCTGGAATAGAAGAAAAGAGAGAAGTAAAAGGAAAGGACAGAGAAGAATGACTTCATAATTAGCCTGAGGATACAGGCTTTCACAGTGTGAATTACATATGGAGTAGTGTTTTCAGTCAAGTGAAAACTTACTTACAAATGGGTTTAGCTACACGTTTTAGGTCTCTAAGGGACCTTGACTTTTACTTATGTTATTTAAAGATGATTGCTCTCTGGGTAAGCCAAGTTGCGGCCAAGAGAACAAGGCTCCCATGGCTCTCATGAACGTGTTGAGATTTATTTTCTCTGGGTGGCCTAAGTGAGTACTCGTTCATTCCAACAAATCACCCCGTTTTCATTTAGAGATTCATATGTTATAATAGAATACCCAAAGAAAACTGGAGGAATTAGTAATGATATATTTTGAGAACCTTCTTACCATAAAACAAATTGAAAACATAGGGCCTGTTGTATATTTAGATATGTAGAAAATTGTAGGAGATTACCTAAAGGGATAATAATTTTGAAACCTAGAGCAAGGTGCTAAAGAATTAAAGTATTTCTCTTCCACATTCATTGATAAGAAACCACCAAAGAAGTTACATTTAGGATTAACAATCTGTGTTATGTTGATTTTCATTTTTGCTGTTAGAATTTATTTACATTCATCCCATCCCATTTAAATGTAATTTGTTCATTTATCCATTCAATTGATTCAATAAATATTTCTTGTGTGGTAAATACATGCCAGGTGTAGGATCGAAATATACATAAGTTGCACTATCCTGCTGCAAGGAATTTATAGACCATTGAGACTGTGAGTCTCTGAGGAGCTGCTCCCTCTCTCTTCACCCCTCCTTTTACTTCATAGGAGTAGTAGAGGAAAACAATGATGAAATAGGATTTAATGCTATTTTGAAATTAAAAGATATATATCTAGAGTATGATACACTCATATGATCATATTAGTTAATTTCCTCAAAATCATCTAATTCCATATTTATTAATTTGGGCTGGATATCTCCCATTTGTCCTTCCAAATCCAGTCCTCACATCAAATGGTGTTCTTGACTTCTGGCTTCTTCAAGCTGGGTTTTATCAATGAGAAGCCCCAGTAGATCAGATGGAGGCTGGAGAGTAAGGTCAGGGTATTGATCCCTTCCTCCATATTTGTAAATAAAATTTTCCTAGAATGTTTCTATTTTGAATTTTGGGAACCTGATTATTGCAATGTCCATTCAGTTATTGTATCATGTTTTATTCATTTATTTGCTTTCTGCCTTGTCCTGAAAAGATCTAAGAAAATTCAGGTAGTATATTTTTATTGTTATTAAATATAAATTTTTAATTTTAAACTATATAAATATTTAAAAATCAGAAAATAATGTTTTTTCTTAAATCAGTAAATATTTTCTCACCTGTTTTCATATGCTTTATGATGATCACTATAAATTACAAAAATACAGATCAAAATGGGATTAATAAAATTGTGTCCTAAACGGAAATAATTTACTCTTCGGCCTCTTTGGAACTTCTTGTTCTTGATTTTTTTTTTCCCATTCATCAAAACAGAAATGAAATAATACTTCTTTTATTTTTTTATTTCAATATTTTCATGGTCTTCTCTTTTAATGGAGCATGTGTAGTCTCACAGTATGACAAATTTGGCAAGATGCCTTAAAAGAAGCAGAAGTAACATTGCTTGGTCAACAGGTGTTCTGTTATTCTCAGAGGCTCAATCAAGTGACTGACTTAAAAGTTCAAATGAAGTTTAGCAAACTTGCTTTAGACGAAAGAACATTTTTTTGTTAAGATGGCTCAATGAATACTTCTGAAAGTACAAAATAAATAATGGTAGATTAAATAACTTTTTAATTATTATGTATCACAAATGTTTAATACATTCCTTTATATTTAGTCCATGGAATATTTTGATGTGTATACAAACAGATTATGATTTATAGTCAGCAGGATTAGAGTATACTCTGGCTTTCTCAAAATACCACCTTTCAATTGTATAAAAAATTATAACAATTGTCTAAAATTTCTCCAGGTCTAAAGCTATAAAACATCAAAACTAATCAGGGGTTCTTAACCTAGAGCCAATTGCCTTTGGTCTTTGGGTAGATTACAGGGGTTTCACAAAGCCCAGGATATTATATGAGAAATATTTATCTTTGTTATACATTTGGACTTTTCTGAAAAGGGAGTCCAAACCTCCCTAAGAATCCAAAAGAGGGTAAGAAATACTAGTTTAATTTTTACTGAGCATGGTCGATTTTATTATTGTTCTCAATATTCAGAAACCTTACATACGGGCCCTGTCAGGCCTCTGAGCCCAAGCTAAGCCATCATATCCCCTGTGACCTGCACATAAACATCCAGATGGCCTGTTCCTTGCCTTAACTGATGACATTCCACCACAAAAGAAGTAAAAATGGCTGGTCCTTGCCTTAAGTGATGACATTATCTTATGAAATTCCCTATCCTGGCTCATCCTGGCTCAAAAGCTCCCCTACTGAGCACCTTGTGACCCCCACTCCTGCCAGCCAGAGAACAACCCCCCTTTGACTGTAATTATAAATCTTTTAAAATGGCCCTACCCTTATCTCCCTTCGCTGACTCTCTTTTTGGACTTAGCCCACCTGCACCCAGGTGATTAAAAAGCTTTATTGCTCACACAAAGCCTGTTTAGTGGTCTCTTCACATGGACGCAAGTGAAATTTGGTGCCGTGACTCGGATCGGGGGACCTCCCTTAGAAGATCAATCCCCTGTCCTCCTGCTCTTTGCTCCATGAGAAAGATCCACCTATGACCTCGGGTCCTCAGACCAACCAGCCCAAGGAACATCTCATCAATTTTAAATCTGGTAAGCAGCCTCTTTTTACTCTCTTCTCCAACCTCTCTCACTATCCCTCAACCTCTTTCTCCTTTCAATCTTGGTGCCACACTTCAATCTCTCCCTTCTCTTAATTTCCGTTCCTTTCCTTTTCTGGTAGAGACGAAGGAGACGTGTTTTATCCGTGGACCCAAAACTCCGGCGCCGGTCACGGACTCGGGAAGACAGTTTTCCCTTGGTGTTTAATCACGCAGGGACACCTGCCTGATTATTCACCCACGTTTCAGAGGTGTCTGACCACGTGGGGATGCCTGCATTGGTCCTTCACCCTTAGCGGCAAGTACCGCTTTTCTGGGGGGCAAGAACCCCCCAACGCCTTCTCTCCATGTCTCTACCCCTTCTCCACTTTTCTTGGGGGGCAAGCACCCCCCAACCCCTTCTCCTTCACCCTTAGCAGCAAGTACTGCTTTTCTGGGGGGCAAGAACCCCCCAACCCCTTCTCTCTGTGTCTCTACCCCTTCTCGGCTTTTCTGGGGAGCAAGAACCCCCCAACCCCTTCTCCTTCACCCTTAGTGGCAAGTACTGCTTTTCTGGGGGACAAGAACTCCCCCAAACCCCTTCTCTCCACGTCTCTACCCCTTCTCCACTTTTCTGGGGGGCAAGAACCCTCCAACCCCTTCTCCTTCACCCTTAGTGGCAAGTACCGCTTTTCTAGGGGGCAAGAACCCCCCAACCCCTTCTCTCCATGTCTCTACCCCTTCTCCATTTTTCTGGGTGGCAAGAAACCCCCAACCCCTTCTCCTTCACCCCTAGTGGCAAGTACCACTTTTCTAAGGGGCAAGAACACCCCAACCCCTTCTCTCCATGTCTCTACCCCTTCTCCGCTTTTCTGGAGGGCAAGAACCCCCCAACCCCTTCTCTCCATGTCTCTACTCTCTCATTTTTATGGGCTTGCCTCCTTCACTATGGGCAACATTCCACCCTCCATTCCTCCCTCTTCTCCCTTAGCCTGTGTTCTCAAGAACTTAAAACCTCTTCAACTCACACCTGACCTAAACCTAAACACCTTATTTTCTTCTGCAATGCCACTTGACCCCAGTACAAACTCGACAGTGGTTCCAAATAGCTGGAAAACGGCACTTTCAATTTTTCCATCCTACAAGATCTAAATAATTCTTGTCGTAAAATAGGCAAACAGTCTGAGGTGCCTGAAGTCCAGGCTTTCTTTTACACATTGTTCCCTCCCTAGTCTCTGTTCCCAATGCGACTTGTCCCCAATCCTCCTTCATTCCCTCTTGCCTGTCCCCTCAGTCCCAACCCCAAGTGTCGCTGAGTCTTTCTAATCTTACTTTTCTACAGACCCATCTGACCTCTTTCCTCCTCCCCAGGCTGCTCCTCGCCTGGCCGAGCTAGGTCCGAATTCTTCCTCAGCCTCAGCTCCTCCACCCTATAATCTTTTTATCACCTCCCCTCCTCACACCCAGTCTGGCTTACAGTTTCGTTCTGTGACTAGCCCTCCCCAACCTGCCCAGCAATTTCCTCTTAAATAGGTGGCTGGAGCTAAAGGCATAGTCGAGGTTAATGCTCCTTTTTCTTTATCTGACCTCTCTCAAATCAGTTAGCCTTTAGGCTCTTTTTCATCAAATATGAAAAACCCAGCCCAGTTCATGGCTTGTTTGGCAGCAACCCTGAGACGCTTTACAGCCTAGACCCTAAAATGTCAAAAGGCCGTCTAATTCTCAATATACATTTTATTACCCAATCCGCTCCCGACTTTAAATAAAGCTCCAAAAATTAAATTCCGGCCCTCAAACCCCACCACAGGACTTAATTAACCTCGCCTTCAAGGTGTACAATAATAGAAAAAAGTTGCAATTCCTTGCCTCCATTGTGAGACAAACCCCAGCCACATCTCCAGCACACAAGAACTTCCAAATGCCTGAACCGCAGTGGCCAGGAGTTCCTCCAGAACCTCCTCCCCAAGGAGCTTGCTACAAGTGCTGGAAATCTGGCCCTGGGCCAGGGAATGCCCGCAGCCCGGGATTCCTCCTAAGCCGCGTCCCATGTGTGTGGGACCCCACTGAAAATCGGACTGTTCAACTCACATGGCAGCCACTCCCAGAGCCCCTGGAACTCTGGCCCAAGGCTCTCTAACTCCTTCCCAGATCTTCTCGGCTTAGCGGCTGAAGGCTGACACTGCCCAATCGCCTTGGAAGCCCCCTAAACCATCACGGATGCCCAGCTTCAGGTAACTCTCACAGTGGAAGGTAAGTCCGTCCCCTTCTTAATCAATACAGAGGCTACTCAGCCCACATTACCTTCTTTTCAAGGGCCTGTTTCCCTTGCCTCCATAACTGTTGTAGGTATTGACAGCCAGGCTTCTAAACCTCTTAAAACTCCCCAACTCTGGTGCCAACTTAGACAATACTCTTTTAAGCACTCCTTTTTAGTTATCCCCACCTGCCCATTTCCCTTATTAGGCTGAGACACTTTAACTAAATTATCTGCTTCCCTGACTATTCTTGGGCTACAGCTACATCTCATTGCCACCTTTTCCCCCAGTTCAAAGCCTCCTTCACATCCTCCTCTTGTATCTCCCCACCTTAACCCACAAGTATAAGACACCTCTACTCCCCCCTCAGCGACCAGTCATGCACCCCTTACCATCCCATTAAAACCTAATCACTCTTACCCCACTCAATGCCAATATCCCATCCCACAGCATGCTTTAAAAGGATTAAAGTCTGTTATCACTCGCCTGCTACAGCATGGCCTCTTAAAGCCTATAAGCTCCCCTTACAATTCCCCCATTTTATCTGTCCTAAAACCAGACAAGCCTTACAGGTTAGTTCAGGATCTGCGCCTTATCAACCAAATTGTTTTGCCTATCTACCGTGTGGTGCCAAACCCATATACTGTCCTATCCTCAATACCTCCCTCCACAACCCATTATTCTGTTCTAGATCTCAAACGTGCTTTCTTTACTATTCCTTTGCACCCTTCATCCCAGCCTCTCTTCTCTTTCACTTGGACTGACCCTGACACCCATCAGCCTCAGCAAATTACCTAGGCTGTACTGCCGCAAGGCTTCACAGACAGCCCCCATTACTTCAGTCAAGCCCAAATTTCTTCCTCATCTGTTACCTATCTCGGCATAATTCTCATAAAAACACACGTGCTCTCCCTGCTGATCGTGTCCAGCTAATCTCCCAAACCCCAATCCCTTCTACAAAACAACAACTCCTTTCCTTCCTAGGCATGGTTAGTAAGATTAGAATTCTTACACAAGAGCTGGGACAGCATCCTGTAGCCTTTCTGTCCAAACAACTTGACCTTACTATTTTAGCCTAGCCCTCACATCTGCGTGCAGCAGCTACCGCTGCCTTAATACTTTTAAAGGCCTTAAAATCACAAACTATACTCAACTCACTCTCTCTCATAACTTCCAAAATCTATTTTCTTCCTCACACCTGACACATATACCTTCCGTTCCCTGGCTCCTTCAGCTGTACTCACCCTTTGTTGAGTCTCCTATAGTTACCATTGTTCCTGGCCTGGACTTCAATCCGGCCTCCCACAGTATTCCGGATACCACACCTGACCCCCATGACTGTATCTCTCTGATCCACCTGACATTCACCCTATTTCACCATATTTCCTTCTTTCCTGTTCCTCACCCTGAACACACTTGGTTTATTGATAGTAGTTCCACCAGGCCTAATCGCCACATACCAGCAAAGGCAGACTATGCTATAGTACAAGCCACCAGCCCGCCTCTTAGAACCTATCATTTCCTTTCCATCGTGGAAATCTATCCTCAGGAAATAACTTCTCAGTGTTCCATCTGCTATTCTACTACTACTCAGGGATTATTCAGGCCCCCTCCCTTCCCTACACATCAAGCTCAAGGATTTGCCCTAGCCCAGGGCTGGCAACTCTTAACTCCCTCTTAGAGTGGATAGATGATCTTTGCTGGCAGGGGACCCTCCGATACTTTCACCCTGATGAAGTTCTATTCTTTACTTTTATACTCACTCTTATTCTCATTCCCATTCTTATGCCACCCTCTACCTCTCCCCAGCTATCTCCACCACATTATCAACCTTACTCATTCTCTCCTAGCCGTTTCTAATCCGTCCTTAGCGAACAACCACTGGCTTTGCATTTCCCTTTCTTCCAGCGCCTACACAGCTGTCCCCGTCTTACATGCAGACTAGGCAACATCTCCTGTCTCCCTACACCTCCGAACTTCCCTTAACAGCCCTCACCTTTACCCTCCTGAAGAACTCATTTACTTTCTAAACAGGTCCAGGAATACCTCCCCAGACATTTCACATCAGCAAGCTGCCGCCCTCCTCTGCACTTACTTAAAAAACCTTTCTCCTTATATCAACTCTACTCCCCACATATTGAGACCTCTCACAACACAAACTACTATTCCTGTGGCTGCTCCTTTATGTATCTCTCAGCAAAGACCCACTGGAATTCCCCTAGGTAGCCTTCCACCTTCTCAATGTTCCTTTACTCTTCATCTCCAAAGCCCTCTTCTTGTTTACTTATATCCAGCCCCGAAAATAACAGTGAAAGGTTGCTCGTTGATACTCAATGTTTTCTCCTACACCATGAAAATCGAACCTCTCCCTCTATGCAGTTACCTCATCAGTCCCCATTACAACCTCTGACGGCTGCTGCCCTAGCTAGATCCCTAGGAGTCTAGGTACAAGACGCCCCTTTCAGCACTCCTTTTCATCTTTTTACTTTGCATCTCCAGTTTTGCTTTGCACAAGGTCTCTTCTTCCTCTGTGGATCCTCTACCTACATGTGTCTACCTGCTAATTGGACAGGCACATGCACACTAGTTTTCCTTACTCCCAAAATTCAATTTGCATATTTGGACCAAAAGAGCTCCCTTTTCCCCTCATGACACCGATACGACAAAAAAGAGTTACTCCACTAATTCCCTTGCTTGTCAGTTTAAGATTTTCTGCCTCCACTATTGCTCTCGGTACTGGAATAGCAGGCATTTCAACCTCGTCACGACCTTCCGTAGCCTCTCTAATGACTTCTCTGCTAGCATCACAGACATATCACAAACTTTGTCAGTCCTTTAGGCCCAAGTTGAATCTTTAGCTGCAGTTGTTCTCCAAAACCACCGAGGCCTTGACTTACTGCTGAAAAAAGAGGACTCCGTATATTCTTAAATGAAGAGCGTTGTTTTTACCTAAATCAATCTGGCCTTGTGTATGACAACATAAAAAACTCAAGGATAGAGCCTAAAAACTTGACAACCAAGCAAGTAATTACGCTGAACCCCCTTGGACACTCTCTAATTAGATGTCCTAGATCCTCCCAATTCTTAGTCCTTTCATACCTGTTTTTCTCCTTCTCTTATTCCGTTTAGTTTTCAGTTCATACAAAACTGTATCCAGGCCATCACCAATAATTCTATATGGCAAATATTTCTTCTAACAACCCCACATATCACCCCTTACCACAAAATCTTCCTTCAGTTTAATCTCTCCCACTCTAGGTTCCCACGCCTCCTAGATGACGATAAGTATGTCATTGGTTTTGGTTATTAAAAGATGGGTGAACATGATTTGTCTCCTGTTTGAGCAAAGCTATAAGACATATTGTAGTTTCAGCACTTTCTGATTTATCTCTGCCATCAAACTAGTTATATTCTAGAGAGAGGCTGCTCCATCATCCTGGGTCCTATGATGGAGCAATAAATAAACTTTTGAGGGATTGCTTTGTGTCTGCAGCAAAAATTACCCTAAGCTTACTGATAAGTAAGGTGGCCAATTTCCACATATTTTCTAAGTAGGCTAAACCAATCTCCTTGTGCCTGGGTTAAATAATAAATCAGTTAAATTTTCATTCTTATTTTCTGAGCCATTTCGTAATGACTAGTAAGTCACCATGTAAAATTTCACCTCAAGGCTTTCCCTCTTTCAAAAACTTTTCTTGAATCCTTTCTTGTTAAAATGTGTTTAAATACTTCAGCTTCCAGCCTAGAAGTAGTAACAGAGGATGAAACTACCTCCCCTCCTGGAACAATAGCAAGAAAAAGAAAAATACAGACAAAATTTACGAAACAAATGTTTTGAAGATACTGGACATTAGGCAACAAAGGACAGTGGGCCCTGAGAGACAGGAAACAAATGATGTGAATCTTACCTAATAACAATTCTTCAATTGATTTATTCATCTACTAATATTTAAAGTTGAAAATTAGTTTAGCCCATTAAATAGTAAGTTTAAACCCAGAAACATTTTTTTTTCTTTAACATTGAAGGTATTTTCATTGCTTGGCTAGCCTCACCAAAAGAAACAAGAATGCCATTTAGACATATGTAGATTTAATGCTAAAATAGCTGAAGTCATCTATTCTGCAGCCAATTTGTGGTTTATTAAACTCTAGAAAAAAATTATAGTCAGATGACGAACAGCTTCTGAGTGTGAGTTATCTTTGAGGGTTTTAAAAAACTATAAATAGAATTGCCATACAATCCAGCAGTCCCACTCCTGGGTATACAGTAATGCACCACATAACAATGTTTGGTTAACAGTGGACTACATATACGATGGTGGTCTCCTAAGATATCATACTGTGTTTTTACTGTACTTTTCCTATGTTTAAATATGTTTAGATATGCAATACTTACCTTTGTCTTACAATTGCCCATAGTATTCAGTACAGTAACTGCTATAAAGGTTTGTAGCCTAGGACCACAGGCTATACTATATAGCCTAGGTGTGTAGTAGGCGATGCCATCTAGGTTTGTGCAAGTACAGTCTACGGTGTTTGCACAATGGTGAAATTGCCTAACAAAATGTTTCTCAGAACATATCCCCATTGTTAAGTGATGCACGACTGTTTATTGAAAGGATTTTAAATTAGTATTTTGAAGATATATCTGCACTCCCATGTTAATTTCAGCTTTATTCACAATAGCCCAGATATGAAAGCAACCTAAGTGTCCATCAATGGATGAATGGATAGATAAAATCTAATATAAATACACAATGGAATACTATGCAGCCTTAAAAAAGGGAGAAATGTCATCTGGGACATGGATGGAACTGGAAGACATTACACTAAGCCAAATAAACTAGGCATAGAAAGACAAATACTGTATGATGTCACTTATATGTGGAATCTAAAATAGTTGATCACATGGAAACAGAGTAGAAAGGTCATTACTAGAGGATAAGGGAAAGGGTAAGGGTTGGGAAAGGGAAAATGTTGATAAAAGGGTGCAACATTTAAGTTAGACTACTGAGGAATAAATTTTAGTGGCATATTGCACTGCATGGTGACTACAGTCAATAATGCATTGCGTATTTCAAATTGCTGAAACAGATTTTTAACATTCTTACCATTAAAAAAATGATAAATTGGTGAAGTGATGGATATGTTAATTAGCTTAATTGAATCTTTGTATAATGTATACATAGATCAAAACATGACATTGTACCCCATAAATATTGTCAATTAAAATTTAAAAATACATTTAAAAACTCGAGAATTTCTTATCTAAAAGAACTTCTGCATGAGTTGGCTTACAAAATTCTGTTTGTTTCTCATTGCATTTGGAAATTCAAATTTCATCCTAATATTAAAGTATGACACTTTTGCTATAAAAAGATTAAGAACAACTGAAAATTCCTTCATTGAAATTAAAGATTTTATGACCCTGGGATTCCATTAGGAAATAATACTCACAGCTTTCTATAGGCATACATTTGAGGAAATTTTTAGTTGGTAATTTTATTTAGAAAATCACAAAAGTAGAAAATATATGACATTGTGAATGTGGAAAGTTGCTCTCAAATATTAAGATTATTAAGATTATGTATACGAAAGTTTTAAAAAGTAGAATGTAAGATAATTTCGAAACTTTTGAGATTGATTTTGGAATAGGAGGATCTCTCTAATGAGACAAAAAGCAGGAGGGAAATGGGAAGCAAGACACTAGATTTTATAGGCAGATCAGACACCAGCAGCTGTCTCTAGGACTTCGAGCAAGGTAATTAAGCTTTGCCTTTCTTTCTTCATTCTTTTCTTTTTTTTAAAACTTTTATTTTAGGTCCAAGGGTACATGTGCAGGTTTCTTAAATAGGTAAACTGTGTGCCATGAAGGTTTGGTTTACAGGTTATTTCATCACCTAGGTAATAAGCCTAGTATCCAGTAGGTATTTTCTTTGATCCGCTCAGTCTCTTCCCTCAGGTAGGCCCCAGTGTCTGTTCCCCTTTTTGTGTCCATGTGTTCTTATTGCTTAGCTCTCACTTATAAGTGAGAACATGTGTATTTGATTTTTCTGTTCCTGTATTAGTTTGCTTAGGACAATGGCCTCTAGCTCCATCCATGTTGTTGCAAAGGACATAATCGCATTCATTTTTATGCCTGCGTGGTATTCTAAGGGTGTATGTGTACCACATTTTCTTTATCTAGTTTTCTATTGACGGGCACTTAGGTTGATTCCATGTCTTTGCTGTTGTGAATAGTGCTGCAATAAACTTACGTGTGTATGTATTTTCATGGTAGAACAATTTATACTCTGGGTATAATTATACTCAATAATGGGATTGCTGAGTCTAACAGTAATTCTGTTTTAAGTTGTCTGAGGAATTGCCTCACTGCTTTCCACAATGGCTGAACTAAGCATTGTATAAGCCTTCCCTTTTCTCCTCAACCTCGCCAGCATCTGTTATTTTTTGATTTAATAATAACCATTCTGACTGGTGTGAGATGGTATCTCGTTGTTTTCCCATTCTTAAAGTGAAAATTTTGGAAGTCTCTCCCCACTAGAAAATGAATGTTATGAAACAACATAAGATAGCTTTCCAAAGAAATAAAATGTAACTGCCATCAATTTCAAAATGTTACAAAGCTTTCAAACAATTACCATGCTACAGTGAAATGTGAGAAAACAAAATAAATCTGTAGTTTTCATTTTGAATTCAAACTCTTACTTATCCGGGAATAGATTTTTCTAGAGCTAGTCAGTTTAAGCTATTGTAATATATGAAAATGCTATTAAGTTCAGTTTTAAACATTTTGCTTTTTCTTAAAAATAGATACATAGACACACATGCACAGACAGTAAACATTAGTTAGAAACATTAGTTGGATAAAGAATTAATCTGTATGCATTTGATGGTATTTATATTCTTTATTCTCTAGAGAATACACAGAGAGGTATGCACACATCTGTATATCTTGGCCAGCTTGAAATCCAGCTTGGTGCTGGGAATGGGTGAGGAGTTGCTTCTCTGCTTTCTCTGACAGTCATTTACTTCAGATTCCAAGAAGTCATCAATTTTATTTTAAATTGGTGAACATATTTGGGATTGCTACTGCACAAATATACAGCTGCTAGAAATGTTGTAATCAATATTTAAGGCAAAATAAATGGATAATGTCTAAAAGTTGAGGGCACTTGAAATTTTGATGTTTTACTGGAATATACATTCAATAGACAATTATAAAAATTGATACATAAACTTACAAATGAGATTCTACATATGCATTTTTAAGTAAAATCATGAACAAATCTGACTCCAGATGGGGTCACTTATTTTATTTACCATATATTTGAGCATCTCAGCTTAAAACTGTGGTTTTCAAATAGCTGTAGTAGGAATATTTTCATCTGGATAATTAATGCCAGCAACTCCCAAAATTCAGTGGCTAAGCACAATAAGAGTTAATTCATCACTGACACCCAGTTGTAGGATGGGTCAGTGTATTAATCCATTCTCACATTGCTGTAAAGAACTACCTGAGACTAAGTAATTATAAAGAGAAGAGAGTAATTGGCACATGATTCTACAGGCTGCATAGGAAGTATGGCTGGGGAGGCCTCAGGAAACTTACAATCATGGTGGAGGGTGAAGGGGAAGCCGGCATATCCTACATGGCAGGAGCAGAAGAAAAAGAGTGAAGGGGGAGGCGCTGCACACGTTTAAAAAACCAGATCTCATGAGAATTCTATCCTGAGACAGCACTAGGGGGATGGTGCTAAGTCATGAGAAACCACCCCCATGATCCAATCAGCTTTCACCAGGCCCCACCTCTAACACTGGAGATTACAATTCAACATGTGATTGGGGCGAGTACGCAGAGGCAAACCCTATCAGTCAGGTAGCTCCTTTGTTGGCTGCCTTTGGTCAGTAATTCAGGGGTCCAAGCTTCTTCCAAAGAGTATAGTGGCTGTAGCATTTGAGAAAAAGGAGAGAGAGTGTATGGAGGATATCTCTGGAGGTTTTTGGGCCAGACCTGAAAGTGCAGCATCCTCTTCCTTTCACACTCCATTGGTTGGAATCAACTCAGATGGCTTCAGCCTAATGGAAAGGATGGCTGGGAAATACCATTTTCCTGACTGCCCAGGAAAAGGAAACCTGATTGGAAGATCTAGTCATTCTCTGTTACAAGGAAAAATTGTTAACATTTTTTAATCAATATGTTTTTATCCTTCTCTCCCCAAACTCCTGTTTCCCACCAACCATTCTGCCCTTCTCCAGGCAAGGAAAAAAAAATGTATGGCCTGAGAAAAAGTGAATAAGACATAAGAAATGCTCTGAACAAATAAAAAGAGGAAGTTGTAACATGTGTTTGTAGGGACTCAGTGGATGGTAGGAAAAAGGAAAACAGAAATGAGAAGGTGGTTTCTTATAAGTTTCTAAATTTAAAAACCCTGAAAATCCTCCTGGTAAAACACGGAAATGCTAGAGACACAGTATTCCTTAAAATAGATAGAAGAGCTCAAAAGAAAGTTAGGGAAATACTTAGGAGGCAGAAAATGAAGTTTTGATGGTCTGCATGGAATGCTCCAGGTACTCTGGCCATGGGTAGTGGTGTGCTGTCTTAATACTCCAGGGACTTGGGTTGTTATACCTATGTGGCGGTAGGAGATTGGGTCCATGTAAATTATGGAGTTGAAACTAAAATCTCAGTATAACGTCAAATCCTTTGGAAGGCTAAAAGAAATGCACCTGCTGGGAAAGGAAGATGATAAAGAAGTTTTCTATGTTAGTCTAAATTCTAGGTGATCTAATTAAAAAAAAGCTTCCTTTTGAATGTTAGAAGACTCTCTACTGATTTTATCGCTTATATTTATTACCCCTGTTTGTTATTTCAGGAGGTGAGAAGTGCTATGGTAGCAAAGGGCAGAAAGAAAAAGAAAAACAAATATTACCAGTAAACGAATACTAGTAAGAAAGTTGTGTTCAAATTTAGTTCCATTTTGTATTAGAAAAATGTGTGATTTCAGGCAAGCTAAGTCACTCTGTTTCTCTGTTTGTAAAATGGGATAATAATATTATCTCCTCAGTTTAATTTGAGAGTCAAGCAAACGCAAAGTGATTAGAACTATGTCTGGTATAGTGAAAATGTTAGCTACAAATAATAACACACAATGTACTTTATTAACATCTAATGGATGTTATTAAGATAATACATTTAAAATATTGGAACAATTTAAAAACACATTGCCATTTTATTAGATTCAATTATGCATGAATTCATCTAAGATATTCATATGGTCACAAGTAAACTGAATAATTTTGTTTCTTCTTTATTACCCACACATTTCCGGTGCCAGATGCCACAGGACATTTCTGAATCATGACTTTTATGTCTTGCATCATTGTGCCTTGATGCTGGATGAGTTGGTGTAGTATGATAGTTCCTGAACATCATGTGTACACTGAGGTGGTTAACGAGTATTTAACCATACCAGAGAATGACTTCAAACTGCATGAATATATCCCACCAAATCAAAACTAAAGGAATTCCCCAACTGAAAATACCCTTAGCCAGATCCCCTGAATGCCCATGGTCACTTTAGCACCACCCAACATGAGGAAAAGTATGACGCAGAAAAGGTCCTTGTGGAAAGAAACAGGAGTTTCACCTGGTTCCAGTTAAATGAGCAAAAACATATCACCATGTAAATACACTGCTGGGGCCCCTTCGAGGGCCTTGAAAGATATCCATGCACATGAAAGATCCTGAAGTTCAAGCTTTGCTAGTGTTACAGTAAATATAATTTGAGTAGAAGACAATAGAATTTGATAATTGCAGGTGCAAAATCCAAATTAACCTGAACTGCCCAGAGTGTAAGCTCCTGAAGAGCAAGGCCAGGACAATTTAATGTGTTTTTCACAGTGCCAGGAATGATACTTATCTTTGTGGATACTAAACAATTAATTACTTGATTATTAGTTAATTATTTCCTTCTACATTTTAATCTTAAATAATTTAATTTTATAAACCACACAATTATACACTGTACATTTTGTTGTCTAATAGCATATTCTGTTACAGCAGTAGAAGGACAATATGTGATTTCTAACTGCCAGAATAGACTCTTTTTTTTCAGGTTTAATTACCATTTGTGCACTGTCATTTGTATTAGGCATCAGAACATCTTCCTGGACTTCCGCTGAGTGGGTTTCTTAATAGTGAATCATGAATGTCAGCTGAGTATTTCTATGTTTAACTACTGGATTAAATAGTTGGAGGTTATTGTTAGAATGTTTTGCAGAAAAATTTAAAAATTACACTTAAGACTTTTTGACTGCTATTGTTCTATGGACCTTGATTCTGGACCGTGTTTGAGTCTTTTAAAATTTTTTTTAAAAAGGCTACGTGTTCTCCAAATCTTGAGATTACAGATTATTAAAAGTTTCACATTTGCCGGGTATGGTGGCTCATGCTTATAATCCCAGCACTTTGGGAGGCCAAGGAGGGCGGATCACCTGAGG
Source organism: Homo sapiens (assembly GCF_000001405.40). Classification (NCBI taxonomy): domain Eukaryota; kingdom Metazoa; phylum Chordata; class Mammalia; order Primates; family Hominidae; genus Homo; species Homo sapiens. The sequence continues at coordinate 56,003,494 of NC_000006.12, read as the reverse complement.
TCTGGAGTTCAAGACCAGCCTGGCCAACATGAAGAAACCCTGCCTCTACTAAAAATACAAAATTAGCTAAGTGTGGTGGTGCATACCTGTAATCCCAGCTATTTGGGAGGCTGAGGCAGGAGAATCGCTTGAACATGCGAGGTGGAGGTTGCGGTGAGCCGAGATCGCGCCACTGTACTCCAGCCTGGGCAACAGAGTGAGACTCTGCCTCAATTAAAAAAAAAAGTTTCACATTTCTGAGAAACTCATAAAAATATTGATAATAAAATTTATAAAAAATCTAGTTAATAATTACTTTAATCTACTTATCTCTGGTATTATTTCTAATTACTTTTTTGCAGAAAAGATCTATTAAGTAGATATGGGCTTGTCATTGGCCTTTGTTCCTTCATAGTTTCTTACTTCAAAGGAAGTTAAATCTCTTATGGAAAGGCTAGGCTGCCTTCAGTTGTTTTATAAATGGGTGCTCCACTACTCTGGAAACAATTGTTTCATTCCACATATTTTGAACAGTCCCCCATACTAAATGATTATGGATCTGTTATATAGTGGAAATATGTTATTACCCAGTATCTGCAAACACATTTTGAATTGACACTTGTATAACTTCACTGGGCATCCTGTTCATGAAAATAACTGATGCACCTGATATTTATTACTGATGAATCAAGATTCCATAGTTGGTGTCCAAAAAATAACAAAAGGAAAAGTGTCAAAAGATCTAGTGAGCAACTTGTTCATGTTTCTTCCTGGGATAAATCTGAGGCCAGCTTTGCAACAGAATCTTCCGGGAATTAGGAGGGAGTCATTAATCCTTCAAACTAGGATGTCAGAATGTTCAGAAAACACCTCACATGCATAAGACCTTTCTAAACTTTCCAGATTATAAAGGGCTTTCAGAGACTTTTGTTCAATACGTGATGCAATAGAAACTTAGTCGTAATGCTCCTGGGAGTAAGTTTGGAGTCACTCATCACTCATCCAACAAATTCCAAGAAATCTTTATGGTCTTATTTGACCAATTGTTCGACCCCAAGAGGTCAAAGTTCATCAAATTCAGTTTAATACATAATATGATGTGTGTATAGGAATTAATTCCACAGGACAAGCGTTCTTTAAAAACTTTAGCCCATACATGCAAAGGAGGTTTTTACCATTGATGATGGTAGTGAGTATTTAACTCAGAAAAGTTGGTCATTTGAGTGAATGTTTCATTTTTTGCTATTACTAAAACTCAGATGCTTTGTTTTCTCATGGGAAATTTCTTTAAAAACATCTCTATTCTGGGAATGGCTTTGGAATTTACACACCAAGGTTAATATAAAATGTCTTGGACAGTATGAGAATCATTTTTAATCTATGACAGAAGTCATGCTGTGGGAATTCTGTAATAGAAATTATAATTCATTCTGCAATCATGTCTTAGATAATAAAAATAGGTAACGTCCATTCCTTGCATCCAATTTTAGTTTTTCTCAGATCTAAAAATACCAATTCTATCTTATAGAATATAAATTTATCATCAACATTTACTAAAATGAATGAGGTTTGATGTAAGAAGTGTTTGATTTGAGCAAATTAGGTAGAATTAGTTCTCAGTATAGAATAAGAGGATTCAACATCCTCTCTTCTTTTCCATTTTCCTCACCTAACCCCAAAGTATGTAAGAATGAAAAGAAAAAAACTAAGCATGTAGCAGGTATTCTATAAACGGCAAGGCATCAGCAGAAGTCAATATCTACTCTTTTAAAAAATAACACACTTGGCTGGGCGCGGTGGCTCACGCCTGTAATCCTAGCACTTTGGGAGGCCGAGGTGGGCGGATCACGAAGTCAGGAGATAGAGACCATCCCAACAAGATTAAACCCCGTCTCTGCTAAAAATACAAAAAATTAGCCAGGCATAGTGGCGGGCGCCTGTAGTCCCAGCTACTCTGGAGGCTGAGGCAGGAGAATGGCGTGAACACGGGAGGCGGAGCTTGCAGGGAGCCGAGATCCTGCCACTCACTCCAGCCTGGGCGACAGAGCGAGACTTCGTCTCAAAAAAAAAAAAAACACACAAAAAAACAAAAAACTTGTTACTTATTTTCTGATTTAAAGGGAGTACTATACATTTTTATGTTAGATAATTTGGAAAATAAAGAACCAAACAGAAAAAACAAATCTCATTTAAAGCACAAGCCAGAGAAAGCTACTCCTAGCATTGATGTACAACTTTGTAAATATTCGTGTATGAAGGCATATGTTTTGCAGATATTCATGTGTACATGCAACTGAGAATCTTGTTTTTTTAAAAAACTCGTCATGTTCTTTGTAATATTATTAATTTTTTATTTAAATCCAAGAGAGCAGACATATTTTTCTTTTGTTCATTGATGTCTCCCAGTAGACCATCAATACTCATTTGTTGAACTTACTAGTACAGAATGATCTTTATTTACTAGTAAATATTCTCTTAAAACATCACATTTACCAGATACATGATAGTCCATTGAGCAATGCACTGTAACTCATGTAACAAACATACTATAGCTGGCCATTTAGTTTGTTTCAGAATTTATATGTATAAAATTACCAGAATATCTCCTGTGCATATATTCTTTCTTTGTACAACTTTGATTATTTGAGATAAATGCAAATGCTGGAAATGCTTGAAATTCATGATTTTTAAAAGGCTTCCATAAAAGTTACATTATATTATAGCACTCCTTCAAGGAACTATCAATAGTGTTCTCCACCTCCTCTATCCTTTAATGGACCTTCCCTCTCATAGTATCATCTAGAGGGTGTTAGAGGGATTGGTCCCTGTGAAGTCATCCTTCAGGCCAGAGTGAATGGCTCAGGGATACGGACCCGTAACTTAAGCCATTGAGGTGAGAAATATTTTCTTTTTCAGAACTATTAGAAAAACCATTCTCTTGGCTTCCTGGTACAAAGAGGAAAAATACAGCTGTGGGAATTGCTACAGTCCCATGCATATGTGGAGATAACATTAGGGTCAAGCAGTCAGGAGAGACAAAAAGAACCTCAATTTTTATATACTGGGCCAGTTCTCACTTGAAACTTTACTTAACTTTAAACTTTTCAGATTCTCGAGCCAAAAAATTCCTTCCTATTCCAATGTGGGGCAAGTTTTCTATTAGCTTAAATATAAAGATACTGACATGATAAATATCCCCTGCAGTGTATAAAGGGATCTTTTTCCCAAACTCTACTCAGTATTGGTTATCATTATAAATTGGGTGATTTTATAAGAAGCATATTCTATCTCATGTTGATTTGTGTTTCTTCTGTTGCTATCAAAGGTGAATATTCTGCATATGGTTATCAGCACTATTTAATTCTTTCTTGGTTCTAGTTCCTTGTGAGGTACTTCAACCATTTTGGTTACATGACATATATCAGTATCTTTTTGTTTGTTTTTATATATCTTCTTATTCTGGAAGAATTTTAGGTTTGCACAAAAGTTGCAAAGATATTGCAGAGAGTTCCTGTATACCTTTACTCTCCTTTCCTTAGTATTAATATCCCACATAACCATAATACAGTCATCCAAACTAAGAAATAAATATTGGTACAATAAACACTACTAACTAAACTATAGACTCTCTTTGGGTTTCAACAGATTTTCAGTAATGTCCTTTTTATGTACTGGAAGCCAATCCTTCCAGTACATAAATTTATTTATCCTTGTTAGTTAACTCCTCTCTGAAGACAAGCTCTTAGAATCAAGTTTCACCTAATTAAATAAATCACCCATGAACATAAAAAGTGCTAAGTGATTCTTAACATTAAACAAACTGGAGGAAGATCTCTGTATGGTAATACTTTCATTATTTTTGTTATTACTGTCTATAATAATACTCAGCAAGGATGCAGAATGATACATACAAGGTTAACTCTGTGTTTGATCAGTAAGTAGGCTAGTTCTATGCTGTGAATGCAAGATGAATAAAATAATTTCTGAGGTCCTGTCTAAAGTTGGATTCACTTTGGAATAAGGACTGAACTTTAAATGTTAGAACATGAAAATTGTGTTTGGGCTCCTTGTCTGTAAACTATCACTTTACTAGGCATTCCAAATTTAATATGCTTAACAAGGAACACTTGATTGCTTCTTCCTCCCTCCTCCCTGTGCTCCAAACTGTTTTTCCCCTTTCTTAATAGGTATTAGCATCTTCCACCCTATTGGAAGTGTGGTCTAAAACATAGTTGTTACCCCTCATTTATCTCTTCCTCATCCCCTACATTGAATCCATCCACAGGTCCTCTCAGCTGACTTTCCAAATTAAATTTAATTCCTCTTCAACTGTTAAAATCCTTGATCAGGCCATAATTGCCTCTTATTTAGATTACTGTAATAACTTCCTAATTTTCCTTTCTGTGTCTACTTTCAACAGTATAATCCATTAACCACATTGTAGCTGGAATACTATTTCAAAAATGTAAATTATGGCTTAGTTCCACTTTCTGGCTTGAAAATCTCCAATAGTTTTTCATTTTCCTTGGAGTAAAACCTGATCATCTTCTTTATTGCTGACCAAAAACTGCTACAAGTTCTGGGTTCTGACTACCTCCTAGCTTGATCTTTTATTGTCCTTCTCCTCACTCAGGATGCTCCATCTACACTGGGTTTTGGTTTGTTTCTCAAACATACTCAGCTTGCTGCAGTCTTGGGGCCTTGCCCTTGCAAATCTCTCCAGCTGGAATACATTTTCTTTACAATGTCTCAAGGCTGAATTTTTCCTTGTTATTTAAAACTCATGTTCAACTTAGTGAGGCCCTTCTCATTTAAACTGCAACTGATGTATACTTGTATATTTATTTGTCTTCTGCCTCTATAATTCCATGAGAGCAAGAAATGCGACTGTCCTTGGTGCTGGTACGTAAGCAGGACATAACAGGCATTCAATCAATGTTTGTTGACTGACTGAGGGATAAAAGATAAAATAATGTCAGTTTAGCTAATTGAGAACAATTCTGGTGAACTGGAGAAGAGAAAAAGAAAAGAAAATAGAACTTTTATTAATGAGTAGAAAAGAGAACTACTTTGTGAATTTTTCATGACAAATCTGAAATTATCTGAATTGTTACCTTAGGGCTAATTTATGGGCTTCTATTCTATAGGAAGAATCACATTTTCCAAGATTGTGTCAGCTGTGGACAAAAAAGCAATTGCTAAGTGATTCAGTTCCAGAAACCATTCTTTCTTTTTCTGGGATAAGGGAGGTGTATATGTGTAGGAAACTTTGAGTGCTTTTGAGGCAGTGGATTTTTACTTAACTCAGGCAAATGGAACTAGGTCCAGTGTTTCAAAAATATAATTGGAATATGTCGTCCTTACATTAGCGTTTATTCTAGGCAGAAATCTTAATGGAATATATGGTTTTAGTGTTTCATCTATAATATATTTTGAAGGATCCCAGCAGAGCAAGATGGTCTAACAGAAGACTTCACCAATCAGCCTCCTTGTAGGAACACCAAAATGATCAACTATCCACACAGAAAAGTACCTTCATAAGAGCCAAAAAATAAGGTGAGCAATCGCAGAACTTGGTTTTAACTAGCCAGGCAGTGTCTGTGTGGGTCTGAGGCAGTGGTGGCCATAGGAGGAGACACCTTTGCTTGTAAAAAAGGGGAGGGAAGAGTAAGAACTTTGTACAGAGTAGGAAAGATGGTCTTGAATTGCCAATACCACCCCTCCTCCACCCCCTGGCAGCAGCTGCATGGCATGGAGAAAGAATCTGTATGCTTAGGGGAGGGAGAGTGCAGTGTTTGTGGAACTTTGTGATGAACTCAGTGCTTCCTTGACAAGGCAGAAGGTAACACTGGGCAGAACTCAGCTGGTGCCCATAGAGGGAGCATTTAGACCAGCTCTAGCCAGAGAGGAATCGTCCATTCTAGCAGTTGCAACCTGAGTTTCAGCTACCTCTACCACCATGGGTTAAATTGCTCTGTGGTCCTAAATAAACTTGAAAGATAATGTAGGCCACAATGACTGAAGTTCCTGGGCAAGTCCTGGTCCTGTTCTGGGCTCAGAGCCAGTGAATCTGGAGGGCATGCAACCTAGTCAAACAGAAGCCAGGGTCACCAAGGTAGTGCTTACACCACCTCTCCCCCAACCCCAGTCAGCACAACTCACAGCTCCAGGAGCGATTTCCTCTTTCTGCTTGAAAAGAAGAGAGGGAAGAGAAAATAGAGCTTTGTAGGCTGGGTGCAGAGACTGGTGGCGATTTTCCCCTGCCCTACAGATTTGTGGAACTTTTAATTTGAGGGAGATGATTAGGCAGAAGATATTTTTAAGCAGCAAAGCATTCAAGATGTAACCTGGCTGTTTCTACAGGCAGTGGCTCATGCCTGTAATCCCAGCACTTAGGGAGGCCGAGGCAGGAGGATCATCTGAGGTCAGGAGTTTGAGACCAGCCTGGCCAACATGGTGAAACCTCACCTCTACTAAAAATACAAAAATTAGCTGGTTGTGGTGGCACTCACCTGTAATCCCATCTACTTGGGAGGCTAAGGTGGGAGGATTGCTTGAACCTGGGAGGCAGAGGTTGCAATGAGCCAAGATCGTGCCACTGCACTCCAGCCTGGGCAACAGAGTAAGACTCCATCTCAAAAAAGAAAAAAAAAAGAGAGAGCTTTGTTTTGCAACTTGGATACCAGCTCAGCCACAGTAGGATAGGGTACCAGGCAGAGTCGCGAGACCCCATTCTGGGCCCTAGCTACTGGGTCACATTTCTAGATATAACCTGGGGCAGAAGGAAACATGCTGCCTTAAAGGGAAGAACCTAGTCTTGGGAGGATTCATCATCTCCTGACTAAAGAGCCATTAGTCCCTGAATAATCAGCAGCCATATCCATGCAATACTTGCAGTGGGCCTTGGTTGAGGCTCTGAGACGTGCCGGCTTCAAGTGTGACCCAGCACATTCCAAGTTGTGGTGGCTACAGAGACAGACTCCTGCTTCAGAAAAGGAGACGAAAGAATAAAGGGAGCCTTGTCTTGCAGCTTAGGTACTAGCTTGGCCGCAGTAGGGTAGAGCAGCAAGTGGGCTCTTGGAATTCGTGATTCTAGGCCTTGGCTCTTAGATGGCCTTTCTTGACCTTTTTTGGGCCAAAGGGGAGCTCACTTCCCTTAAAGGAGAGTCCCAGGCCTGCAAACATTCACCACAAGCTGATTTAAGAGCCTTTGGACATTGAATGAACATTGGTAGTAATCAGGTAATGCTTGTTATTGGCCTGGGCTGGTGGGGGCCACAGGGAGAGATGCTTCTCTTTGTAAAAAGGGGAGGGAAGAGTAAGAAAGACTTTGTCTTGTGGCTTGGGTGCCAATTCAGCTGCAGTAGAGGAGAGCACCATGGAGATTCCTAAGGTTTCTGACTCTGCACTCTGGCTTCCAGATGCATCTCTGCACCTCCCTGGCATTGAGGGGGAGCTTGTCACCCTGAAGGGAAGGAGATAAGCCTGGCTGGCTTTATCACCTGCTGTTTGTAGAGCCCTAGGGCCTTCAGTGAACATAGGCAGTAGCCAGGCAGTTATCATGGGCCTTCTGTAAGGCCAAGGTCTGACACAGCACAGTCCCAGTGGTGGTGGCCACAGGAGTCCATATGTCACCCCTCTCCCAGCTCTAGGCAGCTCAGCACAGAGAGAGAGAGACTCCATTATTTTTGGGAGAAAGTAAGGGAAGAGAACAAGAGTCTCTGCCAAGTAATACAGATAATTCTTCTGGATCTTATCCAAGACCACCAAGGCACAACCTCTATGAGTCTGCAAGAGCCACAGTATTACTAGAGTGGAGTGTCTTATACTGCAGATACAGCTGCAGTGACCAAAAACATGGAGCACAACACTTAAGTGTCTTTGAATACCTGGAAAGCCTGCCCAAGAAGGACAAGTGAAAACTAACCCAGACTGTGAAGATTATAATAAATGCCTAACTTTTCTATGCCCGGACCTCCAGAATATCCACAATCATCAAGACCATCCAGAAAAAGCATGACCTCACTAAACACACTAAAGAAAGCATCAGGATCCACTCCTGGAGAGACAGATATATGTGACCTTTTGGACACAGAATTTAAAAAAAAACTGTTTTGAGGAAACTCAATAAAATTCCATAAGGTATTCAGAATCCTATGAGATACATTTGACAAAGAGATTCAAATAATTAAAAAGAATCAAGCAGAAATTCTGGAGTTAATAAATGCAATTAACATATTGAAGAATGCCCAAGAATCTCTTAAGAGCAGAATGAATCAAGCAGAAGAAAGAATTAGTGAGCTTGAAGCAAACTATTTGAAAATATGCAGAGGAGAGAAAAGAAGAAAATGAAAAAGAACGAAACACACCTACAGGATTTAGAAACAAATGTCTCAAAAGGGCAAATTGAAGAGTTACTGGCTTTAAAGAGTAGGTTGAGAGAGAGAGATAGGGGTAGGATGTTTATTCAAAGGAAAAATAAGAGAGAACTTCCCAAATCTAGAGGAATATATAAATTTTCAAATATAAGAAGGTTATGGAGCAGTGATATAGTTTGTCTCTGTGTCTCCACCCAAATCTCATGTTGAATTGTAATTCCCAATGTTGCGGGAGGGACCTGGTGCAAGGTGATTGGATCATGGAGGCAGATCTCCCCCTTGCTGTTCTTGTGATAGTGAGTTCTCATGAGATCTGATGGTTTAAAAGTGTCTGGCCTTTCCCCTTTAGCTCTCTTTCTCTCTCCTGCTGTAACATGGTAAGACGTGCTAGCTTCCCCTTCACCTTCTGCCATAATTGTATGTTTCCTGTGGCCTCCCAGCCGTACTTCCTGTACAGCCTGCAGAACTGTGAGTCAATTAAATCTCTTTTCTTCATAAATCACCCAGTCACAGGTAGTTCTTTATAGCAGTGTAAGAATTAAATAATACAGAAAATTGGTACCTGGAGTGAGGTATTGATATAAAGTTATCTGAAAAACATGGAAGCAAATTTGGAACTGTGTAACGGGTGAGGTTGGAACAGTTTGGAGGGCTCTGAAGAAGACAGGAAGATGAGGAAAAGTTTAGAACATCCTAGAGAATTATTGAATGGTTTTGACCAAAATACTGATAGTAATATGGACAATGAAGTCAAGGCAGAGGGAGGGTCTCAGATGGAAATGAGGAACTTATTGGGAACTAGAGTAAAGATCACTCTTGCTATGCTTTAGCAAAGAGACTGGTGGCATTTTCCCCCTGCCCTAGAGATCTGTGGAACTTTTAATTTGAGGGAGATGATTTAGGGTATCTGGCAGAGGATATTTTTAAGCAGCAAAGCATTCAAGATGTAACCTGGCTGTTTCTAAAAACGTAAACTCATATGCATGAAAAAGAGATTATTCCAAACTGGAACTTATATGTAAAAGGGAAGCAGAACATAAAAGTTTGGAAAATTTGCAGGCTGATGGTGTAATAGAAAAGAAAATCCCATTTTCTGAGGAGAAATTCAAGACAGCTGCAGAAATTTGCATAAGTAAAGAGGAGCCAAATGTTAATAGCCAAGGTGAAAGGGAAAATGTCTCCAGGGCATTTCAGAGACCTTCACAGCAGCTCCTCCTATCACATGCCCAGATGCCTTGGAGGGAAAAATGATTTTATAGGCCAGGCCCAGGTCTCCTCTGCTCTCTTCAGACTTGGGACATGGCATACTGTGTCCTAGCTTCCCCAGCTCCAGCTGTGGCTAAAAGGGGACAAGATAGAGCTCAGGCTGTGGCTTCAGGGGGTGCAAACACTACATGGCTTCCATGTAGTGTTGGGTCTGCACGTACATAGAAGGCAAGAGTTGAGACTTTGGAACCTCTGCCTCAATTTCAGAGGATGTATGGAAATCTGTGGATGTCTAGGCAGAAGTCTGCTGCAGGAGTGGAGCCCTCATGGTGAACCGCTACTAGGGCAGTGTGGAGGAAAAAATGTGGGGCTGGAGCCTTCACACAGGGTCTCCACTGGGGCACTGCCTAGTGGGGCTGTGAGAAGAGGCCCATTGTGCTCCAGATTCCAGAATGTTAGATCCACTGACAGCTTGCACCATGCACCTGGAAAAGCCACAGTCACTCAATGCCAGACTGTGGAAGTTGCCATGGGGGCTGTACTCTGTAGAGCCACAGAGGCAGAACTATCCAAGGCCTTGGGAGTCCACCTTTTACATCAGTGTGCCTTGGATGTGAGACATGGAGTCAAAGGAGACTTCAGAGCTTTAAGATTTAATCACTGCCCAGCTGGATTTCAGACTTGCATGGGGCCTGTGGCCCCTTTGTTTTGGCCAATTTCTCTCTTTTGGAATGGAGGCATTTACCTGATGCCTGTACCTCCATTGTATCTTGGAAGTAATGAGCTTGTTTTTTATTTCACAGGCTTTTAGGCAGAAGGGACTTGCCTTGTTTCAGATGAGACTTTGGACTTGGACTTTTGGGTTAATGCTTGAATGAGTTAAGACTTTGGGGGACTGTTGGGAAAGCATGATTGTGTTTTGAAATGTGAGAAAGATATGAGATTTGGGAGGGGCCAGGGGAGAAATGGCATGGTTTGTCTCTGTGACTACTTCCCAAATCTAGAGGAACATATAAATTTTCAAATACAAGAAGGTTATAGAACAGTGATATAGTTTGTCTCTGTGTCTCCACCCAAATCTCATGTTGAATTGTAATTCCCAATGTTGTGGGAGGGACCTGGTGGGAGGAGATTGGATCATGGGGGTGGATTTCCCCTTTGCTGTTCTTATTATAGTCAGTGAGTTATCATGAGATCTGATAGTTTAAAAGTGTGTGGCACTTCCCTCTTCACTCTCTCTCTCTCTCTCCAGCTCTGCCATAGTAAGATGTGATTGCTTCCCTCTCACTTTCCACCATGATTATGTCTCCTGAGGCCTTCAAGCCATACTTTCTGTATAGCCTGCAGAACTATAAGTCAATTAAACATCTTTTTCTCACAAATTACCCAGACTCCAGTAGTTCTTTACAGCAATGTGAGAATGGACTAATACAAACAGCAAGCAGATTTAACCCAAAGAAGAATACCTCAAGACATTTAATAATCAAACTCCCAAAGGTCAAGATAAAGAAAGCATCCTAAAAGCAGCAAGATAAAAGAAACAAATAACATACAATGGAGCTTCAACACACCTGGTAGCAGACTTTTCAGTGCAAACCTCAAAGGCCAGGAGAGAGTGGCATGTCATATTCAAAGTGCTGATAAAAAAGCCCTTTTAATCCTAGAATAGTATATCCAGTGACAGTATCCTTCAAATGTGAAAGAAAAATAAAGACTTTCCCAGACAAGCAAAAGTTGAGGGATTTCATGAACACCAGACCAGTCCTACGAGAAATGCTAAATGGATTTCTTCAATCTGAACAAAAAGGATGTTAACAAACAAAAAGAAATCATATGAGAATAGAAAACGCACTGTTAATAATACATACATAGAAAAACAGAGAATATTATAACACTGTAATTGTGGTGTGTAAACTACTCATATCTTAAGTAGAAAGACTAAAAGATGAACTTATCAAAAATAATAACTACAACAACTTTTCAAGTCTGCACAAGATATAAACAGAAACAATAAAAAGCTAAAAAGCAGGGGGACAAAGTTAAAGTGTAGAGTTTTTATTACTTTTCTCCTTGATTGCTTGTTAGTCAGTTTGTTTATGCCATCAATGTTAAGTTGTCATCAGCTTAAAATAATTGGCTATAATAATTGCTGTTGTTTGCAAGCCTCTATCAATACACAAAAAATAAAAAAAAAAGAAATTAAAACATGCCACCAAAGGAAAAAACCTTCACTAGAAAGTAGATATGAAGGAAATAAGAGAGAAAAGACCACGAAAAAACCCCCAAAAAACCCCCACAAAATAATGGGGGCAAGTCTTTACTTACTAATAATAACATTGAGCCGGGCGCGGTGGCTCACGCCTGTAATCCCAGCACTTTGGGAGGCCGAGGCGGGCGGATCACGAGGTCAGGAGATCGAGACCATCCTGGCTAACACGGTGAAACCCCGTCTCTACTAAAAATACAAAAAATTAGCCAGGCGTGGTAGCGGGCGCCTGTAGTCCCAGCTACTGGGGAGGCTGAGGCAGGAGAATGGCGTGAACCCGGGAGGCGGAGCTTGCAGTGAGCCGAGATCGCGCCACTGCACTCCAGCCTGGGCGACAGAGCGAGACTCCGTCTCAAAAAAAAAAAAAAAAAAAAAAAAAAAAACATTGAATATAAATGGACTAAACTCTCCCATCAAAAGAAAAAGAGTGGCTGACTGAATAAACAACAAGACCCAGTGATCTTTTGCCTACAAAAAACACACTTTCTATCCTTTTATTTTCAGCCTACATGTACCTACAAAGATACACCCAGGCTGAAAATAAAAGAATAAAAAAAGATATGTCATGCCAATGGAAATCAAAAAAGAGAAGGAACAGGTATACTTATATCAGACAAAATCGATTTCAAGAAAAAAAGCTATAAGAAGAAACAAAGAAGGTCATTATGTAATGAAAAAGGGTTAATTCATCAACAGAATATAACAATTTTAAATAGATATGCGCCCAACACTAGGGCATCCTGATATATAAAGCAAATATTGTTAGAGCTAATGAGGGAGATATACTCTAATGCAATCATAGTTAGAAACTTCAAGATGCACTTTCAGCATTAGACAGCTCATCTGAATGTAAAATAAACAAATAAACATCAGACTTAACCTGCACTATAGCCCAAATGGACCTAAGACATATTTACAATACATTCATCCAATGCCTGCAGAATACACCTTCTTCTCCCCAGCATGTCAATCATTCTAAAGGTAGACCATATATTAGGCCATAAAACAAATCTTAAAACATTAAAAAAATTGAAATTATATCAAGTATCTTCTCTGACAACAACAGAATAAAAATAAATGAAAGAATCAATGACAGAAATCAATGAAAGAAGAATTTTAGAAACTATACAAACACATGGAAATTAAACAATATCCTCCTGAATGACTGGTGGGTCAATGAAGATATTAAGAAGGAACTTTAAAAATTTTCTGAAACAAATGATAATGGAAACACAACATATCAAAACCTATGGGAAACATCAAAAGCAGTACCAAAGGAAATTTTATAGCTATCAGCACCTACAGCAAAAGAGTAGAAAAACTTCAAATACACTACATAATGATGCATCTTAAAGGAATAGAAAATCAAGAGCAAACCGAGCCCCAAATTAGTAGAAGAAAATAAATAATAAAGATCAGACCAGAAATAAATGAAACTGAAGAAAACAATACAAATCATCAATGAAATAAAAAGTTTTTTGAAAAGCTAAACAAAGTTGACAAACCCTTAGCTAGACTAGTTAAGACAAAAAGAGAGAATACCTAAATAAATAAAATCAGAGATGAAAAAGAAGACATGACAACTAATGCCACAGAAATGCAAAGGATCATTGGAGGCTACTATAAGCAACTATATGACAACAATTGGGAAATCTAGAAGAAACAGAAAAATTCATAGACACATACAACCTGCCACGATTGAACCATGAAGAAATCCAAAAGCTGAACAGACCAATAACATGTAATGAGATTAAAGCCATAATAAAAAGTCTCCTTGCGGGGTGTGGGGGAAAGCCAAAGACCTGATGTCTTCACTGCTGAATTCTACCAAACATTTGAAGAAGAACGAACACCAATCCTACTCAAACTCTTCTGAAAAATAGAGGGACTACTTCTAAACTCATTCTATGAGGTCAGTGTTATCCTGATGCCAAAACCAGACAAAGACATATCAAAAAGAAAACTAGTGTTCTCTGATGAACATTGATGTAACAACCCTCAACAAAACATTGGCAAACCAAATTCAACAACACATTAAAGAGAACATTCATCATGACCAAGTAGGCTTTATCCCAGGTATTCAAGCATGGCTCAACATATGCAAATCAAATAATGCAACACATCATATCAACATAATGAAGGACAAAATCCATATGATCCAATTGATGCTGAAAAATATTTGCTAAAATTTGACATTCCTTTGTGATAAAACCTTCAAAAAATTGGATATAGAAGGAACATGCCTCAGCATAATAAAAGCCATATATGACAGACCAACAGCGAGTATCATAGTGGACAGGGAAAAATGGAAAGCCTTTCCTCTAAGATTTGAAATATGGCAGGGATGCCCACTTTCAGCAATATTATTCAACATAGTACTGGAAGTCCTAGCTAGGGCAATCATTCAAGAGAAAGAAATAAAGGGCATCCAAATTGGAAAGGAATAATTCAAATCACCTTTGTTTGTAGATGATATAATCTTATATTTGGAAAAACCTAAAGACTCCAGAAAAAAACTACTAGAATTGATAAACAAATTCAGTAAAATTCTAGGATACAAAATCAACATGCAAAAATCAGTAGCATTTCTAAATGCCAATAGCAAACAATCTGAAAAAGAAATCAAGAATATAATTGCTTTTACCATAGCTACAAATAAAATTAAATACCTAGAAATTAACTTAACCAAATAAGTAAAGGATCTCTACAATGAATATTTTGAAACATTGATTAAAGAAATTTAAGAGCACATGCAAAAAAATGAAAAGATATTCCATGTTCATGGGTTGGAAGAATAAATATTGTTAAAATGCTCATACTATCCCAAACCATACTATCCCAAACCATGTACAGATTCAATGCAATCTCTATCAAAATGCCAATGACATTCTTCACAGAAATAAAAAAAAAGCTATCCTAAAATTTATATGGAACCACAAAAGGCCCAGAATAGCCAAAGCTATCCTGAGCAAAAAGATCAAAAGTGGAGAAATCACATTACTTGACTTCAAATTATACTGTAGAGTGAAAGTAACCAAAACAGCATGATACTGGCATAGAAACAGACACATGGACCAAAAAAACAGAACAGAGAACGCAGAAACAAATCCATACATCTACAAAGACCTCATTTTCAATAATGGTGCCAATAACATACATTGGGGAAAGAAGAGTCTCTTCAAGAAATGGTGCTGGGAAAATCGGATATCTATATCCAGAGGAATGAAACTAGACCCCTGTCTCTTGCCACATATAAGAATTGAAACTAAATGGATTAAGGACTTAAATCTAAGTCCTCAAACTATGAGAGTACTTGCAGAAGATTTTGGGGAAACTCTCCAGGACATTGGAGTGGGCAAAGATTTCTTGAGTAATATACCACAAGCACAGGCACTCAAAGAAAAAATAGACAAATGGGATCATGTGAAGTTGAAAATCTTCTGCACAGCAAAGGAAACAATCAACAAAGTTAAGAGACAACCCATGGAATGGGAGATAAGATTTGCAAACTATCCAGCTGACAAGAGATTAATAACCAGAATATATAAGAAGCTCAAACAACCCAATTAAAAAATCCAATAATCCATTTTAAAAAATGGACAAAATATTTGAATAGACATTTCTCCAAAGAAGACATACAAATGGTAAACGGGTATATGAAAAGGTGCTAAGCATCATTGATCATTAGAGAAATGTAAATCACAACTACAATGACATATCTTCTCACCCCAGTCAAAATGGCTTTTATCCAAAGACAGGCAATAACAAATACTGCTGAGGTGTGGAGAAAAGGGGACCCTTGTACACCGTTGGTGGGAAAGTAAATTAGTATAACCACTATAGAGAATAGTTTGGATTTTTCTCAAAAAAACTAAAAGTGTAACTGTCATATGATCCAGCAATCCTACTGCTAGGTATCTCTCCAAAAGTAAGCACATCAGTATATTGAAGAGCTATCTGTACTCCCATATTTACTGTTGTACTATTCACAATAGCTAAGATTTTGAAGCAAGCTAAATGTCCATTAGCAGACAAATGGATAAAGAAAATGTGGTACATACACACAAGGGAGTACTATTCAGCCATAAAGAGAATGCAATCCTGTTATTTGCAACAACATGGAAGGAACTGGAGGTCATTATATCAAGCGAAATAAGCCAGGCACAGAAAAACAAACATTGCATGTTCTCTCTCATTTGTGAGAGCTAAAAATGGAAAGAACTGAGTTCATGGAGATAGAAAGTAGAATGATGGTTACCAGAGACTGGAAAAGATGACTGGGGGTTTGGGGGAAGTGGGGACGATCAATGGGTTCAAAAATATGAATGACTAAGGCCCAGTATTTGATAACATAACAGGGTGACTATATTCAATAATAAGTTAAATATACATTTAAAAGTAACTAAAGAGTATATTTGGAATGTTTCTAACACAAATAAATGACAAATGCTTGAGGTGATGGATACACAATTACCTTGATGTGATTGTTAGACAATGTATTCCTGTGTCAAATTATCCCATATACCTCATAAATACATATACCTCTTAAGTACCCACAAAATTAAAAATGAAAAAACATTTTGGATGTTATTCATTTCTGACATAAACGTTGTTTATGTTTTATTACTTGTTGAGCATTTTAATACATAAAAATGAATTCTATTCCCCACTATTTATATATTTACTTATATCCTTTAAGATTCCAAAAAAAGGATTTAATGCTGATTCCCCTGCTGCTTTATATTTTATATATATATGTTTGTATATGTGTATATATATAGATATATATGTGTATATATGTATATATAGATATATATATGTGTATATATATAGATATATATGTGTATATATGTATTTATATAGATATATATGTGTGTATATGTGTGTGTGTGTGTAAATTTGTGATTTTTAGTGGAAGGTCAATTTGGAAGTTACTGGCTATAGGCAGAGTTGTTCTAATGGCCTCTGATAATCAGAATATGTTACTCACCACAATGAACATCTTTAATGTGTTTTAATTTCCATGAATCCTAAGAGGTAACTCTTAGTGTTTGAGATAGTTTAAGATACAGAGAGGCTGTTAGTCTGAGGATGTCCTGTGTCTCATAAGGTGGAATGGCATGTGCTAATGCAAAAACATTTTCTTATTACTACAGGTGTTATCACCCCATATTTTGTTTCATAGGGTGGTAACTTTGCTCTTTTAAAGCATGCCCTCCATACTTTACCTTGGAATGCTTCTTACCATGCTCACAGAAAACTGAAGTTACACTGCTATAGTCTTTAAGATCCCAGAACGCAGATTAATCAAGTCAGAGAACCAAGCTGGTGTTTTCTATTGTCTTTATCTCTCCTTTCCTCCCTCTAACTGATATGCAGTGCATGTCTAATGGCTGTCAGGGCCTGTGCAAAGCACCGACAATATTCGGTTTGAAAAAATAGAAATATTTTCTGCCCTCATACAGTTTACAAATAATAGGACAAAGTAGGCATTAATCACAGAATCACATGAGCATCTGATCAGAACCTGAGACAAATACTATGAAAATACAGCTCAAGCTTCCCTAAGAGTAGAAGGATCTGACTTTCCAAGAGGCAAGGTGTGGCCAAGGGATAGATGGTCTTCCTCGGGAAGGTGATGTTTGTCTGAGACAGGAAGTATGAAAGGGAGGTCAATAGGGGTGTAGAATGGAATGGAGTGGCCATTTAGAGGTGTAGGGAATATTCCGGAGAAATTTCTAGGTAAAGAGTAGCATGTGTAATAGCTCTGGGGATTGAGGGAGGCATAATATAGGCTCTTAAGTGAGCTAGTGAGCCCCAATGCAGACAGTGAGGGAAAGGTAGAGGAAGCGTTCCTTAGGGAAGAACCTGAGAGGCATGGAGAAATGGACAAGAGACAGCACTGCATGTTGGAGGCTGGGGAAGTGGAGAGAAAATGTGCATGGATGTAGTGGGGAAATGGTTGTCTAGTGGGAACTGTACCCACTTTTCAATTTTGCCTAAGGACAGCCTTCCCTTACACCTATGCAGTTTTCTGCTTAAGAGTTTATACATCCTCCCACAAACCCATAACCTCAGATTAATCATGAGAAAAACATCAGACAAACCCAAACTGTGGCAGATTTTACAAAATACCTGACAACTACTTCTCAAAACTGTCAAGGTCATCAAAACCATGTAAAATCTGAGACACTCAGAGCCCAGAAGCACATGACAAATAAATGTAATGTGGTATCCTGGACAAGATCCTGGAACAGAACAGGACATTAGATAAAAACTAAGGAAATCTGAATAAAGTATGGACTTTACTTAGTAATATCAATTTAGGATCTTTAATCGTAACAAATATATGATACTATTGCAAGGTGTTAATAATAGGGAAAACTGAGTGTAGCGTATGTGAGAACTCTCTGTACAATCTTGCACTTTTCTGTAAATCTACAATTATTCTAAAATAAAAAGTTTATAAAGAAAAGTTCTCGTAATTCAGAAAATGAATTTTGAGGGTTTCTGAGCGCCAGCAGCCCAAATCCCCAAACTATATGATATGATTTGGTTCTGTGTCCCCACCCAAATCTCATCTCAAATTGTAATCTCCATAATCCCCATGTGTTCAGGGAAGGACATGGTGGGAGGTGATTGGATCATAAGGAGCAGTTTCCCTCATGCTGTTCTCATGATAGTGAGTGAGTTCTCATGAGATCTGACGGTTTTATAAGTGTTTGACAGTTCTTCCTTGACATTCTCTCTCTTGCCTGCTGCCATGTAAGATGTGCCTGCTTTCCCTTCCTCCATGATTGTAAGTTTCCTGAGGCCTTGCCAGCCATGTGGAACTGTGAGTCAATTAAACCTCTTTTCTTTGTCAATTACCAAGTCTTGGGTAGTGTCTTCATAGCAGTGTGAAAACACACTAATAAACTATATATGCTAAAATTTCTGAACTTAACGGATCAAATACAATAATTCTATTGAAGATTCCACCACTTTCTTCCTTAAACAAAATAAACATCTCTGCCACACATTCTGAATTTGTTTGATGAAAGTAAAATTACTTACATTAAACCTTGCATTCTAGTCATAATAAGCCTTTTTAAATTCTCTAACCAGGTTATCTGAGGCTTTTATCTTCCTTGGCTGATCCCACTACTAGAATATACTTTTGTTTTTTCTGGGCTACAATAATGCTTACTCCTTTTTGGTATGCCTGCCAAGCTTTAGTGATAGTTCCTTCTAGAAGCTATCTCTGATTTCTTCAAGTGTGTTTCCTTTCTTTCCCCGTCGCTCCTTTTGCCTCATTCTATCACAGCACTAGTCACACTATTTCAGGGCTAATTATTTACTTTCTGTAAGCTCCTAGGCAGGAACCCACGTCTTATTCAATGTGATATTCCCAATATCAGTCACAATTCCCATGACTACAGCAAGACAGTCAAATAGTTTGGTTAAATGAATAACTGAACAAGTGTTGGTAATCCCTTTAGGATACCTTGAATCATATCACAGGTACTGTATAAATGCACAAGGATAACATCTAAAAACGTATCTCTTGCTCACCATAGGATGCTGTGATGAGAAGATTTTGGCTACAACAAAAACAGATGGCTCATCAAGACTGTCAAATGGGTCAGTTGGTATCCTGGGCATCACATCACAATGAATTTTGGATTTTCTTCCTAAATGAAATAAGCAGAAGTCAGTGGAGCATAAACCACCCCCTTCTGCCCCACCCCCCGCCAATGGAAATTGAGAACAAGGGTATTTGGCAAAGAAGTTTATTAAGGACTTGGTAGAACAATTATCTCCAAACTTATTTTTTCTTAAGGGATCCACCCTTGAGACGTACAATTACTGCTCTATTTAATCTTGTGACTCACTGTATCAGAGGAGGCAGAGGTGCCTCCCAAATTACGAAGCAGCTTGGAGGCAGCTGGGAAACTATTTCATGCTTCCTTATGGGTTCAAGCTATGCTGTCTGACAATTTTTCTTTGTCCTCTAGAGGTGTGTCCTTTGAGGTCTTCCTGCAGCTGGGAACCCAAAGCATTCTAAGGGCCCTGTGAGGCTTGTAGTACCCACTTTCCTTTTCCCCAACTCACATAGCATTTATTTTGGGAAAGGAGGGTCATGTTCCTCATTAGTCATATTGTTGACTGTCCCTTGGTCCCCAGCCCCAGAGTATTAAATGGATGGAATGAATCGGATTTAGGGCACTGTGCTAGAAGGATGGGCGTGGGTAGAGAGGGTGGTGGGATATCATGAGAAGCAAATGGAGTTTCAAAAAGTAGAGTGGAGAGTCTCACAGAAGAGCTCAGAAAGGCGTTGTTTTGGAGAGTGCTTGAAACAGTTAAGAAGGGAATGGGATTCAATTTCTTAGGGTTCCTTTCTTGGACTTTAAAATGTATCAGATTTAGTTCACAGCCTTGTTTCCTGTGGACATCTACATAAAGACAGCAGTGTCCACTCAGCGGCAAGATGTAAACTGCTCAATTAGCAATGGCTGATGGTTCAAGCTGGGTGTGAGAGAAGAGAACAATGAGGAGCAGGGCAGGGGAAGTCTGCAGTATATGCCAGAGGAAAGTGACTCTGGTAAGAGCCAAGAAGTGGTGTTTGAATTAGACCAATAATAAATCCATGAAAATCCATGCTGGCACAAATCAATACTAAATCTTCATTACTTACAAATTTAGTTGTAAGAAGAGAAGTTAAAGCCAAGATGAAAATGCCAAAGGAAACTAAAACACTTTAGTCAGCCTACATTTTTTTTGACTTCCTTAAGGATTCTTATACTAGCTTCTGATTCTGCATTAGCAAATTTGCGTATCAGCTTACTACTTACTGCTTAGAACCCTGTTGTCTATTGTCTTGTTAATAAATTGAGATTTCAATTACCAGAGTTACATTCCAAGAAAATGATCAAAAGATGATGAATAAAAGATTATTGTTAATCTTCATGGAAGAGAAACTCTACCTTGTTGACAGGAATTAGTTCTTTTATTTTAATCTTTGATTTCTAATTGATACCACTTGATGATGGATGTTGCTGGATGGGAGTCAAGAACAGAAAAATAGCAGAGATAGAGGTTGCATTTGTGTTTCCAATGGGAGCAGTTTTTCAGGTGACATTTTTTTCAGATTTGCTTATTATTAACCTACAGCTTCTTCTGAAAGTAGCCTCTTCCATCAAGCTGGAAGGTATTGCACTCTTTCTCTCCTTATCATCTCCAGGGAAGAAGTCTTGAAAAGGTAGACCTTCCATTAGCTTTATTTCTCTACCTCTCTTTCCTTTTTCTGCCTACAGCTCTCTGACTTCACTCTGACAGTTCACTGACATGACTATCTCCAAGGTCACATGTGACCTCCTGATGAACAAATCCAGACAGTGCTTGCAAGAATGTATTGTATATGATTTTTCTGTTCCATTTGACATCAAGAAGTCTTTGTATTTGTTGAAACTTTTCCTTTGTTTCTGCTTTTCTGATCCTTCTCCTGAGTGAATGCTCTTTGTCATTTTCTTCTCTCTTATTCTAACATGTCATTTTCTTCTCTCTTATTCTAAAATGGTACTGACTTTGGTCTTATTCTTTTTGTATCTTCTACACTTTTTCTCAGTAGATTTTTTGCTTGTTAGCTATACATAGACCCCTCTCAAAAATGCATGATCTAGTCAAAACCTTCCTTTTGAGATCTCCACAAAAATTTCTGACTGCTTTCTAGATAGTTGCACATAGATATTACACAGGTCTTCAATACAACTTGTTCTTCACAGAATTTAGCATTCTTATGCCATGTGCATAAATCTATTCCTTTTCTAGAATTGCAAATTTCATTTGATGATAGTGTTGTTTAACCAGTCCCCATGCCAGAAAGATATACAAGGTCAGTTGTCCCATCATTCTGTAGATCCAATCTGTCCCCAAGTGAAGTGGATTTTACTTCTACACCTTTCTCTCTGTGTTTTAAAAACAATACAAGTAATAGGTAATTATTGTTAAAAATTATATGACCCAGAAACATAAGGAAGAAAGAGAAAAAAATTCTCCTTGAATCTGTCTGGTCCATAAATCCCAGATTGCACAATAAAATTCTGTCCACAGCCCAAAGAAATAGCACCCCTTCAGCCACTCTTTGGGTCTGCCCTGTGCACACCCATTACATAATCTACTCTGGGTAAGATGGGCCTAGAGAAGTAGAACTACACAGGGGCTTCAGTGAATCTGTGTCTGAGACACCCAGAGTATGATGTGAAAGGTAGCCCTATTGCATTGCCCATGGGAAGGAGAGTAATCCTGGCCAGAGGGAGAAGGGTTGTTGCTGGAAGAGGCCCAGATGAAGTGCAGGGCTCAGGGCAGAGAACCCACTTGCCTAAGGGTAGCAATAGCTCATAGTGTAATGCAGGTTTCATTTGAATTAATGCAGAAATTGAGTAGGGCCGAGACTACAAATCATTTATTTTGTTTTTTATTCATTAGATATTGAGTTATTACAATAAACTGAGTCCTGTCCATGTACAGAAGAAACGACTGGTGAGAAAGCACAATTCCTGTTTTCAAGGAATTCTCATTCATACAGAACACCTTAAGGTTTTATGTAGATCTTTAGCAAAGTGGTTGGGCAGGCAGACTATAATATTAATATGGAAAAATTCAGTGGTGACTATATTTCTGTGAATATTCTCTAAGTATTATAAATAAATGTCATATTGCTAATATCAGATTTAAGGACTGTAATTATTTCAGAGTTTAAAATGAACCAAGAGTCTATTGTTATGTAAATTTTATCTTTAAGAGAAGGGAAACTTTGGGCTTTAGTTCAGGATTGCTGATATCCATTATTTTGAGTGCACTGCCCTCTGGTGGTTTGAAAAGCACTGTTTTCATTTTTGTTGGTTTTCCCTAAGGCTCCCTGGAAAGAAAAGATCTAGGGGTCTTTGTTGACAAGATTTTTGACATTGTGAATTTTCTCATTCAGATTTGTTGTTCTACTTATTCCTTTTTTTTCTTGCAAAGACTTCCATACTTATTCAAATTATGTTAAAATAAAATTGAGCAAAATAACTACCTCATGGAGAATTGTAAACAACATTCTGAGAATTGCAGAACCAGTTCTAATAAGATTTGGAGAGAAATACCTCGTTAAAACATTTTAAGATTTATCAGAATAAATAAACATGAAAGAATGGTCCAGAAACTCTGCAATGCTCACCTAAAAGAGAGGAGGCTTTCAACAAAATACAAATACAAAAAGTATTATAATACAAAAGATATTATAAAGATACCGTAGTATGAAAACCGTGGAACTACTGTCAAAATAGACATAATGATAAATAACATAGAACTAAAAAAATTACAGTTACAATTTTTTTTGGTCTTAAAAATGTAGCATTTCAAGGCTATTAGCCTATTTATCAAATAACATTAGAATAACTGTGCTGCTTGGAAAAAAATTTGAAGTGATACTTCAAGCTTACATTAAAACACTTGATATGTTGAAGTTTAAAGAAAAAAATAAAACTAGGAATATTACAGAGAAATAATTATGTTGTCTTGGGTTGTTAATGGCCTTTGAAATGACATCAAAATCACAAACTAAGAGGAAAATTTTTGTTGGTTTGTTACATAAATAATAAAATATATTGATAATAAGTAATATAGTGTATGGCATTAAAAGCAAATGCACAGAACAGAAAAAACTGCAATATATGATGGAAAAGGTACTATATAATAGTGCTGTATAAAGAACTTACATATTCATGAGAAAAATTTCAAGAAGAGCCAATTCATAAAGAAGTATTAAAGGAAAATGAACAGAAAATGCTTTATTTTGTAATCACAGGAATGCAAGTGAAAATAGCAATGCAAGATTATTTGTCACATATCAGGTTGACCAAAAAGGAAGCATTGACAAAGTTCTGGGTCATTTTGGGGAAATAGGAATTTCATATACTTGTGAATGAAGTGTAAAGCAATGTCAGCTTTTTTGAGAGTAGTATTGCAGTGCAACATGAAAATATACTTCAAACATAGCAATTCCAATTACAATAATTTTCTAAGAATGCCATCACAAATCTGAGCAAAACAATGTACTTTTAGATTGTTTACAAAGCTGGTTGAATTTTGTGTCATCTTTATCTTCTATTTTATGTTTTTATACATTAGTCTGAATTTTAAAAATTATTTCCACTAATCTTTTAAAATTTTCATGGAATTGACAAATAATAATTTTATTCATGTGTCACCTAATGACAGGGATTTCTTCTAAGAAATGTAACCTTAGGGGATTATATATCTTTAGGCATAGTATGTAAGTACAGTGTACTAAGTACTATAAACTGTAAGTATACTGTATAGTAGGTTATGAAAGTACAGTGTGTAGTAGGTTATATAAGTACAGTGTATTTACATAAACTTTAGGGCACTGTGTAGTAGGCTATGTAAGTACACTGTGTAGTCAGCTATGCCATCTAGGCTTTATGTAACTACTTTATAAACCTAGATGGCATAGTCTACTACACAACCGGATTATATGCTATAGCCTATTGCCTCTAGGCTAAAAACCTGTTCAGCATGTGACTGAATACTGTAGGCAATTACTACACAATTTGTGTATCTACACAAATCTAAACTTAGAATAGGTTATGCTCTATGATGTTATAATAACTAGCCCACTAGGCAATAGTAATTTTTCAGCTTCATTATAATGTCATGAGACCACTGTTGCATATTGGTTCATTGTTAACCAAAACATTGTTATGTGGTGCCATTACTGTATATATTATATATTTATGAGGAATAGTGAATCCTTACTATAACAAGTGTCGTGATAAATGCTGGAGGTACAATGAACAAGATGAATCCACTTAGTTGGAAGAGTTTTCTTTGCTACTTTAAAAATTAAGTAAAGCAATGTAATTACTTACATTTACTTTGGCAAATAGCTTTAAAGGGTTAATTACAGCTTTATATTGTTTGTAGAATAGAGATTCTATTAAATGTAGAATGCATGAAAAATCTCTGCAAACAATGAGCTATAGATTTTTATAGGACCTTGTGTTATATCTTTGTATCTGCATGCCTATCTTTCCAACTGTACAGTAAACTCCTTTAAGGCAACCATGTATCATTATTTTGTCCAGAACTCTTAACGCAATGGCTTCCATATGGAAATTGTTTAGCAGTTATGTGCTTTGGAGCTGAGATGAAAGCTAAAAACACATTTTGGATTAAGAACAAAGAAATCTTGACAAATTGTAAGCAATTCAGTTTTCACTCTAGTGTTAATTTAGCCCCAAATACATACATTTCAACTAGAAATCCTGTACCTTGAATTCTGCTTTTAGTTAGTTCTTTCTCAATAAAAACAAAATCACTGATAAACCTGAATCTAGTGGCAAAGTTTCTAAGTTCTGAGCTGGGATGGCCTGCATTTCTCATTTCC
The DNA here is from genome assembly GCF_000001405.40 of Homo sapiens. Lineage (NCBI taxonomy): Eukaryota > Metazoa > Chordata > Mammalia > Primates > Hominidae > Homo > Homo sapiens. The sequence goes on along the minus strand of NC_000006.12, from coordinate 55,978,233 downwards.
CAGTGTCTCCTTACGTGGGGTTCAGTTCACTTCTTCCTTCTTATTAATAAGGCAGAAAGATCTTAGTTTTTGCTAATATACTTACTCAGCATATAGTCTTTGTTAAGTAATTCCTATCAAACATTTTGTTCCCATTCTGTTTTTTTTCTGCACAATTCTACAAAGTATGGGAATTTGGTGAGGCAATGGAGAAGTACTTCAAAACTCTCTTTAGAAGCAGGGGTGTAAACTAACAGACATTTCCTGGTGGGTGACACCATCATACTTTCTTTGGAATACGATTAAAATACACCTCCTTTGGCAGCAGCAAGAGGGTTTAACCATTTTACACCAAAATTCACATAGATGACATATGTATCAGTTTGTAGGTATATACAAACTCGAGTAATCATTTATTTTGAGAAGTCCTTGTTGAGTATACAGCTATACCCAGTTTGCAAGTGTTTCTGAATTGCAAACATGTGCTTTATATTTTGAGACCTAGTGAACCACATTCCCCTAAGAATCTGCTAGCAAAAGTGTCAGAAAGCTTCTCAGCATGTTAGTTCCTCTCTGTTATTTCTAGTTAAAAGTGTTTAAAAAGAAAGATGCCTTCACCAGCAATACTGAATATCTATACTTTAACTATCACAGAAGAGGTCTTGCTGCTGTTTTGGAGAGGACCTTTTAAACCCAGCTAAAGGACAATTATGAGGAATTGCTCACTTTTTGATGGTCATTCTTTTGTTTTGAGACGGAGTCCCTCTCTTTCCCCCAGGCTGGAGTGCAGCGGCGCAATCTCGGATCACTGCAAGCTCCGCCTCTCGGGTTCACGCCATTCTCCCGCCTCAGCCTCCTTAGTAGCTGGGACTACAGTCGCCAGCCACCATGCCCAGCTAACTTTTTTTTTGTATTTTTAGTAGAGACGGGGTTTCACCGTGTTAGCCAGGATGGTCTCGATATCCTGACCTCATGATCCGCCCGCCTTGGCCTCCCAAAGTGCTGGGATTACAGGCGTGAGCCACCGCGCCCGGCCTTGATATTCATTCTTAATGAATCTACCATGTCTTTTGATGAGAGAAAAATCTGGACTCTTTTGAGGAACAATTTTGGAACAATTGCTAAAATTTTAGATAAATGTATACTACGACCAGTCAATTCTGTTTTCAGGAGTCTGACCTATAAAAAGATAAGGACAAGTGAGTAGTTACAGGTATAATTAAAAATGTTTATTTTAGTTTTTTTGTGATAGCAAAACAAAAAATAAGAAAAATCAGTATAAAGGCTTATCAATAGAAGAATGGATAAATATATTTTGTTATATCATAATGTGAAATACCAGACAACTATTAAAATGGAAATTAAAAAGGCGTATATGAACTGACTTGTAAAGACAGACATATCCATATACTGTGAAGTGAAAAAAAGGAATTTTGAAAATATGTATTAATTAAAAATTCTTGACATAATAAATGAGTTCAGCAAGATGGCAGGACACAAAATTAATATTCAAATATTAATCACATTTCTATACAGTAACAACTAACAATCTAAAAATAAAATTGCCACAATAATTTCATTCACAATGGCATCAAAAGGAATAAACATACTAGGGAATAAATTTACCAATAAAACTTCAAGACTTGTACCATAAAAACTACAAAACATAGTTGAAAAAGTTGAAGAAGATCTAAATAAATGGAAAAGCATTTCAAGTTCATGAATCAGGTCAGAAGACTTAATATTGTTGAAATAGCAACATTTTTCAAATTGATCTGTAGATTCAATACAATCCTTACCAAAATACCAGTTGGATTTTTTTCCCCTAGAAATTGACTAGCTTATCCTAAAATTCATATGGAAATGTAAGGGACCCAGAATGGCCAAAAAATTCTTGAAAATGGAAATAAAATTGGAGAACTCACACTTTCTAATTTTATTTTTTATTTTATTGAGACAGAGTCTAGCTCTATCACCCAGGCTGGAGTGCAGTGACACCATCTCACCTCACTGTAACCTCCACCTCCCAGGCTCAAGAGATTCTCCTGCCTCCGCCTCCCAAGAAGCTGGGATTACAGGTGCGTGCCACCACACCTGCTTAATTTTTTTGTACATTTAGTAGAGATGGGTGTTTTGCCTTGTTGGCCAGGCTGGTCTTGAACCGCTGACCTCAGGTGATCCACCTGCCTCGGCCTCCCAAAGTGCTAGGATTACAGGCATGAGCCACTGCACCCTGCCATCTACTTTTAAAACTTACTGTAAAGCTTTAATAATCTAGACAGTGTGGTGATGGCAAAAATATAGACATGTAGATCAACATAATAATATAATATAGAGCCCAAAAATAAACCTTTACTTTAGTAGTCAATTGATTTTCAACAAGATAATAAAGCAATTCAGTGGGAGAAATATTCTTTTCCACAAATGATGTTGGGACAACTAGATATCCACATTCAGAAGAATGAATTTGGAGCCTTATCTCGCATTATATCCAAAAATGTACTCAAAATGAACCAATGAACAAAATGTAAGAGTCAAAACATAAAACTCCTAGGGAAAAAAAACAAAACAAAACATAGGAACAAATCTTCATGACCTTGGATTAGCCAAGGACGTCTTATATATGAAACCAAAACCACAAATGATAAAAGAAAAATAATTAACAAGTTGAACTTCATTACAATTAAAAATTTTTGCTTCAGACAACACCATCTACATGAAGTGGTATCCCATCTACAGACTGGGATAAAATACTTGGAAATCATGTATCTAATATGGAATTTGTATCCAGAATATATAAAGAATTCCTATAACTCAATAACTGGAAAGCAAATATAATCCAATTAAAAATAGTCAAACGATTTGAAATAGATATTTCTTCCAAGAAGATAAAAGAATATTCCATATGCACACTAGTAGATGTTCATCATCATTAGACATTAGGGAAATGCACATCAAAACCATAATGAAATACCTCTTTATAACCAGTAAAATGACAGTAATATTAAGTATAGACAAAAGCAAGTATTGATTAGCATATGAAAAAATTAGAACTCTTAAGTTTGCTGAGAATGTAAAATGGTGTAGCCACTTTAGAAAATAGTTTGGCAGTTTGTCAATGTTAAACATAAAGTTACCATATGGCCCAGCAATTCCACTTCTAGGTATCTATCCAAGAGGAATGAAAACAAATGTCCATAAAAGACTTGTGCACAAATGTTCATAGCAGAATTATTCACATGAAACAAAAAGTGGAAACTACCCAAATGTCCATTAACTGATGAATGGATAAACAAAATATATTATACCCATATAATGAAATAATATTGGATAATAAAAGGAAAGGAAGTACTGATACATGCAGCAAAATGGATAAACTTCCAAAACGTTCTAAGTGAAAGAAGCCAGACACAAAAGACCACATATTGCATGATTCCATTTAAAAAATGTCCAGACTAGGAAAACCTACAGAGACAGGAAATAGATTAGTGGTTGCCTATGACTTGGGGGTGGGGGCTGGGGGAAGAGGAAATGACTGCTAAGGTTTCTTTTTCAGTGGATAAAAATGTTCTAAACTTTGAATGTGATAATGGTTGTATAAAACTGTACAATCACTAAGAACCAATGATTTTAAAAATGAATAAATGTTATGGTATATGAATTTATTCTCAATAAAATTAAAAAAGCATTATGTGTAACAAGATTCAATTTTTGTTTAAAAGTACATATATATCTATGTGTTTAAATATCTATAATTTGTTTAAATATATGTATATGTATTTAAATAAGCATAGAAAAAGATGGGACTATATACATTCAGGAAATTGTTAATGACTCTAGGGAGGGAGGAGGAAGGATTGGGAGGGAAGTATTCAAACACTACTTTATTCAATTCTGATTTATTTTAATATGTTTTAACACACAAATTGATTTAGTGTTTCTTATAAGGAATAAGTCTATCATAAATACATACTCAATAGATTAGTATAATACATCATGAATGTAGCTCTTGTTAATGATGGGATCTGTTCATTCATTTGTCAATTAATTATTGACACTAGACTATGTCCTGGAGATAAAAAGGTGAATGATATAGTTCCTGATTCCAAAGAACTTACATCTAGTTGATACAGAACTATAAAAACAAATCATATTTATAACTTGAACACCCTTTCTCTTTTAAAAAATCACTATTTCTCATAATACTATTTTATATCAAGTGGGAAAGTAATATAATTTTTTCCATATCACTATTTAAAAATCACTTTTCTTTATAACATTAAATAAATCAACCTTAAATCTGCTTTCTCTTTTATATAAGATTAACAACTACAGTGTTTTCTTGGATGCATGGACATTATGAAAACAAAACCCTAGCATACTGCATTTACTTCTACATCCCTATACTATAAGTATTTCCCTATCCTTTAACTTTCCACCCATTTTTAGAATGAATTATAAAAATTATTTATCTGTATAAGTTATTTTATCTCTGTATCTATCTGTAGAATGAACCGATAGTTGGTTGTCAATAGCAACAGTAAGAGTTCTGAAGCAATGAAAATGAACAAACTTCAGTTAAGCTTAATTTGCAATAAATAAAGAGTATTTGTGTAGTATTCACACCTTTTTTCAGTAGCTTGCTGGGAAAATAATTCAATTACAGTTTATAATTCTAATCAGGTTCACTTCAGTCAGATGAATTCAAATAATTCATGTATCACCCTGTTTCTCTGTTTAGTGATTTTCCATGTATCAAGTTGTCACATTTGAAAATGTAATAGTATTTTACAAAATTAAAAATATCTGATATAGGGAAAATGTATAATCTTTTGGAATTGAGGTTTGACATACACAGCACCAGACCAAGATTTTTTAAATTATGCTTTCTTTATATTTTTAGATTTCTGTTAGTATAGGCATTTTCCATGCATGCATTTATTCGAGATACATTTATTGAACTGTTGCTAAATTCCACACACTCTTTTAGGTAATGAGGAAGGGAAAGTGAGTAGGATATAGTCTCTGCCTTAAGGACTCATGGTCTCTCTAGAAAGATAAATAATAATGGTAAGAAGCAAAGTGGTAGAAAGTGAAATGAAGAGGTCCATACAAAGGTGATAGCAAAGAAATCATCAAAGAAGTATCTGAACATAAAAATGTATTTAATTGAAGTACACACAAAGAAAAGGAACGAAATAATTTTATTAACATATTAGTACAAAACTGATTATTTATTGCAGCAAGAATCTTGAAATCATAGATAAAAAATTAAAAAATTTAAATGACTTCAACTTGGATCTTAAGATGTTAATGCATTGTAAGAGGAGATATCTTATTTAAAAACAACTCAAATTTAAATTATATTTAAAAATTTTAATGCTATGGCATCATAAGTCAAAGCAATATTGATACTTTCTATTTTTCTTTTATTCCTCTAGTTTAAAAAGTCATTTAAAAGTGAAAACTGAAGTTGCTTTTGAAAAAAAATTCTTTTTTAAAAGTAGCCCCTCATGTTACACAAGTGTATTAGTTGTCTGATCTCTCCACCTTTTCTACTTTCATTCAAAATAGAAAGGTATGTCAGCATCTTGCTGCCAGAGTCCTTGACTCACGTGTCCTTTGAAACCCTTTATCATTTCAAGTTATAGTTATTTGTAGAGACATTTTAGCTTGTCCAGACTATAAGCTCCTTGATGACAGGAGCTTTGCCTCTTTATTCTTGCATCTGCCACAAATCCAGCGTAGTTCTTGTAGAAATAGGTGCTCTGTATTTATAGCATGCATAAATAATCTGCTACTAATCTAAACTTGAACTACTGAAATTTACATCTCTCCTAAATGACAAATGTTGACTTAGAAATATTTCTCTAAAGTCCCTGGAAAAAATTAATCAGAATCTAAATATATCATATCACTTCTTCTGTACAGTCCAGCGCAACTATTCTTCCAGGCCCATAAAAGTGTCTGGGACATTTGCCACAATGTATTACTTTAAAATTTAAAGTTTCAGCACTTTTGAAACTGTTTTCCCTTTTAAATGCTTTCAGAATAGTTAGGATTTTCTGCCACAAGGTAGCACTAACAAGCACACTACCTTGAAAACAAAAAGGATTCACTGAGATCTAGACTCTTATTTCCAAAATAACCTGAAATAATCAACTAGATCTAAATAACATTAAACAGATCCACAATTAAATATTTGAAGAGACAATGACATGCTTTGGAAATTTGTTAACTTATTGCAGTTCATCAAGTATAGATGCCTTTCATTGTAACTGGCAATATTCTTTTTTGTATGACTAAGAAGGAAAATACATTGCCAATTAAACAGTAATACAATGCTTTCTTATCACTTAGAAATTTTATTTTATACTTATTGAAAAAGTTATTTTGTAATTATTAGACATAGACATTTACCTTACATTACACTAGACTGTTTCCACATTTTTCTGGGTATATGGTAACTTTATTCATTGTTGAATCATACAACAATCTTTTTGAGGGCATTTTGTGGCGATTACACTCAAGATACATGCCCCAAATGCACAAAACTATTAAAATTGCGACCAAAGAAATAGCTATTATGAAGTTGGTACATGCTTAGGCATAACAGTTGTATTGGGAATGACACCAGAATGACAGTAAATTTAAGATGGCTGATTAAAATACCAATTTCAGAGGTCATTGACTATTTTGTTATGAAATAATTTGAAGTTAGAATGAATAAAATACAGTATGTTTAACTTTTCCTGTGTTAATTCAACTCAAACTTTAGGTGATAATTGAAAGCCCTGTTCCAAGTTTTGAACTCCTTTTCCCACAGCAATGTCTATTTTTACTGTCCTTTTGAGAAAGCTTGTGTCCAACCTAGTCAAAAAGAGGCCTTTAATTTGCTCTCCCACTACTACTGAACAGTTAGAAAGACACACATTTTAGTGTCTGACTGAAATATTTCTTCCAACTCATGAGACTAAAGATGAAATGAAGAGACAAGTTCACGGTCCTCTGAGGTTAAGTGTTCTATGACTAGATTCTTTCCAATCACAGAAGTAATTTTCAACTTTGATCTTTAAAGGAGTAAGATATAGGCCCCAACCCCAAAATCATCTTTCTAATTGTACTTAGATTTTACTTTCTGTGTCTTACCAGTGTCTTAGAAGGAACTTGGCATTTGAGACTTTTCTTGCTTTGGCCAGTGCTAGAACATGGTCTCTCTCTCTCTCATATGGTTGAAGGCTTATTGGAATTTCAAAAAAATGTCCATAGGAGATCCCACTTTCCTTAATTCTGTATTTAATGATTCCAATTTAGCACAAACATTAGGATTCAAGAAAGGTTATATATTTTAAATATACTTATATTTTAAAAAATATAAATATATTTTAAAATATATATTTTATATAAATTATATAAAAATATTAATATAGTTTATATAAATTATATAACATTAAAAATATTTTATATAAATTATAAACATATACATTTATATATTTTAAAACATATAAATGTATATTTTTTAAAGTTCTAAGAAAGACAATAAAATCTCAATATAGTACAAACTGAACCCATCATTTTTCTTTTAATCTTTTAAAATTCTGTGTGCTCCCTCTTGAGGGTTGATGATAATTGCCATTCACTCTGTTGTCCAAGCCAGAAACCTGAAACATTCAAAGATTTGTCCCAGGGAGGCTCTTATCTCAAGTCTTTAATTAATTGCCTGTCTCCCACTCTAGGTTTTAAGCTTTGATAGGACAGAGATCACGGTTATCGTGTTTACTTTTGCAACCTCACTCCCTGGTACATAGTGTATATATTAAGGTAAAAACTCAAATGAAAATTCACTTACTTTGTGCTTTAAGCAAGTGAACTCAGTTATTTTTAGTCAAGGACTGAGGTTGGAGGGAAACATGGATTTTAATCTCCTACATTAAAGATTTTATTTTGTGCTTATTTTATACCTTAATAGGGCAAACTCATGTATGGTGCCTAATAATTACTTAAGACAATCATAGTATATACAATATTTTAGAATTAAAAGAGAACTTAGAGATCAGTTTATTCTAAATACCAGGCCCAAGGATGCTATATATTATCTGAATTTTTAAAAAGCAACAGCAATGATGCAGGGGTTGGGCAGTAGGGTTGACTTGAGTTTTCTTTGTGTCTCTGGGAGTCTAGTGTTGCTAACAGAATGTCTTCATAAACAAATTAAAAATTGTTGGGTTCAACTTACTTTCTGATAAAAAGTTAAAGAATCATTTATATCTGGCTCTGACTTTGGCTGGTAAAGTTAATATGTTACTGATATTTTGACATTGAAATTTAAAAAATATCTAAATGTGGATTTCTTTTCTGGGGTATAAAAAGCACTTCGGAGGATATTCAAGACTGTTACAAGTGAAATGAGAGGGAAACGTTACAGAAAGTTAAGCCTTTCATTTCTTAGTTTTGACAAGCTAAATCCAAGTAGTAAGAGGCAAGATAGTATCCTAATAAAGCATGCCTCACTGGTTATAATTGAGTTTATCTGTTCTCATCTCTAGCACATCCAGCTGCCAAGAATTTTAACAATCGCAGGAGGATTAGGGAAGCTGTATACAGTTAGGCTGGTTAATGAAGTAAAGTGTTACAAGAAGTAAAGTGTTACAAGATGGGAAAAACATTCAGCAAAAATTGACTTTGGTTTGAATATGTCATCTATTTGCTTCTTATTTTGAAATAAATTATGTAGGAAGAAATGTTATTATCCTCTATACTTTCTATTTACTGTCTTTGTTGGCATCAATTGTTCACTAAAAATATACTTATTAATAGAAAATATTTTATAGAGAAAGGGAGCGAGGAGTGTTTTAATACCTATGGAATCCCTTCTAAGTGCCAGATATGTTAGGTGCTTAGAGCTTACAGTAACCTTATTGGATGGTTCTTATTATTTCCATTTTAGAGATGAGGAATGTGAGGATTATGGATGTTAAGTATCTTGCCCATAGTAAACTGGAAACCAAGATGCCAGGTGGAAGAGTCTGGATTCAATTGCAGGTCTGTCTCAACACCAAGTTGATTTTCCTTCTACTCCCTTTTGGCCACTTCCCACTCTACTACTGCCCTGTAAAACATTTTGCATGTGTTCTAACTCAGATTTTGGCTCAGTGCATGGAAAATTGCATCTACAGGACATCAGAGCATAAAGTTAGTCTTTCTTGCTATTACAAACATTTTCTACTACAATAGTAAATCAGAGAAAGAATTGATCACATTAAAATGATTCTTATTGTTTGCCCCAGAACTACAATCACATGTTATTATATCCCAAACAAATATACAACATTTTAAAAGTGGTTAAAATAAAAACAATAACTCTTTTTGAAGGATAAAAAGAAATATGATATGCTGGTACAGGTAAGCAATTGGGAATCCTAAAGGAATATAATTTGGATTTAATGTATCTTCTCATGTTCTCGTCCCCTACCATTACCCTATTTTACAAGAAAAATAAAGAATAAAGGTAGTTTACTTTATTTCTCCTTCACCCTGAAATCTTCCCTATTTCTATTACAACAGCTACTATGGCTGCCAGCAAAACTTTCTCTGGTCTTTTGAGCTTACCAACCAGCTTCAGAAGAAGGGATCAAATGGTGTGTGTGGAATTCTTTTCATTATTAAAGAACTAGCTATTACTTGATCAGAATGGAATTTGTTTCTCCTCTTTTAGGGTAGCAAATGGTTAAAGGATAATACAATTTAAATCAGAGGAAAATCAATAAAAATGTCATCATAAAACTAAAAGTTAAGGCTAACATACATAATGATAAATTCAAAACCGTCTATCTAAGACTGAAGTTATTAATAACATATGCTTAACCATAATTTGAACAATTTTATTCAAAATAAATAGTTCAAGTACTTAAGGAGGCTTTCCATTATAATTGATTTTTATTTTTAAAGTTTAACAACCATATATCTAATGTAGTAATTACTTTAGAAATGTATACAACTTGGATATTATTTAAATATTCAGAGAACTCATTCCAAATCAAAGTGATATATTTGAAGCCTGCACTTCTTTGGGTCAACATTCTTATCTGAAACGTAGGGAAACCTACGTTAAAGCCACAAAATGAAATTACCCATGTTAATGGCTTATGCTTAAATAATAATCTTATAACATGACGCAACAAATACAATAAATACTAATTTTCTCACAGGTAAGTTTTTACATATGTTCAGTGAGTTTGTTATTCAGTAAAATGAGTTAGAAAATAGCTCTTTCCTTAAAAAGGGCGATTATAGCACAGGTTTTGATAATTTAATTAAATGTAGCCCTTCAGTTTACAGTCATTCATTTACACAGTATAAATCTTAACACATCCACATCACAGCACCATAATCAATTTAAGAAAATATTAATAACAAAAAACTACTCCAGGTTCCCAAAATGTTAGGCTAATGCCTTAAAGTGATTATCTTCTAGAGTACCTGTGAAAAGTATTCTTTTAGTTAGTTGGCTTATTAAACAGTAAGAAAGAAAGATGCTCTATATAACCTACAAAATCACATAAGACTAAAAAAAAAACCTTTACAGCTCAATATATATTATGTTGTGTCCTTGATGGTTTGAGAATTGACATATGTTAAATAGAACAAAACTACAGTTGTATTTTCTTATAGAATGGCCTAGATTCTAAGACTGTAAACTTCTCTCATGAACTTTGTTCCTAATTCCCTAATTTTTTGTTCCACTTAAGAACCCAAGAGTAGGAACAATTGGGAAGATTCCTATTTCACCACCTAGAAAAAAATCAAAGCTCTGCTTTGGACATGATCTTTCCTTTTCATCAGTAGTGTGGGGTTTTAGGAGAGGTTAACCATGACCACATACCCAAATCCAAATTTGGAACTAATTGAAAGATAGGTATAGAAGTCAGACGTAAGATGGGGAAAATACCAGCTTCAGAGGAGACCGAACCTGGAGAGACAGATGTGGTGCAGGCATGTGGCCACGCTGGACCTTCTAACCTTGATTGGTGAAGTACATAGGTCTGTCCTCCCAGTTGTTGGAATCACAGGCCTCCCTGACAGGGGCAAAGTGGTTTCTCCTGATAGTGGAGAGGGCATCTGTAACTGGAAGATACGTTGCTCTAATGGAGAGCTCCAAAAGTTGAGCAGGGTATCATAAAACTCCTTTTCCCAAATTCCCCAATCCAAAAAGAAGAGTAAGAGAATGAGCAAAGAATGCACTTACTAGACAGTATAAATTTCTTTCTCCCTAAGACAAAGGTAAGAGTGGGAAATGTGTGTTCTCTCTCAACCCTAAATTTGCACGAGAAATTGCTGCCTAGTCGGCCAGTGCGGTGGCTTACGCCTGTAATCCCAGCACTTTGGGGAGGCCGGGGCGGGTGGACCACGAGGTCAGGAGATGGAGACCATCCTGGCTAATACGGTGAAACCCCGTCTCTACTAAAAAGACAAAAAGTTAGCCAGGCATGGTGGCGGGCACCTGCAGTCCCAGCTACTCGGGAGGCTGAGGCAGGAGAATGGCGTGAACCTGGGAGGCAGAGCTTTCAGTGAGCGGAGATCACGCCACTGCACTCCAACCTGGGCGACAGAGCCAGACTCGTCTCAGGAAAAAAAAAAAAAAAAAAAAAAAAAAAAAAAAAGAAATTGCTGCCTAGTCATTTTGAATTTACTAGGACAATAGGCAAAAAATTCTGTGTTAAGTAATGTTGAGCATCAGGAAGAAAGGGGATTGTTGCAACCAAATGGATGCGTGGAAACCAAGACTGGGATGGAGGGTGGAGGTGGGTGGTGGAGGGAAGGATGCCCGGGGAATACTTCATTCTACTGCTATAGCCAATAGTAAACATTAACACAATACTACTGCATCCTACACAGGCTTCTTCAGAACAAAGGATAAAGGTTTAAATCACCCCGCCAGAGGAAAATCTTCACCAGCTGAAGGTGGCCGAAGGTAAGGAAAATAGGGAATCAATGGTGAAGGAGAAAGTATCAATTATAGTTTAGAACAAGTTGCTGAAAATGAAAACTCTGGTCTCTCTATTATCCTTAATGTGTTTCCTCTTCCTTTTCTTTCTTTTTCTAGTACATCTAGGGTGTATTTACTGTTTTGCCCAAAGGTTGTAGAATATTGGGAAGGCACTGTTAAGAAACTATGAGAATGAATATTTCCCAAGATTCAAGATTCAGGGAACAGAGGCCCTACAGCATTACACAGAACATTCTCTTATTGATGGTCCTTACTCTGTGAAAAGTTTGTTAACTTCAAAGAAATATAAACTTTCTATATCACTAAGTATAGAAATACTCTCTATGTTACTAAGTATATCTTGTATAAAAATACAAGATAGAGCAAAAAACAAAAAGAGCTCTGCATTTGAAATAATTAATAGAACATAGAGAATTGTGGATCTCAATGATGATTTCCATCTTGTTAATGCCTGCTTGTAACAAACTGAAAAAATTAAATCAGAAATAAGTGAGGGTATGATATTTTCAGAAAATAGCAACGGATAATAGACTTTACTCCATGAAGTCCTGTTGTATATATATATAAATTCCTAACCATTACTAAATATCACATTTTTATTTTCAAAATAATTTTTATATACAACACTAAAAGAGATCAGTTTTAGAGGGTGCTTCTGGGAAGCATACTTTCTTCTTAATCAGAATGCTTCCTTAATTTGGGGGGATTCTCCATTTTTGGTCTTCCTCTTTTGAGCTGTCATTAAATATTAATTTCTAATATCCAAATACATAACTGGTGCCATCCCTATGGAAATAAAGAAGAGATAAATGTAATGCAAATGCCTATGGTAGTATTTAATAAAATATACCTTTCTGGTGTGTTCCGATATTTTAATCTGGTGTTTTGCCGCTAATGGATCCAGTTAGATTTCATATGAATATTCCTCCCCTATAAAATGCATCTTTAAATATATATTTTTCCTTTCTCTCAGCATGTTTATTTTACTATATCATTTTTTCTTTATTTTAAACTTTTCTTTTCCACCGCTTCTTAAGAAAAATCATTATTCATATGGGGCAACAAAAAAAAGAGCTGGCTGGAAAGAAAAATTTGATGGAGGCTAACCGAACATGAAAATTGAAAATCAAATGGGTGAACCATATTCAGAAGCAGACAAAGAAACTTTTCCTGGTAAATGTTTCAGGACTGAAGTGGCTTTGTGAAGAAATTGGGAGAGATGGTAGATAGTTTAGAAGTGTGTAGCCCCCTTCCCCTCCTCCCCGCTTTATTGCTCCTGCTCCCACTATGTGAGATGCCTGTGACCTCCCTTTGCCTTCTGTCATGATTGGAAGCTTCCTGAAGCCTCCCCAGAAGCAGAAGCCACTACGCTTCCTCTACAGCCTGCAGAACTGTGAGCCAATTAAACCTCTTTTCTTATAGATTACCCAGTCTCAGGTGTTACTTTGTAGCAATGTGAGAATGAACTAATGCAAAGACTAAGTTATAAAATGAAGGGAAGATTTTACTTTTATGATATGGATTTTTAAATAAAGCTGTTCTAGTGACATCTAAAATAATTTGTTACTTACCTGAGATTCATTAACTAATACAGAGTGCAAGGGTTTTTGTGTTGTGCAATGCAGGTACTGCAGCGTATTATTTAAATAGTGTTCCTCATTTAGCTAAAAATCAGTGATCAGAATTGAATGATTCGGTTTAAAAGTGTACAGGGCTAGGGTAGTGAAAAATAAGTTTGTCTGTTATATTCAGAAGAAAAATTAGAATTCTTAAAGTGACTGTTTTGGGGAGCCAAATTTTTTACTTTTGCTGTTTTCAGAATAAAAGGGTGTCATAACAAGGGCCTCTCTGGATTTGGGCCCAGAACAGTGTGATTCTGTTCCACCCATGCTGAGAGCCACCTGCGCATGTGTGGAAGCCTATTCACAGTCTCATGTTGGCATCTCTGCAGGTCTTTTTTACACAGAGGGGAAGACATCTATCTCAGATATCTAGAGTGGCCAACCATACCAGTTTACCTGGGAGTTTCCTGGGATTTGGGACCTTCAGTGTTAAAACCAGAGCAATCTCAGATTGCTCTGGGGTAGAGGATTAGACATTTTACCACTAACACAGAGTGAGTAAAGAAACATTGTGGCCACTGTGTATCAATGAAGTGGACTTAATGTCCTGATGGGAGCCAGATATTTTTCTTTATCTCTCAGCTAATCCTTCAGAATCAGAAGGTGGCAGGTCTGAAATCTTCAGATAACTTCTTGCCACACCTCTTTGATCACGGAGTCATTAGATCTTTCACCACTCCCAGAGAATGAGCAAAAGCCCCCAGTTATCTTGATCACATTTCAGTGATGATGTGCAGTGCAGCTCACATCAGAGGCAGATGTGTTTCCAGGAACCTCAGTTGATGTGCTACAACCAGGTGGGTGATTATCCAGAGGCATATACTTATTTTAGGCATTTCCCTTTGGCAAAGTTTAGAAGAGAAAGTTGTATTAATCTTCAGGCATAAGTAGTATAATCTGTCAGCTTGGGCTGTCAATCTAAATGACAGAGAGAAGCTCTCTAAAAGAAAATGATAGTTATTTGGGAATAGAGCACTGTAATGGGAATGTGCATGCCACAGTGAACTCTGCATATTCAGAGAGGTGAAGACAGGCAAAGGTTTTTAAAGGAAAAAATGAGGAGCATTACATCATTATTCTTGGCTACAAGGATCAATAACAAGAGTGGCGCCAGCTGGAGGTTGGACAGGCAGTTGCAAGGCAGATGTCCTTGCAGAAGTATTTCTTGTATACGTTTGTGATGGCCTTTTTGCCAAATTGTGCTTTCTGCAGTCTTCTGTGATAGTTCTTGTTATCAGTCATGTGTGCTCGAGAACTTTCCATTCTTGACTTTTCCTGGCTCTATTTGTTAGGGTTTCTTTTTTTTGTTTTTGGTTCTTTTCACCAAAAGTGAGTCTATATAAACTCTAACAACTTTCATAGGGCAGCAGAACCAAGCTGTCTTTTGGATGTCTTTCTGTGAGAGGATCTGATGACCAGATATTTCTGGAATTAACTTTGCATTTATTAATCCTTGAAGCATTTTTGGGGTTCTGGTTCAGAAGGTAGCCTGTGTATTGTTGTTGCCAAAATCTCTTCAGCAGAAATAGTAATTTGACATGGATTTTCTGATTAATAATAACAATAACTTAGAGTCTCCCTTAATTCTGAAATTTATGGTTCATTTGTTGAATACTCTGTTATCCTTCACTTCTACGTCTGTCAACTTCTGCTTGTTTCCCTCCAGCTCACAATTTTATTGAATAAACTTCTGTTGTAGAAATATAAGTTGTCTGATAGAGCTATTTAAGGTTCTCAATTTTAAGCTTAGGGTTTTTCTGTGAATATCCATTGGAATTTTGGCCAGTTTTGGTTAAGAAGTGTCATGTTGCATTGTGTTTGTTTGTTTCTCCTACAAGACAACTCATTTTTCAGTTTGAACTGGAAAATAGTCTCTTTATCATCGATTTTTGTTAACATATTTCATTTTCCAGAGAGAAAGGAGAAAGGAATGGAAGGGAGTGGAGGGGAGAGAGAGAGAGAGACAGACAGAGAGAGAGAGAGAGAGAGAGAGAGAGAGAGACATAGAGAGAAAGAAAAGAAAAGAAAGAAAATTTAAA
Source organism: Homo sapiens (assembly GCF_000001405.40). Lineage (NCBI taxonomy): Eukaryota > Metazoa > Chordata > Mammalia > Primates > Hominidae > Homo > Homo sapiens. The sequence continues at coordinate 55,962,586 of NC_000006.12, read as the reverse complement.
AAAGAGAAGCAAAGAAGTAAAAAAAAAAAAAGGCAGGTAGGCAGGCAGGAAGGATAAAAAAATAAAAGAGTGACAAAACATTCTTTATTTCTTTAAAGAATGTGGAAGATCCTCTAATTAAAGTGTTGTGTGTGTATAGGGCTTTAGTATTCGGGTGAAGAAATGGCTATGTCCAGCCTGCTGTTTGATGTGGACTTCCTGGGCTGTCTGTCTGTTGATGAGTCTCCATAGGATCCATTTCTTGGCCTGGGTGGCTTAGAATCTAAATTTTATCATTTTACTCAGGTATGATCAAGTTTCTAGCGAACTCAATGAATTCAATTAAAATATTGATTGAAGGTCATGTCTGCTCTTGTACCATCTAGCTATGAAACAACATTATAAAAGACAAAGTAATTTGAAAAAGTTTTAGAAAATAATTAAAATAAATCAAGATCCTACTGTCACAGGTTCTGCATTAATTATAATTGGGAAAGGTATCAATCTGAGTGAGATGTTTCAAATGCAGATGGAAATGTTAAACAAAACCAATGAGGTATTATGTATTGTTCTGGAAAATTCTTTACAAAGATTTATGGTATCTGTATTCTTATTAGCATCATGCCAAAAAAGTGACATTTTCACTTCTTGTTCCTAGAAAGTCTGATTTAATTTGGCCTATTAAAAGCATGCTATCAGTGATCAGTTTCCTTCTACTGGCACATTTTACTGCCTTTTTTTTTTTTTTTTTTTTTGAGACGAAATTTCACTCTTGTTGCCCAAGCTGGAGTGCAATGGCGCGATCTCAGCTCACTGCAACCTCCGCCTCCCGGGTTCAAGTGATTGTCCTGCCTAAGCCTACCAAGCAGCTGGGATGACAGGCACGTGCTACTACACCCAGCTCATTTTGTATTTTGAGTAGAGACGGGTTTTCTCCATGTTGGTCAGGCTGGTCTTGAACTCCTGACCTCAGATGATATGCCTGCCTCAGCCTCCCAAAGTACTGGGATTACAGGTGTGAGCCACCATGCCTGGCCACTGCTTTTTTTATTATTTGCAATTATAATTAAGGTTTATGATCTTCAAAAATAAAATCTTGAAAATATTAAAAATAAACCATAGCATTTAAAGTATGCAAAAGCTCCTAAATATTGAAGTCTAATTATTGTTTTTCAGCAGTCTCATATTTTAATAAGGAGCTGAAAATATTTCCATGTACTAATATTTAGCTCTTTCTACAAAGGATATTTTACAGCCTAGAAGAATTATAGAGCCTGTGTAAGTACGAATTATATGAGAGAGGACAAAACCATCTATTTTATATATCATGTGATAAAATAATCTATTTTTATATATATTATAAAAATAGATCTTTTTATATATAAAATCATATTTTTTATATATATTACAAAAATAATATAATTTTATATATATTATAAAAGTAGATCATTTCATTATGAAATTCTCTATAGATTTTTGTTTTTTCTCATTTCTCATCATATATGGCTTAACAGTAATGCTGTATCTCTAAAACTTGATGACTTGACATGTAGCATCTAAATAATTATTATGTTGTACAATAAACAGGGAAAGTCACTTAACTTCTTTGGCCTTTTCTATTCTTTAGAATGAAAGTTAAAACCCCTCTAGCATGTGGAGTTCTTGGATGAAATGTGCTTTGAAGTAAAATGGTTCCTCTGTTTACTTAGTTTGACATTACTCAGCCTTAGGACTGTTGAGTTCTGTTTATTGAAAAAGGTGTCTCAGAATGAAGAATATCTTTTACCAGAGATGCAATTCTTGTGTTTGCCTTAGAGCCGTGCTTATTGAGCACACGGTCTTGTCATAATAGGCACTTGATTTATATTTATATTTACCCCTCTTCTGTGATATTTGCAAAATGAATATGCGACCTGTCATGGGAAATTTCTGCCTTCAATATCTTTCTTTTCCTAATCTAAATTTATGGGAGAATCTGTGGGACTGAAATTAATGGAAATTACTCATGTTATTAGTCCAGATTCCTGACTTTTGTTTCCCTGTCACTGGTAAAACTTCAAGACCCGTTTCTTCTGGGTATAAATCAGGTATGACTAATGTGCTTGGTAAGAATAATTTAATCAATTATTTTGTTAAAAAATACCTATTTATCATGACATGGAGCAAGTCATGGATTCTTTTGCAGCCTAATTGTGAAAAAGACGCAGCTCAATTTCAGAGCTCTGCTCCCTGTCCTCTAAGCAAGCAAGGTTAAGTATTATTTGGCACGGCAGAACTTAGAGAATTCGGGATGATAGTAGTGGGTGCTGCATGGTAGTTTTGATTTAGAACTAGAAGTTGACCAATGTGTTGTCACTGGTTTGTATCTGGCATTGAATATTTCATAACTTGAAGTTTACATCCTTACTTGTGAGACTCTTAAGATCTATAAAGAAGAAAAAGCATATGAATTTTTTTTTTTTTTTTGAGACAGGGTCTTGCTCTGTCATCCAGGCCAGAGTCCAGTGGTGTGATCTCAGGTCACTGCAACCTCCACTTCCCAGGTTCAAGCAATCCTCCTGCCTCAGCCTCCTAAGTAGCTGGGATTACAGGTGTGCATCACCATGCCCGGCTAATTTTTATATTTTTGCTAGAGACTGGGTTTCGCCATGTTGCTCAGGTTGGTGTCAAACACCTAGGCTCAAGTGATCTGCCTGCCTCAGCTTCCCAAAGTGCTGGGATTACAGGCACCACCGTACCTGGCCAGAAATTGTTAATAAAAGTCAACAATCTTAACAAAATAGAAGTAGTAATTTAAAATTTGATAGTAAAATTTATGTTTCAAATTAAAAGTCAGCATCTTTCTCTTCAGTTGTAATGAATGGTATAAAAACTGCCATTATTATCATTATTAGCCAGGCTGTTCCAGAAATATTGGCTTATGCAGTTAGGAAGGTGCACAAAATAAATGGTAAGAAGGCAGACTTCAGCCTTTGCAGATGTTAAAATTACACAACTGGAAAACATGAGAACATGTTTTCTGAACTAAAAATAAAAATACTAAACGTGATTACAAAAGTGAGTAAGTTATTCAGAAAACAAAAAGAAATATAAATCTTCATCCAAATAATTACTGGATAAAAATATAAAATGGAATAATATATTGTAGAAACAAAAATAATTGTGCACTACCGATATCAAGATAGCTATAAAAAACTTTAATGAAAGGCATGAAAGAGACTGAAGTGAAAGTAAAGATGAAGACATACTTTGCTCCTGGACAAGAAGACTCAGTAGTATTAAGTTATTAACACTGTCTTAATTTATACTTCCTTAATAAATTTTTATAATGCAATCTCAATAAAAACAAGGTTATTTTTAGTGAAAGCAAAGTGATATTAATTTGAAAATAAACTAACATTAAAATATACAGAACTATTTCTAAGAAGATGAATAATAAAGGTACAGTAGTCCCAACTCAGTGTTACAATATTTTATAATGTGGGAGAAACTAAAACTGTGCTTTACTGGAGTATGAATAAGCAGATGGATCAGGAAAGAGAACAGAGTCCAGAAATATTCATAAGTGTGTTTCTGGCTGAGAGCGACTTAATGAAATCAGAACAGATCTAATCACTCACTTGATGCAAATTACCATCTTCATTGCAGCAGAATAAACTGGTTCCAGTTTATTTAGGTCATTTAGGTTTGGTGATAAAGGAAGAGCTACTATCAGCCTCCCTGTATTCCTTTGTGTAGGTATTTTCTCTCTTTCACCAAATCTAAATTTGTTTCCTCTCCCTCTCTCTCTTTTAATCCATTGCTTCCTATTTGGGGCTTTTCTACCATTATCATGGAGTTGTTTTTTAAAAATGCAATCATTTGTGCCCCTTGTCTCCAGGACCAAACGTTTATATTAAAAGACATCAAATGTACTCAAAGGGTCTTTCTCTAAACCAACATATAGGTAAAAAATGTATGGGGATAGATCTTTTTGTTTAAAATTTTTAGAGAAGCAATATATTTTTATGGGGCTTAATTTTACAGCGTTTGTCAATTAACCAAGTTACATGAACTGGAATGAAAACATGCAGGTTTCCTGTGCTACGCACCTTAAGAGCTGTGAAAAACAGCAAGACCTTGGCAAAGATTGTCTTCAGAAGACGAGCAATCTGGTTTCAGTAGGATCTCTCCATTTCGTGCAACTCATCCTCTATCTCTTAAATCCTCTGCCTTTAAGCCTGCTCTTCTCTGCACCTTACAGCCTTCCCTCCTCTTCCAGTATATAGGCTCCATGATTCAGCTGATTTCAGAGTCATGCCTGTTTGCTCGTGGATTTTCTTAAGGATCTCAACTTCCTGAGGCAAAGTTGTGCAGATGTTTTTCATCAAGCTTTGGTCAACTGAAAGGAAAAAGTGACATTTGCCAAACTATTTATCTGTCTTTTAATTCATCCTTAGATGGCGGGTCATGAGTCAGCATGGATTGTCAACAGTCTGTATCTTAAACTCTTTTTATTAAGTTTTTATCTGTGAGATAGACATCATTTTCCATTTTCTCACACCAGTGGCTAGTACTCCATTGGCTGAATTTATTCCATCTCCATCAATTTCCTTCCTTATTACACATGCCCCTAGATTCAGAGTCAGTAGCAACCCCCATCATCAGTACACTGCAATTATTCAGAACTTTAATTTCAAACATTTTGTAAGTGAAAACTTCTATGTCTGAGACTTCTGGCTTAGTTTGGTTTGCTCACTGACCTGAGTATTATTATAGGAATTATTAAGAAATTATTTTAGGCAGATAGAAAGGATAAGGGTTCCCTTGGTAAGGTTTTTTTTTTTCTTTTAAAGCAGCTCCAGAAACATTTCTTGTCTAGCAGAAAAGCAGCTTGAAGGGCCAGGCTGGCAAGCTTTGATAAGCGAATGCAGGCCATTAGAAACTGGGTCCATCCAATACGGCGATTCCGCCCTCTTCTCCTTGTCACCCCCTGTGGCAACCATCATGGCTGTCCCCAGATAACCCCACATATGCAGGACATCACGGCACCCTGCATTTGCATATTTAAAGGCTAGGGTGAGAGGGCCAATTTTTTGGCTGGCTACGTGAATGACATACCTGGTCAAACCAATCCCCTGGGCCCTATGCAAATCAGACATCACCTTCTCCAGCCTCCTAGTATCCTAATATAACCGCCTGTTCCTGCCTGCCCCTGCCTGCCCCCTACCACCCCAGCACTCGGGGTTTCTTCTCTGGGCTTGGAGCCCCCTCCATCCGTCTCTGTATGGGGGAGCTTCTTCCTTCTTTATTTTTTGCCTATTTAACTCTCTGCACCTTAAAACCACTCCATGTGTGTCCCATATTCTTTTATCTAAATCGGCGTGAGGCAAAGGACCCTGGTGTTCCTCCAGTCATCGGAGCCTTATCAGTATGTTGCTCAGCCCAGCTGTTGATTTCTCTTCTGTGTTCTTCTTACATCTGATATTTTCTTCTCAAGCAAAGGATTTTTATTTGATTTTCTCTTTGTTAGCTTGGCTTCATTAAAGGAATTTGTTGCCTTTGAAAATTTTACTGACTTCCTTATAAGTTTAGCTGAGCAGAAATAAAATGTAATATAATACTAGTTCTATTATCTGCTATTTAGAAGACAGTCTCTATACACTTAAGAGATGTTTAAAAATACTCTAGCTTCCTTCAAACTTAATGTATGTCAATTACAAATAATTCACTTGTCAATTCCAACTTGTAATTAATATCAAATGTTGTCAGTCGTTACCATGTGGCTGTTTAAACTTGTTATTTCTTTCATTTCAAATTCCCAGCATTCATTTATTATATAAAGTGTGAATGAGATTCTTAAGAAATAACTTGGGATGAATTTTTAACTTATTTATAGACTATGCCAGTGGTTTGCAAACTTTACTATTTATCAGAATCACCTGAAGGCCTTGTTCTAACCCTGACTGCTGGATCCCACCCACAGTTTCTATCTGGTAGATCAGGGGAGGGGGTAGAAGAATTTGCATTTCAAATAGATTCAGGTGATGCTGATGCTGCTGGTCTGAGGATCAGACTGATCTACATTCATGTAAGAATTTTACTAACATTTTTGTTTGCATCTTTATTTCACTTAGTTTTAAAATTTCACCAACATACTCCATTTCCTAAGTTCTAGAATCTGATGTTTTATATGTAATGCTATATATTAAAGCTCTTTACAACACATACATACACTAAGACGTGTTCCTGATCCTCTTTACATATTCCAATTCCTTTTCCCAGAAACAAACATTTTCTACCCTCAGAACTCCTGATGAACATTAGATCAGGCTGGTTTTTTATCATCTAGGGCAACAATTGGTATCTGAAAGAACTGCAGTATCAAAAACTCTAATACTTGGGAATAAAAGAGGACAACAAAGGATAAATACCAAAGTAGGTGTTAGAATAAAAATGCCTAAATAGAATAATGGCATGTTTGAAGTTGCTGGGCAATTTGAACATTAGTGCCTAGAAATCCAGGAAGTCACCCAGGAGCTGAGTTGAGGAAGGTTTGGCCCTAAGTATACTTATAAACAAAGATAATCCTACAGATTCAAAGCAATAGCTATAAACAAATATCTGTTTTGAAAGAGCAGAAGACTTTGGCCTTACCTAGTGAGTCAGTGTCCAATTTGACTGTGTGACATGTGGACTGTCTTCTCTCTAGAGAAAAATTGGACACCAGAAGCTGTCCTTGCAAGGCTCTACTGGCCCTTTGTCATCCAGGAAGCCTTTAGGCAATGGCTTGACTGTCATTCCTTGTGAAGTCTCAATTGCCAGGTGTATTTTATTGTCTTGAGAACCTGCTGATTCTTTAAAACCACGAATTCCTCCAACTTCCCATGGTTCTCTTGGGGGAGTTCTATTATCCCAGTTTTTTTTCTGCAAGACAAAGCTCCTTTTCTTTTTAACACGTCTGTCCTCTTTCACATTATTATGAATCTCATTACCTAAGTGTTGAATCTTTTTAAAAGTTCCTTTTAATTATTTTATATAATTATTTAAAATTTTCTGCCTTTTAAAAAAATGCTTGAGTCTTATTTTTCTATTTCATACTGATTGGTTCTGTTTGTAACTTTTCAAGCTTTTCATTGTAAAGATGATAATAGAAGCAGTATATTTCACAGATCATGTGCCTCATGATAATTGAGAAAATCAAAGCCAGCTCAGTAGCAATAGATGAAAAGAAGAAAACATAATTAATGTTATATGTTGGTATCTAAGGAAGCTAATAATAACTTATGCTACTTTCTTCACCTCCAAAGTTCAGAATTAATTGAGAACTAAGACACAAGTGTCAGGCCTGTCAAGATATCAGTCTTATTACAGATAAATTTAATAGGAACTGTGGATGGGAACAGGGGGCCAAATGAAAATTTCTAATTTCCCCTTCTAAGTTTAAATTACTATCTAATCATAGACTGGGATGACTACAGCTTCATTCCTCACCCACCCCAGCTTCATCACAGTGTGTGCCACGAGAAACTTAATGCTTGATGATTAGTTCTTAAAACTTGGAGTTGCTAAAACTGTAAGAAAAATGAAAACAGTTACCTAAAAGAACAGAATTTGCTAACAGGATTTTCAAAAACCACAAAGTAGATGGAGTCTTTACTTGAACTCCATAGAATTAGCTTGGAAATAGTAAAATGAATGAGTTCAGATATATAGATGAATTAAGAGGACTTGCAAGCAATGTACATTGCTAATATCAATTGAACTCTTAGAGCTAATTTCATGAGTTTGGGCTTTCATCCAAAATTATTATCTATAAGGCAATGGAACACTGTGGAGAACAATTCCATTTGTAATCTGAAATAGCTCAGATTTATGGATTGTGCTGGTATAGCCACTCAGAATAAAGATGTCCATTAGGCATGTTCACATTGAGACCATTTCAGCATTTAAGTTCAGCAGATGGACCACAGAGATCTGCCAAGGGAAAGAACTTGATAAGCCTGGGAATAATGCCATTGCCTATGAGGACAAATTTCAAAGGAGGATTTTTGTCTACCTGTCTCCAATTAGCCTAATGAACACACATCTATATTTTAGGGCCCTCTGGGCACTTGGGCAATATGTTCAGTTCTCTTCTGGACTTCATGAAGGAAGCTGAATGTTGTGATTGCTTACTTTACATATTATTTCAACTTGAATAAAAATTAGTCAAGTTTCAAACATCTGTCAATAATTCAGTTCAATCATTTTAAATCATTCGTTAACATTTATTGAAAACTAATAGATACCATACATCATGAGAGTTATTGGAGACATAAAACTGAATATTACATAGTCCCTTTAATCAGGAAATTCATGAGCCCTTTGCAAAGATAGGCTTGAAAATGAATATTTAAAATATAGTATAATACTACCACAATACTAGTGACACAAAGGTACGCTAACAGCACAAAATAAGTGACCACCTTAGGAGAAATCAGGGAAGCTTTTATAGAACTAAATATCAAGAAAATAAATTTGTACAAGGTACTTCCACAACATTCAAATAATATCTCTAGTGTATCATGTACAATAATTTTTGAGATAAAAAACTTTTGATAATATTAAACAATGCTCATTGCAGGAGAAAGATAATTTATATAAAGGTATTTTATTACAGAGAAGAAAGTTGCTGACAAGTAAATGTTTTGTTTTTGTTGTTTTTAATGATAAAAGGAGATGGCATAATGTAAAGGAAACTTGTGAATTTCCCTTGACTTTAAAAATATAAATTTCAAAATGAGCCCAAGGTGAAATGTGCAGATTCAGCTGATGAACTCTATTCTTTCCTCTATGTTTAGGAATTTTGTTTGTAAAATATCATGAAAGAATATTTTGCCAGTATATATAATGAGAAAGCATAAAATGAAGGGGTGCGTGTGCGTGTGCGTGTGTGTTTATTTTAAATTTGGAAGAAGCAATTTACAAGCCAGGTTGTACAAATGATTGTTGTTCACTAGATGGCAGAATACGAAAAGAATACTCTGGCATAGTAAGATAGTACTCTGGTTTCATAAGTGTGCTAGTTAGTTTGATTTAAGGGATTTCATAGCACTGCAAAATTCCGTGATTCATTAAGTGACATTAAATAGATGTGAGTATTTTGAAATAGCCTCTGCCACAGATGAAGGTAGTTTCCATAAATAAACTATAGCATCTTAGATTTGTACACGACCTTTAAAATCATTCCCGTTTTATCTGGCATGCTCCCAAATCTTTGCTTTTTTCTGTGTTTTCTAGGACAGTTATTTTCATTGCAATCATCCTGGCTTCCCAACTCATAAACCTAGGAGGTATTCTTGAATCCTTCCTCCGTCTCGCCCACCCTTAACACAATATTAAGTATCAGGAACAAAGGTCTATTGCTGTACCTCCTCAACAGCTGGACTTTTTGATAGTGCCTCTATCATATCTATTTCCCCTAATACATTCCAGGCACTGCCCCAGTTAAGCTGTCTTCATCTGTTACACAGTCTATTGTAATTGTCTCCTCTCCATCTCTTCTGCATTGAGTCTTGGTGTGACCAAGCTAAACTCCATATTGTCTCAGCATGAGCTTTCCAAAACCCCGTTTTCATCACATCGAGCTATTTAAAAAATGCTACAGGGTTCACTTTTTACTCGTCAGATGGGCAAAACATTTAAAAACAAAATTTGATGAAAACTTGACGTCGCCAAGAATGTGCAGGTAATAGACACTCTCGTGATGGTAAAGCTATTAAACATTTTTATTTATGATGAGCACTTTTGTGTTATTTTTCAATATTAGAAATGTTTCCTTTGAACAATTCCACTGGTACTGGTTTTGTTGCAGCATTATTTCAAAGACCCAAACCTGTAAATAACCTAAACATTTATCACTATAGAAATATACAAATATCTCCTTCCAGTTTGGAATGTTCACATAATGGAATACTTTGCAGTCCCTAAGAATCAAGTTGTGTTGTTAAGAAAATATCTTCAAGGTATATGACTAATTGGAAGGAAAGGGTGCAGAATAAAATGTAGAGTATGTAATTTGTATTAGAATATTTGTTTCATTTTTTTACACACATACAAACACATGTAAATATATGTAGCACTGTAGCATAGTTTTCAACAGCATAGGTCATTTTCCCACACATGCATACAACATATGTAGATACATGAAGCACTGTAGCCAAGTTGTTAAGAATATAGGTCATGGAGCCATAATTGCTAGGTTGAAAGCCTAACTCCACCACTTTAACAAGCTCTAGGACCCCGTGCCAGTTAGTCTTTCTGAGCTTCCGTTTTCTCTTTGTTAAATGAAAACTATAATCATAACTACGTAATAGGGCTGCTGTGAAGATTAAATGGGTTAATAAATATAACTTACTTTGAACAGCATTTGGCATACACTAAGATCTGTATTACTGTTTTCTATAAATTTGTACATTAATCAACTTGTTTCTGGAAGGTAAGTCAAAGGGCTAATTAATCTTTTCATTAAAAATAATGCAAAAATACTATTTTAATAATAATAAAAAGGGGTAGCTTTTTAAAAGCCTTCAGTGGTTCTCCAATGCTTCAGGAAGAATTTCATATTAATGGGCATATCGTGAAATGCCTTTCATGACCATAGTTGTCTCCTTGTTCAGCTTCAGCTTGTCACTCCCCTATGCTATATCACACGCCTCATTCAACATTGTTTGAATCTATGATGTTCTTCAGACATTCTGACAACCTGCCTCTCCCTCCTTCAGACTTCTGAGTGACGTGCAAGTGTGTCCAGAATTGGTGGGTTCTTCGTCTCACCCACTTCAAGGATGAAGCCACAGACCCTCATGGTGAGTGTTACAGTTCTTAAAGATAGTGTGTCCGGAGTTTCTTCCTTCTGATGTTCGGATGTGTTCACAGTTTCTTCCTTCTGGTGGGTTCGTGGTCTCTCTGGCTTCAGGAGCGAAGCGGCAGACCTTCGCAGTGAATGTTACAGCTCTTAAGGCGGTGCATCTGGAGTGTTCGTTACTGCTGTCTGGAATTGTTCATTCCTCTTGGTAGGTTTGTGATTTCCCTGGCCTCATGAGTGAAGCTGCAGACCTTCGCAGTGAGTGTTATAGCTCATAAAGGCAGTGCAGACCGAAAGAGTGAGCAGCACCAAGATTTATTGCAAACAGCAAAAGAACAAAGCTTCCACAGTGTGGAAGCCAAACGGAGTAGGTTGCTGCTGCTGGCTCAGGCAGCCTGCTTTTATTCCCTTATCTGACCCCACCCACATCCTGCTGATTGGTCCATTTTACAGAGAACTGATTGGTCCATTTTACAGAGAGCTGATTGGTCCATTTTACAGAGAGCTGATTGGTCCATTTTGACAGGGTGCTGATTGGTGCATTTACAATCCCTGAGCTAGACACAGAGTGCTGATTGGTGTATTTACAATCACTGAGCTAGACACAGAGTGCTGATTGGTGCATTTACAATCCTCTAGCTATACATAAAAGTTCTCCAAGTCCTCACCAGATTAACTAGACACAGAGAACTGATTGGTGCGTTTACAAACCTTGAGCTAGATACAGGGTGCTGATTGGTGCGTTTACAAACCTTGAGCCGCACCTTGAGCTAGACACAGAGTACTGATTGGTGTGTTTACAATTCTTTAGCTAGACATAAAAGTTCTCTAAGTCCGCACTAGATTAGCTAGACACAGAGCAGTGATTGGTGCGTTTACAAACCTTGAGCTAGACACAGAGTGCTGATTGGTGTGTTTAAGAAACTTGAGCTAGACACAGAGTGCTGACTGGTGTGTTTACAATCCTTTAGTTAGACATAAAAGTTCTCCGAGTTCCCACCCAACTCAGGAGCCCAGCTGGCTTCGCCTAGTGGATCCCATGCCAGGGCCGTGGGTGGAGCTGCCCGCCAGTCCCACGCCACGTGCCTGCCCTCCTCAGTCCTTGGGCAGTCAATGGGACTGGGTGCTGTGGAGCAGGGGTCAGTGCCTGTCGGGGAGGCTCAGGCTGCGCAGGAGCCCACTGCAGGGGGGAGCTCAGGCATGGTGGGCTGCAGGTCCCGTGCCCTGCCCCGCAGGGAGGCGGCTGAGGCCCACTGAGAATTTGAGCGCGGCGCGGGTGGGCCAGCAGTGCTGGGGGACCTGGCACCCCCTCCACAGCTGCTGGACCAGGTTCTAAGACCCTCACTGCCCAGGGCAGGTGGTACCAGCAAGCTGTTCAGAGTGCGGGGCCTGCTGGGCCCATGCCCACCCGGAACTCGCACTGGCCTGTGAGTGCTGTGTGTAGCCCCAGTTCCCACTCGCACCTCTCCCTCCACACCTCCCCACAAGCAGAGAGAGCTGGCTCCAGCCTCGGCCAGCCCAGAGAGGGGATCCCACAGTGCAGCGGCAGGCTGAAGGGCTCCTCAAGCGTGGCCGGAGCAGATGCCAAGGCCGAGGAGGCACTGAGAGTGAGTGAGGGCTGCCAGCACGTTGTCACCTCTCACAAGGCTCTCATGTCAGGCCTGAGGAAAGCCTTCTCTTGCACACCGTGCATCATGTGCACTCACAGCACAGTATTCCTCTGTAATAGAGCTCATCCCCTTGGTAGTTGCTCCTTTAAATACCTCCTCCACTTATTGTGACATTTGAAGGCAGGAACTATGCCTTTTTATCTTTAGATATTTATTGTTTGTCACAGTAACCAAGTATTTGCCTAATAAATGTTAAATTAATAAATAAATAGAATGTAAACAAAATTCCACCCAAAATCCAGAAATGCCTTCTAAAACAGTTTATCAGATATCAGAAAGCAGAAACCTCTCTAGGAATTTCAGAATAGATTATGGGAATTGGTGACATAGGTGTAGGAATGCTTAAAGAATGTAAAGGCAATACTAAGGTATTTAAGTTGAATGACTACAAGAAGAAGCTAGGATAAAACAGGGAAGAGGCAGGTTACAGAAATGATGAGTTTGCCTAAAGGACTCTGTGAAGCTGGTGCTTTGGAGCTCTGAGGGGAGCTCTATTCAATTTGCAATGGGATTCTGAAGAAGGTGTGTTGAGGGGGTAGGGGTCCTGGTGGGTGTCAGACCTCTTTCTGAAGGGGTTGAGACCTGGTGGGACTGAGAATGCTGAGACAGTTTACAAGTGGGTGCTTGGATGGTCCCAGGCTAAGACTCAGTTGGTGGGCATATGGCTTAGCTGATTCTTGGACTGCCAAAGTAGTGCTGCTGGTTACTGCTGGTGTCTCTGAGGGGGTGTGGTGAAGCTGGTGCTAGGATTGTGGCAGGAAACAGGGAATGGGACAAGTCCGCAGCTACAGAGGCAATGCTGGCAGGAAGTGGAGAACAGGAAGACAGACCTTTCTCCCTTCCTCAGAGCCTTCCAGTTTTCCCCCATTGCCTACCATTGGAAGATCTTAACAGGAAGCTAACTGGCAAGGGAGTGTGGGAAAAGTAGTTGGCAGAGTTTTAGCTACAACATAACAGAGTAGAATACAGAAGGTTTGAATTTTGGTAAAAGACAATAGCAAATTAACTAGCTCCCAAAATAATTATACTAAAGGTTTACTACCCATCCCAAAGTTGGATTTGTAGATCTCTCATATCATTGACAGTGTCTATCTCTCCTTTAAGCTTCTGTCTCAGAATTTCTACAAAATATCTTGTATTTATATAACACTTTATGATTTTTCAGTGCAGTTTCACATATGTTATCTCTTTTTCGGCTTAATGACAAAATAATTATTTCTATGTAATCTATTTTTTCAGCTTAGGTCACCCTGTACTTCTTATAGAAATTTTGAGGTTTTATTGTTAATTTTTTTCAATTATTATTTGAAAATATCTTTAGCCTCAGAAAATTTGCAAAAAGAGTTCAGAGATGTATTACCCCAGCAATGTATGAATGTGCCTGTTTACTCCATAGCCTTGCCAACAGGACGTGTCCTCATATTTTTAAAACTTTGCCCTTTAAAAATGGTATCTCAGTGTTTTTTAAATCTACATTTCTCTAATTATAACTGAGTTTAAACTTAAGGTGCGTAGCACAGGAAACCTCAATTACTAAGAGTTCTTTATATATTGGGGATTTTATCCCTTTGTTTGTGGTATAAGTTGCAAATATTTTCTACCAGTTTGTTCATTGCTTTTCGAATTTATTTATTGTGTTCTTTACCATGAAAACATGTATTTTCTTTTAAAATTTTTATACAGTCAAATTTATCAATCTTTTCTTTTATTATCTCTGAATTTGGAGTTAAGGTTGGATAACCTTTTATTACCTTGAGGTTAAAGAGGAACTCTTCCATATTTTCTTATAGTATTTGTGTTATTTCAATTTTTATATTTAGATTGCTAATCCATTTGGAGTTTATTCTTATGTGTGGTGCAAAGTATGGATGTATTTTTCCCTTTTTCTAAATGACTGCCAAATTGTCCCTGCACAATTTATTAAAATGTTCATATTTTTGCTGGTGATTTAAGATGCCATCTTCATCATCTTCTAAGCTTCCATATGTATTTGGGTCTAGTTTGGGCTTTCTATGGTGTTTCACTGGTCTATTTTTCTTCATGAGCCAATACTAGGTACTATGCTGTTTTAATTATAGAGACTCTATATTATGTTTTATTATTTGATTGGGCAGTCTCCTAGTCCCCACTCATAGTTCTTTGTCCACGTTTTCATGAATATTTCTGCATGCTATTTTTCTCTATAAATTTTAGTATTAACATCTCTAACCCCGTAATATGCTTATTAGTATTTTTATTGCCATTGCATTACATTTATAAATTAATAAAAGGAGAATTAACATCTTTATAATGCTTCATTTTCCTATCTAAGAATAGGGAATTATATCCCATTTGTACAAATCTTACTTTGTGTCCTTTCGGCACGTTAAATTTTCTTCTTTCAGGTTTTGCAATTTCTTAAGTGTTTTCTAAGTATTTGATATTCTCTGTTGCTATTACAAATGAAAGTTTCTCTACCTGTATAGCTCAACTTGGTTATTATTTATTTAATTTTTACATCAATTTTATATCCTGTTACCTCAATTAATTATTTTTGTTTTGAGTTAGTTTTATGCTTGATTCTTAGATTTTCTAGGTATACTCTTATCTCATCTGCAAATAGTTTTACTTCTTTCTAAACCCATCATATGCCTCTATTTCTTTTGTCTAATTGCATTAGCTAATATCTCTGTTACAATGTAGAATAGTAGTGGAGAGAGTAGGCATATTTGTAGGCATATTTGCCTTGTTACTGATATTGGGGAAACATCTTCTATGTTTCTCTACTAAACCAGACACTAGCTTTAAAACTAAGATGTACACATTTTACAATATTAAGAAATATTGCTCAATTCCTGCTTTTGAATTTTATTTTTTATCATTAATGGGCATTGGATTTTGTCAAAGACTTTCTTAGCCTCTGTGGTGACAGTCATATGATTTTTTCCATAGATTTATTAATGTGGTGTATGATATTAATGGATTTTCTAATATTGGACCACCTTGCATTCTTAGAATAAATCTACTTTGTCATTGTGTACTATTTTCAATATCTGGTTTTGGATTATGTTTGCTAGTGTTTTACTTAGTATTTTTTACATATGACTATATGAGAGATATTGGCCTGTAATTTTCTTTTTCAGTCTTTATCAGGTTTGGGTGTCAGTGTAAAATTTGTTTCATAAAAGGACTTTGAAATTTTCCCTTCCTTTTCTCTGGAATAACTTATAGAGCATTGGACATTTCTGGTATTTGAAGGTTTGGCAGAATTATCCTCTAAAACCATTTAAGGTTTTTGCGTGTGTGTGTGTGTGTGTGTGTGTGTGTGTGTGTGTGGTGTAGTTCCTGTTGTCAATTGAATAGTGACCCCCAAAAGGATATGTTCAAGTCCTAATTTCTAGAATCTATGAAGATGACCTTATTTGTAAAAAGAGTCTTTGGGTCTTTGCAGATATGATTAAGGTAAGGATCTTAAGACAGGATCTTGGATTAGAGTGGGCCCTAAATCCAATGGCAGGTGTCCTTATAAGAGACAGAAAATGATAGAAAACACAGACAGAGAAGAAGGCCATGTGAAGATGCAGGTAAAGATTAAAGTTACGCTACCACAACCCAAGGACTGCCCAGAGCCTCCAGAAGCTAGAAGAAGCAAGGAAGGATTCTTGCCTAGAAACTTCAAAAGGAGTGTGGCCTTGCCAACCTTTGATAGTAGATTTATGTCTACAGAGTGAGATAAAAAATTTTTGTTTGAAATTATCAAGTTTGTGAAAATTTCTGACAGCAGCCTTGGAAAACTTATACAGTTTCTTAATAACTGTATTAATTGTTTGGAGATTGGTCTTTTAAAGATTTCTAATTCTAATGAGGTGAATTGTAGTAGTTGGCATTTCCCTAGAAAATTATCTATTTTATCCAAGTTTTAAAATGTATTTGCGTAGATGTCGGTAAGTTATTCTTTTCTGATTAACAATTTTTTCTTGTTTATTTTTCCGTTGACATTTCTTGTTTCTTATGATTTCTTTTGTTTCTGTTGATCAATTTAGGTTGTGGTATCTACGTTTTTAATTTTTTCAAAAAATCCATATTTTTGATTTATTTTCTGGATGTACTATTATTACATACTCTGCCTCATTATTTTCTTTTTTTCCTTTATTATTTCCTTATGTTTTCTTTTGGCTACTTTGTTACTCTGCTGTTCATTTTTTAGTTTTTTGAAATGGGAAATAAATTCATTTATTTCAGTTATTTTATTTTTACTGACAAAAGTATTTAGTATTATAAGTTTTTCTTTAATCACCACTTTAAATATATCCCATGGATTCTGGTATGTACTGTTTACATTGTCATTGTCGTTATTTTCACCTAATGTTGTTTAATAGAAGTTTTTTGTTGTTGTCATTGTGTGTGTGTTTTAATTTTTGTGTGGAAAGACCTGTACTTGAAAACGTGAGTAAAATGTACCCAAGTCCCTAACCCACATCTTATCGTATGTACAATGACTTTCCTGTGACCTCTCAGGGTTCTAGAAAAGAGCTAGCCCAAGGTAGGTTAGCAACACTCAGTCTGAGAAATACAAGTATTTAGGAAATTTCATCTGTTGGGTCCAGAAGTAAAATATTAGGGAGTGAGGCAATTGGTCCCATTTCCTCTTCTTTATTTTCAGCTGTATCCAAATAAATACACTTTTTTAATGCTCTTCTTTTCATACTGCCCATTGTGAAATATTTTGATTAAAACATGTAAGTAGACTATATAAAAACTGAAACAGGCTAGACTCGAACTACAAAAACTAGCTCAGAAGCCAATTCTACACCATAAGTTTATTAAATTGAAACTTTTTTTACATTAGAAATTAGTTTTTCAGGAATTACAGTTGAATAAAGAGTAAGAATATTAGAAACTATTTTGGTATGACATTTTACATATTAAAGTGTCTAATTGAGTAAGTTGTATGACTTTATAGATTCACTAGCTTAGCTGTAATTTTGATATTTAGATGACATATAAAACCAATAATAGATACATTCAAGGATACAGAAGATATCTTAGGAAATTTTCACTTAATCCTAAATTTGAAATCTTTAATTAAATTATTTGAGAATATCATCTGGCTTTTCTTTTGTTATCAGCATAAGAGGTACTGTTGCTCTTAAATAACACCTTTCCTGACTCCTAACATACAGTACGAATGTTTGAATGTTGGTCTAATTTATTTGAGATTAGTTCTAAATGAAGTAAAAAAATTAAATAAGGCTGACTTATTAAAGCGCTTAAAATATAGTATGAAATAAATCAAGTCTCTGAATTCTTATGCTTAGATAGAAAAGCAGTGTAAGTAAAAATAATATCCTAGGCCTATTAAATTATCATTACAATATTGTAGGTATTGAATGGACATGGTGAGTGGAATGAAAATAGTTCAAAATCCCCTTTGAATAAAAATAAATCAATGACATATTTAGAGACTGCAAAATTGAAAAGAATAATTAGTAATGTCTGTTGAAACTCAAAGTTTAAGATGAGTTTCAGTAGCAAGTTCATCTTTGATTGCTTAATAGGAATTTAACAGGCTAGTAGTATTCTCAGTAGTAATGTGCAATTGGATAATATAACTCAAACGTAAACCCCCTAGAAAGCGTTGAACAAAATAAAAAAAATATACTCCATTTTATAAGTAAAATCAACTGCTCGATAACTACGCCAGATTTATAATTTAGAACATATAATTGGCCATCAATCAAGTATAGCACAACAGTTATTGTGTATTTTAAATAAATGCTGAAAGAGAATAGTTCAACAAATCATCTAAAGTTTATTTGGATGGTTCATGGGATTTGGAAACTGAGAACTGAAATTTATAATGTAGGCTCTTTAAACCTAAATCCTGCATTGAATTGTGTTGGTAGAACCACGTAAATGTAAGTTTTGGTCAGAAAAGGGTGATTAAACGTGCAGTTTCTAGATGAAATTGAGAAAGGAAACAGAATGAAATCTATCTCTACATAAACACATCATGCCTTTTATTAACAATACTTCCACTATACAGGATAAACTAGGAAGATTTGTAATACCTGAATCCTAGTATTCAGTAAAAACAAGAAAAATGCAAATCATAATCCAGGATTTTACTAGGATAAATGAGAGATTATTTGGTTGAAAGGACCATTGTGTGGAAGATGAGGAAGAGAAATAAAAGTTCCAAACAAGAACTCCAAGAGACATGAAGAGGCAGTGGGGATGTTATTTTCAACCTGTCACCTTCAACTCTAGGAATATACAGGGACAATGGGGAAAGCAGACTAAGGGATGGTAGTCTTCTTGTCAATCTGACAGAATATCATTTACATTTCATTAGGATGAGTTTGCACATTGGTGTTTGGAAGTTTCCCAGTAGTTATTTCACTATCTTAGGTGTATCTACATATATATATATATATATATTATTTATATTTACATACTTTTCTAGAAACTCCTGAATATTATCACGCTATCTGATATTTTGAAAAACTGAACTATTTTCTGAAATTTTCTGATGATTTCTTCTCTGTTAACACAATTCTATGACTTGAACATTTGTTAGTTCCCGGTGGTGCACAAGAATGTCAGTGAGTCACTAAATTGCTCTAGAAACATTCAAGCTTGGAAGATCTCAATTCTATGAGGCCAACACTTCCCAGAACACCTAATTTTATCTAAAGTACAAACCAAATATCTCCCACATAACCGTTAAGAATTTTAACAGAGAAATTCTAAAATCATATAATTCCTCTCATTCTCCATTCTTTAAACTTCACTAGTCATCCACTTCATCCACTTCAGAAATTGTCCAAAAACTGTGCTATCTGCTGCCAGAGAATTAAAAAAAATAAGCAGAGGAGAGTTATGCCTTTAACAAATATTTACTGAGAAACTACTATGTGGCAAGAGTATAGGATGGTGTTTAAATATTATTTTAATTCTTCATAAAACCTCCAGAATGTATGCTTCAAAGTTTTGTGACAGAGGAAAGAATCCTGTGAAAAACGAAAACAAAAACAAAAACAAAAACATTAAATCCATATCCAATCTGGCTAAGTCTGCTTTTGGGAAAACAGTGACAATGCATCTGAAACAAAAGTAAATTTACCAGATGCCCCAAAACAACAACAACAAATTTTAAAAAATCAATTTTTGAACCTTTTAAAGACATTTTTGCTTTGTTTTCCAGTATTCCAATATTGTATTCAAACTTACTCATATTTTATATAAATTTTGAATTGTCACTTAGTTTTTAAAAGGCAAAAGTCATGTTCACACTTTAAGGATTTTTATAAAATCCAGCTTCATCATAAAATATTTCTATTTATGAATGGGATTTTGGTTTATTTAATCTTTCTTTCATTTTCCCTTGCTAACAACCTTTTTTTTTACCATATTGGAAATATATATTTGTCATATTAATTGAATATATTAACACCTCACGGTCATCTGACTTACAGAATCAGCAGAGTAATTTATAAATTAGTCCTTTCATATACTCTTGTCTTCTCAGTGCTCTTTTAATATTCTGGTGCCAGAAAACTATTAATGTGTTTGTTCATTCCTTCATTTATTCATTCTCTCGTTTATATTGTAGACTCTAATGGAAATATCTGTTTATTGTTTTCTTCTAAGACTTGCAGCTGTCTCCTCTGCTTAAAACCCAATAAAGAATCTGGACTGGGGACTAATCAAAGCAGGCTTTCTATACATGGTGAAAAACTGCAGCATTTAAAACTTGGTTTCTGCTAGCAGTCATGTATTCTTTTGTATGAACTAGAGAAATGGACAGAGAGTGTATAAATGAAAGAAATGTGACAAGAAGAGAGATGGAGGAAGAACCTTGGCAGCATTCGGTTCCCAGGTTTCAGTTGAACCTGACAGCCCACTCTATTTCTGCTGTTGGAACTGTGAAAAGTCTCCGTTTCTTTTCTATAAATTCTCGTACATTGAACCTAGCCTCAATGTGGAGCCTCTTAATTGTAAGTAATTCACTTCTAACCAACATAATTTAATTTTATTAAATGAATGTTACTGAATTTCTAATGGTAATGGGCTATGTAGTAGGCTCTGGGAAACAAAGATAAGTAAGACATTACCCCAATTGCAAGCACCCTTAACTTACCCAAATGCTCGCAAGCACAAGGGAATGCAGACAGCGTATCTTAAACACTGGTGAATTTCTCATAATACCTAAAAAAGTCAATAGGGGTCTCTCAAGATTCACTGAACCACTTTTCACAATGAATTTCCAAAGTATTTATGAGCTTATACATTTTCTTTTCATAATAGGTTACACTAAGCAATTATATGGGAGTGAGTGAGGTGGATTTTGCTTTACAGTGCCAAAACATTTGCCATCCTCTGAGATGCTGAAAATATCTTCTCCATAATATAAGAGTTGAACTTTCCATTTCAAATATAGAATCATCATTTGAACGATTGTATTAGTTGTTACTGAGGGGACTGCAGTATACCCATGCAATATTAGAAGGCTGTAAGACAAGAGATTCCCACACAAGTCACTTGTGTATATACCAAGACTAAAGGACAATTAATCTGTAAGAAATAGAAAAACCTAGATTAAAATGAAAATGTTGCCCATATTCCTGTTGACAATATTGACAATATTCTCATTGAAAGTAGAATGAATGGCTTTTTCTTTATCCCTCGTTTGAGTAACTAGGGTTATGTTAAGAAATTTTTAACTGGTGAACAGAGATTAGTTCTTGACCTTAAAAATATTTTGCTGATTCCTCTTATACAATTAGTCCCTTTGTCTGAAGCTGCAAGTATGCTATGTGTTCAAGGTCAGCTTAAATGTATTGTCAAGTATAGATAATTAGCCATCTAGGTGATTAAGGAAATTAAGTTAATGAGACTGGTTACGTGATGTCCCCTGAGATAGGAATCTGGTGAACCAGACATGTGTCTGTATTATTTCGCCAGGGCTGCCATAAGAAAATACAATAGATTGGGTGCCTTAAACAACAGAAATTTATTTTTTTCATAGTTTTGGAGGCTATAAGTGTGAGATCAAGGTGTTAATACTTTTGATGTCTTCTGAGGCCTCTCTCCTTAGCTTATAGATGGCCTTTTTCCCTATAGCTTCACATGGTCTTCCCTCTGTGCATGTTTGGTATTTGTGTCCTAACATCTTCCTACAGGGACACCAATCAGATTAGGACCCACTCATATGACATCATTTTACCTAAATTACCTTTTTAAAGATTCTAGCTCCAAAAGCGGTAACGTTCTGATGTTCTGGGGTTAGGACCTTAGCATATGAATTTTGGAGGGATACAGCTCAGTCCATAACCATAACAGACAGCTTAACTATATTGCCATCTACAGATGATTAGTGGGTAGCTTATTGAAAAAAACAGGTTAAGCCCTGGTGTGATTCTGTCCTGAGGAGCTGTTCTCTGGAGCAGTAGTTGTTTATCTCTGTCCACCTTCTCTCCCACCTAAGTGAGTGCCACCACCCCATGGAAGATTCAATGGACATGGCAATGAGCCCCCTGAGGCCTCAGAATTATCTTTTTGGTTGTGAACTAAAGGCCGGCAAAGATGATCACTTTAAGGTGGATAATGGTGAAAATGATTACCAGTTATCTTTAAGAATGGTAAGTTTAGGGCCCTGTGGAAAAGATGAATTGTGCATTGTTGAAGTAGAGGCAGAGAGTTATGAAGGCAGTCGAATTAAGTAACACTGGCAACTTTGAAAATGCCTGTACAGCCAACAGTTTCCCTTGGGGGCTTTGAAATAACACCACCCATGGTCTTACAGTTGAAGTGTGGTTCAGGGCCCGTGCATATTAGTAGCTGAGGAGGAAGATGCAGAATCAGGAAGTGGAGGACAATGTAAAACTCCTAACTATATCTGGAAAGCAATCTTCCCCTGGAGGTGGTAGCAGCCTTCCACAGAAAAAAGTAAAACTTGATGCTGCTGAAGATGATGATGATGATAATGAAGATGATGATTTTGATGATGAGGAAACTGAAGAAAAAGATTCAGTGAAGAAATCTGTAGAAGATATTCCAGCCAAAAATGCACAAAAGTCAAATCAGAATGGAAGGACTCAAAACCATCAAAGCTAAGATCAAAAGGTCAAGAATCATTCAAAAAACGAGGAAAAAACTTGTAAAACACCAGAAAGACCTAGTTCTGTAGAAGATATTAAAGCAAAAATGCAAGCAAGAATAGGAAAAGATGATTTTCTTCCCAAAGTGGAAGCCAAGTTCATCAATTATGTGAAAAATTGCTTCCAGGTGACTGATCAGAAGACTATTCAAGATCTCTGGCAGTGGAGGAAGTCTCTTTAAGAAAGCAGTTTAAACAGTTTTCTAAAAACTTTTCTTTAAGTTTAGGGGTACATGTACAGGATGTGCAGTTTTGTTACATTGGTAAATTGGTGTCATGGGGATTTGTTGTACAGATTATTTCGCCACCAGGTATTAAGTCTAGTACCCATTAATTATTTCTCTTGATCCTCTCCCTCCTCTCACCTTCCATTCCAATAGGCCCCAGTGTATGTTCCCCTCCATGTGTCCATGTGTTCTCATCATTTAGCTCCCCCTTATAAGTGAGAATATGCGGTATTTGGTTTTCTGTTCCTGCATTAGTTTGCTAGGGATAATGGTCCCCAGCTCCATCTATGTCCCTGCAAAGGACATACTCTTGTTTTTTATGGGTGCATAGTATTCCATTATGTACATGAACCACATTTTCTTTATCCCATCTATCATTGATGGGCTGTTAAAAATTTTCTCTCTTATTTCATTTTTGTAACAGTTGATATCTGGCTGTCCTTTTTGTAATGCAAAATAAGAACATTCCCCACCATGTTTGTTAAATGTTGTCCAGGTTCTGCTGCTAAGAATATGTTGTCCAAAATGCCTGTTTAGTTTTTAAAGATGGAACTCCATCCTTTGGTTTTAAGTTTGTGTGGAATATTAGGATAGGGCAGTAATAGAGGTCAGACATGGAAATGGTGGGACACGGAAATGCACATATGAAATAAACTCGTAATTTTAATAAAGTAAAAAAAAATACACACACAGGTTAATGAGACTGGCTGTGTGATGTGTCCTGGGATAGGAATCTTGTCAACCAGACCTGTCCTGTTGCTATGTTAAAGGGGATTTGGACCATTGAAACTGTGGTTGCCCAGGCCTGGATTCAGGTGCTTGGAAATACCGGGTTTTTTTGTTTTTGTTTTTTTTTTTCTAAAATCTGGTCCCGTTTTAATTCACAGTTTAAAATTTATTTCTTAAATTTTCCATGTATAAAAAAGTATTGACAAACCTAATCAATGTCATGAATTAAAGTATGTGTGTGTATATAGCTGTATGTGTACTCAATTTAAACGTTTTGTGGATGTTCATTAAAAAGAACTCTTCCAACTTTTGCTAATAGGGAGTTGGCTTCTATAATATGAATAGGTAGCTATTGTGTTTTTCTTTAAGCATGGTTCCGTGGAGAGTTGCATTCCCTGCTAAGCACCAAAAACAGCCCACTCAGTAGAAGAGCTGCTAACCATCAGCTATTAAGTAGTACTGCCTCTAAAAAAAATGAAAATCAAAAGAAGAGAGCCATCTGGGATATAAGAAAACGTTTTTATGAGTCTCCACAGGCTCCTTATAAGAGTACATATACAAGGAGGGAAAGAAGTCCAAATCTTCGGAAAACCAAAGGGTAATTTAGAAAAAAGAAAAATAGTGTACTGAAAAGAAGGCTAACAAAATTATTTAATGCTTACCATATGACATTTAAAGTTAAAATTGATTTTGTTGTTAATCTGTTCGTATGTTTAATGTTTACTTAACTGTGTGTTTATTTTTAAATATCTGTTTTCAGCTTTTCAATGTTTTCCCAAATAATTTTTCTATGCAGTAAACTATGTATGATGCTACTAGAATTTTTAGGGGGTCAGGGAGTTGGTAGAGTTTATACTGACTGAGCCACTGGGTTGAGTAAGAAGATTCTGGGAAACTGTAAGTGCTTTATGATCTCCAAAATCTGTAGCACATCAGCAAATGTTTGAGGAATACAGTATCTTCCATTAACTATAGAAAGACTATTTAAAGGCAACTTATTAATGCAATACAGATTTTACAAATCAGCTATAAAAATGGATCATCTTCCATTTAATCAGCTATTAAATATGGGTCTAGAAAAATTGGATGAGCCTTCTTGTATTCAGAGGGAAAGAATTGGTCAAGTGCCATTTCTTTGAAATAGTACCTCTTGATCATCTGTAGCAACACAGAAAGAGACAAACTAAAGTAAAATTAATGTAGAATCTTAGAAGCTGGAGTAGCTGTTAGAAAAAACTGTCTATGATTGTTGGCTTTCTAAGAGTAATGATGTCTTATGCCTTGGCTCATAACCAGGGAAGAGCAAGGAGGGAAGCATTCATTTGAGTCCAGCTCTTGAGTAGCTCTAAATAATAATACATATTTAGGATGTTACCTGGTAGGAAAGTAAGAGGCCCAACCCCAACTCTCAGTTGAATACTTCGGCCATAATTCTTGGACACTCCTTATCTTAACTCCTAGCTGCTCTAAACATTAAAAATGCCTATACCACCCTCTGAATTGTAAGCTGATTGTGTGTGTGTATGTCATTTTTTGTTTCTTCTACGAAGAGTTGCTAAATTCAGTAACGGAAAGTGATGCAACATGGATGAATGTAATTTAAAAAGAGACATATAGGCAGTGTTGCATAATAGGAGTATGAGCTGAAGCATCAGGCTGTTGGCTGGGCATGGTGGCTCATGCCTGTATTCCCAGCACTTTGGGACATCGAGGTGGGAGGATATCTTGGGCCGAAGGGTTTGAGACCAATCTGGGCAGCATAGTGAGACACTATCTCTACTATAAATCCAAAAAATTAACTGGCTGTGGCGGCATATGCCTGTTGATCTCACCAGCTACTTAGGAGGCTAAAATGGGAGGATTGCTTGAGCATGGGAGGTTGAGACTCTAGTGAGTTGTGACAGCACTACTGCACTTCAGCCTGGGTGACAGAGTGAGATCATGTCTCAGAAAAAAAAAAAGAATCAGACTATCTAGGTTCAAACTCTTGTCCTGTCAGTGTGATCTTGGGCAGGTTATGTCATCTTATCTTGCCTCAGGTTTCTCCTCTATAAAATGGGTATAAATATAGTGTGTCTGCCTTGTATGGTTGTAAGAATTAAGTCTGAATACTATGATATACATAAGAAATCATATTGGAGTCATATTTATCATATATTGAACCATTTATCATATGGGAAAAGTGACAGCCAGCCTTGCTTACCAGATAAAGTTCCCACCTATAATTAACCATCCTGGTAATTTATCAAAAATGTATCAAATTTAAAAACCTACCAAAAAATCCTGCTAGATTTTTTTGTTCTATCGTAAATATTTATGGTGTGCCTGATCTTTCCTGATAATTTTAATCAAGACCTGTATAAGTATGATATGTTTGTAGGAACTATGGGGATTATCTCCATACCTCAGTTGCTCCAGAGAGCCAGCTTCCTTCCCTCCTTTGCCCCTCCTCCTTCCTTCCCTCGTCCTCCCATTTTCTTCTCTTTTTCCTTTTATTTGTCAAATGTTTATGTACCCAATTTAAAGCATTACACTAGGATTTTAGACATGAGTAAAGCCAAAGCTTCTAACTTCAATCAACTGACAGTTTAGGCTGACTGAGGGGACTGAGTTTGTGGCACAGTTAAGTAAACAATCGATTTCAATAGAGCCTGGTTACTGCCATCCCAGGATGTGGCACAGAGTTTTAGGTGAGCTATCATGAGAGGCATTTAACCCAAACTGGGGCAACATTCTAGATGAGCATGTGGAGAGCCTTGGGCAAAGCTTCCTGAGAAGGATAAAAACTGATTCATCCTGCAGACTGAAAGATGAATTGGCCAGATTTGGGTGGGAGAGATAGACTGTTAAGGGATGGAGGAGTTGGAAGACATGGTCTAGAGCAATGTTAGTTGGCATGTTGAATAATCTAGAGGTGAGGCGCTTGACATATTGGGAAGACATAAACAGATCAATGAAGTGAATGAGTCTGGTGAGATATGAAGGAGGGCCAGTTAGTAAAGGCCTTTTTAGTCCATGCTAAGGAGCTTGAACTTTTTTCAGAAACTTTGAAGAGTCATTAAAATTTAAGGCAGAAAAATGGCATCACTTGATTTGAGTTCTAGATTGCATCTTCCTAGCACTGTGGGGAATAGATTTGAAGGATCTAAGATTGGAAGTAAGGAGGCTAGTTGAAAGGACATTTTAGCAATGTTTATGAGAAATTGAAGCCTAGGCTAAGGCAGTGTCAGTGGGGTGAGTGACGTGGATAGAATTGAGAAGTGCAGTTCTCAGAACTTGGTGGCTGCTTAGATTTGGAAAGTGAAGAAAGAGGGAATCCATCAGGATGACATTTGCTGATTAGACTGGGGAAACTACAGGTAGTAAACCCAGTCACTGAGATAAGTGGATAAAGGTATGGAGATGGCTTAAATTCATATCTCAGGCTTTGAATGTGAGCTGCCTGTAGAATATATCTATAGAGTCTGGAGCCCAAACTATGTGGAATATAGAAATAGATTAAGGGACCATGAGGATATAGATGATAGTTGGAGACATGGGATTACATGTAGCATGCAGGTAAATGGTGTGGAGTGAGATGATAACAAGCTGAAGACAAAGGGCTTTGGAGCGTCTACATCTACAGTGTGGCTACACTTTCCATTTGGCAGATGAGGAGGGATACTGTGCGCTTCTGTCAAGATATTCAGTGAATATGGGAACGAACATAGTCAAGTCAGGATAACAGCCATAAAATTCAGAAGAGCAATTTTGTACATGAACATGAAGGGGCAAAGAACTAGGGTGCCGAAGAGAGGTCACCAACTGAGAAGGCTGTGGCAGAAAGTTGATCTCTGAGGAGAGCCAGGTTTTACTTAAAGAATGCAGGTGCAGAGAGCATGCAGGGAAAGGTGAATGAAGGTGAGCTTGGTTTAAATAAATAGAATGAAGATCTCAGGTCAACAGAAATCATTGATTGTGAAGGTAACAGTGGGAAAATGGATTTTTGAAGTAGCATAGCAGTGTAGACATGATAGTACCAGAAGATGAAACATGGTCAGAGAGGTGAGAGTGTGACAGTGACCAAGGATGTTAGTAGAGGTCTGATGTAAAGATGCTTCTAGCAGGTCCAGGCTGAAATGGAGTGAGTGCCTTTTGACATTTGCAGTGTGAGCCTTGGTGTCTTGCCACTGCAGACTTCCTTCCTAGCATCAGAAACTTGGTTTTATCAAATGTTCTTGTGACTGGATTGAACTAGACACTTTCCTTTGATTCACAGTTGAGAAACTTAGCAGAAGGTAATTCTGAACAAGCCCATTCTGCTTCTGCCCGGTCCCCAACTCATTTTTTTTTTTTTTTTGAGATAGAGTCTTGCTCTGTCACCCAGGCTGGAGTGCAGTGGAACAATCTCAGCTCACTGCAAGCTCCGCCTCCTGGATTCACGCCATTCTTCTGCCTCAGCCTCCCGAGTACGTGGGACTACAGGCACCTGCCACCACGCCTAGCTAATTTTTTTGTGTGTGTTTTTAGTACAGACGGGGTTTCACCGTTTTAGCCAGGATGGTCTCCATCTCCTGACCTCGTGATCTGCCTGCCTCGGCCTCCCAAAGTGCTGGGATTACAGGCGTGAGCCACCGCTCCCGGCCCCGGTCTGCGCCCGGCCCCCGTCTCCAATTCTTTAAGGATGAGAGTGTTTTCATTCATATGGTGCACCTAAAAGAAGGAAATTAACCTTTCTTGAGAATCTACTATATTTCCAGAATTTTGAACCTCTTATATTAGCTCCATTATTTTACATATAAGGAATTAAATTCATCAGGTATAAGTAACTTACTCAGAGCCACATAGGTATGAGGTTACATAGCAGTTCTCTCATAAAGGAGCTTTTGTAATTTTCTACCATGTTATTATGGTTCACACTTGATTCTTTTAGTTAAAAAATTGGCATTTGGGAAGAAAAGTCCTCTCCACTCCTACCACTGTGGCAAGTTAGTTATCATCAGAAGAAAAAATAATCACAGTTATTATAAAAATAGAAGTTAAAATTCATTCCCTGCCTGTTATGTTCAGGCAATGTGCTAATCACCTTTTATGAATTTTTTAGGTTAAATCGAACAGCAGCTGTATTAGATAAGTATATTGCTATCCTAAACTTATAAAAAAAGAAAATTGAGGCTTAGAGAGGTTACTTAACTTACCCTGTGTTATATAACAATAACTGCCAGAGCCAAGAACTTGAATCAGAGCCCTTCAACTTTGAAGCCTGTTCTTTGAAAAAGTGGTCCTGAATTTAGTACTACATAGAAGTATTTTTATTGAAGTCTAATGTCATGTGTTGGCTGTTGGCTTTTTTAGAGCATTGGCACTTGAAAAAGTTGCATTTGTTGAAGTCTTTGTTCATTAGGTGGTTCAATGCTCTGTATGTAAAGACAGATAGGATAGGGGAAGAAAAAAACACTAAGCAAATTAGAGATGAGAAAAGAGAAGCAATCACTGATAAAGAGGAAATTAAGATAATTAAAGAATAGTAAGTAAAATTTCATGCTAACAAACTTGAAAATTTAGAAGAAATGGACACTCTTCTAGGAAAATACAGACAACACAGGTAAAACTAAGTTTACTAGAGTAGAAATATAAAATCTAAATAAAGAACCATGGAAGAAACTAGAAATTTTGTTAAATAATCATCACAGAAACTAGTGCCAGGTCTGGATAGTTTTAACAGGAAAACCTAGAAGCATGAAACATTTCTATATGGTTTCAACTGTTCCAGAGCCACCCCCTACAAAATTTGTCAAATGTATGTATTTTTTTTTTTTTTACAAATACAACATTTGTAACACAGCACAGAAAAATAAAACCACAGACTAATTGCAATTATCGGTATTTACTACTATTTATTTCAAAATGTGAAATATTAAGCAAATCAAAACATATAACAATACTAATTTGCCATAATTATAATCTGGAGGAGGAAAAAATGATCAAGTTAATAGATATTAAAGGATTATAAAATAAATATACATTCCCGACAAAGAAAAAAAATTTGTGAAAGTATATATACATTATTTATATGATTTTAAAAATATAAATCTTAAAACAATCAGCAGCACTGTGTATGATGGTGAAAAACTTGAAGCTGTTCCAATACTATCAGGAACAAGTTAAAATGCTCATTTTCACTACTATCAGTTAATATTACTCAAATGTATTTAAACAAAAATAGCAGATTATAAATTGCAAATGATATACCAGGTTTCATTTTGTGACTATATTCCATAAGAATCATAAAAAATTATTAGAATCACTACTTATTATACTAACATTTATCGAGCACTTAAAATCACTGTGAAAATTACACTGCATATTTTATCAAATTTAATCCTCCTAATATCCTTATGAGGTAGATTCCATTAAAATCATAATTTTATAGCTAAGAGAATTGGAACTTGAATATATACTTGAGGCTTCACGGAGAACACAAGGCATTCTGTCAGAGCCAATCTCAAGCCCATGGTTTCTTGTCTGACTCAGAACAATGTCTTCACATCAGTGCTGTACTGTTGGAACAAGAGAGTTCTGTAAGATGGTTAGCAAGGGACAAATGCATACGGTCTAGCTCATATATAATATCTACATCTATATCTATACTATCTTGGGAAATGTAACAGGAAAAGTATCACTTTTTACAATAGCAACAACAAAATTATAAAACAAAGTAAAACAAAACAATGACAATAAAATCCCTTAGGATAATTTACCAAAAAATATTATATGGAAGTGTGTAAAGGATGACTTAATAAATGGGAAGATATATCTTGTGCTTGGATGGAAAGCCTCTATGATATGAACGCTTCCTAAATTAGTCTATAATTCAACATAATTCCATCAAAATGCTAATGTTTCCATTTGATAAAATGTTTCCATAGTTTATTTGAAAGAAAAAAATATAAGACTCAAGAAAATTATTGAAAAAAAATGTAATAATGGGGTACTTGCCTTTCTAAGTAATGTAGGCATATGAATTTTTCACCCCTGCTGGTTTATATAATGGAGTACTATCTAACTCTTAGTATGATGTATATCCGTATTCATACACATATAACATATTGAATTGAAAAAGCAGAATAAAAATAACATGTATAAAATAAAATTGTTTATGTGAAATGATATACGTCTATAATTATTTGTACACATAGAATTCTGGAAGAATGTGTACCAAAATGTTGGTGAATGTCTTCGAATAGTGATGCTTTGGTAGGTGGTTGTTGTTTTTTCCTAGATACTTTTTGTATTGTTTACATTTTGTAAAATAGACATCTATTAACTTCATAAAGAGAAAATATACATAAAAAAGTAAATCAATCATTTGGTGAATAATGTTAGATCCAAATACATGAAATCAAGGTTTGCTGTTTGGCTTGGAGGAAGAGGTTCTGGAGAAGTGGTGGGAAGTGTGCTTTTCCACCAAGTGCGTTTTATCACACTAATTGGCATTTTGCTAAGCCCATTGTTGATTAGTCTAATTGCCTCTAGCTGGAATACTAGGTATTTGTTATAAAAGTAATACTAAAAAAATTCACTGTTAATTTCTCAGATCATTGCGTAAATTATCTGCCTGTGAGACTGTGCTACTCATCCACCTTTTTGTAGGAACAATCCTGTATCTCTACGGAATAACAGTCTACTTTTAAGCTTCTTGGCTTTATGGGCTCGAATTCATAGCCATAAATGTTACTATAATGAACTTTACAGCTGTTAGTTAAGTATTCTTGGAAGAGGCCAGTGTGTTCAAAGATAGAAAAACTGGAGAAAGAAAAATATTTATCTAATGTAAAATAAGAAGTGTGAAGGTGATGTGACACTGCAGAAAATTTTAGAAAAGTTATTCAAGCTTTAGGGATAGCTTCTTCCCTGGGTAGCCACATATGAAGCAAAGTAAGGTGTTTTGTCACTCTAATGTATTGTAATATCTGATATTTTCATCTATTACATTTTTCAGTGTGCTATAGGTCAATATCATTACTAATATTTTGAGCATTACTTTGTCATTAATTGTAAAGGTGGGTTTTTTTCTCCTACATATAATCTGAAGAGATTTCTTATCTTCTCCAGTATAATTTAATTAAATTTGGAGTTCATAATATTTAGCAAAATTTGTTTCTGGCTTGCTTTTATATATGAAACATATTTTAAAGAAGTAGTTTGGAGAATATATAACCCAGGAAATAATTCAAAAGTTTATCTGACATATTAAGAAACAGAAGAAACTTGGAGGGAAGGAGATGTTAATGAAGCTTATATCTTAATAATTAAAGTAAAATGAAAGATAATCCAACAGGTAGATAATATGGACTACACAGAGACCTATCAACTCAGTTTAATTTATATCTTTATTAGCTTTTAATTATCTTAATAATTCACATTTACCATATGTCCTTAGCCCAAATAACTTTACATTTATGCAGGATCTTCCCTTAATCAAAATCTTTACAACTTACAGAACAACTTCATGTGTATTATCTTATTTTATCCTCACAAAACACTTCTGAAGACTGAGAAAGTACTGTTAGTCCCAAGTTATAATGCATACTATTATCATTATTAATAATTCTAAACTTTATAGTTTAAAAAGTAATGGAGGTTGGGCATGGTGGTTCACACCTGTAATCCCAGCACTTTGGGAGGCCGAAGCGGGCAGATCACCAAGTCAAGAGATCAAGACCATCCTGGCCAACATGGTGAAACCCCATCTCTAAAAATACAAAAATTAGCTGGGCGTTGTGGTATGCACCGGTAATCTCAGCTACTCGGGAGACTGAGGCAGGAGAATCACTTGAACCCAGGAGGAGAAGGTTGCAGTGAGCCCAGATCGTGCCACTGCACTCCAGTCTGGTGACAGACTGAGACTCCTTCTCAAAAAAAAAAAAAAAGGAAGAAAATCCACCTATAATCTCACCACATTACAACTATTTCCATATATTTTATTGCTCTTGAAGTCTTTGACTATATGTGTATATGATATATAGTATATACAGGAAGATGTACTCTAGTTCATGTATTCAACAAATATTTTGTGTGTGCCTATAATTTCCTAGGTACTAGAAATTCAGAAGAAAAGACAGATCATGTTTCTGCCTTCATGGAGCTTACATGCTAGCATGTAAAGTGGCATGCAGATACATCAATAGTTACCACGTTAGGTAACGATAGATAAAGAAAGGTAAAGGAGACAAGGTAGAGAGTGAAGGAATGCTGTATTTTATGAGGTGTGGTCAGGAAGTGGTTCTCCGATGGACTAACATTTGAGCGGAAACCTGACTAAAGTGAGAGTGTGAACTCTAAGCATGTGCAAAGTCCCTAAGACAGGTGTCTTCAAGAAAAATCAGAAGGTCCATATGGTTGGAGAGGATTGTAGGTTAGGAAAATATTGTTAAGGCAGAGTATATGTGTGTGTGTGTATATATATATGGCAGTATATATATACATATAAATATATATATGGCAGAATATGTATGTGTGTGTATATATATGTATATATTTATTAGCCTGGGCATTGTGTGTAGGTAACCTAGAAGGTCCCTGTGCCCTGCTGCCTGACATACAAGTGATTAAAGGAGCCAGATTGTCTGAGAAGGCTGTAGAAGAGTGTGTCTTGGTGCCATGGAGGGGCAGTAGACTTTAGCAGATGATGCTAGCACAAAGATCAAATGAACCAGGTGGGACCAAGCACATCTCAGCAGATAGGGGCAGATAATTTCTCAGTGACTAATTGAATGAAGCTTGATTGTAGGGAAGCATAGCTTAAACTCCTGAGACCATAGATTTCCTTGAGAGGGAAGCAGGAAGAATGAAAACAGGAATAATTAAAAACTCAATGAGTTTATGTAATACAGTATCTGAATTACAAATACCCAGAAGAGATTGTTGAACTTAAAAGAACTAAGCTACCTTGAAAGTATTTGAAAGATTGTTTTATCTACTGAGTAAAAATTGAAATTTGAAACAGGATGACATCCTTTTTAGATTTTAAAAGTGCATTTTTTTTTACATCTGGGTTATAGTTTGCAAATTTAAACTCTTGCTGTATTAGTAAATTTGGCATACTACACAATACTGCACAATAAAAGACTTATCATAATGTGTGCATGCTGTCATGAGTCCAAACTGATTAATTTCTAGTTTTTAAATCACAAACCACTTTCACAAGAGGAGACTCTCAGAATTTCCACAACTCTTCTTTATTTTCATGCCTCTGAAAATTTCTACTCATACCTTAGTGTGGTCATATTATGGTTCCAATTCCTCCTAGAGAACCTCTAATGCATCCCTTCAAGTCCTTCAGTATCCTGAACTCAGCAGCCCCTGCCTTGGCATTTTTCTAGCACAAGGAAAAAGAACACTGGGGGAGGGAGGATACGTATGGGAGGTTTTGTGGCCCAGGCCTGAAAGTGATGCAAGTCACTTCCACTCATATTCTAGAATTGAGCCACAAGGCACACACAACTGCAAGAGAAATTAGGAAATGTGATGTCCTTTGACACAGGGACAAAGGAAGCTTTTACTACCCTAATCATGACTTTCAACTAATAGTGGTCAGGCACATTATAATTTAATCATCTTGGATAAAACATAATGTAGGTCACAGAAATATTAACCTAATTTTCTATCTATACTGATTTTGCTGAGGTAAAAGAAAATTCTCTTTTTATAAATCAGAGACTATTTTTAAAAATGTCAGTTAGAATGGTGATCATTAAAAAGTCTGGAAACAACAGATGCTGGCGAGGATGTGGAGAAATAGGAATGCTTTTACACTATTGGTGGGAGTGTAAATTAGTTCAACCATTGTGGAAGACAGTGTGATGATTCCTCAGGGATCTAGAACCAGAAATACCATTTGACCCAGCAATTCCATTACTGGGTATATACCCAGTGGATTATAAATCATTCTACTATAAAGACACATGCACACATACGTTTATTGCAGCACTATTTACAATAGCAAAGACTTGGAACCAACCCAAATGCCCATCAATGATAGGCTGGATAAAGAAAATGTGGCACATATACACCATGGAATACTATGCAGCCATAAAAAAGGATGAGTTCATGTCCTTTGCAGGGACATGGATGAAGCTGGAAACCATCATCCTCAGCAAACTAATACAGGAACAGAAAACCAAACACCGCATGTTCTCATTCATAAGTGGGAGTTGAACAATGAGAACACATGGACACAGGGAGGGGAACATCACACACCAGGGCCTGTCAGGGGATGGGGGTGGGGAAAGGGGAGTGAGAGCATTAGGACAAATACAGAGCTTAAAACCTAGATGATGGGTTGATAGGTGCAGCAAACCACCATGGCACATGCACACCTACGTAATAAAAGCACGTTCAGCACATGTATCCCAGAACTTAAAGTAAAATAAAAAAAAGCATAAAAATGTCTCCAATGTTATAAAATTTGCATTTGACTCAATTTTCACTTTCTACAGCTCACTTTGCTGAATAAAATGATTTTCCTCTGAAGCTGGGTTGGATAATAATATGAATGACAAAATATACCAAATTATCTCTTGCTCCCTACCTTGAACCTCTTTTCCTAGACTAAATTGGTATATTTCCATTATCTCCTAAAGTTTTCTTTCCTATTAAAGGAATGTAGTTACTCTACACATTTTCACCTTCTGTTTCCTTTTCCTCATTCTGTTCAGAAGACGTGAATTATTGAACTGACTGGTAAATTTGGGAAGGAGTAACCTGGGCACACTCAGTTCAGCTCCTCTCACTTCCCTCTTCGGGAGCAAGTGTCCCTGCAAGAGGACCCATTCATTTTGAGCTTCCCCTTCTCCCAAATTGGGGTTATATATTACACATGGAGTGATAAAGCTTTGTCATAGAACCAATATTTGGAGTCTGGAACTTCAATATATAAACAAGGCTTTTAAAACATTGGTGGTTATAGAGCATTTATTACTGCTAAGTCATGGGCAAAAGGCTTTGAATCCTAGGTAGCACACAGTTTTACTTTGGTTGGTGTCTGTAGATTAGTGGATTTTTATAGCAATGGGATTTTTCAAGCTTAAGAAAAGTCAAGGAGTCATTGAAAGTGCAACAGGAAAGCAACCAGGCTTTTGTGGGTACAAACTAGAATACCTATACAAAAGGGAATCCTTACAAGTCTTTGAGGCATGGTGCATTGAAGAAAATTTGCTTTCTTTAAACTGGAAAGACCCTAACACTTGTAAAGCTCTACTTGCAAATATCCTTAATGCAATGATTAAACAGGCAGTGCTAGGTCAAATGTCCCAAATTTAATTAAGAGTCAGGGAGAAAATTTGGAGACATAAACCCTGAATTCATATGGCTTGTTCACAGACTTAAGAAAAATGTAATTATTGCAGGTTGACGTGCAGGCATTGGCTTCACCAAGAGGAACCAGGCCTAAGAATTGTATGCAGTTCCAAAGTGGAGGAAGAATTGTATGCAGTTTGGAGAACACATGGGCGGGGTACTAAAACTCATGAGGACCCTGTACACAGTCCAGGGTATAAGCATCAATAATAACGTCAGTTCACATATCTGCTGAGGTTGATTCTCCAGTTGAAACAAAGGTAGGGCAATGACTATATTCTTTAATTGTCAAGCTTTCAGGCCTAGGAAAATTCCTAACAAGAAGTAGGAGCATTATCCTTGTGGGTTCCAAATGGCAATTATCCTTTTCTCAACCCTAAATTCAGTCTTTTTACAGTTATGTGACTGTGTAGCTACTCTACTCAAGAGAAGCTCACATTTAAAAATCATTTAATATAAAATGAAACAAACTACCATGATTGAGAGTAAGCAAAAACAATAATTAAGATCCTCAAAGGCTTAATAATCTAAAATGACTATTTATAAATTTTTTTGAAGAAATAAAGATACACTAGAAAAACATGCCGAGAAAAAAGATGATAAAATAGCCAGCAGAATTCAAAAAGAATCAAGGAAAGCATCTAGAAATCAATAATGAAATGTTGAAGCTGAAGAATTAATAGGTTGAATAACATATGAGGCACAGGTAGGAAATAACTAATAAACTAGAAGTTACATTCATTAATTCAATAAATATTCACTGAGCACCTGCTATGTGCATGTTTTAGTCCTTTGGAATATATCAGTGAACAAATCCGTTAGGGAATTTGCAGTCTTATGGGAAGTGAAAGACAAAAGACAGGAGAAATAGATATAATGTATAATATTTTTAAAGGTAGAAAATTCTATAAAAAGAAAAAAATAGGTATGTGTAAAAAGTATTAGGTATAAAAAAGTAAAAAGGAAGAAGAATTTTAAATAGGATTAACAGGGTATCATTGAAAGGGTAATAATTTGAGCAAACATTTGAAGGAATTGAGGGGGTTGATCTAAGAACAGGGCCCTAGAATATGGCAGAATAGTGCCATATGCCCACTAATCCATTAAAATTTCCCCATCAGCACACAGGAAGAATACTTTCCCAGACCTCTTGTATCTAGGTAAAACTGTGTGAGTAATTCTGACTAATGGAATGAGTGTAGGAGAAATTGAGTCATACATAGCGTGTTCTCTGATCACAATGCAATTTAGTTTAAATCCAAGAAGCAAAAAGCAAAATTCAAAATGCATGAGTTTGGAAAT
Organism: Homo sapiens; assembly: GCF_000001405.40. Classification (NCBI taxonomy): domain Eukaryota; kingdom Metazoa; phylum Chordata; class Mammalia; order Primates; family Hominidae; genus Homo; species Homo sapiens. Next base: position 55,925,371 of record NC_000006.12, on the reverse strand, counting down.
TAAAACACCTTATAAGTAGCTCATGGGAAATTCTAATAGAAATCTAAAAATATTTTGAACTGAATGATAATGACAAAAGAAACAGCATCGAGAGTTCTAAAGCACATGTGAAACTTTGATATATTCACAAATGTGACATTTCGAAGCAGTAGGGTAAGTAGGAGTTCTGGGATTATTTGTATACAGATGGAAAAACAAATAAAATTAGATCCCTGCCTACAACATACTAAAATATCATATCCAGGTTACTTAAATACTTAAATTTGACACAAAAACCTTAAACTTTTAGAATAAGGTGTAGGAAAACATCTTTCTGGCCTGAGAATAGAAAAGGATTTCCTAAAGACGATACAAAAATTGCTAATCATAAAGAAAATTATTGATATATCTTGATTTATTAAAATTAAAAATTCCTCATGACATAATATAAGACAAATAAACCACTAACTGGGAAATGATATTTTTCATACATATTGATAATAAATTATTAGTATCTGGAACATATAAAATGGTGCTACAAATCAATAAGAAAAAACAAATGAATAGAAACCTGGGCTAAAGACAGATATTTCATCAAATGCAAAATATGTAAGACTAAGAAACACATAAAAATATGTATAAGCTGCTCACTAGTCAGAGAAATTAAAATTAATACCACAATAAAAGGTCATTTTTCACGAACTCTTGGTTCTTGTGTTTACTAAGCGGTAGAAGAACTGTTGCAAAGTAAGATGATATATTCCTTCATACTTTTTGTCTAGTAGTTATTGTTTTATGAAGCCAATTAAATAATAAGATTAAACATTGATTTTTTTCATTTATTTATTTAACAAATATTTATTGAATGTCTACTATGTGCCAGGAACGCTGCTAACAATGTACCATTTTGTAACACAAATCATTTATTTGTAGAAATATGATGCTTTACAGAAATATCCCTAAACATTGTCATATTTATTTATTTATTTTAAACTTTAAGTTCAGGGGTACAAGTTCAGGTTTGTTTTACAGGTAAACTTGTGTCATGGGGGTTTGTTGTACAGATTATTTTGTCACCCAGGTATTAAGCCTAGTAACCGTTAGTTATTTTTTCATATCCTCTCCCTCGTCCCACCCTCTACCCTTCACCCTCCAATAGGCCCCAGTGTGTGGTGTTCCCCTCCATGTGTCCATGTGTTCTTATTATTTAGCTCTCAATTTTAAGTGAGAACATGTGGTATTTGGTTTTCTGTTTCTGCATTGGTTTGCTAAGGATAATGGCCTCCAGCTCCATTCATCTTCCTGCAAAAGACATGATCTCATTCTTTTTTTATAGATGCATAGTATTCCATGGTGTATATGTACCACATTTTCTTTATCCAGTCTATCATTGATGGGCATTTAGGTTGATTCTATGTTGTTTTTATTGTGAATAGTGCTGCAATGAACATACGTGTGCATGTGTCTTTATAATAGAACAACGTATATTCTTTTGTGTATATACCCAGTAATGGGATTGCTGGGTGGAATGGAATTTTTGTTTTTAGGTCTTTGAGGAATTGCTACATTGTCTTCCACAATGGTTGAACTAATTTACACCTTCACCAATAGTGTGTAAGTATTCCTTTTTCTCCACAACCTTGCCAGCATTGGTTATTTTTTGACTTTTAAGTGATAGACATTCTGACTGGTGTGAGATGGTATCTCATTGTGGTTTTGATTTGCATTTCTCTAATAATCAGTGATGCTGAGCTTTTTTTTCATTTGATTTTTGGCTGCATGTGTGAAAAGTGTCTGGTCATGTTTTTTGCCCACTTTTTAAAGGGCTTGTTTGTTTTTATTTGTCATTGTCATATTAAAAGTCACTTTATTGGTTTACATTTATTGTATTATCAAATATGTTTCCAGAATAGTTGTATCAGCTTATAATTTTACCAATAGTAGATGATGTCAGCACTGAATATTACTATTAAATGTATTTACTCTATGTAGGGAAAGGATATTGATTTTTAAAAAGAAGAAATACGCATCATCATTAACAAAGTAAAAAAATCACAGTCTCACTTGTATGTAAAGAAATGTAAATTGCGAATTAAGCAGCAGCATATTTTGTTTATTAGTTTGGCAAAGATTAAAGGATGAAACCAAGTGTTGGCATGAGTGGAGAGATATGAAGAACCACAGACATAGCTCTTAGGAGCAAATATTGGCACAGTCTTTCTAGAGGAAAATGGTTTCAAAAGGTTTAATGGGTGAAGTCTTTGACTCAGAAATTTCATTTTAAAGAATTTTTCCCTTAGGAAATTAATTATACAGATGCACAAAAATGTCATGTAGAAAACTATTCCTTGATGAATCCTTTGCTACAGAAACAAATTGTAAACAGAACATCAAGAAAAAGTTTGTTTAAATAAATTTTGTTATTTTTATAGTGTGGGATGATAAACAGCTATTAACAATAATTGTGTGGATATTTATTAACATGAAAAGATATTCATGGAACAGTAAGTGAAATAAGCAAGTTTTAGAACAATATATATTATATGTATTTCAAATGCTTATACAAATTTACATATGTATGTACATGTGAAACATGAGAATGCAGATACAGGAAAATATAAACAGTGAATATCCCTGGATGTTGGAATTTTAAGTGATATTATATAATTTTTTTTCTTTGGGGCATTTTTATTTTTAATCTTTCTTTTATTAGCTGAACATATATTAGGTGTATAATAATTTTTACAGAACCCAACTTTATTTGAATGGCAAAATGGTGACATCATTAACTTATATTATTTGAATCCTCTTGAAGTTGAATTTTGCCCAGTACTTATTTCCTTGTTTTTCTTTTGTGATTTGTATTCTCACATTTTTTTTTACAAATTTTTTATTAGTAGTTTTTTTCTTTCTTGTAGAATTTAGAGGTCTTTATATATTTACAGCAATACAACTTGGTTTCTTATTACAATCAAATTTAAATTTCATCATCTGACCAGATGTGCATACATAGCAATACAAATCTAACTTTGTGTAAGTCTTCATAATGTAGAAAGCATTTTCTTGCACTTATCACAAACAGCCCACAACAACTAATCCAAACCATCACAGCCCAACTCAAGTCAAAAGTGCCGTTCCCTGTTCTCACAGTCATCAGGTAACCTGACTTATTTCTTCAGAGACTGAAACTCTTTCAAATTCCTTCCTATCCCACTTCTGTGCCCTCCCCACTCACAGTCACATAGACATTTATCTATGTCTATATATATGTCCCTATCTCCATCACATGCACTTTGGTGGAGAGAATTGCCCTTCCACCTGTGTCCTGGATCCCATTCCCTGCCATCTCTTTAGTGAACTTCAATCCATTGGTAATCACCCTAGTTCTTCTGTATGCTCCTCTTTGTTGCTTTTCTTTTCTTTGTATATAAGCAAGTTAAATTTCCATCTGACTAAAATAAAAACAAAACAAACCCACTCCCCAGTGCAAAACCCAAGTCCCTCCTTGAGGTTTCCTAACACAGCTAGTGACACAAAAGATTTATGATCCTGTTGTGCTCCAAGCATTTATTGAGCACTCAAAAAGAGTCTGGTACTACACCAGTTTCTAGAGCTACATAGATGAATAAGTTACACACCTTTGAGGACTTTACCATTGTCCTTTGTGTACTTAGGGCTTTGGGTGCGATTGACAGAATTCTTTTTTTTTTTTTTTTTTTTTTGGGACGGAGTCTCGCTCTGTCTACCCAGGCTGGAGTGCAGTGGCGCGATCTCGGCTTACTGCAAGCTCCGCCTCCTGGGTTCACGCCATTCTCCTGCCTCAGCCTCCTGAGTAGCTGGGACTACAGGCGTCCGCCACCATGCCCGGCTAATTTTTTGTATTTTTAGTAGAGACGGGGTTTCACTGTGTTAGCCAGGATGGTCTCGATTTCCTGACCTCGTGATCCGCCCGCCTCTGGCCTCCCAAAGTGCTGGGATTACAGGCGTGAACTACCGCGCCCGGCCGACATAACTCTTACAGTGGAGATTCATTCGGGTATGAACAGCTGTGAATTCTACAAGGAAATCCTTGAATAAAGGAGGAAATGACTAATTAATTAAGTGAAGATACTAGACCTTGTTCAAATATGCAGAGGGGAACTATGGATGTCAGTTGGCTAACAAATGCCATTGCTGCTTTTTCCTTCTCCATCAAGATTCTGAAAAGAATATGATTGTCACATCCATGGAGAGCCAACTTCTTCTCTTTTTACTTCGATAAAGGCACAACAGACAGTTTTCTATATTTTTTGTCTTTCTTGGCCTCTCTGAGACATCTGATATTTGACTATCTCTCTCTTTCCTAAAACCCTTTCTCCCTCCAATTTAAGGTTGCAATGATGCCCACTGCACCCCCACCCCCAACGCTGCTTTTTTCCCGACCTCATTTATGAACTTCTTGTCCTCAGTCTTTGTGTCCTGATCTTTTTTCATATTTTTCCTGGCCTATTTTTGTCTTCATCTACAACTTCTACTCCCATATGTATTTTAATAGTATTTAGTGAGGAATGGATTTATAATTGCTTTAATCCACCGGAAATCCTAAGCAAACTGAGTAAAGGAGAACTTGTATCATTTCCAGTATCTAATGTCCAGTAAGCACTAGAAAAATCCTGAACTCGACCTGGATTTCCTACCCCAAATCTCATCCAGATATTTCCATGCAATTCGTCCAAAAATAATTCTGGAACCATCCTATTCCTCCATGCACTAGGATGTTACATCAGGAATATTTGAATGGGTGCTTTCATCCTCCTCCAATGACTCTTTGTTTCCTTTTAATGTGATTTTAAAAAATTACCTGTAGGAATAAAACTTCCCCTGGATGCTATGATAATTCAAGGATACAATTCTTAATGTAAGTGAGAGTAACTTAAAACAATGCAATGTGCAACATAAGGTAACAATTTTTTTTTTAGAATAAGCTTATATAGTTCAATGGTACAAGAAAACTTATGCATGTATATACAGTCATGCACCACATAAGGATTTTTTGTTCAACAATGAACTGCATATAAGATGGTGGTCCCATAAGATTACAAAACCATTTTTCATGGTATGTTTTCCATGTTTAGCTATGTTTAGGCACACAAGTACTTACCATTGTGTTGCTGTTCCCTATATTATTCAATACAGTAACATGCTGTACAGGTTTGTAACCTAGGAGCAATGTAGCGTAGGTGTGGAATAGGCTAAACCATCCAGGTTTGTGTGAGTACACAATGATGAGATTGCCTAAGCATGACGCATCTCTCAGAACATATCTACTTTGTTAAGCGACACATAACTGCACACACACACACACACACACACACATACAGGTATACAGATGTATATCTTTTGCAGAATGCTTTAGAGACATCACATAGCAGAGTACAGGAAAGGGCAGGTTGCTACAGCCTTGACAGTGTGTTTCAGCTGGTCCATGTGCTGCAGGTCCTATGTCTGTGTAACAGACAAATTGTCTGCTCAGTTTACTACCGTGCCCTGCTCTTCTGATTTCTTTCTGGTTTGCTAAGGAATCTCCATGGAGCCCATGACTACCGCATGTGTGCAAAGGGAGGAACAGCCTTTTTTCCCCAATGCCCTGTCCAGGCACTCAGGTTATCTGGGCAGGGAGGGGCTGAGGAACTTCTGATTCTGTGTCTCTTGCAGAAAGGTTGACGGAGAGATGAGGCCAGCTTTCGTCAAGTGGGCACAGCCAGTAGGGTTCTATTAGGGTCTTCCTGGTGGAGGACCCTGACTCTGATCTTCTTGTCTGCCTGCCAGACAAACCTGGGCACATTTGAACCATATCAAATTGGCTTTGTATTAGGTGTGCGGTGTGCGTGTATGTGTGTGAATTTCATTCTTTGGGAATATAACTTGATATACTTAAGTGCAATATATAAACATTCAATTACTTTAGGCCTCTAACTTTTAAATACATTTCCAGGAAAGCAAACACATGTAAATAGAGGACTTTCTGTACATGCATATAATGAAATGCCTTGAAAGAATATAATAAAAATGTAACAGTTTGTTTCTAAGCATTATGCATGCTTATTATTGTCTCTGTTTTGGTCTTTATAGTTTTCCAAATTTTAAAAATAATCATCAAATATTACCTACGTATTTCCTATCCCACTTCTGTGCCCTCCCCACTCGTAGTCACATAGGAAACATATCATGACTAAGAAACTTTAGTCTTTTTGTGTTAGGATCAGTGGCCTCTAATTTGCAATACTTAGCAATTAATTGATAGTTTAGTGTAGATAATTATTATTAGGATTTGATTTTTAACCCTCACTAAGAATTGTTTTTCTGATCTTTAAATGGTCATTTTACTAAATTTTTGCAGGATTTGTTTTAAAAATAAAAATTTTATAGGCAAATACTTTGGGTATTGCTCAATCAGAACACTTTATTCCATCAAATTCTCAAGCTTTTGACCAAAGAATGAAATCATGATGAGATCACTCAAAAGGCAACCTGGCACTTTAGAAACCATTCCACACACTATTTAAGAAAGACTATTATCTATGCCAATGAAATTACGATGACTAATAGTTTTAACATTTATATTATTATGATGCATTAAAGTCCCTGTCTAATTATATCAGCGTCTCAGCATGATATATAAATCTATTTTGTCAGAGGATGTATTACCTTCATTTACCAGAATGAAAAAATATAGATAAAATTTAAATGATTCACCCAAGGACATATGTTATTTTAAACACCGGGAAATGGGACTCTAATCTCTAACATCTAATTAAGTGCTCTATTTATTAGCATATATTCCTATTAAGCATGTGATTTTCATTAAATAATCTTATAGAATTAATTTATTTGAAATAGGCTTGTGATGAGTAATCAGAACTTGACTTTCCTTGTACCTGTTAGTTTGGATTCTGAAAATTACTCAGGTCTTTATAAAGGAGAAGAGATAGGATATGGAGAGATATCATATACTAAGGAATACATCTGAAAATGTTTGAAATAAAAATTTTGTGATAAGAATCTTTCTTCCAAATTTTAATTATATTTAAATTGATGACTCAAATTTTGAAGCAAGGGAGAAGTATCATGTGGAGAAGCTTTATAAATGTTAAACATTTGCTTCTGATTTGAGCAACATTCTGTCAGTGTTGCAGCTTTCTTTCTTACGATATCTTTGTTCTATTTTGTTTTAGTCCGTTGAAGCCAGGAAAAAAGTGAAAAAGAGAACATTTTAATATTTTTAAAATCTGGGTGAAGTTTGAGATACATGAAGGGCTTACTTTATTATTTGTTTTTAGTTGCTTTGTTCACTTTTAGTTTTAATAAAATGTGAAACAAGACAAAACTCTCTGGGGTATAAGCCTGTTTATTTTATTGTGCTCTGTTTAGTTATTCAAGGGAAAAAAAGTTACAGAAGAGTAATCGTTGCCATCTGTTGTATTTGAGTAAAATCTAGCCCAAAAGTCAAAAAAGTCATGGCAACAACTTATAAAAACAACTGCAATAATATCAACTCACTATGGTTACTGGTGAAACTTTATTTTTCTCCCAAATGAAGTAAATTTCCTCAGAGGATTATTTTAACATTTGATTTATATCATTATTAAATTTGCCTCCAAAATCATCAAAATCTCTAATAACACTTCTATTTAACTCTGCCTGATAGGAGATTAGCAGATTTTCCTGTCACTCTGACTCAAACCTCATCAAAACTCCCTCTTTGGAGAGTGTTATTTTTAAGAACTTCTCAGGATATAATTTTAAGGAGCAATGTATGTGTGGGTGTGTAGGTGTATACATTTTCCCATAGTATTAAATGGCTACTGTTACTGGCAAATATGAAGTGCATGCAAATTTGGTGAAGTATAGGGTTTTTATTGTGACTTAAAACATTGTTCATATAATGGTATTGCCTTAGGCCATATTTTTGTCATGTTTTCCTTTAGAAATTGTAGTTGTAAAATATTATGTTGTCTTTAAGATAGACATATTTTATACCAGACTGCTCTCTCTAGAGAAAATAAAGGTATAATATGGCATCACTTGGCTTCTTTTGAAATCAGCAGAATATTGAAAGACACTCATTGGAATTGCCTATGTATTTACTCACTTTGATATTTGAAAAGGGAACTCCAATTGCCTCTACCAAAGGAAAAATGACCTACTACATCCATATATAAACACTTAAAAATTGCAGATTTAACCCCTTCTAAATGTTTTTTAAAACATAATCAGAGTTATTGTAGACATTCAAAAATATAGCATATTTTAGAGAAATTAGCATAAAACTTACCATGAAGTGGGATTTAATTTTTTTCTCTACTTTTATTTCGAGTGAAGTAACTACACAAAGTGAAAAATTAATTTAAATTATTGATACTAAATTTTCATTTGAATGTAAAATTACTATGTCTACTTTTAATATCTACAAAAAGCCTTGTGATTCATAAATAAGAAAAAACGTTTGAAAGTACTTGGGTGTTTTTCAGGAGAATATTTTTATGTATACCTATTATTGTAAATTATACATTAGTGAAATTTGAATTAATTTGATTTACAATGTTCGCAGGGTTTGTGTATGTACGTATGTGTTTTGTAGTGAAGAAAAATATGTAGAAGAAAAGTGCACTCATTTATCTAACACATATATTGTTCACTTATGTATGAGGCAATGTGCTAGGTGTTGTGTGGGATTCATAAATTAGCTTTAAGAAGTTTACAGTCCAGATCACGTAAGGAAAATAACATGTATACATATCTTTGCATACCTATAAGTAAATATAGAATCATATTTTTAATAACGAACATTATTTCTATTATAGTCCCCATCACGAAAACTATTTTTCAGCTATTTCTAGGAGTCCATAGATGGTGCTCATAGATGTTTAGAGTAAGGTGATTTAGCCACAGTAGCCATGTGCCATTTTTTCTTTTTCCTCTGAAACAATTTGATTATGCATGCTCAAAAATCCTGGTAGGTGACTCATCTGGGCTACTAGTTGTTATCAAAAGCTTTAATTTTGTGCCTCCCACTTGTTGTCTCTTTTCATTCTCATAGGCCCCATGGGAATTTTTATCCTGTGCCTCCAAACTTATAAGTAGCAAAGTGATTGATAACCACAGGGTTTATCTGAGTCTGCCAAACTTGCTGTTGGACCAACTACTGAAAATGTGGTGTCAAAGAGACGTTGTAGCTGAAACTGCTAGCTGTGTGAAGACCCTTTGTGAGCTGGGAAAGCTGGTGGTCTTCAGGCTCTATAGCTATGGTATGCAACCTCAAATATGGAAAATTGTTTCTACTTTTATGGTGTGTATACCAATAATATTCAGAATTTTAGTGAAGCAGTCATTTATTGTTGCTTGCCAATAGTAGCTCCCTATCTCCCTGGGATTTAGACATAAATAAATCCTCAGGAATAGGAAAGGAAAACTGTATCAAAATCACCTGGACCCTCTGATAATGAGAGCATTGCTATTGAACCAGTTTTGTTTTTCTATATGTATTTATCTTTGGTTAATTTCTTTCCAAGTGCTTATTGTCTTCTTGCAGATATGTTACTTGTGCACACCTAACCTGTGCACACCTAACCTGTGCACTTGTGCACACCTAACCTGTCCTGCCAACCTGATGGAACTTGTCTACATTTTAAAGTGAGACCACTTTGTACATACCTGGGCCCCCTATGAGAGTTCGCAGACAAGGAGGTATACGGCTTAAGAAAAAAAAAATTTGTCTAAGAAGATTTCATAACAATGTAATATTTGAGCTGATATTTAAGAGAATTGAGGAGAGAACACGACCAGATATGCAGAAATTAAAAAAAAAATTAAAGTTGTAAATGGGTGCCAACAAAGCCAGTTGTGTAGCAAATTTTAAGCAGAAAAGGTTTAAATTAAAGGCCTACAAAATGTGTGGAGGGCTAAAGGAGGGGATCCCATCCTGGCCCTCCAGGGAAAATTTCCAGAGCATGAGATAATTGATTCACCAAAATTTCCTCATGCTTCCGTATGGTTGCTATGGGCACTACTAAGTTTAAGACTCGAAGGGAGCTGATTTCCTAGGATTAGAAAGCTGTACCTGCCAGTACTCAGGAACCTGAAGAGGGGACAGTGGAATGATTTGCAGGAACATCTCACATCCGACAACTTTGCCTCCTAGCAGAGGAAGTTGACCTCAGGCTCACTTGTCCCATTATAAATATTGTGAGATACATCTAACTGTTGGTATTGTGTTTGTATTCAGAATCGTGCCTGAAAGATAGATATGGAAAAATTATACCATGAAATAAATATATTTACATACAGTTAAATAATAATATATAACAGTTATATATAATTTAATAATATATTATTAATAATATAATATATAATATATAATTTATATAATATATAGTAATATTTACACCATGAAAATTGACAAATAATACACATCAGACCCCCCACCACCACTAAGAGCCAGCCGATTTTTAAACATTTATTAGTACATCCCTGGTACATTGACTCAATCCATATTATCTTCCATATTTTGCACAGTATATATAATATGTAAATAAAATATACAATACAATTAGAATATTATAAGATTAGAATTTTGATGAATTATTTGGTGTTGACAAATATGAAGCTATTCCTTTTGTAAATTTTTGTAAATAATCTTATGAATGAAGGCACTGGACTTAAGCCACTCTGCTGTGATATATTAAGGAACCAATATATATACATGTTTATTATAAATATACATGTTTATATATAAATATACATGTTTATAAATATATGTAAACATGTAAATATATGTTCCTATTAAAAAATACCACATTTATTAACAACCTATGTCTCTGTCTTGACCCAGTTTTACAGTTTGAAGCTGGCACGAAATAAATATTGTATACATGGAATATGATGCAGCAACTAATTTTTTCTACCATCCAAACATCACTGATAGTATCTTAAGTTGAAATTTAAAACATCATTAATGGTGAGGCAGTTTATTTGCATGAAAATAAACATCAGTTTACATTACAATGAAAATTCTAATATTAGCTTTAAAAGAACTTGTATGTAAGCTAGGAGAAAGGATTTCAATTAGCCTTTGACTTTATAATTAGTTAATAATAATTAAATGCATTTTCATTTGAGCCAAAATAATCTTTTTTTTTTCTCTTAAATTTCAAAATGTTCTTGAGTGCCTCATGGAAATAAACTGAAGAAAAGTTAAAACGGCTTGGTTGTTTTCATATAACCAAGGTTAGGCCTTGTATGGAAAGGACATTCTATCCTCTTATAAACTGCAATTAAGGGCACTGAGGAGATAAAACTTTTAAGAATGGAATTAACTGTGTCATGTAGAAATAATGACAGAAAGCATCTGTCATCACGTGAGCTCTTGATATTTATTGAGCACTTAGAAAGAGTCTGACACTGTACTTGACCCTAGAGATGAAAAAGTCACATAATTTTGAGCAGTTTACAGTTGTCCTTTTGTATTTTTTGGGTCCTAAAATTGATTGACACAACCAATGAAATTGGAGCTTCTCTCAGGTAAGGGCAACTTCTGTGAATTTTGAGGAAAATGTTTGAATGAAAGGAATCATGGATAATTACTCAAGTAAAGAATGAGGATAATCTCAACTCTGCAGGAGAGAACACTGGCTGTCAGTTAGTTGTAAGGTCAGCCTACCTGATGGGACTGTAAACAACTCAAGCACAGCTGTCTGTCCTGCTGAGTGCAGGGTGGTGAGCTGATCCTGTGAGAAGGGGCTTACCCCTGAAAACTTTGTAACAGGAAGTAAAGTGAGCCCTGTAAGAGGAGAGTCTATAGCCAAGGTCTGTACTTGACTTTGGGGAAGTTACCTCCCTTGTCTCTGTGAAATCAGGGAGTCTTGCCTGTCAACTATTACTAAATATTTGCTTGGCTCATTTTTGTTAGCATCATGACAAATGGGAGAGAGTCAGCTTGTTTAGATGGGCTGATATCCCACATTTTCTGAGTAAGGACTTGAGCCAAGGAGGGCTGATATACTTAAAAATAACCAATTCCTAGTGACATTGGCTTCTTTGATGCTAGTGTTACAAGGATACACAAACCAGTGTTAGCCACATGAAATCCCTGAAAAGTTAGCGTTACTTTCCTTCTTTTTATTTTTATTGATTGATTGATTGATTGAGATGGGGATTTTGCTCTGTCACTCCAGCTGGAGTGCAGTGGTGCGATCAAGGCTCACTGCGGCCTGGACTTCCTAGGTTCAAGTGATCCTCCTGCTCAGCCTCCCAAGTACCTCTGGGACTACAGGCATGTGCCACCATGTCCAGTTTTTTTTTTTTTTTTTTTTCAGAAATAGGGTCTCACTCTGTTTCCCAGGCTGATCTGGAACCCCTGGTCTCAAGTGATCCGCCCGCCTTGACCTCTCAAAATGCTGGGATTATAGGTGTGAGATACTGTGCCTGACCACTTCCCTGATTTTTAAAATGTTTAGTTGAAAAAATCTATTTGAGGGACTGTCAGATAAAATGATTACCTAAACACTGACTTCTAGTTCCTCCTCTTATATTCTCATCTGTAATGACAAAAATAATAGAATGAGGGGAAAATACTGTAAATTTGCCATAACATTTCAGGAATTTGTGCGTGATGGTATAGATTGATGAGAACTCTGAGAGCCAAATTTGAAATTTTCCCTTTTGGTGAAGTAGGTTAGCACAGAGAATTCTGGAAGACTTCCACAGAAGGCAAGAGCACCACTGGGAGAGGAGAAACCTTCCACTTGGATTCATTTTCACTGTTGTAATTTCAGACATTTAAAATAACCTGCATCCAAGGATCCAAGGGCCCCAGATACCTGACAGTAAGGTGGGAACATTATTTGGCAGCTCCACACTTACAAGATCCTTCTAAAAGTAATGAAAGATAGAAAGTTAAGAGAATGGATAGAGAATAAATGAGAACCTGATTCAGAAACAGTTAAAAACACAAAAGTAGTTGGCTGTGTGAGCTAAGAAAATTAAGCATGCAATAACATAATTAAAACCTGCATTAAAAGTTATCAAGAGTACAGTCTGGTATCACTCTGATGCAAGAAAGTTAAATTCTCATAAAAAGTCTAGAGGTTGAGGATTAATTTCAAAAACTGTAAAAAACAGATAGCAGAACATGAATATAGATCATTGCTCTTAAAACAAAAACAAAAACAAAAACAAAAAAACAGCTTCTGCACAGCAAAAGAAACTATCAACAGAGTAAACAGAGAGCCTACAGAATGGGAGAAGATATTCAGAAACTAGGCTGGGCATGGTGGCTCACGTCTGTAATCCTAGCACTTTGGGAGGCCAAAGTGGGAGGATCCCTTGGGCTCAGGAGTTCGAGACCAACCTTGGTAACAGTGAAACCTGTGTCTACAAAAAATACAAAAATTAGCCGATCATGGTGGTGTGTGCCTGTAGTCCCAGCTACTCCAGAGGTTGAAGTAAGAAGATCCACTGAGCTCTGGAGGTCGAGGCTGCACTGAGCCATGATAGTGCCACAGCACTTCACCTTGTGTGACGGCTTAAAAAAGAAAGTTTTACTGTTTACTGTTCTTTAATCTAATTCCTTAAGTTGCACAATTAGTACATTAGTTATCTACCTTTCTTCTTATATAAGCATTTATACTGTATGTTTCCCTTTAAATTCTGTTTTACTTACATTTAACAACTTTTGTATATAGTCTGTATATATCAATTTTAGATGCATATTTATTTCCATTGTATTTTTAATTGACTTATGAGTTAACATGTGTCTTATAATTTTTTAAATAAAATTATACAACATTTTATCTTATCCACAATGATTTCTAATTTACTTACATTCTGATCTGAGGATATATTCTGTATTAAATTACATATTTTTAAAATTTGTTGAGACTGGATTATGGCCTATTACATGATCAGTTGTCTGCATTTAACTTAACAGAATGTGTATTCCTTAATTACCAGTTTAAAGTTCTATATAATCCCCTTAGATCAAGCTTGTTAATTGTGCTCTTTAAATGCTCCATGTCCTTTCTGGTTTGATTGACTTATCCATTATTGAGAGATATATGTAAATGCTCCCACCATGTTGGTGGTTGGTGATTGTTCCATTTCTTTTTGTGATGTTCTCAATTTTTTTTTTTACCTTATCTGTTTTGTAGCTATCTTATTAAGTGCATAAAATTTTTAGGTATTTTATTTTCCTTGTTAATTAAAACTTTTATTAGGTTGTAAATCTCTTTATGACAAATCATGCTTTTATAATAGCTTTAAGGTTCATTAAATTTTAGGATATATCTTACCAATAATACATAGCTTGATTTTAAAGTCCAACCAAGCTCTCCCCTCTCCCCTCTCCCCTCTCCCCACGGTCTCCCTCTCCCTCTCTTTCCACGGTCTCCCTCTGATGCCGAGTCGAAGCTGGACTGTACTGCTGCCATCTCGGCTCACTGCAACCTCCCTGCCTGATTCTCCTGCCTCGGCCTGCCGAGTGCCTGCGATTGCAGGCACGCGCCGCCACGCCTGACTGGTTTTCGTATTTTTTTTGGTGGAGACGGGGTTTCGCTGTGTTGGCCGGGCTGGTCTCCGGCTCCTAACCGCGAGTGATCCACCAGCCTCAGCCTCCCGAGGTGCCGGGATTGCAGACGGAGTCTGGTTCACTCGGTGCTCAATGGTGCCCAGGCTGGAGTGCAGTGGCATGATCTCGGCTTGCTACAACCTCCACCTCCCAGCCGCCTGCCTTGGCCTCCCAAAGCGCGGAGAGTGCAGCCTCTGCCCGGCCGCCACCCCGTCTGGGAAGTGAGGAGCGTCTCTGCCTGGCCGCCCATCGTCTGGGACGTGAGGAGCCCCTCTGCCTGGCTGCCCAGTCTGGAAAGTGAGGAGCGTCTCTGCCTGGCCGCCATCCCATCTAGGAAGTGAGGAGCGTCTCTGCCCGGCCGCCCATCGTCTGAGATGTGGGCAGCGCCTCTGCCCCGCCGCCCCGTCTGGGATGTGAGGAGCGCCTCTGCCCGGCCGCGACCCCGTCTGGGAGGTGAGGAGCGTCTCTGCCCGGCCGCCCCGTCTGAGAAGTGAGGAGACCCTCCGCCTGGCAACCGCCCCATCTGAGAAGTGAGGAGCCCCTCCGCCCAGCAGCCGCCCCATCTGAGAAATGAGGAGCCCCTCCGCCCGGCAACCACACCATCTGGGAAGTGAGGAGCATCTCTGCCCCGCCAGCCGCCCCGTCCTGGAGGGAGGTGGGGGGGTCAGCCCCCCGCCCGGCCAGCCGCCCCGTCTGGGAGGTGAGGGGCGCCTCTGCCCAGCCACCCCTACTGGGAAGTGAGGAGCCCCTCTGCCCGGCCAGCCGCCCCGTCAGGGAGGGAGGTGGGGGGGTCAGCCCCCCGCCCGGCCAGCCGTCCCTTCCGGGAGGGAGGTGGGGGGGTCAGCCCCCCGCCCGGCCAGCCGCCCCGTCTGGGAGGTGAGGGGCGCCTCTGCCCAGCCGCCCCTACTGGGAAGTGAGGAGCCCCTCTGCCCGGCCAGCCGCCCCGTCTGGGAGGTGTACCCAACAGCTCATTGAGAACGGGCCATGATGACAATGGCGGTTTTGTGGAATAGAAAGGGGGGAAAGGTGGGGAAAAGATTGAGAAATCGGATGGTTGCCGTGTCTGTGTAGAAAGAGGTAGACATGGGAAACTTTTCATTTTGTTCTGTACTAAGAAAAATTCTTTGGCCTTGGGATCCTGTTGATCTGTGACCTTACCCCCAACCCTGTGCTCTCTGAAACATGTGCTGTGTCCACTCAGGGTTAAATGGATTAAGGGTGGTGCAAGATGTGCTTTGTTAAACAGATGCTTGAAGGCAGCATGCTCGTTAAGAGTCATCACCACTCCCTAATCTCAAGTACCCAGGGACACAAACACTGCGGAAGGCTGCAGGGTCCTCTGCCTAGGAAAACCAGAGACCTTTGTTCACTTGTTTATCTGCTGACCTTCCCTCCACTATTGTCCTATGACCCTGCCAAATCCCCCTCTGTGAGAAACACCCAAGAATGATCAATAAAAAAAAAAAAAAAAAAAAGAAAAAAAAAATAAAGTCCAACCAATATGGCATTTTTAAAATTTGTTTCCACTGGTGAACTCAATCCATTTAAATGTATTGTAATTACAGCTGTATTTGAATTTATTTCTAATGTTATATTTTGGGTTTCCATGTTTCTTTTCTTTTTTTCTTGCTTACTTTCAGATCAAGTTTTTCTTTAGTTCACCTTTTTTCTCTCTGGTTTAGAGATGATTTGCCCACATTTATTTTAATTGGTATCTTAGAAATTGAAACATGCAACTTAAATTTAATGAATTCTAAAATGATGTAATCAATATTTTTACTCTCATTTGGAGACTACTTTAACTGTCTTTAGCATATTCCCAGCTCACATGCTGTTAATATGTAGTATTAGTTCAATCTTTTATATTTTTATTCCTTAAGCAATAGGCTTATTTGGATAAACAGGTTGAGTATCCCTTTTCCAAAATGCTTGGAACCAGAAGTGTTTCAGATTAATTTTTTTTTGTATTTTGAAATATTTGTATACATATTATCACTGTCTTAGAATGGGACTCAAGCCTAAACATGAAAATTATTTGTTTCATATACACTTTATGCACATAGCTTGAAGATAATTTTATTCAATATTTTCAATAATTTGTGCATGAAGCAAAGCTTGTATACATTGAACCAAAAGAAAGCAATGGGTTCACTATCTCAGCCACCCATATGGACAATCTGGTTATTTGGTATCACCATAATGCTGAGCAAATTACTGGAAGTTGGGGACCAGTCAGGACATTATTGCAATCATCCTGCTAAGATGTAGGGTAGATGAGTACATGATAGTGACTCATTGAGACAATGTGAATTTACAATTAACAGTGATAGAAACAAAAGGAATAAAAAATACCATGGATCAAAGACCAAAATCTCTATAAACAGGTGCATTCATTCACTGCTAGTGGAAATATAAATTAGCCAAATCTCCAGATAGGGAATTTGGGAATGCATGCCAGAAACTATAAAAATAGAAGTATACAGTATACCTTTCACCAGCAATTCCACCTTCAGAAGCAATAAATTATTCAGACAAACATGTGAATATGTATGAACAAAACCTTTTCCTGAAGCTTTGTTTTTTTGATTATTATTTTTTTTTCTTAGAGACAGGGTCTCTCTCTGTCACCCAGGCTGGGGTGCAGTGGCATAATTGTAGCTCACTGTACCCTCGAACTCATGGGCTCAAGAAATTCTCCTGCCTCAGCCTCCCAAGGAGCTGGGACTGCAGATACATGCCACCATGCCCAGCTAATATTTTAAATTTTTTGTAGAGGCAAGGTCTGGCTTTGTTGCTCAGATTGATTTTGAACTGTTCTTAAGTGATCTTCCTGCCTTGGCTTCCCAAAGTGCTGTGATCACAAGTGTGAGCCACCACATCTGGCCTTGAATCTTTGTTTTTGAAGCAGCAAATTAGAACCAATCTATATAATACAGTCACAAAACTGAAGATATAAATCTGTATATTTGGTCATAAATATTCACAATCTATTGCTAAATGATAAAAATGGATCACTGAGTAGTATGTAAAATACATCATTAAAATAATATGCAGGCATGTATAGAAAAGGTTTGAAAGTATATCTATAGCTATAGCTATAATTCTAAGAGTGCTTATATTACTTTTTTCTATAGTCTTTTCTTTTTTGATAATGTATGTGAATTACTGTGTTTTGGGAAAATGGTGATGCCATTAATAGATACTTCAAAGAAGCCAGCATAGGATATTGATTTAGTGGAAAATATAATGAATTTAGATGTCATTTAAAGCTCTGGCTGAAAATCCAATTGGATATGTCTGATTATCAGTTTGGAAGAGACTATAAAGAATTTAAAATGAAATAGCTGATAATGGTTACCAGAGGCTGGGAAGGACAGGGGGATTGGGTATGATAAAGGGATGGTTAATGGGTACCAAAATTCAGTTAGATAGAAGAAATAAGGTTTAGTGTTCAGTAACACAATAGGGCAACTATGGTTAATAATAATTAATTGTGTATATCAAAATATCTACAATAGTGGAATTAGAAAGTTCCTAATATAAATAAATGATAAATACTTGAAGTGATGAATATCCTAATTACCTTGATTTGATCTTCATATGCTTGTATCAAAATTTCACATGCACCCCAGATATATGTACAACCATTATGTATCCATAATAATTAAAAATAAAAAAAAGAAATGGCTAATGACAAAATTTTAGAAAATTTAAGATGAAATGGCTGACAGATTTTTTTTTTTTTTTTGAGATGGCATCTCTGTCACCCAGGCTGCAGTGCAACTGTGCAATCTCGGCCCACTGCAACCTCTGCCTCCCAGGTTCAAGCGATTTTTCCACCTCAGCCTCTCGAGTCACTGGGATTACAGGCACCCACCATCATGCCTGGCTAATTTTTG
Organism: Homo sapiens; assembly: GCF_000001405.40. Taxonomy (NCBI): domain Eukaryota; kingdom Metazoa; phylum Chordata; class Mammalia; order Primates; family Hominidae; genus Homo; species Homo sapiens. Next base: position 55,906,891 of record NC_000006.12, on the reverse strand, counting down.
TATTTTCAGTAGAGACGGGGCTTCACCATGTTAGCCAGGCTGGCCCTGAGCTCCTGACCTCAGGTGATCAGCCCGCCTTGGCCTCCCAGAGTGCTGGAATTTCAGGAGTCAGCCACCATGCCTGACCAGAATTTTTTAATATTAAAAAATAATAACTGGCTTCCAGGAAGTCTAGTGCTTATTTTTAAATGCTAAGTTTGAAGAATTATGTAAGCCCATATTTTGGTTGCATTTATCAGCCCTTTTCTTTTACAGAGCTTAACTCTCTTCTCCCTGCTTATTCTCAGTCCTATTATATACAATTGCCTTTATCAGTTATTTGAAATCTTTTATAGATTGATGGTCTATATAGTTTAAAAACATATAGTGTATAATTAACTAATGATTCTATTGGTCATTATTCAGGACAAAGCAACTGAGAGATCACTTTAATTAATTTCTACAATTGAATAAAAATCCTATAGCTATCACTTCTGAGCATCTCACTTTTCCAGGAAATCTTCGAATGACACATTTTTTCTATGATTATTTTGCCAATTTGAAGTTTTGATCTTTTAAAATGATCAAGATTTGATCGTTTTTTAAAGAATAAAAAGTATTTTTATTTATTATGAGAAGTCATTGCATGTCTTTATGGTTCAGGTAAATCTTTATTGACCAAGGTTTTTTAATTTCACAGGTCGGAAAATTCTTCGCAAATCCTAGCTAACCAAAATGCAGATAAAAAATAAAGTTTATTTCTAAAACTGAATCTATCTGTGTGACACAGTTGAAAATGGTCCACTCTCTCCATTTCTTCTAGTTCAACCCCTTTTTGCCCTGTGTGTTATTGCCTCCACTTGTTCTCCCTGCTCTCAACATCTCCTCATTTTATGTCTTCTCCACATTACCACTATAGGTAGTTGATTGTGTAAAATACCTGATTAATAAATTTTTCACTCCCCACTCCTGATGGGCTAAAAACTTTCATAAGCAATGTCTGTATTTTGGTTCTGTGCTGTTTTCCTGATTTCATTTTCCTCTGCTCTTCTTCAGAATGCACTCTGCACTTTAGCTGCTCAAAGTTCCTGGGGGCACAAATTGAATTATTTTGTTTTCTGCTTTTGTAAAGTACAGAGAATTTCTTTCCCATATCTTCTGAAAATCCTATTGATCTGTGTTTTCTTTTCAGCTGCTATAGATTTATTTTGTTTAAAAAAATTAATTGACATAATAATTGCACATATTCATGGGGCATATGTGGTATGTTGATACATGTATACAAAGTGTCATTATCAAATTATCAAACTGCAAAGTGTAATTATCATCATCCTCAAATATCTATCATTTCTTTGTGTTGGTAACATTAAAAATCCTCTCTTCTAACTATTTTGAACTATACAATACATTATTAAGTATAGTCATCCTGCTGTGCTATAGAACCCTAGAACTTATTCTTCCTATCTAAATGCAATATTTTACCCATTAACCAAGCTCTTCCTATTCTTCCCTCCCTGCTACCCTTCCTAGACTCTGATAACCACTATTCTACTCTCTCCTTCTTTGAGATATTTTTTTTTTAGCTCCCACATATGAATGAGAACATGTTGTATTTGTCTTTCTGTGCCTGGCTCATTTCACTTAGCATACAAAAAATCCTAAAAATAGAATTACCATATGATCCAGTAATTCCGGATATATATCCAAAGGAAAGAAAATCAGTACATCAAAGAGAGATTTGCACTTCCATGTTTATTGCAGCAGTAGTCACAATAGCCAAACTATTAAATCAACCTAAGTGCTTATCAATAGATAAGTGGGTAAAGAAAGTATGGTATATTGATCCATTTTTGACAGGGAGGAAAATTAGTTGCAAAATCTGTTGTGGCAACTCATTCATCTAATGACTATATAGATTTCTCTGTTTTCCTTCCTGTGCCAATTCTGGCCCAAGCCTCTTAAAACAGCACAGAGTTGATTGAAATGGGTATCCTTTTTAGCTAAAGGAAGACCATTCTGTAATAAAGAATTCTGTAATAAAGAATGGTCTTCGTTGAGGACTCAGATGAAATAGCACCATGTCTGGAATGGTCATGAGTTTATTCCTTTATCCCTTGGCCCCATGAACATTTCTGTTCTTGCCCATGTGTATTTCCTTCCATTCATGTCAATGCCATTATTTGTTTGTACTATTCATAAATTTCATCCCTGTCTTTGGTCTGGGGAGGATTCTTTCTGTGCATTTTAGTGCCCATTCAAGGGAGGACAATAACTTTAAGAGTATAATTAATGAGAAAAATTTAAATTTCTGAGCTCCTTGGGGTGGTGGAGATGAAGATTTTAAGTCAAGACATAGAAAGTAGAGTGACATCTCTTTATTTACCCCTCTGTCATCCTGAGACTAGAAGATATTCTTAATGATACAGTTCTAACAGTTATTGGTATGTTCCATGCACTGAATGTTTGTGTACCCTCAAAATTCATATATGGAAGCTTAAATACCCAGTATGATGGTTTTGTGAGATGGGCCTTTGGGAGATAATTAAGTCGTGAGAATGGAGCCCCCATTAATAGAATTAGTGCCCTTAGATCAAACAGGAGAGAGATGATCTCTCTCTACTATGTGAGGATACAAGGAGAAGATGACCCTTTGCAAACCAGGAGGACAGCACTCACCAGACTCCTCATCTTTGAGTACCTCAATCTTGGACTTCCTGCTTCCAGAACTGTGAGAACTGTGAGAATTAAATTTCTGTTGTTTAAGTCACCCTGTCTATGGTATTCCTTTATAACAGCCTAAACTGACTTTGACAGTGTGCTGTTGGCCTTATTAAATTAACACGTGCATAAAAGAAAGTGTCACCCATCCAAATTCCACTGGACCCCCCCTCCCACCTTGAAAAAAGTGCAAAATAGAAAAAAATTAAAGAGTGCTTAGAGAAAAATTTATATGAACTTGCTTCCTCATATTAGCTGGCTATAACCTTGCAGGCTTGGGCTCTGATCATTGCCCTTCATTAGTGCATGTAATAACTGGGATTTTTTTTTTTGAAATGGGAAGGGAATGAATCAATTTTCTTGCATTGGTAAGATGCTTAAATTTTTTTCAATAGATTGTTTCTAAATCTGTGGGAAATGTTCTGTTTCAATTTTCAGTTGGAACAAGATTGCACTAAATAAGCGATCCTCTTTCTTGGCTCCCTTAATAAATTGCTTTAAAAATTAATTTTCTTTAGATACTTTGTTACATAATAGTTTCTTACTACTAAATGCTTTAAAAAGTAATAATTTTCTTTTGGATAAAATATTTTCACTGTTTGCACTTTTAATTTTTCTTTTGAATTAGGCATTATAGTAACTTTTCCGGAAATCAGAGGTATGGGTATTATTTCTTCTTCATTAATTATGTTTATTTTTTTCCTTCTCATTTGCTTGCTTCTCTGCTGACAGACACATAGAGAACAGGGCCAAGCTATAGCTTTGCTTTTGTCCTTTGTTTTTAAACGCCACCTGATAAAACCACAATAATTTTTATCTTAAATGTTTATTTTAGTTTGAGCACCTCTACCTTGATATTATTTGGCAGAACATCGAATACTCGAGTTTGACTGCTATTTGGTGAGGAGATGAGACCATACCCTTCTCTGCTTGTGTTGCTATCACCATCTTCCTGACCAATTCTGAGTTATTTCTTGGTTTACAAGCTTTCTCTGCCCTCAAAATCTCTATTTGGCTTATTTAACCTAATAGACATGTCTCTTAAAAAAAAAATGACCCAGCCTGGGCCTCTTCTCTGACTGCCCCAGTCCTCAAGGGTGCTCCTTCCCATTATCTCTTTGGAACTCGAACTCTTTCTCTGAACAAATGAGTCACGTTTATCTAAACCTTACCTTTCAACTCTGTATTTTTTTTTCCTTCTTTTGCTTATGTTTGGGGCCTCTGGAAATCTGAACCTAGGGAAAGAAAAACAAATAAACTTTTCTTCCTAAGAATGCCTTGGCTCTTACCCTTTCTGTGTCTCTGCAGCAGACACAAAGCCTCCATATCCATTTCACATAGATCCTTCTCCCCAGAGCTCTTTTATTCCTAAGCAAAGCAAAGAATTTATAGTCATCTGGTGATTCCAGCACAGTAATTCAATTTTTGTACTGGAAATTTTACTGCTTAATATTTTGGCTAGACTTACCTTATTAATAAATAGTATTAATTATATTAGCAATAATGACTGTTATTAACTGTTTTTTTATGTACCTTGTGCTGAGTTAAGTAGTTTACACAGTTCTATAAGAAATCTAGATTTATTAAATAACAATCACCTCTTTCTTCTAGTCAACATTGTATTTTATGAACCAGGTTGCAGACAGTCAATAAAACATGTTTTGGAGCATGGTCAATGGATCAGAGACCTGGGTTCAGTTCTGTGTCTGCCAAGTAATATGTGTATGACCTTGTATAAGTTATTAAACATTGTTTTATCTAACAAGTATTTTTGAAAAAAATTATGCCTTTTATTTTTAAATTAATATTAAAATTTAAAATTGTATTGACTATATACATTTTAGAACCTGGGTTACATTATTAAATCAAAAGAAATGATATCTAACTAATAGAATTATAGCAAGGAGAAATGAAGTTATATACGCAAAACACTTGACTTAGTGCTTGGCACATAACAGGAGTCAATAAATTATAGCTCTCCTACAGTTCTCCTCTCTCAGAGTTATCAAGCTGCTAAATTCCTGGGCCAGGACCAGTATCTTATTCTTTATGTATCACAGTATTTTATAACAATTTCTAGCATTAAACTGGCTAGGACAGAAATAACGTAAGTCCATCATAAAGTAACTCCTAGTTAAAGTTTTACACTTTTTCCATTTTATTTTTTATGTAGGGTGAAAATCGTTATTTCATCCAGGAAGTAACTGATTAACCATGAGCCTGATTCTCTCCTTTCAGATAAAATTTTAAAGGGAAAGACACTCAAGATGTGATGTAACCATTACTAGCACTAGTTTTCTCAGAACACTACAGAATAATTTGTAAACTTAGAAAATGTTGACAAAAGTAAACAAGAAGAGTACAACACATGTTGATTCATAACAATATTAGGCAGCTCTAATCTGTCAATAAACAAAGACAAGGAAACAGTTCCATTATTTTTGACAACTTATAAATAACTAAGGTCAGGTCCAAACACCTAAGCACTGAATTCAAGTTCCAGTCTGCTTTTCATTTTCTTCTATTTTTTTTTTATGAAGTGCACCCAGACTTGAACATTTGCTCCTCCATGAACATATTACACAGCTGATGCTTTTGAAATTATACTCCTACGATGCATTGTGTCAGGATTTCCACCTCCTGGCCAGCGCGGGCCTATTCTCTATCATCTTTCAAATCTTAACTTAGGGCCTACAACCTCTTCTTTTCTGTTTCTCTTTAGCTATCTTAATTTTTAATATTTTGACAGCAATTACATCTGTATCTGTAGTATAGCATTTCTTTTAGTCTGTCTTTTCTTATGACTTTTTAAAATAGAAAACTTGGGTTGTTAAATAACATTTAAAGACATTGAATCATTAGTTAATCTTTACACAAAGAAAACATCAGATCTAGGCAATTTTATAAATGAGTTCTACAAACTTTTAAAGGTATAGATGATTTTGGTCGTAAAAAAATTCCTAGGCAGTAGAAAACTACAGAATAGATTTTTTTTGCAATACTAAAGTAACTTCATATCAAAATTAGATAGATGGAGTAAAATAAAAATAACAGGCCCGTCTACTCATGAACATAGAGGGAAAAACACTTAAGCAAAATAGTAGCAAACTGAATTTAGATAACATACCAAATATTAAATTCTTGTATTCTAGTTTCAAGTTTGGCTTGACATTAGAAAGTATATTAATAAATTTGCTACATTAACAGATTAAGGAATGAAAAAATTTCAGATGTTCTTAATAGAAGTTCATCATTTGATAAGAATAAAAATTCATTGTTGATGAAAAAACATTACAAGTTAAGGATAATAGACAGCACATACTAACAATCTAGAGCAAATGTTATACTTAATAGAAAAATGTCAGATACGCTTTTTTTTAATCAAGAATAAGGAGGATATTCAATATTACTCTTTATATTTGACATTATTTGGGACCTCCAGGTCCTAACGGTACTTAAGTATACTTGATAATTACCACTGGAAGGGCTCAGAGGACCACATGTTCCTTCCAGAATCTGGTAACTAGGGTATGGTAGAGTAGGCAAGGTGGACATGCCCAACTTTACTGTGTTGAGTATCTTTTCTTTTCTCAGTCTCCACATGGATGTCAAATATCTAGAACTTTGCTGTGCATTATGATAATCTCTGTGTTACAAGTCTGAATTCAAATATGGCTACTCTGGATTGAAAAGCACTATAAGCATAAAATACAACACTGGATTTGAAAGACAGTATAAAAATGCAAACTATATAAATAACTTTTGATAACATGTTTACATGCTAATATGTTGGATATATGGGCTTAAATATTACTAAAATGAAAATTAGTTTTACTGGTTTCATTGTACATTAAAAAAATGTGGCTACCAGAAAATTTAAAATTACATTTGTGGCTCTGATGAGTGGAATTATTATTTCTAGTGAACAGCTCTGATTTGTGGTAAATCTGAGCTGAAGAGCATTAGTGCAGGGTGTAAGGGGTGGAGACAGCATAAATGCTGGCAGGGTGGAGGAGAAGGAGGAGGAGGAGGAGATGACCTGGCTCTTCCTGCGCACTAGGCCATAGCCATCATGCTTGGGAGACTCAAGCTCCACAGGCTGAGGAGCCAGAGCTGAAGACCTTGGAGTTATCCCAGAGAAGATTTCCAGCTCTGGTCTGTAGAGGCAGAGGCGCTGCAGAGATGGCTCTCTGAGACAACAGTCAGTCCATAACGGCAGTGGGGCCATGAGTGATTTCTGCTGGCTTCCCTGGACATGTTCAGCTTAGGGCTGGATCTTTGAGGCTGGGTGATAATCTCAGGCTATCATCAATTTTTCTGCCTCTCCTGTTAGACTTCAAGATTCTTGAGGAGGTCCTGTGGCTTACCTTTTTCCTATCTCTTACTATATAACAACAAACTGTTTTGAATAGAAAACAAGCTCCAGACTTACTTGTTAATTCAAACGGGAATTATTTCTTAGTTCAAAAGCTTTCCATGGGACCATTATTCTTAACTTCATTCACTACTAGACCCCTTCAGGATAATAAGCACGCAGGACCCGTTACCTCTCTAGCACTGGCCAGAAGGTAAAGAATTCTTTCAAGGTGCATAGCTTCATAGTATTTTTAAAGTATGTTGGAGACTCTACTATTAGTATCATTATCATTTGTGTATAATGATTTTTTTTTTGAGATGGAGTCTCACTCTGTCACCAGGCTGGAGTGCAGTGGCACAGTCTCAACTCACTGCAACCTCCGACTCCCTGGTTCAAGCGATTCTCCTGCCTCAGCCTCCCGAGTAGCTGGGACTACAGATATGTGCCACCATGCCTGGCTAATTTTTGTATTTTTAGTAAAGATGGGATTTTACCACGTTGGCCAGGATGGTCTTGATCTCCTGACCTCATGATCCACCTGCCTTGGCCTCCCAAAGTGCTGGGATTACAGGCATAAGCCACCGTGCCTGGTCATGAATTCATTTTTAAATGGATTTTTATAACCCTGATTAAGAAGTCTTAATATATGATCTATGAATGTCTCAGTTTACTGAATAGACAGTAAAATAATTCTGTCTCACTCTTTTGCACCTCCTTTTTTTTTTTTTGACCTTTCTTGCACTAACATTACTAACAAACAGATTCATATCTTTACTGGTGTTGTTGAACATCTACTATGTAAAGTTTTGTGATGGCTAAAAGATACACAAGACATATTCTCTATCTTCAAGTTGTTTACTGTCTCACAGAAGATTTAAAGACACCAGTAACTTTAACACAAACAGCATAAGAGGGTGATGGAGCTCTAAAAATTCAGGACTGTCACATTGACCAGGAAAGAGGGATCTCTGTCACCCGAGGAGATTAAAGCAAATATCATTGTTGAGATGACTTCCAGAGTGAGTCTTAGATGATAAGTGGAATTTGGATAGTGGAAAAAGTGAAGAGGGCATTATCTCTAGGCATAAGAAATGGCATGAACAATGGTAGAGTCTTCTAAAAATGAGGTTTATGGCTGTTGAGCTGAGCAACAATTTGAGATTCTTTTTTGTTTTCTCTCCATAAATAAGAGTAGTGTTTAGTTTATCTGATAGGAAATAGGAAAGTACCAAAAACAATGAAGATGTGTGACATGATCCAAGCAGTACTTTAGTAATTAAGAGTGTTGTGCAAGGTGACTTAAGGAAGAATCAAAAGACGTTATACTTCATGGGAGTCATAATAGAAGAATGAAAGAAATGTAAACGTCTACAGGGAAAAAATTCAAAGCATTTAGCAACTGATGTTGATATAGGTTATGTATTGAAGAGAAGAGTATAACCAAATATCTGTTTGAGACTAACAAACCGACTAGTGAAAAAGTTATGTTTTTCAATTTTAAATGCAACCAACTATTCAGAATTTCACTCTAATTTTGTCTTTAGTAGCAAACCTATCTCTCCCTTTCCTTTTACTCTTCTAATTTTTTATAAAATATTTCTTTATTATTTTCATTATTTTCATTATTTTGCTTTCCATACCCTTTGAAATCTGGCTTCCATCTACACCCCTCCACCAAAACTTTTTAGGCAAAGGTCTTTGATGATGATCTCTTTGTGGCTTAATAGGCTAGATTTCTATTCCTTATCTTTACTTCACTAACTATTTGATAATGGTAATTAATTAATCATTTTCAACTCTCTCCTATCTTGGTTTCTGTGACACCATTATCTCTTAGTTTCTTTTCCTACATATTTGGTTATTTAAAGAACAATGCTTCCTTAACCCATTTCATATATGTTGGAGTTTCCTAACTTTCTATTTTCAGCCTTTACATCTTATAATTCTACACATGCATTCCCATAGTTTCAACCTTAATTTCCAATGTTTTTTAAACAAATATTTATTGAGTATCTGTCTTTACCAGACATTTTGTTGATGAATCCCAAAATCATCATTTCTATTTCACCTTTTCCTCCTGAGCTCTAGATCCCAGATGTCCATCTGCCTACTTGAGTTAATCTCCTGACTGTAATCGAAGCCCTGCAAAGATAACATTCTCTGTCCCGACCCCTCCTCAGACTAAGTCTTACTCTTCTATCTTTTTTCTTAGTGAACTGTAATAACATTTATCCAGTTGACCCAATTAGAATCCCAAGAGCTCTGCTTGACTCTGCATTTCAGTAGATGACAGCATGGACAGTTGCCAATGGCCAGAGACCAGATGTCTTTCTTTCATGAATTACCCCCTGAAGAGAAACAGGAGTAGAAGGACAGAAAATCTTGCATAGAAAGCATTTGAATTTGAAATAACTGTTTTTCCATAGAATTGGCTAAAGAATTATAATGGAGATTCAAAATTGAGGTTGAAGTGCATTTTAGAAAAAGTATGTTAAAATTTTGCTCACCTGAATGCACAGCTTAAAAATATGACTTAAATTTGTTCAATTACAGTATACTTCTAAACGTTTTTCAGAAGTTCCTTATAACTTTTAGGATAAAGTCCAAAAACTATAGCACTGGATCCAAAGCTCTTTACAATCAGATTCATGCTTGCCTCTCCAGCCTCATCTCTGGCTACAAGCATCCTTGCATTCTACCTTTGAATAAGCATGGTTTTTCTGACCTCTATATTTGCTCTTACATTTTCTTAGCATATTTGTTAGCCAATATTCACTTGAGTAATTCTTATTCATTAGTTCATCCATAAACATTACAGAACATCTAACAATGTGCCTAGTATTGTTTAGTTCTGAATCCCAAAGATGAAAAAGCCAAAATCCTTGCTCTCAAGGAACTCATTATCTGTTGGAAGAGGCAGACACAAGAGATAAGTTTATTGATAGGACATTGATAGAGATGTATCACAGATGGTGTCTCTGGAATTGAGGGAAAGGTCTTGAAAGACTTCATGACAGAAGTGAACTTATGTGCTATGGTTTGAATGTTTGTGTTCCCTCCAAAATTTTTATTGAAACATAACCCCCAATGCTACAATATTAAAAGGTAGGGCCTTTAGGTGATAATTAGGTAATGAGGGCCTTGCCCTCATAAATGAATTAGTGCCCTCTAAAAGGACCTGAGAGGGCAAATTTATCCTTTCTATCCCTTTCACCATGTGAGGACGCAGTATTCATCCCTGTCCGAGAATGCAATAAGATGTTATTCTTGGAAACTGAAAGTAGCCCTCACCAGACAGAAACTGCCAGCACCTTGATCTTGGACTTTCATCCTCCAGAACTGTGAGAAATAAATCTCTATTATTTGTCAATTACTCAGCTTCAAGTATTTTGTCATAGCAGCACAAATGGACTAAGACTATGAGAACAGCCATGTACTTTCCCAAGTTTTTAATGACTAAGGAGTGCTTTCCTATGTTTAAAATAAATCTTTCTCTGTAGTTGATTTTAGTTCTTTCCATTAGGGGACAAATCAATGATATCCTAAATCAGTGCCAAAGTTTAAAGTGAGGAGCTTTGGAATGATAAAATGGTTTTGCTCATAACCTAACCCTGCCAAAACAGGATTTTCAGGTGAGGTCAGACACTTCATCTTTGAAAAACAGTTCTGGAGATCACTGTGATACACATGCAAGGTTGAATACTGTTGTTAAATAATAGCTGGCAAGCACACAAAGAAAAAACAAACAAGAACTCTGCTAGTGATTTACGTTTGTTCAGGACTTAGCTTAGATAGCATCCTTTCAGAAATTTGTTTTGTATTGTCGTAAGTCTGGGATAAACACCTGCGGAAATCTGGGTTTAGCTCTATTAAAATACACTAAATTCTATATTTCTGTCTTCTCCATTAGACCTGAGGATAAAAACTATATCTTTTATATTGGCATTAACAAGACACAGCGTAGTACCAGAAGCATAGAAAATGCTTAATTGACATTGACTATAATGTAGGGGATATGCATTATGGAATATAGGGGACTCAGGTTTTAAAGAGGGACCAATAAATTCTATTTTGTTCATATTGAGTCTAAGGTGCCATTGGTTTATTTAGTTTTGAATACCCAGTGAGCAACTAGAAATGTGGGACTTGAAGTTCAGAAATAAGTCAGGACTAGAGATGCTGGTTTGCTAATAATCTTCAACACAGTATTAGCTGAAGTTATGAAAAGTATGTATGTATCTATCTAAGCATAGGAGGATAAAGAATTAATAAAAAAGACACATCAAAGGCTTTTCTAAATATACAAAGGAAATAAGGAGAATCAGTGCCACATAACTCAAGAGAAGAAAAAATTTCACAGTGAATAATGGGTCAACATTGTTAAATATTATAACTACAGTATCAAGTGCTATTGAGGGTGGGGTGTGGTGGCTCATGCCTGTAATCCCAGTGCTTTGGGAAGATGAGGTAGGAGGATTGCTTGAGACTAGGAGTTTGAGACCAACCTGGACAACACAGTGATACTCTTTCTCTACAAAACATTTTTTAAAACTGTGGTTGGGATACACAAGAAAAGTTAAGGATAGAGAACATCCATTTTATATTATAACTAGGAGATGAGAGTTGACATGTAAGGAAATAGTTTCAGCTAAGTTGTGGGGACAATAACTTAATACTAGTAGATAACCAAATACGTAGTGATAAAATGGTGGAATTTTGGACAGGTGAGAAATTACATGATAACTTGATGGACTGACAGGTGAACACAAAAGTTTGCATTATATTGAAATATTGGAAAAGAAGGAGCAAATGACTGATAAAGGTGGGATGGTAGAAAATATTGAAAAAGGAATGACTGGTGAAGGATAAACTTTGGCAAGGCAGTATGGTATGGCGTTGCAACCACAGAGGGACATTGTGACGATTCGGGAGGCACCTCTTTGCATGACATAGAAGAGAAAAAGAAAATAGATACAGAATCATTTTGAGGTTGAAAGGGAATTAATTTTAGGTTTATTAAAACTTCCCAGGGCCGGGCACAGTGGCTCGCGCCTGTAATCCCAGCACTTTGGGAGGCTGAGGTGGGCAGATCACGAGGTCAGGAGATAGAGACCATCCTGGCTAACATGGTGAAACCCTGTCTCTACTAAAAATACAAAAAAGTAGCCAGGCACGGTGGAGGGTGCCTGTAGTCCCAGCTACTCGGGAGGCTGAGGCAGGAGAATGGCGTGAACCTGGGAGGCAGAGCTTGCAGTGAGCTGAGATCATGCCACTGCACTCCAGCCTGGGCGACAGAGAGAGACTCCGTCTCAAACAAAACAAAACAAAACAAAACAAAACAAAACAAAATAAAACCAAAGAAAACAAAAACAAAAACTTCCCAAGAAATTATGGCATTAGCTGAAGATACATAAAGTATAGAATTAGTGTCAAAGTCTGAGGCAACTAAGCAAGCCTGAGGAGCTACTGTGAATATATTAATACAGATGAGGATGGTAAAAATTTAAGGAGATGAGAAATGTGGAGATCTTATGAAGAGCAACACCGAATTAAGTGACCATTTGGACTGTAGTAGGTTAAGGCTATAGTGAATGAATGTTTGAGAAATATGGTGTAGAGATCCAAGGAAATATAGGAAAAAAAAAAACAGGTTTAGAAGCTCTGAGAGTAACTGAGTCAAAACCACAGGATAACAGGCACTTTTAGTTAGTGAAAGGAGAATCCTTTTTTTTTAGTTGGTGGGTATTTTTTTCAAGTTTTTCCTCCTCTAGTGGCCCATGTGAAAGTCTTATTATTAGAGTCTCTGTGATTCCCAAATACAATTTCAAATTTTGATGCATAAAATTGCCACCTTTGGAATTTTTAAATTTATTTTTGACAATTAAGGGCAATAAAAAAGAACTTCCATCTGCTCTATGAAAAAAAGCAAGGAAGACAAAATATAAGAATTTAAAAAATGGATTTTCCAAAACAGCACATTTTGCAATTATGTTAATACCTGAGTTTAAATTTATATACTCATATATATATATGCATACACATATGATATTATAATACAGTAAAATATGTGTGTGTGTGTATATATATGTATGTGTATATATATATTTATCCTTATTGTATCATTATTGCCATAACTTATTTTTTGGTTTATTTGGTCATGAAAGCTTTGCCATGATCTGGTAAGACACTGATGACTAGACTTTGGGTCCTGAAGAAGTGATATTTCTTTTGAATGCTGAAGGAATAGGCATAATTTAGGCAAGTAGGTGTTACAGAGAAGAGTATTCCAGATGGAAGGAACAGCAGTGTAAAAGCCTCATAGCAAGGGAGATTGTGGCAAGTTTGAGGAACTTAAATGTGAATGTGACTGAAAGGTGGAGGCTGCCATAAAATGAAGATGTATAATCTAGCTGGAAAGAGGTAAGAGTGGGGGCTGAAGGTGAAATGGTAAGTTTTTAATTTTGTTTTGTTTTGTTTTGTTTTTTTCCCCTCGCTAACTGCTCACCTCCTCTACCACTTGCTTCCTTTTCTGAGCACTTTGGGAATTTAAACCATGGGCAGGTAGGGAACTGTACTGAGTTGAATAGAGTCCTCAAAAATGCATGTCCACACAAAACCACAACATCATTCTCATTAGGGAATAGGCTATTTGCAGATGTTATTAATTAGGATGAGGTCATACTGAAGTAGGGTGAGTCCTAACTCCAGTATAACTGGTGTCCTTGTAAGAAGAGGAGAGACAGACACATAGGGAAGGTCATGTGAAGAGGGAGGCAGAGATTACAGTGATGCATCTGTAAATCAAGGAACACCAAAGATTCCAGCCAGCCACCAGCAGCTAATAGAGGCAAAGGAGGAGCCCTCCCCTGGAGCCCTCAGAGAGAGCACGCCTTGTTCACACCTTGTTCACACCTTGTTTACACCTTGATTTTGGACTTCTAGTCCCCTTAACTGTGAGATAATACACTTCTGTTGTTATAAACCACCGAGTTTGTGGTAATTTGTTATGGAAGCCATAGGAAACTAAAACAGAAAGATGAAAGGAACAGATTATTTCTTATTTGCAAAATTTCCCGTGCTTGTTTTATATTCTCTGGGCCTGCAGGTATTCAACATTGACCCCTTTCTTTTGTAAAGTACTTATGTGAATTATTTTTTATTTTAAAAATATTTAACTAACAAATAAAAATTGTATATGTTCAATGTATAGAATGTGATGATTCAGTGTATATATATGTATATACATATATGTATTGTATTGTAATGATTATCACAATCAAATTAATTAATACATTCATCATTACTCATGCTATACATTAGATACCCAGAACTTGTCATCTTATAACTGAAAGTTTTTACTCTTTGAGCAATATCTTTCCCTTTCCCCCATCCCCGAGCCCCTGGAAACCACTATTCTACTCTGTTTCTGTGAGTGCAACATTTTTAGACTCCACATATGAATGAGATTATATAATATTTGTCTTTCTGTATCTGGTTTAGTTCACTCAGAATAATGTCCTCTAAGTTTATCCATGTTGTCACATAGCAAGATTTCTTTCTTTTTTGACTGAGTAATATTCCACACACATATATCATTTTCTTTATCCATTCATCCACTGATGGGCACAGGTTGTTTTCATATCTTGGTCATTATGAGTAATGCACACTCAACAGGGGGGTGCAAATATGTCTTTGAGATACTATTTTATTTTCTTTGGATATAGCCTGAGAAATAGGATTGCTGGGTTATATGATAGTTCTATTTTAATTTTTTGAGGAATCTCTATACTGTTTACCATATGGCTGTCTCTATTTACAACCCCACCAACAGTGTACAAGGGTTCCTTTTCCTCTATATCCTCACCAACACTTACTGCCTATCTTTTTGATAATAGCCATCCTAACAGGTACGAAGTGAAAGCTTGTTTTGTCTTTGACCTGCATTTCTCTGATGATTAATGATGTTGGACACATTTTGATATACTTGTTGGCCATTTGTATGTCAATACAATCCTTATCAAAATTTCAATGGCATTTTCACAGAAGTAGAAAAAAACCCATAAAATTTGTATAGAACCACAAAGACCTCAAATATCCAAAGCAATCTTGAGAAAGAAACAAAGTTGGATGCATCATGCTCCCTTATTTCAAACAATATTTCAAAGCTGTATTAATCAAAACAGTATAGTATTGTCACTAAAACAGACACATAGACCAAGGGGGGACAGAATAGAGTATAGAAAAAAACTCCATGCATATATGGTCAACGAATCTTTGACAAGAGCATTACAAATACACAATGAGAAAGGAAAATCTCTTCAATAAATGGTGTTAGGAAAACAGTATCTCATACTTTTGTACCTTTGTCTTACACCATATTCAAAAGTTAACTCAACATAGATTAAAGAAAAACATAAGACCTGAAATTATAAAAGTTTTAGAAGAAAACCTAGGGGAAAAGCCCCTTGACATTGATCTTGGCAATATTTTTTTTTTAATATTACATCAAAAGCACAGGCAACAAAAGTAAAATTAAGTTAAGAGATACCTACATGAAACTGAAAAGCTTTTGCACAGCAAAGGAACAATCAGTTAAATGAAAAGGCAACCTGTGGAATAAGAGAAAATAATTGCAAACTATATATCTGATAAAGGGTTACTATAGAAAATATATGAGGAACTTGCATAATTTAATGGCAAAAAAATCAAAAATAATTAAAAAATGGTCAAAGGACCTGAATAGACATTTTTCCAAAGAAAGCATAGAAATGGCTGGCGGATTTATGAAAAGTTGCTTATGTGGATTCTTATGACCCACCGCTGCCCTCCAGTAGGATAGCTTTCTCACTGACTATTTCTTGATGTAAGTGATGTTTTGACCTATGGTTCTTTTTTTTTTTTTTTTTTTTTTTGTAGTCTCTAGGAATCCAGGGTGGCTTTTAACTTCTCTCTACTGTAACCAGTTCATTCTTTAGGTAGCCTTCATGGGATGGGCCCTAATAAAACTCAACATACTGAGTCACCCCTACCTGTGGCCCGCATCTGGTCCATAGAAACCTTTAAGTTTGTTTTGCTTTATTGAATTCTGGGAATACAGGCTCATTCCAACTCAGCTCCCCGCTTTTGCTTCACCATCAGAGCCATTCGCCCGTTGTTTCTTGTCTTAACACTTCCCAGATGTGAGGCACGGCAACTTCCAACTTTAAGGTGCACATATCAAGTTCTCTGAGGAGACTCCTTGAAGCTTCTGTAATTAAGTTTGAAGTTAGAGGCAGATCCCCATCCTCAGCTCTTTCCCCTGAAAAAGAAGAGGAATTCACAACCCACCGGTTTTCTACTTCTGACCCCTTTCTGCTCTGGAAGTGAGGAACTTACTGGTTGTTTAGCTGGGTTTTATATAAACGTCCTTTGAAAATACTTTTGTCTAGCACCTCTCCTTGATTTCTGAATCTGCCATTTTAAGGTATTGGATAAAACTCCTACTTTATCGTCTTTTTATATGTAGTCAGTTGTTTAATGTTTGCTTCTTCCTTAGAATAATAAAGTTACTTCCATGAAAGCAGAGATATTTTACTTCTAATAAATGTATTCCTGGTACCATCTTAAATGCCTAGCTTATGGTAAGGCAATAAAGTATGTATTCAATGAATGTGTAAATGAATGATAAAATTACAAAAGAAACACATTTCTCAGGTACTAAATTTTAAAAGAAAAATTCATGTGATGCTCATATAGGAGTTTATGTAGAGATGAACAATGTTCTCAGCATCAGTGTTATAGATGTACTAAACTAATATGACTTATATTATACTTTATCCCTAAAATCAGATTTTCTCAAGGGGTGTATTAATGGCATGCTCATTAAGTTATCTTTTCTAAGTAACTTGTTTCTTAGCTCATGTTAAATAAAATCATAAAACAGGTTTTTGTATTTATTTTCTTTGATGAGTATAAAAATGTTAATATCTGTAAGATTGATTTATGACAGGTTCATATTCTGTGGACAGTGGATTAT
This sequence comes from Homo sapiens, assembly GCF_000001405.40. Taxonomy (NCBI): domain Eukaryota; kingdom Metazoa; phylum Chordata; class Mammalia; order Primates; family Hominidae; genus Homo; species Homo sapiens. The sequence continues at coordinate 55,889,822 of NC_000006.12, read as the reverse complement.
CAGGTGATATTGTTTAACATTTCATTATACATATTGAGATATTAATATTAGTCATTTTTCTAAATTAAAGGATATTTTAGGTAAAGAAACTACTAATGCTGTATAACAAATTACTCCCTGCTGTGGTTTGAATGTGTCTATTGCCTCCAAAATTCATGTTGAAAACTTAATCTCCATTGTGGTGGTATAAAGAGATGTAGCCTTGGGAGAAGTCATGATCTTATGAACGGATCAGTGTCTTACAAAAGGGCCGGAGAGAACTAAGTTAGACCCTTTTTGCCCTTCTTTTTCCTGCTGCATGAGGAAATAATGTGTCCTTTCTGCCATATTAAGTAATCAGCAAGAAGGCCCTCACCAGAGACAGACTGCTGCCATCTTGATCTTGAACTTCTCAGCTTCCAGAACTATAAGAAATAAATTTCTGCTCTTTATAAATGATTCAATCTCAGGTATTTTGTTATAGCAGCAAAATAGACTAAGACATTCCTATACATAGAAAGTGAAAGCAATGAACATTTATTATGTTACATTTTCTGTGCATCAAGAATCTGGTGACAACATAAATCGATACCTCTGGCTTAAGGTCTCTTTTGAGACTGTGGTTAAGTTATTGAATGTAGCTGTGGTATCCTCTGATGGTTTCATGGGGGTGGGTGGGTAGAGGGATTTGCTTCCACGTTTATTCATATGGCTTTTGGCAGGCCTCAGATCTGCTTCGAAGCTCACACATGTGGTTGCTAGTAGGCCTTAGTTCCTCACCATGTGGGCCTCTTCAGAGGCCCTCTGAAAGTCGTCACCACAGGACAGCTGGTGATCCAAGAGACAGAAAGCCTGAGAGTGAGAAAGAGAGAACACGCAAGTTGGAAGTTAGTCATTTTATAATCTAATAGTAGAAGTAACGTTCCATTACTTCTTATGTATTTTATTCATTACGAGCAGTCAATAAATTCAGCCCACACTTCAGGGGAGGGGATTACACTAGGGCAGGAGGACCAGGGGCCATTTTAGAGGCTGCCATTATCTGTATCAGGACCTAAACCAAAACATTTTCTTGAGGTATTCACATTTTTACACTGAAGAACATATGAATATTCTTTAACAATTTTGAAGACATTCTTACTATTTGGCTACCTGCACCATGGAAAGTTTTTCTATGATTGTTTCAAGCAATACTTGAGAGTATTAATAGTAGTGACTATTAGGGTAGTTGTTATTGAAATCTCTTTGTAAATATTATATTGAGACAAAGACACTGTTTAAGAGAAACCTGCCATGTATTGAAAAGATAGATATCCAACTATCTTTTTTATATTTCTTTCTGTATCTTTTTTGTAATATATGTGGATACATTTCCCAGATCTATCTTCATTAAATTTTTCCCTTCAGCTGTGTGAAATCGGACCATTTATTGATTGATTTTTTAAAAAATTGGTGTTCATAATTTTATTTCTATTAAATTTTTATTAATTTTCAAATCCTCCTGTTCTTTTATCAATGTCCTGCTTTAAAAAATTATGATTTCTATTTCTTTTGTTGTGGCTTTACCATTTTAAACATAGTTTTAAAAGTTTACTTTGGATGGTTTTATTCCCTCCAGTTTGGGGATGTGCAGTACTTCCTGCTGTCTTACTTGACAGCTCCTGCTCAGTTTAGATTGCTTCCTTATATGGTTTGTAGTTTTTGATTTTAAACTTTTCTTTAATAAGTATTTTCTCCCTGTGCAGAATTCTGTGGACTCTAGTGCTTAAAGGGAAGCTATTAATATGTATCTATGCTATGTTTGTTCAATTGGTTTAAAACAAGTTTTTAATATTGAGACTTGGGAATTCTACCACTAACCTTAAGGACAGCAGAGTACCATGAACTATTTAATTTTATTTATTTATCGTATCGTATCGTATCATATCGTATCGTATCGTATCGTATCGTATTGTATTTTTTGAGACGGAATCTTGCTCTGTTGCCCAGGCTGGAGTGCAGTGGCGCGATCTTGGCTCACTGCAACCTCTGCCTCCCGGGTGCAAGCAATTCTCTGCCTCAGCCTCCTGAGTAACTGGGATTACAGATGCCCGCCACCCTGCTAGGCTAATTTTTGTATGTTTAGTAGAGATGGTTTCACTGTCTTGCCCAGGCTGGTCTTGAACTCCTGACCTCGTGATCCACCTGCTTCGGCCTCCCAAAGTGCTGGGATTACAGTTGTGAGCCACCATGCCTGGCCTTGTTTTAATTTTTAAAGGAGAATTTTAATTTATTTTTCACTTATATCCTTAGGCCAAATCAAATATTACTTCACTAGGGGTTATTATTTTATCTCTCTCTTCAATTGCTCAGAGGTCCCCCCTTTATTTTCCTAGCTCTCTATAAGGATCTCAAGTTCAACATCTATCTTCATGTAAGTCCAAGGTAATATTCATGTCTCTATATGGACAGTTAATCTGCATCCCCTAGAAATGCGGCTTTTCCTGAGCCTGATAACCCCCTAAACATCTATTGAGTCATTTTGTAAATTATCTGGTTTTACATTTCTTCTTTGTTGTTGGTGCCTAGGAATTTCTCTTATTTTCCTTTAAGCTCATCTGTATATTTCACTTCATTATTTTGATTACATGTGATTTACTGTTTACTTATGTAGCAAGAGATGTGCTTTTTTACTACAGTCAGGTTGTAAGAACTGTACTGAAAAATAATAATAGAATTTGTTATTGAACCAATTCCTTTATTTACTTTTGAAATTTGTTGTTGAACCAATTCCTTTATTTACTTTATTTATCAATGTATATCTTCCTTCCCATCCTTGATTTCCTTTATTTTACATTGACCCCATGTAGAGACAACCTCATAATTTCAGATCCTGTCCTACGTGAAATCTATGTCTATGTAGAGCCTTTCATTTCTTTTCACCCACGAAATTAGTCTCTAGATGTGCCTAGGTACTTACTGTATAATTTTTTACCCTATAATTTAAAACTGTGTACATAAAATACTTATGGGGTGAGAAGGTATAAATCCTTCTAGCCGAAAGAAATGTAATTAGTGTTTCGGCATATTTGAGTGTGTCGTTGCAAAATACTGTTCTCTAGGTTAGTGGTGTGGTTTGGTATAAAAGAAGTAATAGAAATGTTCATAACAGAGACCCAGGATATAAAAGTCCCTTTGTGTTTTTCATTACAAGGTCATTACTTGCCATTCTTTACAAAATAAACATGAAGAATTGTTTCCAGGTTCTAAAGTTCAAGAGTTTTTGGACAAACTTAGTAAAATGGTAAGTGAAATACTTAAAGAACTGTAACTGAAAAGCAAAAATTTAAAGATGTATATTTTCATAGCAATAGAGATAGGATTATTATTTCTAAAAGCTTAAAGTGTGTCTAAACATTTCCATTCAAAAAGGTTACAGTAAATTTCTGCAACTTTACAATTTATATAACCAAGAGGTGGCAGTGTTCCATCTAGTTTCCTTTGGAAACTCATTCTCCAGAGGTAAAATTTTCAGATGTATTCTAATTAACTTTTAAAACAATTGACTTTTATTAAATTAATAAATACTACTATCACATGTACTTAAAATAATTATAATTGAGTAGCATTTTTTGAGTATAAGAACATTAAAGCATTACTGTATAGAATAGTTTGATCTGAACAGCCAAAAATTAGACATTTTCAACATCATCATATGGGTGTTTTACATCTAAAATACTTTGTTACTAGATTGTCTCTTTGGTGTTCTACTCTGTCTTTAATATTAATTAATTTATTTTGTAACACTATGAAAACAGTGATTTATCTTCATGTCTAACTAGTTAATAAGGGGAATAGTTTGGATTGAGAGTTCGTAACAGACAATATAATTTCATCATTATCTTTCAACATTTTCTTCAAGAAGAAAATAATAAACATTTATGAATATTTTCATCTATTGAAAATACATACAAATACAATCTTCAGCTATTAGTATTACAATGAAAGCAGCTAACATAAATAATTGAAACAGATTTCAATCCCAAATTCCAAATCTGTTCCAGAAAATCTTAAATGAAAGCTTATTGGAGGCACAAATTCTCTTTTACAAGTATGTCCTGGCAATAATTGACTTAACAGTCAATTATTACAAACAAAATCCAGGTTTCTTAATTAAAATACAAAATATTGGCTCTCCTACTTAGCCTGAAATAAGTTATGTCTTAAGGAGACTGCAATTATGGTGGCGCCTTCTAATGCCACTGATGGTCAGAGCCTGTCAGTGTTTGTATAAAAACTAATTTCTTTAGAGGTTTGCAACAGTGCTGTGGATTGTTACTTCCTTAGCAAAGGCTTGGCATCAAAATTCTAAAACAGAAGTTTAGGGATTTTTTTTGAGTTTGGTCTGAACACCAAAAGACTTTCATTTTTACTCTCATAAACGTGGAAAAAGTAAATTCTACCATTTATTATAATTACATTTTTGAACTTGAGAATTTTATCTTTAAATATGTATATAAAAGTTATGAATTGGGTATATTTGGCAAATAATACTAAATATAAATTAATGAACCACTCATAGCAAATTTGAAACAAGTTTTAAACAAAGCCTTTACATATTTGAATGATAGCTATTTTTATTTGGTAAGCCCAAATAAGTTTTTATAATTGATTTTATCAAAATGAATAAAATGCATTTATTTTTCACTTATCAATGTTAGTGACAAAGTCTTTTTAAATGACTTATTTATTCATGTAAGACTCCTTAACCAGCTAACTTAAGAAAGACTTCTAGGACAGAATAGGTTACACTAGTTATAATTTTATCTTTCTTCTACTCACTTGCTTCTCAATTGAAAGAGCGGAAATGACAGTCAAATTGTCTACGGCTGGTCAGTGAGACTTGGGAAGAGAGAGAGCAAAAACCGTGAACTGATTTTTATACCTTGGATTCATACTATGTTTGCTTACTTCTATGTGTGTTTCTCAAGGAATTTAGTGTTGTTATAGGTCATATTGGCATAAGAAAATATCCTTTAGTAGATAAGCATTTTGACTGCTATGTATTAAACTGGAGAATGCATTTTTTTAAGCTGTGTTGTCATATAAACTGTGTAAAAGTTTATATGGACCAGTCACAATTGTGACATACATTTCTTAGACTTTGATACAATATTAGTAAAGTAATAAAATATATGAATAATTATAATGTTAATTTAATAGTTGTCATTGCTTATAGATGGTTTGTAAATATTTTTAAGCAAATTTATAAATTTCACTCTATGAATATTCATTCTATTGGACATCTATATATCAAACACTGTTCCTATAACACTGAGGCAACAATAATGCATAAGAAGAAATTTCCATCCTTCAAGAAGTAGTAAAATATTATAACACTTGACACTTATTATTTATTTTGTGTCAGGACCCATGCCAAGTCTTTTTATGTTTATTAACTTATTTAATCTTCATAAAACCCTAAGTGATAGCACCTGCCATTATCTCCATTTTACAGATCAGGAAACTGAGGCAGATAGTGCTTATACAATTATGAAATGGTGGAGTGAGATACAAATTTAGTCTAGTTCCTGAGCAGAGGCTTTCAATTGTTGTGTTATTTTGCTTCTCCATTTATAACAAGACAGACGTACTCTTTTCCAGATGTTCTGGTTGAAAATCAGTCTTAGGATATGTTTTGCATGATGGCAATCAGCTCCTTGGATAATCACCTTCTTAGCTCCTTAGATACTGTGATTCCATAGTAAAATTTTTTTGGAAAATGCTATATACTACACCTCCCCTTCACTACCATATTTTTAAAAATCTAAATGTGCAGTAGCATGCTAAATGTTTTGGGCGATCTCTTTGTAAAGGTATGAAAATTATACACTTCTCCACAGTGATCTGAATAATGTGACAAATGCTAAGATAGTGATTACATTTATGAAAGAATATTCACATACTGCATCCTTTAATGATTATAAAAATCTTCTGAAATATTTCTTATTAATATCCCTTTTTTAAGGTAAAGAAACCGAGGCAGATGTGTTAAGTGACATTTCACATGTAACAAAGCAGACAGTAGCAAAACCAGTGCTTGAATCAGTTCTAATTCAAAACCCAATGCTCCCAATTATGTAAAGTAAACGTCTCCACTGTCAAATACCACATCCTTGTAGGCAATTATCTATATGCTTTAGATGATTCTTTTACCAAGCTGTTAGTTGGTTGTGTATTGCTTGCTTCAAGGGTGAACAAGCTAACTTTTTCTCTTTTCACTCATCATATTCAGAAGTTGACAGCCTCCCTTAACACTAATGAAAAACCTCAGGGTAGATGTGCATTTTAATTTTATTTCCTTGTGCAGTGGAAGAGCAGTTAGTGAATCAAGCCTATTTTTCTCTATTGCTACTGCAGTAGGATACCATGAGAACAGATTTGAGATGTGCTGTTAAAACAATGAGGAAATATCACCAAGGAGAGAAATGCTGTATGTCCTCCAGGATATTAGGAGATTGTACAGAAAGATAACAGCATGAAATCCCTGGCTTTGTCTAACTTTGTCTATCTGTAGACATAACAATTTTATTTGGTGAAATGATCTTTTCATAGTAATTCTTAAGTCTTTTTCTCTTCTTCAAGTGATGAAACAGAAATACAAACATTGAATCCCAGGTTGTCAGTGTGAAGTAACCAATGGAAAAGCTCACAAGAATCTCAATTTTACTGGGCGAAGTGCCCATGATAATAAGTTATGAAACATGTTGACTTTTATGAAGCATTTTCTCATACATGTTCTCATTTAATGGGCTCAACAGCCTCATGATAAGGGACTCTTTTTTTCTCCATTTCACAGATGAAGAAACTTAGATTCAGAAAAGTGACTCTTTGCTGTTACTCTGTAGTTGTGTGATTCCACTGTGACTTTTCCAAGGTCATTCAGACAGTAAGTGGCAAAAACAAGATATAAATCTTGTTTCCTGGCTTCAAGCCCTATGCACTTTCCTTGGCAAGCACCATGCTTCTTAAATATCCCTGGCATTAGTCATGGAAGTGGAAAAACCATGAGCAATGAGAACTGAAGAATTTTTACAACATTCTTTGATTACATGATAAGTGATAAGGAATAGAAACTTTCTACTAAAAAGTTTCAAGCATCCAAATGACATTTGGATAGTTGCAAAGATATAGTATTCATATCATAGAGTAATGAGTTTTAAGCTTATGCCCTGTAGTTATTGATTTTATCCATCTAAGAGATTCTGATTCTATCATATATGGGTGATTTATATTTCAATTTGGTAGGAAGATCATGCTAGCCTGTTCTTGGGCTTACAATTGCAGAGGCAAGCACCCATTGAAATCTGTATATTTAGATTTATAGACTAAGCTGAGAATATTTGAACTGCTCTAGATTTCCATGGAAATAACTTTGGGCATCTAGAGAGCTCTTGAAAAGCTTGACTAGTTGTGAGTGTTGACACTTGTCTGACTCTGTGTAAGGGATGTTATTAGATTGATCTTTTTCTAATGTGCCTTTATCACTGATTTAAGAAGCATGCTTAAAATATATATGTAGTATGTAGTATATTTACATATGTGGAGTTTCTGGATTATTGTAGAAATTGTAGACAATTTTGCTTAACTTTATTTCCCTAGAAGTGGTTGGAGGAAAACACAAATCTTAGAAGGCTTTTTAGAAGACACAGTATTAAGTGAGATTGCATATTGGATTAGAGCCTACTATTAAAAGAAAATATCTCATGCCAGAATATAAAATTATTGGATGGTAAGAAGTTAATTCCTTAGAGTCAAAGATAATTATTCATTATAAGTGAGAACTGACAGGATATAATTTCCACAGCTACTTAGGTTATTTTCTTGTATTCTTACTATGAGGCTGCATATCTCGTTAAAATTCAGAGTTATTGCTGGATTCAGTGGCACATGCTTATAAGTGTTAGCTACTCAAGAGGAAAAGGTGGGGGCGTTGCCTGAGCTCAGGAGTTATAGTTTGTAGTGTGCTGTGATCATGCCTGTGAATAACCATTGCACTCCAGGATGGGACACATAAGTGAGACGCATCTCTAAAAAACAAATTCAGAGTTATTATTACTGTTATTGTTATTATTATTATTATTATCATTGTTTTGGCCAGAAATAGTGAAAAAGTTGTGAATATTTCAAAAGAATTTATATCTACATCTGAAAACACTGATCTTCTTGGGTTGGGTAAATAGGGTACAATATTTGCATCTGTTTCCGCAAAAGCAGTTTAAAAGTAAAATGAAGTTATAAGATGGGAAGAATATTATTATACTGCAGATCGATGTCATCACTGTCTTGCTGGTGAACGTGCAGCTATAAAAATACAACTGTTCTAGAAGAAAGAAAAAAGAACTGGAGATTAGGAGAAGAGATGGTAGGATTAAATCCCTCTCTGTAGGAAGAAAGGGGTGGTGAAAGGTGAGAGATAAAGAAAACAGTTACACACTTGAAAGAGAGTTCTAGATAAGAAAACTAGGAGGGATAAGCCTTTTAAAAATGGAGACTCAAGATAAAAAGTTTATTGTAAAATAGAGGAACAAAAGATATAAACAGAATGCAAAGTATAAGAAGATAAAATCAATACATTTTAAATGTAGGAAGTAACTGGGAAATGAAGACGGAAAGGAGATCCAGTGTAAGAGGAAACTTCAGAAATAAACATGCACCTCTGAGGAAGATGCATGTGCATGCACACCCATGCACATGGCTCTCTCCAAAAACCAAGAAAATGGGAAAACTTCAGAACTGAACATATCCAGTACAGATATGAAGAGTTCTTTTTATATGAGTTCAAATAATGACTGAATTTTTTAAAATTAGATTTTAAAGCTTTGTAGTAGAGGAGGCTTTATAATTCACATTATATTATAATCTAAGAAAAAAACTACAAATAAGAGCAGAGGACTGTGTAATAAGTAGATACCATTTTGAAAAATATATTCTTATTCCCTCTGTGAAATAGTAGCACTTTGTGTCTAAGAAACTGCATTTTAAGCTTAGTATTCGAAATACAAACACTTAAGGAAATTGTTCTAGAAACAACTGACCTCTAATTTTGGGAAGAGTAGGAACTGTTTTAATTACTGCTATAGTAGGTACAGAATAGCCTAGTATTTAGTCTGTAAATGGATGGAAACGTTTTTCTTGATGCAAGCATTGTGTATCTGTTTAAAGAATAATTTATTTACATATCATAGAAACTTAGTAGCGATCAGGGAAAAAATAAAAAAATCTTGCTCTAATTTGAAGTTGTTATGATACTGAAATATATAGCTTATTATATGTGCAGTGATCTATATGTTGCCAAGATTATTTGTTAGTCATTCTCAACTTTGGCTACATATTAATCAGTACTGAAAAATACTAATGCTTGGGATCATTCTCAAGAGTTGTGATACAATTGGTCTTGGGTGTGGCCCTACTCTTAGTATTTCTTAAAATGTCCTCCTGTCCCCGGTTTGTGATTCTAATGTGCAGCCTGGTTTGAGAGCCTTCGTGTTAGAGGGATATTTACATGTACAGCTTGAATATTAATAATTATTGTTATGTTCCCCATTATTATATTTCCTTAGGGTATTATGTCTTAGGAAGCAGATAGTCCATATCCTCTCATATCACAGAATATTAATGGATCTTGGATGATGTATACACAAGTTCTTTACGTTCCTGATGGACAATTTCTGTCATATATCTTGGGCCAATTTGTTAGGCTGTAAATTTATCTTAAAGGTTTTGAAGAAGACCCTATAAAATATTATCTGCTTCCTAGGAAAAAAGAATGCTATGGAATAGTAGGGCCATTTCATTAAAGCATTACAGATAATAGTAGGTCTGCCATCAAGGCCATTTTGCATTAGATAATTTTTAAGTTTTCTTTAAATTGTCTCATTGTGAACATATCAGACTAGTGACATTTATAGATTTTACTTCCTTCTGAGGATCAAGTTGCTGTTAATGGGAATTTTGGGGTAACTTGGCAGTCGTGCCTTTCATGAACTATCACGGGTTTTGAATTGGTCAACTTATTGGTAAAATACTTGTAGTTAGAGTCAGCCATCTACAAAAGTATAAATAGTGTGGGCTTATAAGCATTTACTTTGATACTCACAAACATGCCTTTAGTGTATTCTTCCATGCTCCAGACCCCACCTCATCCCAGGGTCTACTATGTGTTTCAAGTCTGCATGTACCTACTGAGCCTTAGCAGGTGTGCTGTTAATTGCTAATGTTCCTTAAAAATGGTCATTTTCAGGGCTTCTTGCATTGTAATATGGGTCATAAAAACAGCACCAACAAAACAAAACAAAACAAAACATACAATAAGCAATTACAGTGCAAAGGAATGAGGTGTTAACTGACAGGAGTAGAAGTTGCTCATTTGGGCCAAGGGCTACTTTAATTCAATATGCTGTCCTTGTAATGAGAGACCGAGGTATTTTGCAAGTTCTAATGTAATTCTTTATATAATGCTTTCTCTTCTGAGTTATTCCAATTGCCTAGTATTGACAGAAGTTTGTAGTTAGATTCAAAACTCTGGGGTAAGATGTGTAACTGGCAAGTTTCTTTATGAAAGGAAACTTTAGAAGGTTAGGGGGGCTGCATACTAAGAGATGCAGCAATTCATCAACTCATCAGCTTAAGGAATCCTTATAACTATCACTTCAGAGAGACCTGCCCTTAAAAAATTCCCTGGAATATTGTTCATCTTTGCTAAGAAAATAGACTGTTATACAAATATTAACTGAGCCACTAATATGTACTGCTTTACACCGGTGACCAAAATAAATTCTGCCCTTATTTTCATGCAGTTTGCATTGCAGTTAAAATCTCAAGAAAAAAAGTAGAAATCTCCCTTGATTAATAACTACATTGAAATAATAATTTTATGTCCTTAAGTCTATTGATAGGATAACATTTGCTCTCAAGAAATAATATAAAAACAATCTTAGGAACATGTAATAATATGAAGCATATTGAAAAATCTTCTGTTCATTTAAAACTATTCGGCAATGTCACCATCCATGAAAAATAATACCAAACATTTCAAAAGTTTTTGGTGACTGTATTTTATTATGCATTTCCAAGACTTCCTTAACAACTAGAAATCAAGATGGACAAAAAGCCTATGCTGCCCGTGATTACAGTTCCCTTTCAGGTTATAACAAGCAAATCTAAGTCAGATGGTAGTGGTGTAGCACTGCTCTGCCTTCCTTTGGACCACACCATATTCTCTATTTATATGTTTTTCACTCAAAGAGAGTGAACTGAAGCAATTTAATACTATAGATGCTGCTTTGTTATGCATTTGTCCATGTAGTCACCAAAAAGATTCTAGAACGTGATACCTTCCCTAAATTATCCCACTGCTTCCAGCCTCTTCAACATTCTAAGTGGCCTTATCTCCACCCTTTCCTCTTACTCCCTCCAATACAATCTAAGACAGCTTTTGCTTAAGATTTATAATTACATTCAAAGGATTTTGAATTTTGTTTTAATTTGAGAGACAATTTAGAAAGCAGATGCCATTTATATTGGGTATTTGTCTTTCGCTGCAGTCATATCTTTATATTAGGAGATTTTTCTCCTAATAGAGAGAAAGGAGAAATGTTTTCAAGGAGAAAACAACACAAAAACAAAAAGCCAAAAGTGAAATAGAAAGGTCCTTGTGAGCAAAACAGACTTAAACGCTTCAAATTTTTTCAGAGCAAGTTTCTTTTAAAAAGCCAAAAAAAAAAAAATTGGTTGATTGGACATAGTTGGTTTATATATCAATGAACGAAATGTGTCAGATTTTAATGAGGGAAAGAGAAAAATGATCAGAAAGAATGACAGTGCAGAAATACTTCTTACATGAATTGCATTGTCTCTGTTCCTTACCAGAAGGTTCCTAACATTAGGATATACCCAGGGAAATACTACATTGTGAAAGGTAGATTTTTACAAGGCTCCTTTTTTTTTTCTTTGAAATGTGCTTATCTTTAGACACAATTTTTGTGATGCCCTGGGTGTTTTTCCTGTCCCCATGTCTTCTTTCTCAGCATATGCTTATTCCGTATGTTCAATGCCTTATACAACTTTAAATACATACTCTGAAATTTGGAATGTTTATACTTTTCAGTTGCAAAATACTTTATCCTTCAAATTGCTCTCACATACAAGTCTACCTGAGAATTCAAATGATGGAGTAAAATACATATACTTTTAATTGAAAATGAATCTGACTTTTTGTTTGGCGATTACTATTTCCTCTTTATTCCTGGAAGGCTTTTTCTTTATTTTCTTTCTCTCACTGCACAAGTTGATCTTTTTGAAAAATGAGTGTTTGCCAAATCTAGTCTGAGTTGGAAGGGAAGGTCGGCGGGAAGGGTGATTACTTAATATTCTGACTAAGAATACTAGCAACTGATTTCCAATATAGAGGTAGGCTATATGCCTGGTGAAACAATTAAATTATAATTACACTGATTGATATTATAAATCATGCTTTGGGAAAATGAGTTTTTAAGACTTGTGATGCCTAGTCTCATTTTTATTTTTCACATGTATCTTAGAACAAAAATCCACACATATGGAAGATAGTAAGAGTTGTTTCTTCCTCTAGTGTGGTAAATTTTTACTTTGTAACTCTATGCTGTGCTCTAGAGACAAATGAAGCAAATTCATAACTTTGATGATATATTTTAAAATATTGAGAACTGTAGCCTGCTTTATCTAGGATGTTTTGTAAATGCAGAGAAACTTTTTGTCTTGAAGTAATTGATTTGACTTTGTTTCTTAGTTTGGTTTGGATGTTAAATAAGCAATGTCAAGAATTTTAGCCATTTAAACTATTTCTTTTTGAAGTGGTATTTCTTAACTTACTTTCAACCTGCACTATTGCTATTCTTTGTGATATCTATTTTACAAGGGTGTTGCATGTATGTCAGCATTTGCATCTGCTACTGTGGCATCCTACATGACTATTAATAATTAAATTTCAGTAAAGCAAATATTAAATAGCAACATCAAGTTTTCGTGCAATAACTTTGTATAAGAAAATGATGCGTACAATAAGATTCTGCAAACCCTTTCAGTATTCTGCATTCACCAATAACTGAAGACTTCTAAGAAATATGACTTTTCTTTATACATTCAGAGGAAATATTTAAAAAGAAACAAGAAACCAGGCGCCTCTAGGTAGAGTAAAGGAAAAACATTAAAATTTCATAACAGCTCTAGAATTTGCTCGATAAATTTACATTGGTATCAGCATACTATCCCAGACAATGAAAGTATTGTGAGCCCTAAGGTTAAGTGAGAGCCTGTAAGGAAAATTATAGCTGCACAAAAACATTGTAGACTTCCAAATTTTAAAGGCATTAAACATTAAGGATAAACACATACTTTGCTCATTTCCTTGGATTAAGTATGGTATTTTAGAAAGGTGTGCATTTTCCCCATTTTACCCATCAAATTTTAAAAACTCAAATTTCAATCTGCATGTAGTCATGACGATTTGATTTGTGTTTATTTGCATGGGTTAAAACAAGTCAAAGTATTGAATACAATTTATGGGAAATATCTAATTTGTAAGTCTGTGTATATTTCAACTGAAATAACTTAAAAGTTATGAATCATGACACTACATCTTAGGATATTTGTATTTCAACTTTCTGCTTAAAATTTTAATACTTAAAGACACTTAAAGCTAGGTTATCTAATTACTGTTATTGAATTATTACAACTACTATTTTGGCAGCTAGAATATATTTATTAGTGATTAATTGTCTGCTGTATTTTATTTTAAAAGGATCTGGCTGTCATTAAGAAACAGTGAATTAACCTCAATTTACAACTCATCCTTTTATTTTTTAAGAAGTGCATTTTAATGACTTACAAAAACTAGAAATAATCTCAAATACAGAACCGAGATTCATCAAGCTAACTTAGGCACAACCTGAGACTTAATACAGAAGTGTATTAAGTACATGTCACTGAAAAAAGATCTAAAGAAGTACTATGTAAAATGGATGGCAAAATTTTCAGTGTACTACTTGAAAACTGCCTTTTATTTCCCCTAGAATTTGTATGTCCCATGCATCACTGTTTCATGTTAGATGCGTGGTTATAAAATTGTGAAAATGGAGACTTTTCTGGTAGCAAAAGGGTTAAGTTCTTTTTGCTTTACCAGTTTCAAATTACAATGAGAAGCCTCTTCTTTCCCAGCAGGGTTGTGCTTACACTACTCTTTAGATCTCTCTTGAAGAGGGCTGGTATATTTGTGCCTGCTGGAGGTGGAATTAACAGTAAGAAGGAGAAAGGGATTGAATGGACTTACAGGAAGGATTTCAAGTAAATTCAGGGAAACACATTTACTTGAATAGTACAACCTAGAGTATTATTTTACACTAAGACGACACAAAAGATGTTAAAGTTATCACCAAGCTGCCGGACAGATATATATTCCAACACCAAGGTGCAGATCAGCATAGATCTGTGATTCAGAAATCAGGATTTGTTTTGGAAAGAGCTCAAGGGTTGAGAAGAACTCAAAAGCAAGTGAAGATTACTTTGGGAACTACAGTTTATCAGAAGATCAACTTTTGCTAATTCAAATACCAAAGGCCTGATTATCATAAATTCATATAGGAATGCATAGGTCATCTGATCAAATAATATTAGCCGTCTTCTGCTACATCAATGCAGCAAAAACTCTTAACAACTGTGGATAATTGGAAATCTGAGTTTCAGCTTTCTTAGAAATAACTACTCTTGACATATTCCAAAATATTTAAAATAGGACAGGAAAATCGGTGAGGATGTTGTGCTCAGAAATGTCACTGTCATGAAAAATAGGTAAATTTGTTTTTTCAGCTACTGGGAAACTGTACCTCCTAGAACCTTAGGTTTTTTTTTTTTTTAAGAGGACAAGAAGGACTAAAAATATCAACTTTTGCTTTTGGACAAAAATGCATCTGACTGTATTTTTACTTAAGGGTATTGTGGGTTTCCTCTGGAGCTGCTGGGTTCTAGTGGGTTATGCAAAAGGAGGTTTGGGAGACAATCATGTTCACTCCAGTTTTATTTATAGAAGACTACGGAACCACGAAAGACGGGAAATACAAAGGGAAATTCTCTCTATCTTGGGTTTGCCTCACAGACCCAGACCATTTTCACCTGGAAAACAAGCGTCCTCTGCACCTCTCTTTATGCTGGATCTCTACAATGCCATGACCAATGAAGAAAATCCTGAAGAGTCGGAGTACTCAGTAAGGGCATCCTTGGCAGAAGAGACCAGAGGGGCAAGAAAGGGATACCCAGCCTCTCCCAATGGGTATCCTCGTCGCATACAGTTATCTCGGACGACTCCTCTGACCACCCAGAGTCCTCCTCTAGCCAGCCTCCATGATACCAACTTTCTGAATGATGCTGACATGGTCATGAGCTTTGTCAACTTAGGTATGTTGTTCATTTGTTTGTTAATCTATGTTATTACAAAGTGGAAGTTTTCCCTAATGGTAAAGGAGCTGCTTGGTAGGTGGTCATGTTTATATAAAGACATTTTCTCTAACTCTCCTGTTTAGCTTCTGTTTTCTTTCTTTCATTGATGCCTTAGGCAAAAAGTCATATATATATATTTAATATGAATAGTTAAATTTAAACACTTATAGTGTGGGTCTTTTCAGATCTTGTTAAAATTTCAACCTCGCTTAAATATATGAATGCAAAGGCAATAGTCTAAAAACAGGGAAATTTATGAGGATAGCTATGCTATGGGCAACAATAAAAAAAAGAAGCACTTACAGATGGGAAAGTAAAAGTGACATTCGGAAGCACTTTTTTTTTAAGTGATTTAAAGCACATGTAAGTATATATTCACATACTACTTAAAAATCTCTCATCTAGGGGAGGCAACTACTGTAAAAATATAGAGGTAAAATTAACCAAGATTGAATAGCACCATAAAAGATTACTATCAAGGAATCAAGGAAGGGATTCTGAAATTCTATAGTAAATATTTCAGAAATAAAGTTTCAATCTAACAGTTCTTAACTGTAATGAGTAAAGTATGTTATAGCTACTTGATTTTTTTCACAGGCAAGAAAAATGTAAAACATGCTTTAGTGGTCTTTATCTATACAAAATTTTCCTTCTATATGAGATAAAATATTTGAAATTTTCTGTAAACCACAACAATATTAATGAGAAAATTTTAAAATTATGTTTTAGTTGTAGCTGGTACTTCATGGTGGTTTTTAAATACTGATAATGTCAAATGATAATTTAGTTCCCAATATTCCCTCTCACAATAATATTATGGATTACCAATTTCAAATTATTTTATAAGGGCTGTTGTTTTCTTTAAATGTTTTAGTAAAAATTGAAGGTGAAATTTACTATCTCTGGCAGTCAAAGGAAAATAACATCGAATATATTTTATGTTTGAAGATTAAAAACTCTATCAACAAATTTAATCCACTGGGAAGAATTGAGAACTTTATGATGTTATAGCTTTTAGAACTTTGTTTTAAAAATGCAATCTGCTTTGACTTAAAATTAACATGTTTTATTAAACACTTAATTAAAAACTTCCTCATGTAACATCTCAAAGGAAATATTCTTTGAAAAGTCAGATTATCAACAAATCTTAATAACACATGGATGCTTTTATAATATATGTTGCTTAATATACTCTGCTCATTTGCTCTTAGCAATCCTAGCATGAAGGATAAGGTACTTAATAAATCGTACGTTTTATGTTGCTAGAGACAAAGGTCTCATTATTAAGTGAGTAAGTCATAATTTGTTGCACTAATCAGGTGTCCTGGAGGCCTTTTCTTCTACGTATAATTAACAGACTTCACATGGAACTTTTTAGTCATTAAAATATAGCTTAATTTCAAATTAATGTGATTGCTTTTACCTAGTATAAGGGATATGCAAGTGTAGCTTGTGGTACATTTTGCTTTGTAACATTTCTAAAGTATTATTCAAGAATTTAAAGTAGTTTAAATATTTTAATAGAAAAATTTCAACCTAGCAAAATTTATATATTCATAAACCATTGAGAAAATCAGGTCATATCATCTAAAATCTGACAAAGAAGCATATGTATGTTACATATTTTAATAAACGATAGCTCAGTCATGAATGTCATAATATATTTTATTAGAATTGCTCTGATCATTCACAAGAGAAGTGTAAGCATGATTTTTGGATTTATGTGTTTACTTTTTATAAATCTACATAGAGTAAGAAAGTCAAAACCAATAATAGTTTTATTCATTGATTCCTATAACTTTTTTATTATTGAGAAACACATTTAAAAATAAATGACATTTTGGTTACATTGTTCAGATTATAATAACATAGCAGTTTATTAGTTTATTGCCTATATGAAGAAATACAATTATTCATTTGACTCTAGAGAAACAATATTAGCTATAAGCTTTAGAGAAACTGTGTGTTTATTTTTATCATGCTTGAACTTCTGAGTAGTGCTTTATATTCAATAACAAACTATGTTGTTTCTTCTTTATTTAATAATTCCAAACTAAATGTCTTACATGAAATTACTGACAAACTGATTCTGATACTAGGTGAGTTTTTCTTGGTAGACTTTAAGGAAAATTAAACCACAGTTTAATTATCCTTTGATCATGCCTTCAAATACATTCAAGATTTATAGTTGATCACTGCTTAGTAAAAAGCTTCAACTTTTGCATTTCTTTTATAATCAAATAAATAAATAAGCATACTCAGAAAAGGTGAAAGTGTAATAACATTATTAGCTGCAATAAGAGTGCCAGTGCTTTTTAAATGTAATATCCGTTAGCAAATATTACCTGTAGTTTATTTCATGTTCTTATAAGACTAAAAAGGATTAGATTTTATTTTTTCACTGTCTTAAAAGACATGCATATAGTTGAGACTAAGTACAAATGAGTCACATTAGTAGTAGGCAAGGGATTTGTATTGAGGAAGTCACCTGGATATTTAAATATGTGAAAAGAATCTGTTGACATTTCCCATAATTAGAAGAATTATATAAAAAGGATCTAGTAGCATCCTTTTAAAAAATGCTTGTGTGTTGTCCTTTTCAAGTCAAATAATGGATTTTCCACAGGTACCTTGCCATTCAGAAATTCTTTTTTCAACATAGTTTTGGTCACGAAGAACAATTAAACTTAATCCAAACTCAGAATCATGTTTAACAGAATACCTACTGTTTAAAATTCAGATGAGATTAGCTTTATATTCATAAGTGAAAAATAGATTTGAATTTACTAAAAGCAAAATAAAAAGTAAATAAATTGCCTAAGGCATGCAGACATCTGAATATGAAACCAAACATATCATTTTAACCTTTATTTTAGTGACTCGTTTATTTTGAAGAAACAAATATAAATTATTAACTGTGTGAAGAGAAATATTCCTTCGATCATATTCATTATTCTTAGGCCACTTTTATCAGTCTCATAGTATTAAATTTTACAGATTGAATTCTTTGCTTTTTCCCTAAAACTGTTGAATATCAGTGGAACTTTTGCTTGGTCAATATAATATTATTTTGTTAGTAATAAAAATGTTTTTCTGTTTAGTTTTATTTTCTTTTTTAACCATCTCTTTGTCAAAAGTGCTAAGTGTTAGTATATGTATTAAATACCAGTACAAGTTAAA